>NC_000010.11:27510000-28135000 GCF_000001405.40 Homo sapiens
CCTTCTACCTTCCTCTCACCACCCCACTGCCTCCATGTCTGTTGAAATCTTATTTGTCCTTCAAGACTTAATTTTGGTATCATTAAATCTTTGAAGCCTTTCTAGATCTTACCAAGAGAAAATAACTTCCTTATCTGTTGTCTCATGATACTTTATTAAAACTGCTAATGTGATTATCTGTACACACATTTCTCTCCTATACTATGGATTGTCTTTTATTTTGTAATATACAACAGTTATTTGAATACTTATTGTATGCCAGGGACTGCTACTAAGAGGAGGGGTTATAATAGTGAATAACAAACTTGGTCTCTGTCATCGTGGACCTAACAGAGTGTGTTAATTTTGTATGTTCAGCATTTGCTACAGTGTTTGACGTGTATTCTTATCTTCACATATGTATTGATACTAGTTATTAAGGATTGTTAGGAGCAATGATACTTAAATGCCTTTTAAGGATAAGATTTAGATCGCCTGAAAGTGGTTAGTCACACTAACTTATGAGAATATATGAGAAGATAGAGGTAAGTATTTTGGTATCATGTGTTTAGACTGCAGACAACGTAAAGGGATGAAGAGACCACTTGGAATAGTTGAAAGGTAGCTGAGCTGAGTCAGAGCTAGATAATAGTCTTGGTTGACTTTGCCTTGAATTACATGTAATCTTGATGAAGTCACTTAACTTACTAACTTCATCTGTAAATTGGGAGGTTTTGTTAAAATTTCATGATCTGATGAGGAGAATATAGTAAAGATGATCCTAGCATTATTGTTAGGGAAAATAAAGAGTTTCTGTTAACTGGCTTTATTTGTTTTCATTGATTGTATGTCTATTTTTAAAATTTTATTGTGAAACAATTTCAGACTCAAAGATTTGTAAAAATAGCACAAATAATTCTTATGTATCCTATTAAATTACTCCAGATGTTAATGTTTGTCACATTTGCTTTATCATTCTCTCTCTACACACAGTATTCTTTTTTAAAAAAATGAGAGTAGATTGTAGACATGATGTCTTCAACGTCTGCATACTTTAATGTGTATTTCTTAAATGAACATAGATACATTTTATTGTCTATACACAGATTTTATCAGTTGTCCCATTAATGTCCCATATAGCAAAAGACAAATAATTGTTTCGGGTCCAGGATCATACACTGATTTTAGTTATTTCTCTTTAGCCTCTTTTATTTCATTTAATTAATGAATTAATTTATTTTCGAGACAGAGTCTAGCTCTGTCGCTCAGGCTGAGTGCAGTGGCACCAACTCAGCTCAGTGCAACCTCCACTTTTCAGGTTCAAGTGATCCTCCTGCCTCAGCCACCCAAGTAGCTGGGACTACAGGCACATGCCACTGCGCCTGGCTAATTTTTTTTTGTATTTTTGATAGAGACGGGGTTTACCATGTTGGCCAGGCTGGTCTTGAGCTCCTGACCTCAAGTGATCTACCCACCTCGGCCTCCCAAAGTACTGGGATTGCAGGTGTGAGCCACCGCGTCGAGCCTCTTCAGCCTCTTTTAATCAGCAATTCTTCAGTCTTTATTTGCCTTTTCAGGGCCTTGACATTTTTGAAGAGTAAATAATTATTTTGTAGAATGTCTCTCAATTTGTGTATGTCCAGTATGTCCTTAACGGTTAGATTCAGGTTATGCAGTTTTGGCAGCAATTCCACAGAAGTGTTTTTCAGAACATAGTGTCAGTGAAGTTATTATTTTTCCCTTCATAACTAATATATTTCTTGTAGAGAGATACATTGAGACTGTATAGGTATCCTCCTTCTTACACTTTTTGCCCTCCTGTTGTAGCATCCATTGATAATTCTTGCCTGTGACAAGTGATAAGGACAGTATATGATCTTTTCATTCCAACTGTGATGGTTATCAAATGGGGATTTTTTTAAAATGCCATCACTCTGTCTATGTATCTTGTTTGGAATTCTGTAAGTAAGAGCTCTTTTTTTTTCTTTTTTTGTGAGGCAGTGTCTCACTGTGTTGCCCAGGCTGGCCTGAGACTCCTGGGCTCAAGTGATCCTCCTGCCTCAGCCTCCCAAGTAGCTGGAACTACAGCCATGTACCACCATGCCCAGCTCAGGAGGAGCTCATGTTTGTTTGTTTCTTTTTCTTCATATGAACTCATGGTGCCTCTAAATTTTCAATAAATTAGGCATTACTTAGCTTTTGCATGATATTAAGATTTACAGATTTACTCTTATTTGTGTCATAGGAAAGGGAATCATTTAAAACACGAATTCAAAATCCATTGTAATTTGGCTTTGTTGTATTATAATAATAATTATTATTATTTAATTTTATTTATTTATTTTTAGACACAGTCTTGCTCTGTTGCCCAGGCTGGAGTGAAGTGGCACAACCTTGGCTCACTGCAGCCTCCACCTCCCCATTCAAGTGATTCTGGTGCCTCAGCCTCCTGTGTAGCTGGGACTACAGGCATGCACCACCACACCTGGCTAATTTTTGTATTTTTAGTAGAGATGGGTTTTGCTATGTTGGCCAGTCTGGTCTTGAACTCCTGGCCTCAAGTGATCCACCCACCTTGGGCCTCCCAAAGTGTTGAGATTATAGGTGTGAGCCACTGTGCCCATACTGGTGTATTATTTACTCCTATAAAAAATTACTTAGTAGTAAAACCTTATTTTGGTCAGAACCTGCCTGAGTACGTATTGGTATTGGCTAGCCAGGAGGAGAGCAGTAGCAACTGGCAGGAAAATAAACTTGCCTAAAGTTAAAATTTTACTGAAGGAATGAACATACATATAATATTAACTGTCTTCATTACAAACCCAAATGGAATTTGGGGACTTGTGGCATGACAAATCGTGGGTTGTCTTTATTACTAAAAAGGCTTTGTCTTCTGCAAAGACAAATACTAAGATTATAGTATGCTGGTGAAAATATATGTAATTTGTTCCCCAAATAGGCCCTAGATCTTGAATATGTTGAACAAAATATCTTTTACATTGAAGCATCAGATTACTTTCAGCCTTAGGTAATAACATATATATATATATATATTTTTTTTTTTTTTTTGGAGACAAGAGTCTCGCTGTGTTGCCCAGGCCGGAGTGCAGTGGTGCATGATCTCAGCTCACTGCAATCTCCGCCTCCCAGGTTCAAGTGATTCTTCTGCCTCAGCCTCCCAAGAAGCTGGGATTGCAGGTGTGTGCCACCATGCCTTGCTAATTTTTATGTTTTTAGTAGAGATGGGGTTTTACTATATTGGCCAGGCTGGTCTTGAACTCCTGACCTCAAGTGATCCACCCGCCTCAGCCTCCCAAAGTGCTAGGATTACAGGTGTGAGCCACCACGCCCAGCCCACACATGAGTTTTAAACATAAAAACAATTACTTAATGGCCTTGTGAAAATTAGTGTTTTATGAAAATTGGTATTTTACCCCACAGTAAAATAGTAGTAAGGAAAGTGTATTGTTACCTTTTAGTAACTTAGTGAGACACTTAAGTTTCTGTCTTGCATAAAATACTCTTTTAAGATAATTGTTGGATTTGGGATTTGCAGATGGTACTATAAAGTTAGCATTCTTCTTTCTTGGCAATTAGCTAAAAACAACAAAGAGAGGGAAAAACTGACACACAAACCCAGCATTCCACTAAACTAGAAGACAGTTAAAAACCCCAAGCCACAAAATAGGTGGAAATGTTGCCAGGAGCAGTGGCCATCAGGCTGGCTGCATGTGGGAAGAAGTAGGTAGGATGCCGTGGCTGTGGAGCTCAGAGACAACAAGAAACACCCATGAAACTGCAAGGCCCCCCTGAGGTATAAAACCTAAACCCCTTGTTTACAAAAGTGAAGTGGGTTTCTTCAGCTCAAGGCAGGAGCTTTCCTGCACCTGGTTTAATTCTAAGAAGTCGGGGAAATGAAGCCAAACAAGGAGTCACATAAACAAGCCATTTTTGCAGGAAGTAATATGTGTCTATCTCTATAGCAGTTGGGGAGGAGATGACTGCATTGTGAAAAACCTCCAGACTGCCTGTCTGCATTGGCTGTTGAGAAGTAAAATGCTAAACTGTCTCTTAGGTAAATCTCTGAATCACGAAAAAGTTGTCAGTCCAGAACTGGAGGCACTCTGGCCTTCTGCATAAACCTCCTACAAATATCAGGTTCTGGACAACCAGCACTTCTTCAGAGATGAATAATCAAAAGGAATTCATTAAGCTTGACTGCCACAAATGTTTGGAAATAAAAAAGGAAGAAAGAAACAGAAAAACAAAGGACAGATGAAGAACAGTAACCTAAAATATTGCCATAAAGAAGATGAATATTGTGATCAAACATTTTGCCATGAGTTTAGAAAACTTAATGAAGTATTTACTGCTGAGAGCACAACGCACTTGACATAAGAGGCCGGGGAAGAAATAGAATGATTGCATGAGAAAATGCAAGGTAAGCTGATTGAGTGGAAAGAAAAATAAATGAAATTAGAAAATAAAACTATTACTGAAATGAAGATGAAATTGAAAGGATCACATAGATAATAGAGAACTGTGGAAAATACAATAAGAGACAGAGTCTAGAAATGGAAAAAGGTAGAATTTACCAAAATTAATGAAAATGTTAAAACGAATTAGAAAATGATAGATATGGAAATCAGAAAAGGAAATCCAACATATGCATATTTGAGACTAAGAAGGAAACATAATGAAACACAAATATTTAAAAATGTAGTACAAGATAACATTTCTGACATAAAAATAAACATTCATACACACAAAATTGCAAGTTTTTTTGTTTTTTTGTTTTTTTTTTTCTTTGAGGCAGGGTCTTGTTCTGTCGCCAGGTTGGAATGCAGTGGCACAAACATAGCTCACTCCAGCCTCACCCACCTGGGCTCCAGTGATCTGCTTGAGCCTCCTGAACTGGAACTACAGGCACGTGCCACCATGCCCGGGTGATCTTTGTATTTTTTTGGAGATGGGGTCTCACCAAACTGTTGCCCAGGCTGGTTTTGAACTCCTGGGTTCAAGCAGTCCTCCTACCTTGGCCTCCCAAAGTGCTGGGATTGCAGGTGTGAGCCACTGCTCTCAGCCTGCAAAAATATCTCGACCAGTTTTTTTGTTTGTTTGTTTGCTTATTACATAGGAGTGTTTGATAAAAGATAGTATTAGGTTTCTTTTTCTGCTGTGACAGGATCACATGGTGGTCCTTAGGTACTTATCTAAGTAATTGGTAGCATAGATGGAATTGGTAAGCATGGAAATTAGATCCTGTAGAAATTAGTTATACTAATTTTATATAATCTGATTAAATAGGCACAATTCGCTTTAAGTTTTTTATTTTTTTATTTACCCTGTTTTATGTACCTTTTGACTATAAAAAGGGTGCTTTAAAAACTATTTTCAAATAAAAACCTAGAAAATGAATGTAAAACCATTTTTCTACTTCAGACTGGGTCACAACATATTTCTTAATCTATTTTAAGACTTATAATTGTTAAAATATGTGAAAATGTCTTTTGAGGGTTGGTATATTTCAACTACAGTTAGACAAATTGTGGTTGTTATGGGTTGATGTTATTTCCTTAGTGAGCTTTCAAAAATACCTATGACTTCTGCTGGGCACAGTGGCTCATGCCTATAATCCCAGCACTTTGTGAGGCCAAGGCAGGAGGATCACTTGAGCTTGGGAGGTCAAGGCTGCAGTAAGCTGTGATCGTACCACTGTATTCTAGCCTGGGTGACAGAGCAAGACCTGTCTCAAAAAAAAAAAATTTTTTTTCATGACAAACTTAAATAATATTGGAATTATCTGTTCTTTAAAGGTTACATTTTACCTGTTGAATCAATCTGATCCTCCTTCCTTCTTTATCATTCCAACCTCTTCAAGTTTTCTATTCTTAGAATAGTCTTGGGAGTGTAACTTGGAAAGTATTCATTTTCTCTTAAGATAGTTGCACATAGTATTATTTTAAACTTTTCATTATCTGTGATCGTGGCTCTTCATTTCTAAAATTGTCTATTTTTGTTGTCTTTTCCTAAGGAATGTATCTATTTTATTGTTTTGAGGATTGCTTTAATTTTTTTCCCTCGTTCTTCCTGCTTTTCTTTTGGTGTTATTTTTTTGGTTTGTTAAGATAAATATTAAGTCCCCTTATTTTTAATGCTTATTCTTTGTTAAAGATGTTCTCTAAGAACCAATTCTGTGTTCCATAGGTTTTGGTATGGAGTGTTTCTTTGTCATTGCTCTGGATACTTTGAATTTTCAGTTTAGTTTTCCCCTTTGAACATTTGAAATCTTTGGGCCAGGCGCAGTGGCTCACGCCTGTAGTCTCAGCACTTTGGGAGGCCGAGGCAGGTGGATCACTGAAGGTCAGGAGTTCGAGACCAGCCTGGTCAACATGGTGAAACCTCCCATCTCCCCTAAAAATACAAAAATTAGCCAGGCGTGGTGGCAGGTGTGTGTAATCCCAGGTACCTGGGAGGCTGAGGCAGGAGAATCGCTTAAATTCAGGAGATGGAGGTTGCAGTGAGCCAAGATCGCACCACTGCACTCCAGCCTGGGTGACAGAGAGAGACTCCATCTCAAAAAGAAAAAAAAAAAAAGAGAGAAATCTTTGATTTCTATACCTTAGTCTATATTCCTTAGGCTATACCTTAGTCAGAAGGCTGGGGCTAAATCCAGCCTCCCAACTTCTAATTTGGAATTCTTTTAATTATTTCACAGTATATCAACCACAGATTTGACCTGAATGTCAAAGAATGCTAAATATAATTAAGAGGGAAGCAGTAAAAAAATATGTTAATTAATTAAATGTGCCTGGGTCCACTTCTCTTAATAATTCAAATTATCAGCTAGAGTTGAAAAAGAAGTAAGAAAAGGTTGAAAATAGATGAACCAGGCAAATGCAAAAATGCAAAAGTGGTATGGTAAAATGTAGCCTAAGTTAGGTAGAATTTAAGGTTAATGCACTGGACAGAATAAAGTGGATAGTATGTAATGCTGGCCCAGTAAATTAACTAAGCAGCTATAACAGTCATAAACAAGTAGGCACCAAACATAGAAGCTCTCTATAAAAGCTTCAAAACACAAGAAAAGAATTCAATGAGGGCCAGGTGCAGTGACTCACACCTGTAATCCCAGCACTTTGGGATGCTGAGGAGGGCGGATCACCTGATTTCAGGAGTTCAAGAACAGCCTGTCCAACATGGTGAAACCCTGTCTCTACTAAAAATACAAAAATTAGCCAGGCATGGTGGCTCACACCTGTAGTCCCAGCCACTCGGGAGGCTGAGGCAGGAGAATCACTTGAATCCGGGAGGCAGAGGTTGCAGTGAGCCGAGATTGTGCCACTGCACTGCAGCCTGGGCGACAGAGCAAGACTCTGTCTCAAAGAAAAAAAAAAGAATTTGATGAAAATACAGTAATATTAGATTTGCTGCATTTGTTTTGTAGATAGATAGACCCAAAAGATACAGATAAAGGCATAGGGAATTGGACTAACAAAATCAGCAAATCTTTTGAATAAAGACCTCACTACTTTAAAAGCCCATGGAACAATTATACAGAATCAATCTCAGACTTGACAACAACAAAGTAAATCCTCAATTGAAAAGAAGTAGAGGTTTTACAATACACATTCTTGATAATTTATTCTTTCAGAAAATATGTTTGACCTATTGTGTTTCTTACATATGAGTTCATAGCAGCATTTTTTAAAAAATTATACATTAAAGTTGATTTTTTTGGTATACAGTTTGATTTTTAACATATGTATTAAAACAAATGTTTATGGTCATATAATTGCCACCACCACAGTCAGCATACCAAATAGTTCCATCATCCCCAGAGCTACCTGGTGCTATCCCTTTCTGTTCTATTCTAGTCTGGTCCTCCTGCCTCTAACCTCAGCAGCCACTTACCTGGTCTCTAGTTTTATCTTTTTTGAGAATGTCATGTAAGTGGAGTCATATGGTATGTTACCTTTTTTTTTTTAATTATACTTTAAGTTTTAGGGTACATGTGCACCTCTGAGACTGCTTTCACTTAGCTTAATGCCTTTGAGCTTCATCCAAGTTCCTGTGAATTGTTTGTTCCTTTTTATTGCTGAGCTATATTCCATTGTGTGGATGTACCACAGTTTTAGTTGGTTTATCTATTCATCAATTGTGAGACATTTTTGTTGTTTCCAGTTTTTAGTGATTATGAATAGTCCTGTTGTAAACATTCAGGTATAGGATTTTGTATGAATACTAATTTTTATTTCTTTAGAATACATACCCAGTAATGGAATTGGTGGGTCATATGATAAATGCATATTTAACTTTGGAAAACAGTTTGGCCATATTTTTATAAAGTGGTTGTATCATTTTTACATTCCCACTAGCTTCATATGAGAATTCTTATTCTTCTATACCCCTCACCTATTATATATCTACGAGCAGCCTTATTTAAATTTTAACCATATTTTCAAATGAGTAAGTAGGTATGTGTTCAGATCTCATTGTGGTTTAATTTGAATTTTGCTAATGACTAATGAGGTTGAGTATCTTTTTAACGTCTATATGCACATTTATATAGGCTGTATATATGTATTTTTTTGCAGTGTCTGTTCAAGTCTTTCATTAATTTTTAAGTGGGTTTTTTGCTTTTTTGGGGGCTTTGAGAGTTTTTAAAATATATTCTGCATTTAAGTCTGTTATTAGATGATATATGCTTTGCAAATGTTTTCCTCCCAGTCTCTGGCTTGTTTTTTCATTCGTGTAAAAGTATATTTCTAACAGCATATGTTTTTTATTTTGATGAAATCTAACTTCTTAATTTTTCCGTTTATGGATGATGATTTCAGTGTTGTATCTTTTGCCTGACAGAAGGTTGCAGTGATTTTCCCCTATATTTTCTTCCAGAAGTCTTATAGTTTATAAAGTGTTACATTAAGTATAATTTTTTGAATTAATTTTTGAATACAGTGTGAGGTATGAAGTTCTTTTTTTTCCTTTTGCATATGGATATCCAGTTGTGCTAACACTTAGTTGAAAAGACTGTCCTTTCTACACTGAATTGCTTTTGCACTTTTGAAAAATTATCAGTTGATATGAAACATATGAAGAACAACACATAATAAACCAACAAAACGAAGTGGGGTTTATCCCACATAGGAAAAGTTGGTTTAACATTAAAAAAAAAATCAATGCATACTTCACTACTTTAAACTAAAAAAGAAATATCACGTAATCATCTCAATAGATGCAGAAAATGCATTTGAAAAAAATCCATCATGTATTCTTGATAACATCTTTCAGTAGACTGTGAATAGAAACCTGATAAAGGATATCTATAAAAAACATACAACTAACATCATACTTAATGATAAAATAAAGAATGTTTTCCCCTTAATATGAGGAACAAAATAAGAATATAAGCTCTCACCACTTCGGTTGTACTAGAAATTTTTAGCCAGGGCAGTAAGACAAGAAATGCATCCAGATTGGAAAAGAAGAATGTAAAAATCCACAGGAATACAAAATCCATATTTATAGTATCAATTGTGTTTCTGTTTATTAGTAATGAATAAAAGGAAGATGAAAAATTTAAATACAATTTTAGATAAAAATCTACGGAATACCCAGGGCTAAATTTACCGAAATTTGTCAAAGACCTGTAATACTGAAAATTACAAAATACTTTCAGATTAATTTTTAAAGACCTAAATGAATGGAAAGATATAACTTTTTCAGTAGCCATAAGATTTAATATTGCTAAGAGGTCAGTTCTCCCCAAAGTGATCTATAGATTCAACATAATCCCTATCAAAATCCCAGCAGGCTTTTATTTTTAAATCAACAAGCTGATTCTAAAATTCACTAGGAAATGCAAAGGAAGTAGACTAGCCAAAACAACTTGGAAAAAAACCAAAGCTTTATCACCATTGAGTATGACATTAGCCATGGGTTTTTCATATATGGTGTATATCATGTTGAGGAAATTCCCTTCTATTCCTAGTTTGTTGAGTGTTTTATCATGAAAGGGAATTGAATTTTGTCAAATGCATTTTCTGCATCAAGATGATGATCATGTGTTTAAAAACCTTCATTCTTTTAATGCGATGTATTACTTTGATTCATTTTTCTTAAAGTTCAACTGTTCTTGCATTCTGGGAATAAAC
The DNA here is from genome assembly GCF_000001405.40 of Homo sapiens. Classification (NCBI taxonomy): domain Eukaryota; kingdom Metazoa; phylum Chordata; class Mammalia; order Primates; family Hominidae; genus Homo; species Homo sapiens. Next base: position 27,520,137 of record NC_000010.11, read on the forward strand.
TTGATTGATTACTGATTCAATCTTCTTACTAGTTATGGGTCTATTCAAGTTTTCTATTCATGAGTAAATTTTGGCAGATTGTGTATTTGTTAGAATTTGCCCATTTAATTATGTTATCCATTTCGTTGACATAACGGTTGTTCATAGTATTCTCTTATGATCCTTTTTTTTCTGTAAAATTGGTAGTAATGACCCTGTTTTCATATCTGAGTTTTGTAATGTGAACCTTTTCTCTCACTCTCTTTTTTTTTTGAAGTTAATCTAGTTTAAAAGTTTGTCTATTTTGTTGATCTTTAAGAAAAAACAACTTTGGTTATCAGTTTTCCTTATTGTGTTTTATTCTCTAATTATCTTTGCTCGTATTATTTATTACTTCTGCCCTGCTAGCTTTGCACAGAGTTTACTCCTCTCTTTTAGTTCCTTAAGGTATAAAGTTAGGTTATTGATTTGAAGTTTTATTTCCTTTATAATATATTCATTTACAGCTATAAATTTCTGTGCCGGGCATGGTGGCTCATGCCTGTAATCCCAGAACTTTGGGCGTCCAAGGCAGGCAGATTACCTGAGGTCAGGAGGTCGAGATCTGTCTGGCCAACATGGTGAAACCCCGTCTCTACTAAAAATACAAAAATTAGCCAGGCATAGTGGCGGGCACCTGTAATCCCAGCTACTAGGGAGGCTGGGATGAGTAAACCACTTGAACCCAGGAGGCAGAAGTTGCAGTGAGCCGGTATCGCACCACTGCACTCCAGCCTGGGTGACAGAGCAAGACTCCATCTCAAAAAAAAAAAAAAAAAAAAAAAAAGAAAATTTTTTTTTCTCTTAACATTTCTTTCACGGCATTCCCTAAATTTTAATATATTGTATTTTTATTTGTCTCAAGGCATTCTCTAATTTTTTTTCTGTGATTTTATTGGTTGTTTAAAAGGGTATTGTTTCATTTTCACGTATTTGTGAATTTGCCAGTATTCCTTCTGTTATTAATTTCTAGGTTTATTCCATTGTAATCAGAAAAATGGTTTGCATGATTTCGGTTTTTTAATATGTATTAAGACTTGTTTTGTAGCCAACATATGGCCTATCCTGGAGAATGTTTCATGTATACTTGAAAAAAATTTGTTGTTATACGGAGTATTCTGTTGGCTCTAATTGGCCTTCAAACCCTTTGTTTTCTGTTGATAATATATCTCAGTACACTATTCATAATTGGAAGTGGTGTATTAAAATCTCCGACTGTTTATCCTGTGAAAAAGACACTTTCACATGCATGTTTATAGCAGCACAATTCACAATTGCAAAAATATGGAACCAGCCCAAATGCCCATCAATCAATGAGTAGATAAAATGTGGCATATGCATACCATGGAATACCACTCAGCCATAAAAAGGAACAAAATAATGACATTTGCAGCAAACTGGCTGGAACTGGAGATCATTATTCTAAGTGAAGTAACTCAGGAATGGAAAACCAAACATTGTATGTTCTCATTTATAAGTGATAGCTAAGCTATGAAGACACAAAGGCATAAGAATGATACAGTGGAACTTGGGGACTCGGGGAAGGGTGGGAGAGGGATGAGGGATTTAAAAAACTACACATTGGGTACAGTGCACACTGCCCGGTTGATGGGTGCACCAAAATCTCGGAAATTACCCTAAAGAACTTATCCATGTAACCACATACCACCTCTTCCTAAAAACCTATTGAAATAAAAAAAAAATAGGATAAAGTATATGGGAGGATTTAAAAAAAAAACAAGAGGGTGATGTGCTCTGGTTCTGCAGGGAGAGGAAGGGGAGACGCATGGAAGCTCCGTGTTTGGGACCCTCCCAGACCTCATCCTTATGTGTTTCTCTTTTTGGTTGGTCCTGATATTGTATCCTTTGTAATGAAACTGTAATTGTAAAAATCTAAATAAAATGTAATTTGTGGGGAAAAAAAAGACGTTTTGGAATTCAGTCAGGCAATAAAAATAATCAGTATTTTCAGTGGAGGGCTTGTGTTTAGGAAAATAAATAAATAAATAAATAGAATCTCTGATGGTTGTAACACTATTTTTCCATTTAATTCTATCAAGTGTTTGCTTTGTATATATTGGACTTCTGTTCTGTGGTGTATATGTTTATAATTGTTGTATCTTCTTGAGAATTGGCCTTTTTATCAAAATATTTTGTTTTAGTCTCCTAACAGTTTTTGACTTAAAGTCTATTTTGTCTGATTTTAGAATAATTACCTTTGCTATCTTTTGGTTACTATTTGTATGGAATATCTTTTCCTGTCCTTTCACTCTCAACCTATATTTGTTTCTAGACCAAAAGTGAATCTCTGATAGAAAGCATGTAGTTGAATTTTTAAAAAGTATTCTGCCAATCTTTTGATAGGAGAGTTTATTCTATTTGCATTTAATATACCAATAAGGAAGGACTTCTGCCATTTTGCTATTTATTTCCTTAAAGAGTTTTTGTTCCTGAATTCTTACCATTACTGCCTTCTTATCTGTTTAGGGATTTTTCATAATAATATGCTTTGACTCTCTTCACATTTCCTTTTTTATCTATATTCTATATATATTTTCTTTGTGATCTATTTCAGTAAATTCTGGTAGCTTTTAATCTTTCAAGGAAATTGTCCATTTTTATCTGAATTGTCAAATTTATTGGCATAAACTTGTTCATAACATTCTGTCATTCCTTTAACTTCTGTACAATCTATAAATGGTGTGATTTTTTTCATCCTTTGTAATGATTTTTTTTGTCTTCTTTTTCCTGATCAATTTGACTAGAAGTTTATCAGTTTTATTGGTTTTCTTTTAGAAGCAACTTTTGGATTCATTGATTTTTGTTGTTGTTTTTCTGTTTTTAATTTCTGGTTTGAACTTTATTTTCTTTCTTCTACTTCTTCGGATTTAATTTGCTGCTTTTTCTATTGTCTTAGTTTAGAAGCCTAGGTCATTGATTTTAGATCACTTGTCTTTTCTAATATGGGTGTTTAGTGCTATAAATGTTCCTATTAAGTATTGCTTAAGTGGCATCATACAAATTTTGATGTTGTTTTTCTTTTTGTTTAAAATATTTAATTTAAAATACTTAGAACAATTTCATTATGATGTCTCCGAGTTTTTCTTCTTCTTTTTTTTTTTTTTTTTTTTTTTGCTAGGGGCTTATTGAGCTTTTTTGATCTGTGGATTTATATTTTTCATCAAATTTGAAATTTTTCAGCCATTATTTCTCAGATATATTTTCCCCCCTTCTCTCTTCTTTTTCCTCAACTCCATTGTTTGCATAATAGGCTGCTTGAAGTTGTCCCACAGATGATTGATGGTCTCTCATTTTCTTTGAACCTTTTCTTTCTGCTTCCTTTTGGGTAGTTTCTGTTGCTGTGTCATCACATTCACTGATGTTTTCTTCTGCAGCGCCTAATTTGCTGTTAATCCCATCCAGTGTATTTTTCATCTCAGACATTGCCATTTTTACCTTTTTTTTTTTTTTTTTTTGAGACAGGGTCTTGCTCTGTTATCCAGGCTGGGCTGCAGTAGCACAACCACGGCACATTTCAGCCTCGACCTTTCAGGCTCGATCCATCCTTGTACCTCAGCCTCCTGAGAAGCTGGGACTACAGGCGCAAGCCACCATGCCTGGCTAATTTTAAAAGTTTATTTTTGGCTGGGTGCGGTGGCTCACGCCTATAATCGCAGCACTTTGGGAGGCCGAGGCGGGCGGATCACGAGGTCAGGAGATTGAGACCATACTGGCTAACACGGTGAAACCTCGTCTTTACTAAAAATACAAAAAATTAGCCGGGCGTGGTGGCAGGCGCCTGTAGTCCCAGCAGCTTGGGAGGCTGAGGCAGCAGAATGGCATGAACCTGGGAAGCAGAGCTTGCAGTGAGCCAAGATCACTGCCACTGCACTCCAGCCTGGCCAACAGAGCAAGACTCCGTCTCAAAAAAAAAATAAAAATAAAAATTTATTTTTGTCAAGACGAAGTCTCGCTGTTTTGCTGGGGCTGGTCTTAAACTCCTGGCCTCAAGCGATCCTCCCACCTTAGCCTCTCAAAGTGTTGGAATTACAGGCGTGAGCCACTGTGCCCAGCCCATTTTCATCTTTAGAAAGTTCTGTTTGATCCTTTTTTATGTCACTCATGTCTACTTTTTGAACATGTGGTGTACAGTTGTAACATCTGTGTCAGTTCTGAGTCAGTTTCTATTGATTGATTTTTCTCCTCTTCAACAAGATGTGTGCTTCTGCTTCCATTAATATCTTCTGGTCTCCCATTCACATATATCTACTGTTGAGTTCATATTTTCTTTGGCCTTTTTCATGAAGGTTATTTTAGTTAAAACTAGATAATATAGTTAATGGAGCCTTTGAAATAAGCAGTAAGTGCAACATGAAAATTTACCAGTGTGCCTAAAAAAAGATTCTTGCAAAGAAACTGAATTAAAGATCATATTAAAAATGCAAACACAAATGAACAAGGAAAAGCTGAGATGACAGTTCTTCTGTTTCTGTTGTGAGCTCCATGTTATCCACATGAAGAGATTGAAGACACAGTTTAATCAAATTGGGTAAGAAACTGGCAAAATCAAATCTCTCAAAAAGACTCCCACTGCTGCTACCAATTAAGATAAATTATCAGCCACTTAACAAAAGAGAAGCATGATGAAGAAGCAGTTTTAGCATGTGAGATCTGAAGAGCTCAATTGCTGCATGTGAGATTCACCAGAGGAACCTAGGGAAGATGACTGGGGACTTTAGGGGTCTGGATTTAGATTAGGTGCCCCTTCAGGCTACCTGTGTCTGTTGGCTTTGATGGCAGGACGACAGTGTTCAGTGTCTCCTGTGGATGGGTATTGGTAAGTTTCAGATATAATATGTCAAAAGCATAACTTAGAGACATTGTTAGTTATCCACATGCAAATTATTCTTATGTCAGAGACAGTCATTAGACTGTTCACAACAAACTTGCAGAACCAGGAAATAATAATAGAGAAAGAGGAGTTGGGGTATGGGAAGAAAACACATACATTCTGGAAGCGGTGGGTTTCTTTTCTTGGGTAAACAAATTAGCTCATAGGAAAGATGCTTGTCTGCTCTTGAACATGTATCTGGGATTATTAAGGAAAAAAATTAGTTCTTTATATACTCCCTGAAAAACCTTGAGAATTTAACTGTAGAGTGTGCATGACAGAGGCTATCTCTGTGTAGTGTCTGCCAGTGGCTGTCATTTAGTACCTGCACCAAGTCAGAACCATTTTCCTCCTCTGAATTTTCTCAGGGTTTGTGCTTTGCTTTTTTTTTTTTAAAGCAATAGGAAGAAAATGTAGATAATTTCATGTTGTTTATGTAGATGGTTCCACTTTTAAAATGGCATAGTAACTTCTTTATTTAGACCTGGTTAATACAAGATTATTTAGCATGTGGGATTTTTTGTTTGTTTGGCTGTGAAGAAATTTTATATTTAGGTTTTTGTTGGGCTATGTAATCAACACTGTCCTTTTACTAATGGTTGCCCATCATTCTAGGCTTTATCAACTCCTTTATCACCCCAGCTCAAAACACCAAACTTAAAAATATATATATTTGGTATACAGAAAGACCTGGCATAATGCACATTTTGAATGTGCATTTTTATTACTGAATTTGTATATGTAATGGATCACCACAAGTCTTCCAAGAATTACAAATATATTTCCATATTGGTGACAGGTGTTCTATTAAGCATTTAGTATGTGAGGGTGCTGTTCATCTTAGTTGGGGCTGTTCTGAATTAATTGTGACAAGCTAATAAGATATTTTGAAAGTTTCTTTCCAAGCTTCTTGAGCTAATGTTTTCCCTCTGGCCAGTGGGGTAGACTGAACTCTTGAAAGACATGTGGGCAGTTGCTGTTCATTTAAGCCAGATGGCATGTGTCAACTCCTTTTCCTGGAAAGGGAGAGGTTTCTTTTTTGGCTGCTGTAATAAAGCCTTGTGGACTTCTTATGAAACTCTTTTCTTTACATAAATTAGTACTTATAGAAGCTTTTCATAGAACTTTGGGCACTCCTCTTTCACTTATGAAGATTCTTAGATGGTTGTATATAAATGTTTTCATGTATAAATTGTTTTATTGAAATTGTGCTGTAGCAAGTTATTGATTAGGTTATTACATAAAAATAGTATTTTTTTAGGATAAAAATAAAGAGATTATATGACAAGGAGTGAGTGGCCCTTTAATATTTTTACCGGTTCCCCAAGCTGCTTACAGTCAAGATCTGAGTTAGTGGTTGGCTGGCAGTGGACAGCACTCTTAACAGTAGCATGTGGATGCTTAGGGAGCCCCTGGAAGCTGCCATGACCCACAGTCAGCCATGGATAGTCTTCTTTATGTGAGCATTGTAATTGCAGCTCTTGACTTTTAACACGCATAGTGAGTTATCACCTTAAATTGAATTTCGTTTTTCCTTTTTGGAAGAATAGAAGGTAGGTGAGTGAGTGAATTCTACAAGCATTTGATTTTCATTTATCCTGATTAAATCCTAAGATCCTGGATTTTAATGACACTTTTTATCTCCACATCCAGAATTCTAAGAAGTTGGGGTGTGAATTGGGCATTTGATAATAGTGACTTTTCTGTTTTCTGGTTTTCTTGGTAATGGATTTTAAAAGTCTGTTTTACTGGGAGACTTATCAAAATTTTCATTTCTTTAAGGTGTTGACTTTAAGGTGAAAACAATTTCAGTGGATGGAAATAAGGCTAAACTTGCAATATGGGTAAGAGTTTTTAAAATGTATTTTTAAAATATTAAACTTTACTTTTTAAGGATGCAGAAATTGATTTGTGTAGTGTTCTAGAGGTGGTGAATGAACAATTTGTATTAAATAACTTTTGGGAGATTTGATACTGATTAAAGGATAAACAGTAATGTCTTATAATTGGGTAATTAGGCAGCTATGTTTTGTTTAAATTTTCACAATGCATAATTCTTTATGAATATTTCAAAACAGAACAGAATATTAAAAAATCATCTCATCTGCCAAAGAGAATCATAATTGGATATGTTTCTTTGAAGTTTTAAAAAGACCATCTAGACTGAACTAACACTAAAGACAATTTTTAAGGGGAGGAGGAATGACGTGATATTTAGGAAAAAATTTTATTTTTCTTGTTTGTTAGTATAGATATTTATAAAATTTGAGGTTTCAAACTTTGGGCTTATTTTTAATGCCTCGTTTTTCCTTACTGGCTTCTTTTCGTTTTCCTGTCAATCCAACCATTCTGATCCCCGTTACTGTACTAGCTAGACCGCTCATGCTAGTGTCAAATAAGGTAGCATTAACTGTCAAAAATATCCAAGATGCTTAGTGTCTATGTTTGTCTCTCTCTGTGTCTCCCTTTCATCAGTCTATTTACCCACCCACATACCGATCTATCTATATCTGTCTATCTAAATATGATCGGTTATATATATATATGTATATTCTAAATATATACTGTTTTATATATCTATTTTTCACATAGACTGTGATAATTATACATATATGTTTGTAATATAAGAAATCATATTAGAACTGATCAGTCATCAAATCGAGACTTATTTCCACATGGTGGTTAAATGGTAAATGCTGTTTGTACATCAGTCACAGATTGAAAACAGCAAGTGTTCATGCATTGTATGATGTCATATTTCTTGGCATTCTCTGAATGGCACACTGTTTCTAATACACATTTATCCCCAAATAACAAATAATTGTGTAAGTGTGTTTAATGTTTTTATGTCAGTTTTTCCTAACATACAATACTTTAAATTTGTTAACCTGTTTGCCCCTTTCCCCCAAATATGTTTAATATCAATCAGAACGGTAATGTCTAACAGAAAACAATTTGGAAAATGTTGGACTAGAGTATGGTAAAATGTGTTGAACGATATAAGAATGTTGGCTTTTTCCATACTAAAGTGGGGGCCTGATTTCCATATGCTTTTCATGGTTAATTTATTATCCCTTTCCGGCCTTGCTGCTGCTTTGTGAAATCCGTAGATTAGAGTAGTATCTGAGACTTGCTGGTTGCAGTGAGATTTTTCTCTCATAGTTTCGTTTTGTTTTAAATTTATTTTCTAGTTCCTGCCTAATAAAAAGGCTGGCAGGTATTATTGAAGAGACATTTTTACCATAGGCCTATAAACATTTTTTAAAGAAGAGAGGTTTTCCCCCTGGCTGTAAGAATAATACAGGGTCATTCTAAAAGGGATAATTGAGACAATAAGAAGAGCAGAGAAGAACATCTATAAAAGTATACCACTGAATACATTTTAGTGAGCATTCTTTAAAATATCAAGGGATATGTATACATACCACTATACATACCAGTATGTGAGTTTTCCAAAACAAAGGGATTATATTATATCTTACATTTTTAAACCTGTTTGTCCTCCTTTCCTACCACCTCACCCCCACTCATAGTATGTGCTGTATCCGTTTAGATGGCCAGCTAGTATTCCGTTTCATAGCTGTACTTTAGTCAGCCTTCAGTGAGAGATACTTACATTTTTGCCAGCTTTTCACAAAGATTACAGCTCTTTGAGCATCCTGATTTATACGTCTGTGTGTACTTGTCCAGTTACTTTAGAATGTGTAGCTGGAAGTAGAAATGAATATGAAGTCTTCACATTAATGTACACCAAAAAGCCTTTTTTTTCAGTTTATACTCCCACCAATTGTATTCATATTCATTCTGCCACATCCTTATCTCTACTGTTATCATTCTTTCTGTTTTTGCCTCTGAGTGTTGCTGTTTTACTTATATTTGCATTTCTTTTGATAAGAGATTTTTGCCTGTTTATTGATCATTTTAAAAAATAAGTTTTCTTTTTACATATTTTACCCATTTTATACGTTAGCATTCATCTTTTTCTTCATTAAAGTCTTTATATAATAAAATTATTAGCTCTTTGTCATGTGGTACAATTTTCTAAGCTATCATTTGCCTTTAAAATCATGTATCAGTTGAATATATGTTTGTGTTCTTGTGTGTGTGTGTAATACTGCCATATGCTACAGATTTTTTTTTCCAGTTTGTCATTTACCTTCCAATATTGTTAAGGATGAATATGGGGATGGGGAGGTGAAGAGGAGGTAAAGGGTGTTCTTGTCATTTCAAGGTTTTAATATTTATATGGTTGGATCAGCTATTTTCATCATGGCATTTGGGTGTAACGTATTTAGGAAGGCGTTTCCTCTGTATTAGAAATATATGAATCCATAGTTGCCTAATTCTTCTATAGTTTTATTTATAAAATGAGTTTCTCTCCTACTTGGAAGCTTCTTCTAGGATGAAATAGAATAATTAAGCATAGCCCTGCCCCTCCTACCTCCTGAAAGTGCATACTCATCATGACCTTGTTTTCTTCTACTGCCTTTTCCTATGTCCTTGCTTCACTTTCACTCCCTACATCTATTATTAAGCCTTTCTAGATCTTTCCTAGCCCTGAGTTTATCTATATATCTTTCAGTAATTTCTTCTCTCCTTCCCCCATCAGAAAATAAAACTACAGGATAGAGACAAAAAGCTGTGCTTCATTTATCTTACAAAGATGTTATTATACCTACCACATATTCCTGTTTTGAAAACAAACACAAGCAACAATCTAACTTCTATTTAAGCATATACACTTTATAGTTACTATAAATCCTGATGCGATGCTATTGCACATGGTTCCCTCCACCCCCTAAATTATAACACCTATTTAAACACTTTTGTAAGTGAATCCAAAAATGGCAAGCCTCTAAACATCTGGCCTAATTATTAATAAATATTCACAAGCAAAGTTTCAAAGTCAAGTGTAATATTTCAACATTAAAACTTTCTTGCTATGGTTTTTACTTTTAAAACATCAGGATTTATGGATATTTTAACTGGAATTGCAGTTCTGATTTTTATGTTGTGTTTCATTAAGGCAGTTTTTGAAGTTGATCTCAATGAAGACCAGAGAGAACAAAGTTCATGTTCACTTGTTTTTCTGCCAGCTCTGGAAGTTATGGATACAGTTTCCTTATGCAAATAGAATAAACTTTCTTCCTGTTATCAAAAAGTCTTGGGGCTAAAATATTTCATACTTGGTCCTTGCCTCAAACTATTTGTTATGAATATAGAACAGTGTTCCATGTATGGAAAAATAGCTGCTTCTTAAATTTCCAAATTCACTAATTCACTGTATAGAAAAATAGCTGCTTCTTAAATTTCCAAATTCAGTAATTCACTGTTCCAAATCCAAGGCTTGTCTTTTCAGTAATGGCTTTTCCTTCTTTTTTTTTTTTCTTTCTCTCTAAAACAGATAGTCTGTACTACTAAAAGTTAAATGCTTAACATGGTGCAGTTCTCAAAGTTATAATGTATCTGGATACTGAATAATTTGAATATTACTAATTTGTCATTTTTTGCATGTAAGCAGATAGCTAGGATACGTTCTCATAATGATTTGTCATTTAAAAATATACATTTTTTATTGAGTATGAATCAGATTGTCTGAAATAGGTACTAGTACAAGGCTATGAAGAGCATTTCTAGTTTCTTATTATATATATTACCAATTGCTTCCTAAAAGTGGTGACACTTTTACTGATACACATAGTAATCATTTTACTATGATATGCATAGTAGTTACATCTTTTGGCTTCTAGTTGATTACTTTTTTTTTCCCTGCAAATTTGGGTTTTGATTACTTGAGCATAGTGATCAAAAAAGATCACTGGGCATCCATATACCGTTTCATTAATGATTAATGGACTACAATATTGACTTGTCTCATGTTATCAAAGTTATAATCTGCTTTATATAGCAAGTTCACTTTGCTTTAAACAGCTTTTAATTTATATTATTGTTCTTGAAAAGGTGAGTAAATATGCAAATTGAATAATTTTAAAATCCAAGGCAGGTTTTGTAAGAAACTTAGAGGCAGAGAGAATTTTTGTAAAGAGAAAAATTATTTATTTTATAAATTTATCTGTTCAGAACATTTACTTTAAATCTGTTAATTCTTCACTTAAGCATGGCAGGGTGGGGATTAGTTTCTGTGGTGGTAAGGATCTGGAAGGAAAGGCTTTCAAATTTATGTAAGTGTATCTGTGGAAGAGTGGTGAATGTTCAAAGTGGTTTACATTGAAACGTTACTTTCCTCTTAAGTTTCTCTTCTGGGGTTATAAATGACTGCAGATCCTCCCTACTGTCTTGCTGAAGCCCCTCACGCCCCTGGTTTGAATTCTTCTCCAATCTTATAAACCTCTTACAGGTTATTCTAACATTTTTATATCTGGGGGAGCTTCTGCTTGTCCCATAACAAACCCTCATTTACAGCAGTGGGACTGGTAGCTAAGTTGAGGTTTGATACATGTTTTTACTTTTACTTTTCTTTAGGTTACTTTGCATCAGCAGACTGCAAACTTTTTCTTAAAGAGCCAGATAGGAAATAGTCCAATCCTGAAGTGGGCCATGTGGCAATACGTAAGCAAATAGGCCTGCTGTGTTTCAATAAAACTTTATTTAATAAAACAGGTGGTGGGCTGAGCTGCTTTGTATAATCTTAGGTACCTTGAATCCATAGTCCAAGGATGGTAGAAAGACAAGAGAGAGAAGGAATTGGGCCCGGAAGTAAAGGCTTGTTAAATAGGTTCATTCTTTTTTTTTTTTCTCAACAAATTCTGAGCAACTGCCTTTTTTCAAGAATTGGTCTCAGCACAATGGTTAAACTGGTGATTAAACAGATGAGTCCCTGCTTTATGAAATTTACATTTTCTACCTAGTGTACATTGTTCACTAACCCTAACATGAGTCAGAAATAACATGTAATAAAGAATGGCTTGGTTATATGCATTTTCTCAAAAGGAGATACATAGAAAACACTTAAAAGAGCCCAACCTAAAAATCTGTTACCTAAAGTAAGACATCCCATAATTTTCTTCAAATCAGTGGTTCTCAGCCTTGATTCTACATTAAAAGCACCTGGTAAGATTTAAAAAAAAAAAAATTCCTGTCATTACCTTAGACCAATTAAGCAGAAATTTTTTGGAAGCTAGACTCAAGATTCCCAGAAAATTTCATTGTGCAGCTGGAGTTTAGAACCATGGGTTTCATTTCATGTATGATAAAAGTCTTAAATTCAAAACAGCAGAAAACCTTTACATAGTTTCATTTTTCTAGAGATCAGTATTTATAAATAATTTTATTTTGTGACACTTGTCAGTAAGCGAACACATCTTATTTAAGTTCCAGTTTTTTAATGAGCTCATGCATTAATACTATTTTTAGTAATGCTGTTTGACTTTCTACTCTTAAACTAGTATATTGAAGGTCTATTTATACTTTGTTTAATTTAATAATAATGATCATTTTTAGGATACTGCTGGTCAAGAGAGGTTTAGAACATTAACTCCCAGCTATTATAGAGGTGCACAGGGTGTTATATTAGGTAAGTGTTTACTTTAATGTACTATTTAAAAATATTTATTGGAGTTTCTGATTGTCCTAGTCTGTGAAAGTTAATATGTCTTTGTTTTACTTCTCGTTAGAGCTACTTTTATGTAACTTGTAGTTGTATTAACTTCATGTAATATTAATGAATATTAAAACTTTTGATTTTAGTCTTGTCTAGCACTTAAAAAATAGACAAGGCTAATTTATTTGGTTTGAAAACACATGTCAATGAGAACGTAATTGAGGATTAATCAGCATATGTTGGACTGTCTTGGAGTATTACAGAAACTGGGCTTCTGTTATCAGCATATTAATATTTGCTGTAGTTTATAAAGGACGAAAAGTATTTGTTGATTAGTAGAATCTGCTTTATTAGTCCTAAAAATATCACAAAGCACTTAACACTATTGATTTATAATCAAACAAAATTTAGAAACCAGATGTGGATTCTCAGTGTAATTTGTTGAAAAGTGCTTGTTCTTGATATTCCTGGGAAACTGTTTAAAATGAATATTGATCAATTGTATTAATAGGTAGAATTCTCTTTTTTTAAATATTATGGCTTGGTAGTGACAGCCTTTTGGTTCAGCATCTCTTGAGTTTATAAAACACTTTAATAAGGTTTTTGTTATAATGCAGAATGACATAAGATGAAAGTGATAACAGGAAGACCACCAGGAACCCATCTACTAACTGTACTACAATTTTTTCAAAGCTGTAAATTTTGGTTCTTGTAATAAACAAATTAATGGGGTCATAGATGTTTACATTCATGTATTTTTTTTTTAATATTTTGCCACAGATTTGAATCTAAACACTCTGGTTTTTGGATAGACCTCATTCATCATTATGAATGGGAATAGCTGTTGTTTTGCTTTAATGGGTATTAAATGTGTTTTCACTTATTACACAGGATATAATTTCATTTCTGTGACAGTATATGTTAATAGGATTGAAATGTGTATGCTTTAAAAAAAAAACACTTGTTTCTTCCATTTGGATCAGTAGACACTCAATATTAATCGTTGAAGACAATAAAAAAAAGACTTGTCTATATTGCTTAGTAATGCTAACTCCTAGCTACATATCAGAAATACGCCATTGCTTCTTTCTTTAATGCTTATTTAACAAATGACTCCTTTTATTTCAGTTTATGATGTCACAAGAAGAGATACATTTGTTAAACTGGATAATTGGTTAAATGAATTGGAAACATACTGTACAAGAAATGACATAGTAAACATGCTAGTTGGAAATAAAATCGATAAGGTAAGAAGGCAGACACTTGGCATTTTGGTTCTATATTTTGGTAGCCTTTCTTAATCATTGCATTTATATTTTAGGAAAATCGTGAAGTCGATAGAAATGAAGGCCTGAAATTTGCACGAAAGCATTCCATGTTATTTATAGGTAGGTGTGTGAATGAATATCTGTCCTTTCATTATTAATGAGGAATTTTTGAATGGAGTTTTTGCCAAGTTTATTTCTTTATGAACCATAAAATGTGTTTAGAGTATTGTTCCTAGTTGCCTTGTGTTACAAAATCTAACTATATAACAAGGTTCTTTATTCTTCTTCCTGTAAAATGTATGATCATATTATGTGAAATCATATTAAAAAACAGTCAAATCATTCCTCACAGGATATAGTGGCATTCAGTAAAGTTTGGCACCCAGTGCTAAAGTTATGCCTTGCTGGTCCATATGCTGATACCATCAGCACCACCTGGGAGCTTGTTAGCAGTGCTTCAGCTCAGGCCCTACCCCAGATTTTCTGAATTAGAATCTGCATTTTAACAAGCTCTTCATATGGTTTGTATGCACATTAATTTTTGAGAAACATGGTCCAGCAAGAGTTGCCAAACTACAGCCTGGTCCAAATCTGGCCCCACCATTTGTATTGGTACACAGCCATGTCCATGTGTTTACATGTTGTCTGTAGCTGCTTTTGTGCCATATGGCAGAGTTTAGTAGTTACAACAGAGGCCATACGGCCCACGAAGCCTAAATATTTTCTATCTGGCCCTTTACAGAAAGAGTTTGCCAACCCCTCATCTAGAAAATTGGATGAGCTATGTCAGAATCACCTGGGCCCTGTGCCTTATTACAGGTTTGAAAGGCAGTTTATTGAAAGCACTCTAGTTGATTCTGATGTGAAGCCAGCTTTAGGAATTACGGATTTAACCATTCCATGGCGTTAGAAGCTACCAGGAATCTGCAAATGAAGTTGAGAGGACTTCATATATAGATAAAAACAGAATGGAATTAGTGGAAAGTATTGAGATTTTCAGAAAGGAATCGAGTACTTTTACTTGCTGTATGTCCCTCATTTCCATACATTAGTTTACCCAATATTTATTGAACACTCAAGATGTAACAGTGGACAAAACTGACAAACTTTCTGCCCACATGGAGCTTACATTCTAGTAAGGGAGACAGACTTAAATAAGTAAGTAGTGCTATGAAGGAAATAAAACATTATAAGGGGAGAGAGAATGACTGGAGTGGGGACTGCTTAGGGAAAGTTCTTAGAGGCTGTCCCATTTGAGCAGAAATCCCTCAGGTGAGGATCTAGAGCAAGCTTGTCCAACTCATGGGCTGCATGTGGCCCAGGATGGCTTTGAATGTGGCCCAACACAAATTTGTAAACTTCCTTAAAACATTATGAGATTTTGTGCTTTTTTTTAAGTTCCAGCTATCATTAGTGTTATTGTATGTTATTTGTGGCCCAAGACTATTCTTCTTCTTCTAATGTGGCCCAGGGAAACCAAAACACTGGACACCCCTAGTCTAGAGGGAGATCATCTCAGGCTGAGAGAGGAGCAAATATTTCCTGAGGTGGGAATCAGGCTACTGTGTTAAAGGAACAGGAAGAAAGCGTGTGTACTGGAGCATAGAGTGTGTTAAGGAGAAGGCAGATGGTGAGAGATGCCATTCAAATGGTAAAGAGATGGATTGTATTCCAATTGTGGTGGAAAGTAGGGAAGCAGCGGTGTGACCTGATACTCTAAAAAGATCCTGTTGTGTAGAAAATGGACTAGGGGAAACAGAAGCAAGAGACTAGTTCTTCTCTTGCAGTGGCCCAGATGAAGGAAGAAGCGGTTTGACTGTGTAGCCGTAGAGGGTGGTAGAAAATTGGCAGTTCTAGGAGATACAGTGAAGGTATAGCTGACAGGATTTGTGGGTGGATTGGGTATGGAGGATAATTAAAAAGAGCAATCAGGCGGGTGCAGTGGCTCACGCCTGTAATCTCAGCACTTTGGGAGGCCGAGGCAGGCGGATTACGAGGTCAGGAGATCGAGACCATGGCTAACACGGTGAAACCCCGTCTCTACTAAAAATACAAAAAATTCACCGGGCGTGGTGGCGGGTGCCTGTAGTCCCAGCTACTTGGGAGGCTGAGGCAGGAGAATTGCTTGAACCTGGGAGGCGGAGCTTGCAGTGAGCGAGATCACGCCACTGCACTCCAGCCTGGGCGACAGAGCGAGACTCTGTCTCAAAAAAAAAAAAAGAGAGCAATCAGAGATAACTCCATGTTTTAGGCATGAGCAGTGAGGTAGATTGTGCTGCCAATAATTAGGATGTGAAAGATTGAGATAAGAGCAGGTTTAGGGTAGGGAAGTGAGGAATCAAGAATTTCACTTTGACATAAGAATGAGACATTTTTCCGATAACCGGTGGACATGGTGGTCATTGGCATTTAGGTGGCATTCAAGGTCATGTGATTAGAGTGGTGACTTCAGGAAAGAACGTGGATAGAAAAGGGCTGAAGAAGCCTGGGCAACATAGTGAGACCTCATCTCCAAATAAAATCAGCTGTGTATAGTGGCATGTGCCTGTGATTCCAGCTGTTCTGGAGGCTGAGGTGGGAGGATCACTTGAGCCTGGGAGGCCAGGGCTGCAGTGGAGCTCCCACTGCACTCCAGCCTAGGTGACAGAGTGAGACCCTGTCTCAAAAACAAAACAAAACAAAGAAAATGGCAGAAGATTGAACCCTGGGGGATTCCAGCAATTAGAGGTCAGCAGAAAGAGGAAGTGCCAGCAAACAAGGCTGCACATGACATGTCAGTGGGCTCAGAGGATTTTCAGGCATGTTCAGTGTCCTGGAAGTCAAGGGAACAACTTGTTTAAAAGAAGAGGAAGTGATTAGCAGTATCAGATACCAAAGATGTCAAATAAAATTAGGATATTGGATTTGACAAGATAAAGGGTGTTGGTGGTCTTGGAAAAGAATGATTTCAGTGGAGTGGTGGGAATGAAAGCCTAATTAGAGTAGTTTGAAGAAAGAACGTGAGATAAGAAGGTAGAAACAGCTTATGTGGATAACTCTTTAGAAGAGGTTTCAAAGAGAGTGGAGAAATGGGTGGCTACAAGAAGGGCATGTGGCCTAGAGAGCAAGTTTGTTTTTTAATAGGATGGAAAATAATTCGGCAGACTTTTAGGCTGATTGGTATGATCCAGTAGAGAGAGCGTTTGGTCCTTCGGTGAATGAGAAGGGATGGGACTCCAGGAACAAAAGAAGGCGATGGCTTGGATAGCAGCAGGGACAGTTTATCCATTCTCACAGGAGGGAAAGCAGAGCATGAGGATACATATGCAGGTAGCTTGGTAAATTTATTAGTGGGATGATCAGGCAGTTCTTGCCAGATTGCTTCTGATTTTCTCAGCATAATGCAGCTAGATTATTAGCTGCGATAGAGTTTTGAGAGGAAGGAATAAAGTACTCATCTCAGACGGTGAGAAAGATCATCACTAAGGAAACGCAGGGTTGGAAGCAGTGCTGAGTGTCCAGTTGAGTTTCATGAGCAAACATTTGCTGTGGGACCAGTTTTCATGGTGGTTTGTCATTTTGTCCAGCTGCCTGGAGCTGCTTGGTTGAAGGCACAGAATAATCAGATTAATTGTTTAACTTGTATGAATTTCTTTATTTTAAAATAGGAATAATATCTGCCTTGGGAGCAAGTTGTAAGAGTTAACTGAAAGCTTAAGGAAAAAACTTTCGCTCGCTATTTAAGTAGGGCTTTACAAGTTACAATTCTATCACAGTTTTAAGATTATAAACCAGTGTTTTTTTGGTATAAAATTATATACTAGTATTCTTATGGATAGAATTTAATTAGCTCAATTTTGAGATTTGGAAATTCACTAGTTATTGACCTTTGGGGAAAAATTGCTGATTTGGATCTTAATATATTGTAGGCTGATATTTATGCCCTGATAGTTTCCCAGAAAAACATGAGAATATGGCCAGAAAGGAATATACTATGAATGACCTTTTTCCTTGAATTTCAGAGGCAAGTGCAAAAACCTGTGATGGTGTACAATGTGCCTTTGAAGAACTTGTTGAAAAGATCATTCAGACCCCTGGACTGTGGGAAAGTGAGAACCAGAATAAAGGAGTCAAACTGTCACACAGGGAAGAAGGCCAAGGAGGAGGAGCCTGTGGTGGTTATTGCTCTGTGTTATAAACTCTGGGAAATTCCATCTCTTGCATATTTGATCAGATAGTGACATCTTTCTGTATATAAACTCTTTAACTGCTATTTTAGGGACCTTGCAGTTTGCACATAATTGTTTTATATCATAGCAGTAAATATTTGCAAGAAATCCCACTCATCGACCCCGGGTAAAATGTTATGGTAAGCATGCACAGTTTGCAGTCTACAGTTTTTTTATGTAGCACAAAATAGGTGTACCTTTATAAGTACATTCAATTTTATGATTTACATTTATCATGTAATTTTTAAAAAAATCCATCTATCTAGGATATGTTGATACAAAGTCTGCTTTTGCTATTCTTTTTGCTTAAATACTCCTATCATTTTCTGAATTACTTGGTATTTAGAACTCCTAGCACCACGGGGAAGAATAGAGGTATCATCAAACGTGGCAAATTTTCTTTCAGGAATAATAAAGAGCATGATTCCACAGCTTTTCTGGGATGTTTGAGATTCTTTTTTAGTACTAAGCAAAATTCTCATCACAGAATGTAGCCCAGGCCAATTTATAACTAAATCTCTATTTGTTCGGATGATGCTTCTAAAACAGCATTGATAGGTTAAAGAAGCTTGGTATTTTTAATTTACTTCAATGATTAGCTCAGTTGCTTAACTGGAGTTTTAATCCTGTGATATGTACATTGGATTCATGACTGTGCAGCATTTTTAGTTATGTGGTGTTTGGCAGAATGACAATAAGGTTTTCCCCCATTTTGGTTTCAGGAGGACATGAATAGTGTGTTTATTGTAACTCCTCATACACTTTTAAAACCAACATCTTTTTTCATAAATGTTGGTAGTGTTTGTCCAGGTACCTTAACTGTAGCTTGTGTAATGTTGATGAATATCTGTATCTTACGGCTTCCATAATGGCTAGTTGATATTCAAAAACCTATTTCTGTGTTTTGAGGGGTGGGGAAAAAAAACACTAAGTGATAATTTGAAAAAGGCATATTGCTTCCAGATTCTGATGTGTGAGGGAAAATACTGTCACAATGAAAATCTTGACAATTTACTTAACAAGTAACCAGTAGTTCATCAAAACCAACTTGTACAGACTAATAAATCTTTTTCACAGTATTCAGTTTTCTCACCTCTTGCTATTGTATATTGTAGATTTTTTTCATTCATGTGTTATTTAATTTACACTGATCTCTGCTATTTTAACCCCCCAAATAAGTTATTTGTCCTTTAAGGTTGGTTACTATAATACCCCTCAGTAAGATTCCAGTATTAATTTCTGGGCAGTTTGTTCTCTGTATACAATTGCAAATGATAAGCATTTTTGTGAGTGACCACCTTTGCAATATGTTTGTTAATTTACTTCATGTTGGGTTCTTTCTGAAATGTACATCTTTACATATAAAAACCTCACATTCTACTTGATTTACACTTCCTAGTCTACATTACATGTGGTTGAAGGTTTTATACATTCTATATGCTTTTACTAAATATACAAGATTTACTACTAGAAATTTGGAGAAAGAACACTAACACATGTACTTGTGATTTGTTCATGTTATATTAAAACTTGAGATTTGTGTATTTATGTAGAGTCTGTATTGACAAGACTGTTGTTTTTTGCTCCTTGAGCTATATAATAATCTGTGTATTGGATTGTTGTCTTGATTTGGTCTAAATTTGAATATATATGAGTTACTTGAATATAACAAAAATGAATTTTGTTTGATAGATTTATATTGTAACCTTTTTCTAGTTCTTGAATAAATATAGCCTGCTTTCCCTAGATGCATTTGTGTAGGAAGTATATACATTTCCCTATTACTCTCATCAGCTGAAGAATATGTACTATTGTGTTACTCAAATTATGTGGCTTTCATTTTGTTGTTTTGTTGCAAGCTTAGTGTTTTGTAGTGGAGGTTTTGTAAATGAAACAGTTGTAATATCTAAGGTCAGGCACCTAGTAACAGGGTTTTGTTAATTCTTTTCAGAATCATTGAAGCAGTCTTAAAGGGTCTTTTGCAGATGGTACAAATTAGAACAATTAGAATATAGTATTTTGAGTTCTAGTAGTACTGAGATTGACCCAAACAAATAAAAAACTATTCAATTTCTGAGTAATAGTTAATATTTATTGAAAGCTTCCTTGGTGCCAGATGCCTTTCTAAGTGCTGAATTATCTCATTAAACCTCACAGCAACCTTAAGAGATTAGTACTCCTATTATGCCCATTTTAAAGGTGAGGACAACACAATGTAGGTATGTTAGGTAACCCCCAAAGATCACATAGCTACTCAGTCACTGAGCTGGATTCCAGTCATGGCATTTTTACTTCTGAGCCCATACTCTTCACCATCGCTCATTTTACAATGGGTAGTTAGTTACCAGCTTTTTGTAACACAACCAAGTTAAGGCAGTTCCACTATTTCTTTATCACTCTTTTGTTATATGTAATAGAAGTATTTCACACTTTTGGGTTATAGAGTAAATCCCATGATGTAAACCTACCTCATAAGTCATGTGACATAAAAGTTAAGGTAGTGGAGTAGGTGGTCTTATTTCTTTCACCTGCTCAGAGTGGACTGAAAATCCTGACTTAGAAAAGGTACAAAGTTAGGGGACTTATGGTACCTTCACTTTTTATGTGAGAATAGAAATTATGGAAACAGTAATTTGCTCAAAACTGAAATCTGGGGTGATGTTTTCATTTCATGTATTTGATTGCCATCCATAAACTCATACTTGGTGTTGACATTCTAGCTGAGTGTTGTGGAAATAGACTTGATTTTGATTCATCGTAGCTTGCATGGTCAAGAGACATGATTCTCTACTAAGGGTGGGGCTAGCACCATAGCTCATAAAAGAATCCTTCTTACACCAGTACTTGTTCTGCCTGTGAGTTGGCACAGACTTACCTAATAACCATAGTGTCTTTAAGTACAACTTAATACATATTTTTTCTGTGTATTTTTTTCAAATGAACTCAACAATTCTTCAGGTATTATAGATCAGAGATCCTCTCCATATTCAAGCATTATGCTTCTCTTTCTTGGGGGTACATTTCACTAGTAATACTTAGGAAGTTATTTTGTCTTTCCTGTATTTCCCTAGTTAAGTATAGGGGTAAAAACGTTATTCAGCTTTCAGAAGACATTGTTCTGACTCCGACCCTGCCGTGTATACTCAACTATATAGACTTCACCCTGGGTTTTGCCTAAACTGTTGAAAGACGAGAATAAATAGACATAGACAGGCTAGCTAAGTCAAGACTAGGGGCTAAGGAATATAGAATCACCCAGGTCTTTTTTTTTTTTTTTAATTTTTCTCTCCTCAGTTGGGAACATCTATCATGCTGGAGGACTACTGTGATGGGGCTTTACATTTTACTGTTTTGTTGCTAGCTTATTGTTTCATACTTGGGAATCAGTCATGTTTCTGATTGTGGTATAAAGTTTGCTTAAGTGCCCCTTAGTTAAAGCTGTTCAATGAATGTAAGCACACACACACCTACACACATATTTTGAATAGTCGTGTGTTCATGCCTGTTCTCAGTCTTGTCCCCTTTACCGTTTCTCATGCAGGTTATTTCTTGCTTTTTTTTTTTTTCCTCTTTTTTAACCGGAGAAGCAACAAATTACGTAGTTTTTTTTGTGTTTCTTTGATTACTAGTGAGCTTGAGTACTTTTAATATTTTATTGGATATGTTTGTGACTGACTTTAATTTCTTGTTTGTGTGTGCTGTGGCTGCCCGATCCAGCACCTACTTCCTTCTCCCACCATACCACCCCCACCCCCACCCCTGCAAACAATTGGCATGTGGTTTGGGTGGCATTGTCACACCCTCGGCTTTCTAGATTAACCCAGTTACCTTTTAGCAGTGCCCCACTTCCCCAGTAGCAATGGTTCAGGGGTAGGCACCTGACCCAGACCAGACTACTGAGATAAAGATGTTTGCCTAGGCTTTTTCAGGAGCAATTGAAGACATCTTGTTGGAGATAGTGTGCTGGGAGGAGTCACATTCTGAACTTGCTGCAGCTCGTTTTTCTAATATAAAGGAACCAGCCTGAGGCAGTACCAGGGTGAGAGGGAGTCTATTGGAGCCCTTGGGAACTTCTGGATCAAATTGGACCTGAATTGAGATCTATTTCTCAGCTTTCACTTATGTGAGCCAATAAATTCCTTTTTTGTTGAAGGCAATTTGACTTGGATTTTCTTTTTTCTTGCAACCAAATATAAGTAGTGTGAGAATGTGTGTGTTTTTCTTATTTACAGAGGTGCTCGTACGTCAAGTTAGTTACATCAGTAATAGATTGTTTGCATAAGGAAGAAAAAAAGTAAACCACTTGAAAAGCCACTACTCTTAAATAACTATTAACATTTTAGTGAGAATACTTTTACGTATTTCTTTATGGATATATACATAGAAAACTGTAAATGAGTTAACTTCATACATATATGATGTGGTTTCTTTTCATTTCCTCTGTCACCCGAGCATGCCCTCTCGTTCCTCTCCTCCCTGAGGTATCTGTTGCATCCTAGCCATATGCTCTTTCTGCATTTCTCGATGTTTATAATCATATGCAAATACATATAGATACATAAATATTTATATATAGTTACAGTTTTCTTTAAATATGTATTATAAATTGGAACCATCTGTATATTCATCTCTGCATGTTGTTTTTCTTTGTCTTTTTTTTATTTTTTTAGAGACAGGCATTCGCTCTGTCGCCCAGGCAGGAGTGCAGTGGTGTGATCACAGCTCACTGCAGCCTCAACCTTCCAGTCCCAAGTGATCTTCTCACCTCAGCTTCCCAAGTAGCTGGACTACAGGTGTGCACCACCATGCCTGGGTAATTTTTTAAACATCTTTTTGTGTAGACAGGATCTCCCTGTGTTGCCCAGGCTGGTCTCGAGCTCCTGGGCTTAAGCTATCCTGCCTTGGCCTCTTGAAGTGCTGGGATTACAGGCATGAGTCACCGCATCTGGCTGCTTTTCTTTCCTAACAGTAGATTGTGAAAATCCCTCCAAACCAATTTCTGGACATCTAAGATCCATTTCTGTGATGGTACAATATTAAAATTCTAAATGTGTCAGATACCACAATTTATTCAACTATTCCTCTAGTAATGGGCAATTATCTTGTTTCTATGTTTTTCCTGCTGTAGATAGTACCACGATAAATATCCTTGTACACATTTCCTTTTGTTAGATATCTATGTGTTGGATCCATAGATCAGACAATGCATTTTTTAAGTTTTGATATATTTTTTCAATAGCTTCCCAAAGTCTGTAACCTTCTACATTTCCACTAGTGTAATAACTATGGACATATCACTTTCCCTGCATTCCCCATCAGCCCTGAGGTGTTACCACATTTTAGTTACTTTGATACTTATAAGGTGTAATTTTTTTTCAACTTTTATTTTAGACTCGGGAGTACATGTGCATGTTTGTTACAAAGGTATATTGTGTGATGCTGAGGTTTGGAATACAAATGAATCTTTCCCAGATAGTATATATATATATATATTTTTTTTTTGAGACAGAGTCTGACTCTGTCGCCCAGGCTGGAGTACAGTGGCGTGATCTTGGCTTACTGCAACCTCTGCATCCCAGGTTCAAGTGATTCTCCTGCCTCAGCCTCCCAAGTAGCTGGGATTATAGGCATGTGCCACCATGCCTGATTAATTTTTATATTTTTAGTAGAGACGGGGTTTCACCATGTTGGCCAGGCTAGTCTCGAACTCCTGACCTCAGGTGATCTGCCCCCCTCAGCCTCCCAAAGTGCTGGGATTATAGGCACGAGCCATCGCGCCCGGCCAGGTGTAACTTTTGAGTGTAACTTAGTTTGCATTTTCTGCAGTCGTTTTCATGTTTGTCGACTCTTTTGAAATGATTATTTATATCCTTTGCCAGTTTCTCTGTTCAGTTTTTTGTGGTTTTATTATATGAGCTGTTTGTATACTACAGATATTAATCTAAATGTGTATGTTATAAGCATTTTTTCAAACCTAAGCCTTTTTAAATTTTGTTTATACTGTATTTTCCTTACAATTAAAAAAAATGTTTTATTGCTTCTGGGCTCCTCAACTCTTAAATTTGACATAGTTTCCTTAACCTCTTATGAGATTTTTATTTTATTTTTTCTTTTAAAATCTTGAATCCCTTGGAATTCACTTGTTTATGGCACAGGATAAGGAGCCATCTCATTCTTCATACATGTAGCTTGTTGTTCTGCACAAAACATGAAATAAGCCTGCCTTTTCCTACTGAGCTGAAGTACTGCTATTGCCCTAGATGAAATTCCCATAAGTACTGTAATCTACTTTGACCTTCTATTTTAGGGGCTCTTAACCTTGGAAAGTAATGTATTTTAGTATAATTGGTTTTTCTTTAATCCTGTGTATTTTATGTTTTAAAAAACATTCTTAAAATAGCTCTGCAGGTTTCATCAGACTGCCACAGGGGTTTGGTAAAGCAAAAGTCTTGATCATGGCTTTAGATAACAGAAAACATAGTATATGGCTTGTAAGGCAAATCCTTCTACGTGCTTTATTTTTTTTCTTCACATATGAATCTTCAAAATGATCCCTCACCCATTTTTCCTTTTGGTGGGTCCTTTAAAAAATATTCATATGAAGGAGGTTTATTTCTTTTAATGGAATATGGTTACTAATCTTTTGTCATTAATATGTATTGCTGACATCTTCACCCAGTGACTTGTCTTTTGAATTTGTTTGAAGTTTTGCATCCTTAAAAGTTTTAAAAACCAAAAATTTAATTTTTAGTTAGTTTTTTAAAATCAGGATTCTAATTAGGATTACATGATATTCCTGCATTAATTGTGAGAAAACTGATAATTTAGTTACAAGACTTGCCATGAGGTTACATGGGGTATCTTTCTGTATTCAGATTCTATGTTTTTAGTGGTTTATGGTTTTCTTCACATAGGACCTATACCTTCTTTATTAAAATTATCCCTATGAATTTTGTTTTGTCAGTGTGAATAGAACGTAGGTTTTCTTCATTTCAGAATTCTGTGTAGTTGTCACTAATAAAGAAAAGCTATAGACTTTTCTAAGTTTATTGAGACACCTAATTAATTTCTTTCATTTGGTACTTTGGTTTAACTAGGGTTTCTTTCATTTTCTAGGCAAAATAGCAAAAATGCAATTTGTAATTTTTCAGTGTTTATGTTTACTGCCTTAGATGAAATTCCCATAAGTACTGTAATCTACTTTGATTACATAAGGCTACATCTTGATGAGTTTTAATAAATATATGCACTTGTATAAATACTATCACAATCAAGGCCAGGTGTGGTGGCTCACGGCTGTAATCCCAGCAGTTTGGGAGGCTGAGGCAGGAAGATTGCTTGAGCCCAAGAGTTCCAGACAAGCTTGGGCAACATAGTGGGATCTCGTCTCTACAAAAAACTATAAAAAAAAAAAATAGCCAGGCATATTGTGGTGCAGCTATGGTTTCCACTACTCCAGAGGCTGAGGTGAGAGGATCGTTTGAGCAACCCAGGTCAAGGTGGCAGTGAGTTGTGATTGTGTCACTGCACTCCAGCCTGGCAAGAGTGAGACCCTGTCCTCCCCACTCCCTAAGGAACCACTGTCAGTTAAGATACAGAATATTTGTATTACCAGAAAGTTTCCTTGTGATTATGTCTGGTCTCCCTCCTCCCACCTCTACTATACCTGACACTGATCAGGGCTTTCCTGGCCACCCCGAGGCAGGTTGGCTCTCATCACTCTGCAGTCTCTACCTACGTGTTCTAGACTTCCTTTTTCTCTTCCTTTATCTATTAGAGGCCTCTATCTTGCATAAATCTGTAGAAATATCTCAGGATGATATTCTTCGCTGCCTTCACTATTTTATTTTTAGTTAGGATCTCACCCTGTTGCCCAGGCAGGAGTGCAATGCTGCCATCATAGCTCACTGCAGCTTCCTGGGCTCATGCAATCATCCCATCTGAGCCTCCCAAGTAGTGGGGACTACAGGTAGGCACTACCATGCCCTGCAAATTTTTCTACTTTTTGGAGAGATAGAGTCTCTATGTTCCCCAGGCTGGTCTTGACCTCCTGGGCTCAGGTGATCCTTCCGCCTCAGCCCTTTACTATTAAGATTTGTTCTTGTCTGGGCACAATGGTTCACGCCTGTAATCCCAACACTTTGGGAGGCCAGGGTGGGCAGTTCACTTGAGGTCAGGAGTCCAAGAGCATTCTGACCAACATGGTGAAACTCTGTCTCTACTAAAAATGGAAAAATTAGCCAAGCATGGTGGTGGTCGCCTGTAGTCCCAGCTACTTGGGAGGCAGGAGAATCACTTGAACCCAGGAGGCAGAGGTTGCGGTGAGCCGAGATTGCGCCACTGCACTCCAGCCTGGGTGACAGAGCAAGACTCCGTCACAAAAACAACAACAACAAAGATTTGTTCTTTTCTTTAATTTTTTTTTTTTTTTTTTTTTTGAGACGGAGGCTTGCTCTGTCGCCCAGGCTGGAGTGCAGTGGCCCAATCTCGGCTCATTGCAACCTCCACCTCCCAGGTTCACACCATTCTCCTGCCTCAGCCTCCCGAGTAACTGGGACTACAGGCGCCCGCCACCACGCCTGGCTAATTTTTTGTAATTTTAGTAGAGATGGGGTTTCAACCGTGTTAGCCAGGGTGGTCTCGATCTCCTGACCTCGTGATCCGCCCGCCTCGGCCTCCCAAAGTTCTTTAATGTTTAAAATATATTTTTAACATGTTCTCAGGGAGGGCATAAGAACCAACTCATGTCCTTGTCAGAGACAGAGCATTTGTTCTTGGCCGGGCGCAATGGTTCAGAGCAGTCATTTGGCTTTTTTGTTTTCGTTTTGTAGAGATGAGGATTTCACTGTGTTGCCCAGGTTGGTCTTGAACTCCTGAGCTCAAGTGATCCACTGCCTTGGCCTCCCAAAGTGCTAGGATTACAGGTGTGAGCCACTGCACCTGGTCAATCATTTGTTTTTTAACTATTAAATTTAATTATTTCACTTTTGTGTGGACGGCATTATTAATCCTTTATGGCTTTTGTGTTTCCCTTTTAGTTAAGAAGGCAACCCCATCCCAAGGTTATACAGCCATTCTCAAACATTTTTTTCCTACTATGTTCATAGTTTTGTTGTTTGCTTATTTGTCTTCACATTTTATTATGTAATCCATCTGGAATTTATTTGTGTTTATGGTGTTTTTATGATGTTTATTTTCTTCCAGGCAGATAGCAAACTGTGCCAACACAATTTAATCTTTTCTCCCCTGAATAGAAATTCCATAACTTGTTGATTTGTTCAGCAAAGATTTATTTCAGACCTCCTATTTGCCAGGCATGGTTCTAAGTCCTAGGGATAGAATGGTGAATAAATCGGAGTCAATGTCCTCATGTTAGTATATGTAGTAGGGTGGAAAAGAGAGTAAAAAGATTAATTACATGATTTTGAAATAAGAGTGGGAAGAAAATAGACCACACTAACTGGATAAAAAGTGTTTCAGTCTGAAGCAAGTCCTCTCTGGGCAAGTGACATTTGAGCAGAGACTCTAGTCAATAAGAAAAGATGTTGCTACGCATACGCCTACCTGTGGGAGAAGAGAGTTTACTGGAGAAGGACTGGCAAATGTGAAAGGGCCTGAGCAGATCCTGCTTGGTGAGTTCAGGGAATAACAAGGCCAGTGTTTATGTAGCACAGAAAGCGAGCAGGAGGGTGGTAGAAGAAGGAAGCAGGAGTCAGAACATGTAGATCCTTTGTGGAGTTTGGATGTTATGCTGAGTGTGATGGGAAACCACTGAAGAGCTTTAAATACAGAAGTTACAAACAGCAAAACATGATCCCATTAAAAAGTGGGCAAAGGATCTGAGTAAACTTTTCTCAAAAGAAGACATACAAATGGCCAATAGGTATATGAAAAAGAAATGCTCAACATCAGTAATCATCAGGGAAATGCAAATCAAAACCATAATGAGATATTATTTCACACGTTTTAGAATGGCAATTATCAAAAAGACAAAAATAAATGCTGGTGAGGATGCAGAGAAAAGGGAACTCTTCTACACTGTTGGTGGAAATGTAAATTAGCACAGCGACCATGGAATGGAGATTTCTCAAAAAAACTAACAATAGAACTACCATTTGATCCAGCAATTCCACCACTGGGTATTTATTCAAAGGAAAAAAAATCAGGCTATGAAAGGAATATCTGCATTCCGGTGTTTATTGTGGCACTATTCACAATAGCCAAAATATGGAATCAACCTAAGTGTCTATCAGTGGATGAATGGATAAAGAAAGAGGAATACTATTAGACCATAAAAAAGAATGAAATCATTTGCAGCAACATGGTTGGAACTGGAGGTTATTATGTTAAGTGAAATAAACAAGGCACAGAAGGACAAATATTGAATGTTCTCACTCATATGTGGGAGCTAAAAAAGTTGACCTAACAGAGGTAGAGAGTAGAATGATAGTTACCAGAGGCTGGAAAGGGAAGATGGGCAAGAGGATGAAGAGAAGTTGGTTAAGGGTTACAAAAATACAGATAGAAGAAATAATTTCTAATGTTCAATAGCACAGTAGGGTGACTATAGTTAACACTATATTATTGTATATTTCAAGATAGCTAGAAGAGGGGATTTTGAATGTTCTCACCACAAAGAAATGATAAATGCTTGAGGTGATGGGTAGTCTGAATAATCAGATAACTTGATTATTGCACATTTTATACATGTATGAAAATGTCACTTGTTTTCCATAAATACATACAAAAATTATGTACCAATAAAAAAGTTCTCACCACAGAAAAATAAGTACATGAAGTGGTGGATATGTTAACTAGCATGACTAAGAAAAAACAAAGGAATTGTATTATTTAGGATTAGGTTTGGGTGTATATTAACTGAAAATTCAGAATAATAATTGTTTAAATATGCAAGGATTTGTTTTCTCATACCAGAGAAGTCCAAAAATGATCATTCAGGACTGTTGAGAGTGACTCTATTGGCCATTTCTATCCATCCTCAAGACTACCTCATGGTCCAAAGTGGCTGCAGGGTGGGAGAGCTCTGTTTATCACATCCATATTCCAGGCAGCAGAAAAGAGAGGAAGACAAAAGGGCACACTCTCTACTGAGTCAGTTGTCTTTTGGGGGAACTTCCTGAAGATACACGTATACCATTCCCATTTATTTCACTGGCTGGAATGTAATCTCCTGGCCACACCTAACAAAAAAAGCTAGAAAATATAGTCTAGGTTAGGCACATTGCTGTCTCCAGTGGCAGTAAGGAAGAAGTGTTAGGTGGTTATTAGGAAGATAATTAACCAACTTTGCCATAGAAGTAATGTGATCTGATACTTGTTTCAAAATATTTGCTAAACTGGTATTTGGGAGTAAGAGTGAAAGGAGATCTATGAGGAGGGTGTTGCTTAAGTCTAACGAAGGGATGATGGTGGATTGGACTAAGGGTGGTAGTGAGAAGTGGTCAGATCCAAGATGTATTCTAAAGGTAAATACAATAAGACCTGCTAAGAGACTGGATGAGGAAAAGAGAGGAATCAAAGGATGATTCCTGGTTGTTTAGCATTAGCAACTGGGTAACGGTGCTCCATTATAAGATGGGAAATATGGAGGGAGAAACAGACTTGGGGAAAAATTATTTTGCACTTACTAAATTTGAGTTGCCTGTTAGATATCCTAGTGGAAATTTTGAATAGAGGTTTTTTGTTTTGTTTTGTTTTGTACTTATTTATTTATTTATTTTTTGAGATGGAGTTTTTGCTCTTGTTGCTCAGGCTGGAGTGCAATGGCGCAATCTTGGCTCACCGCAACCTCTGCCTCCCAGGTTCAAGCGATTCTCCTGCCTCAGCCTCCCAAGTAGCCGAGTGGCTGGGATTACAGGCATGTGCCACCACGCCTGGCTAATTTTTGTATTTTTAGTAGAGACAGGGTTTCTCTATGTTGGTTGGGCTGGTCTCGAACTCCTGACCTCAGGTGATCACCTACCTCGGCCTCCCAAAGTGCTGGGATTACAGGCGTGAGCCACCGCGCCCGGCCTTGAATAGATATTTGAATATAAGAGTATAAGAGTCTGGGGCTCAGGAGAGAATAGAGATCTGGAAATATATATTTGAGGATTATCAGCACAGAGATGAAATTTAAAGCCATAGACACATGAGATATATAGGAGATCACCAAGGGGAGAATATATCTATAAAATAGATAATAAGAAAGTGCTAAGTAATCCTAGAACCCTTTGCTGTTTAGACAGGAGAAGAAAGAGTCAGCAAATGAGACTGGGAAGTTGCCAGAAAAATCCGGGGTGTGTGGTATCCTAGAAGTCAGTCTAAAAAAAGGTTTCAAGAAGAAGCGAACAATCAATACTAATAATAGCCAACATTTATTGAATTGTTAAGTTGTGCCAGACAAGGTCTAAGTGCTCTATACATATTAAATCACAGAATCCTTCCACGACCCTATAATATAGTGTTAGAGTAGTATGAGCATCGTCCTTTTACAAATGAGGAAACCTTGGCACAGGGAGGTAAGTAACTTGCCCATATTTTCACAGTTGATTCAAGACCAGATTCTTGTCCTCTGGTGTAAAGTGCTTTTAGACACTATCCCCTGCTGCTGAGAGCTGAGACATATAGGAACAGGGAATTCACATTTAAATTTGGTAATGTGGAGGTCACTGGTGACTTTGACAGATTTCAGAGGTGGGTGGAATGAAAGCCTAGAGAGAGTGGGTTAAAGGAAGATAGGCAAAGATAGCTGGAAGTGAGGAGAGGGTAAGTGGGCCTAGGAAGAGAGAAAATGGGACATGTTACAGAATGCTTTTGTGTTGATGGGAATGAGACAGTGAGGTAGGCGGCAGGAATTTATTCTGGACCAGACTGAAGACTGGCTGTATGGAAGAGGTGAAAGCAGCTCTCCATAAGATGCGTCCACCAGTGCCATGTCAGTTTACCGTTGCCATGGCAACACTCAGAAGTTACCACCCTTTTTCTAGAAATGTCTAAATAACCTGTCCATTAATTTGCATATGATTTAAAGTTGGTATACATATGACTGCAGAACTGCCCCTGGGCTGCTGCTCTGGGTGCACTGCCGATGGGTAGCCCCGTTCCAAAAGGAGCAGTCCCTCTGCTGCTGCCGTGTACTCCTGCTTCAGTAAAAGTTACTGTCCAACATCACTGACTTGCTGTTAAATTCTTTTCTGGGCGAAGGCAAGAGGTCCCCTGGGCTAACCCCTAGTTTGGGGGCTCACCTGCCCTGCATCAGAAATGATCTACTAGAAAGAAAATAACAGTCATGAAAAGGGAAACTGGTAGGAACAAAGCTCTTTAGTAGGTAAGAAGGAATGGGATCTACTTCTTGAGTGGAGACAGTGACCTCAGACAGGAGCAGAGATAGTGCAGCCCTCATATCAGATGGCAAGACTGTGGGGGAGCACACATATGGACAGACTTGTAGGTTTGGGGTAGGAGGATGTGAGAGTTGTCTTCTGATTTCTTCTGTGTTATTCATGTAAAAAGCAAGATCATCACTAAGGTAAATGGAAGAAAGGATTTGAGAAAAGAAAATGGGAAATAATTATCTAGGACAATAGGAAAGAAACTCTATTAGGGTAATGTAATAGAACTTATCAGTAGTGCAAAGTGATTTTTTAAAATGTGTGGTCAAAAATAGAGGCCAGTCAGTTTAATTCTGTGTGTTTTTCTAGGAAGTTCATCTAGGGACACAGAGTGGGTAAAAAGTTGAATTTAAGCAGGGCTGGGATTTTCCTAAGGGAGCGAAATGGGGATAGGTCCATCCCCACAAGTTATCTAAAAGTAAACACAAGGGACAAATTATAATGATGCATTATGGAATCTCAACTGGATAAAGAGAGAAGTGAGGTCAGTGAGAAGTTGATGATGGAGGGCGAAAAAAGTAGATAGAACCAAAGGGTGGGTGTTCCTAATGTGGCCAAATATTTCGGCCTAGATATACTCAGGCAAGGGACCTGGAAAGAAATGTCAGAGAGATGTTTGACATTCAGACATTGAGGGTAGGTTCAGGTTATAACCTGGGATAAAGTTGAAAGGGAGGAGGCCCCGGTGCTGGATGAATAATTTTTTTTTTAAATTATACTTTAAGTTTTAGGGTACATGTGCACAACGTGCAGGTTTGTTACATATGTATACATGGGCCATGTTGGTGTGCTGCACCCATTAACTCGTCATATAACATTAGGTGTAGCTCCTAATGCTATCCCTCCCTCCTCCCCCGACCCCACAACAGGCCCCGGTGTGTGATGTTCCCCCTCCTGTGTCCATGTGTTCTCATTGTTCAGTTCCCACCTATGAGTGAGAATATGCGGTGTTTGGTTTTTTGTCCTTGCGATAGTTTGCTGAGAATGAGTTTCTGTTTCTTCAAAGAGTAAGTTCCCATATACAGTCGAGTCTGTTTCTAGATTCTGTTCTGTTCACTGACATAGTCCTATGCCAAAATCACAACCATTTTGATTTACAGTATATTTATAAATTAAGTTCTCTCACTATTTTTTTTTTTTTTTTTTTTTAGTAACTACTATTTTGGCAAGCATTTTGCCCAGTTACAAAATAAAGTCCTTTGGAATCCTGACAGGAGCTGCATTAAATTTATGTATTAATTTATAAAAGTGACATTTTAAAAAGTCGTCCTATCCAGAAACATGACATACCTTTCCATTTATTCAGTTCTTGTTTTATGTCTGTTAATACAATTTTAGAGTTTCCTTCATATAGACTGTCTAGCTACATTTGTTAATGTATTTCTAGGTATTTTATCATATGTGGTTACTATCGTGCGTCTAGGTTTTTTTCCATTTCCATTTCTCATTTATTTTTCTCCATAAAAAGAAAAAAATTACTGTTTATGTATTTCTTATAACAGCGTCTTACCAAATTTGCTACTAATGCTAATCTCTTTTTAGTGTTTCTTGTTTTTTAGGTTCATCACAATATGTGTGAGTAAAGATAATTTTGTCTGTTCCTGTTTTATAACAATAGTTTTAGTACTTTGTCTTTTAAGGTACCATTTGCTTTTTTTTTTCTTTTATTTCAAGAAACAGTCTTTACTATTTTAGAATATTGAGTTAACTGTATTATTTTAATATTTTACTTTAATCTTTTTTGGAATAGCAGCTAAATTTTTTCAGATTCTTTTTTTTTTTTGCCAACTATTGATATAATCAAATGGTTTTGTTGCTAGTTTATATAATGAATTATGTTGAAGATTTTCTATTTCAAAACGATCTTTACATTCTTGGAATGTATCTTGTCCATGTTGTATTTTTTTCAATGCACTGCTGGATTCGACTTACTCATATGTGTATTTATAGCTTTTGCATCTATATGCTGCAGAAAGGCATAGATGAGGTCTTGTAAATTGATCTACATTAAGCTCCTGTAATGAGGGCTGTTCATAGACACAGTTGTACTCCCCCTGTAGATTTCTAGTGGGTTCCATTGTGTTCTATGGGAATGGTGCCTCCTGGGGATTCCGTGAGCAAAAATTATGTGAATATCCAGGAGACCCTACCTAAAAACGTGTCTGGCCCATAGTAGATCAGTTTACCCTAAGTTTCTGAATGTATTGTCACTGAATTGTGTATATCATGTCTCTTACTTTTAGTATCAGCTGTAGTTGGGGTAATATCTTATTTCTTCTTCCTACTTGTATATTTTCCATAATCTCTCTTTCTCCCCCTTGTTCAGCCTTGTTGGAGGTTTAATCTGTTTCATTCATGTTTTCAAAAACCAAGATTTTATTTAAAAACTTTAAAATAAATTTTAAATACTTTTTATTTTAAAATTTCATCTTTTTTTTAAAAAAAATCTTTTTTTGAGCTAATTATAGATCCGTGAGAAGTTACAAAGATAATACAGAGCATTCCCATGTACCCTTGATCCAATTTTCCCAATGGTTATGGCTTACATATCAAAACTAGGAGGTCAACCTTAGTACAAGGCATGCATGTACTTCTGGGCCATTTGATCACATGTGTGGATTAGTGTAGTCACCACCACAATCAAGATACGGAACAGGCTCATCCCCACAAACGTCTCTCTTGTTCTGTCCCTTTACAGTCATGCTTCCTCCTCCTCTTACTTTCCCTAACCTTTGGAAACTACTAATTTGTTCTCCAGATAGATAATTTTGTCATTTCAAAATTATCATATAAATGGAATCATATAGTATGTGATTTTTAAAATTATTTTTTTCTTTTTAGAGACAGGATCTTGTCTGTCACCCAGGCTGGCGTGCAGTGGTGTGATCATAGCTCACTGCAGCCTTGAATTTCTGGGCTCAAGTGATCCTCCATCTTCAACCTCCTGAGTAGCTATGACTACAGGTGCATGCCACCATGCCCAACTAATTAAAATTTTGTTTTAGAGACAGGGTCTTGCTATTTTGCCTAGGCTGGTCTCGAACTCCTGGCCTTAAGTGATTGGCCTCTCGAAGTGTTAGGATTACAGATGTGAGCCAGTGTGCCCAGCCAGCATTCGATCTTTTAAGATTAGCTTTTTCCACTTGGCATAATGCTCATGATATTAATGCAAGTTGTCGGGCATATCAACAACTTGTTTTTTATTGCTCAGTAGTATTTCAAGGCATGTATGTTCCACAGATAGATTTAATCATTCACCTGTCATAGGACACTTTGATTGTTTTCTGTTCTTGACTATTACAAATAAAGCTGCTATGAACAATTGTGTACAGATACTGTGTGGCCAGAAGTGTGATTGGTTGGTCAATATCCTTGATTTTTCATTCTCTATGATTTTCTTTTGATTTATCGTAATTTTTAGAAAGTTCATTAGTTGGCTTACTTCATTTATTGTTAGTTTTTCTTTTTAGTAATAGAAGCATTTAAGATATTTCCTACTGTAGTATAGAGTTTACCTATGCCTAGATATTTTTATATCAAGTATTCTTTTTATTCGTAATATCGGTGTTTTTTTGTTTTTTGTTTTTTTGAGACAGGGTCTCACTCTGTTGTTTAGGCTGAATGCAATGGCACAATTATGGCTCACTACAGCCTCTACCTTCCGGGCTCAAGTGATCTCCCATCTCAGCCTCCCGAATAGCTGGGCTTACAGTCTTGTGCCACCACACCTGGCTAATTTTTAATTTTTTGTAGAGATGAGGTTTCACCATGTTGTCCAGGCTGGTTTCAAACTCCTGGTCCTAAGCAATCCTCCTGCCTTGACCTCCCAAAGTGCTGGGATTCCAAACATGAGCCATCTTGCCCAGACTGTAATATCAGTTTTAAGTACCTCTTTGGATAGGAACTATTTTGAAGAGTATGCCTTAATTTCATATTATTCTGCCTTTAGGCTATTATTTTCCTTCTTGTTGTAAACTTCTAGTTTATAATCCAATTATGGTTAGAAAACGTGAGACAAAATCTCTCTATTTTTTGAAATTCATTAAGGTTTTCTTCGTGGCCAAGAATTCAGTTTGTTTTTTTTTTTCTGACTGGCTTGTTAATATTTTGTGATTACTTATTTTAGACTTATAGTTGGATAATACAGCGCGGCTAAGGGCAAGACCAGTTCATTGGACATGCTGGTCTATAAAACCGCCTGACTCTGATTCGAAGCTGCAATGATGTTGGAGTATGTTGGGTAGCCCAGTTTGTGGCATCTAAAATTTTTCGAAGTAATAGAGAGGTGTGATATGAAGAAGGAGTGAAAAGTACTTAGCATTCAAGTTGGAGAAGATGACGACCAGGAAGAAATACGATAACAGAAAGAAAAAACACTGTTATTTACTGTTTTGTAAGTGCTAGGTCCCATGCTTGGCTTTTACTCCTATTAATCATTTAAACCTTCGCAAAAGTCCAGTGAGTAAGTGTGACAGTTTTTATTTTACAGAGACGGAAACAGGAATTTAGAAAGATTAAAGAACTTTTCCAAGGTCACAAAGCTAACAAATAGAGTTGGAATTTTGTCTGAATTTTTTTTTTTTTTTTTTTTGGGTGGGACGGAGTCTCGCTCTGTCACCCAGGCTGGAGTGCAGTGGTGCAATCTCAGCTCACTATAACCTCCACCTCCCGGGTTCAAGCAATTCTTCTGCCTCAGCCTTCTGAGTAGCTGGGACTACAGGTGCCCACCACCACCCCCCGCTAATTTTTGTATTTTTAGTAGAGATGGGGTTTTGCCATGTTGGCCAGGCTGGTCTCGAACTCCTGACCTCAGGTGATCCACCCGCCTCGGTCTCCCAAAGTGCTGGGATTCCAGGTGTGAGCCACCGCGCCCGGCCTTGACTGATTTTTAAAGCTACTTCATACATATAAGAAGTTTAATTTATAGGATTTGTGGAATACAACGTTTTATACAGATATGCGTATTAAGTAAAACACAGATTATTCACATCTTCTATAACATTGTAACTTTGTGTACTTTGTCAAATTCTGAAAGAGTTGTATTAAGGTTATTATCATGACAGATGATTTTATCACATTCTTATAGTTTTGGAATTTTTAGCTTTATGTTATTTAGTTCATGAAGAAATACAATGTGTATATTCTTTATCATTGCATCTTTTGCCACTACATAATATTCCCTCTTTTCCTTGTTTAATTAGTTTCAGCCTTGAATTGTGTCTAATACGATAATCTTACAATCATGTCTTTTTTATTTCATTTTTAATAAAATTTTCATCTTTATAAAAGAATATAGGTTACGTAGATACATTGTAAAGAGTAATATGATAAACACCCATTGAAGTCCTACTGTGTGTGTCTGTGTGTGTGTGTGCGCATCTATGCACATTTATGTGGTATAACCTATTATTTTATAACTTATTTTTGGAGGTTCCTTAAGTTTCTATGTAAACTCACCGTGGTGAAGAAATTGAAAGCAGACATTTTACTTTCAGATTTTCTCTTCCAACTTTCTAAATATTTGAAGGACATGTGAAATACAAATATGGAAATTCAGATTTGTTTTTAAACTTTACTAAGATTTGTTGAAGTGTGAGCCCAGAGTACAGAGCTGGGGTGGGATCAAAAGTAGGCGAACAAATTTGTAAATAACTTGCTTTTATCTACAAATTTCCTGGGGGACAGTAGTACCTGCTTAAAGCATTAAAAACAAACAAACAAAAACCATGGAAATGCCAAAACTCACCAAGTTTCAAATGATGAAGATGCGATTATTAGAAATCCCATTCTGTCTCCAGTGAAGAATATCATTCATAAAAATTACATTTTACACTTTGAGGTAATTTTTTCTAGATCAAAATCCACACAATGGCACTTCTACAAAAACACCCAACACGGTTTTTCTCTGCGAGTAAGATATAAAAGCTCCTTGGAAATGAATTTATAATTTTATTTTAGTTCTTGCGCTTGCCCATGTCTTCTTCTTCATTATTTTGAAGAATTGAGACAAGGTCTCACTTTTGTCGGCCAGGCTGGAGTGCAATGGCACAATCATAGCTCACTGCAGCCTTGACCTCCCGCATTTTTTTTTTTTTTTTTTTTGTAGAGCCGAGGTCTTGCTATGTTGCCCAGAATGATATTGAACTCCCAGCCTTAAGGGATTCTCCCACCTTGGACTTCTCAAGTGTTGGTATTACAGGCATGAAACACTGCACCAAGCTAGAAATACTTGCCCATTTCTATTGCTCGGGTCACGTGGCTTAAGATAGAACTTGAAAGTTGAGAGACGGCGGAGCGTGGTGGCTCACCCCTGTAATCCTGCACTTTGGGAGGCCGACGCGGGCAGATCCTTGAGGTCAGGAGTTTGAGACCAGCCTGGCCAACATGGCGAAACCCCGTCTCTACTAAAAATACAAAAATTAGCCGGGCGTAGTGGCGTGCGCCTGTAGTCCCAGCTACTCCGGAGGCTGAGGCAGGAGAATCGCTTGAACTCGGGAAGCGGAGGTTGCGGTGACCTGAGATCGCGCCACTGCACTCCCGCCTGGGCGACAGAGCGATACACCGTCTCAAACAAACAAACAAAACAAAAAAAAGTTGAGAGACAATAATACAAAAAACAAGAAGGAAAGATCTTTTGATTTTCAGTGAGGATGTTGCAGGGAAGGTGGAAAAGGAGCATCAAGACCCTTTTAAATTTTGTTATTCTCTAAATTTTGCAATTTAGCTATTAGCTTTGTAAAGTGTACATTCAGGGCAGAATTGTAGCCTGTCGGTGTTAGGTTATTTCTCTGCAGTCAGTTTGTGGAACATAATTTGACTGATGATAGATCTAAATCCACGCAGTAATCACTCAAAATGAGATGATATTTATTTCATATGCATGTGCTATATAATACTATGGTTATCAAAAATTGAATTAGGAGAATTGCGCCCAACGAGAATGGGCTTGTCTATGTGAGATTCATGTGGTTGTTATGCTTTCTTTTTAATAGTCCAACAAAAGAGAAAAGGCAAGATATAAATGAGTGATTCCGGAATCCATGCACCTAGAAAATGATTGTTTTGTCTATCTAGATTGGTTTTCTTTTGCATGTGAATTTCCAATTGTTCCAGCAACATTTGTTGAAAAGACTTTCTTTGCTTCATTGCATTACCTTTATTTTGACAAAGATCATTTGGCTATTAGAAACCCACGCGCTTGGAAAATGAGATCTCTCAGTTCTCCATGAGGTGGCAGCAGCTCCTCAGTAACATGAGAGACCCTGTGGTGAAGGTCAAGTTCAAAGACGCCTTAGGCACTGTCCAGCTGAGAATTTTCACAGGCTGTACTTTCTTTGGCCAGGTTTCCTCTGTGACTTTGTTTCTTTTATTTTCTTTTTGAGAAAATTCAGCAACAAATCACCTTTTGATTATATCTGGGCCTTCCTGTTGTAAGATGGACTGCTTATACTGGTCAACAGACAGATTTCACAGCAGTCCTGGGGCCAAATTATAGTTTAGCAGCCACAGAGATTGACTTAGCTGGAGGTGGAGGACATGGAAGCATAACCGATCTTGCAATTTTGGAGGAGAGAATTGCTTCCTTTCTATAGCATACATTTATCTTTTTATAGAGAAGTTTTAGGGGGTTGAGTAGAGGCATTACAGATAAAATGAGGATGCTACCAGTGTTTTATAAAACTGAGCCAATTTAGGGTTTTAAGATTACTTATTTATATATTTTTATATTTTTCCTTTAAAACCATTTTAGAGATTATACTGTGTTTCCTTTTGTGAGAGAGAAAACTGTTTTCTGGAAGCACTCAGTTAAAATAAAGAATTTAAAATTGCGCTTCATTTTCCATCAAACTTTTAAAACTAAATTGTTTGATGATTTTGACTCTAATATATTGAATACATTTAATTCTAATAGGCTTCCTTCTCCAAATGTTTCAAATTATAAGACAATCCTTTCATTGTATTCTTCATCAGAACCTGGCACTGTCCCTCTTTCTCTGCCTTTCTTTGCTTAAATTACGCTATTCTGGATGAGTAATGATAGACATACTTGATCTAAGTATATGTCTGTAATGTTAAAGTCATTTTTAGAACGTTCAGAAGCCCTTTTTCTGCTAACATTCTTTTTTTTTTTTTTTTTTTGAGACGGAGTCTTGCTCTTTCACCAGGCTGCAGTGCAGTGGCGCGATCTCAGCTCACTGCCACCTCTGCCTCCCGGGTTCAAGCGGTTCTCCTGCCTCAGCCTCCCGAGTAGCTGGGACTACAGGTGTGCGCCACCACTCCCAGCTAATTTTTGTGTTTTTAGTCGAGACAGGGTTTCACCATGTTGGCCAGGATGGTCTCAATCTCTTGACCTACTGATCCGCCTGCCTCGCCTCCCAAAGTGCTGGGATTACAGGCATGAGCCACCGTGCCTGGCCTCTGCTAACATTATTGATCACACTTACCACTTCAAAAATCTTGGTTCTAGTGATAGTCTACATTTTTATTGTTGTTGTTTCTATTTTCTTAATTTTTCTCCTAGAGTGATTAATTCCATTCTGTACTTTTTCACAAATAGACTGTTTTTAGAGTAGTTTCTTGTTTACAGCAAAATTGATCAGGAAGAACAGAATTCCCATATATCCTCTGCCATCACACATGCACAGCCTCTCCATTATCAACAACCTACACCAGAGAAGTGCCTTTGTTACCATCAATGAACCTATAGAGATGCGTGATTATCAACAAAGTCCATAGTTTACATTAGAGTTCACTCTCGGTGTTGTACATTCTGTGAGTTTTGACAAGTGTTCAATGACATGTATCTACCATTGTGGTATCATACAGAGTAGTTTTACTGCCCTAAAATTCTCTGTGGGCTGGGCGTGGTGGCTCACGCCTGTAATCCCAGAACTTTGGGAGGCTGAGGCAGGCAGATCACCCGAGGTCAGGAGTTCGAAACCAGCCTGACCAACAAGGTGAAACCCTGTCTCTACTAAAGATACAAAATTAGCCGGGCATGGTGGTGGGGGCCTGTAATCCCAGCTACTCAGGAGGCTGAGGCAGGAGAATCGCTTGAACCCAGGAGGCAGAGGTTTCAGTGAGCTGAGATTGTGCCATTGCAGTCCAGCCAGGGCAACAAGAATGAAACTCCATCTCAAAAAAAAAATTATCTGTGTCTATTCATCCCACCCTCTCCTTTAAGACCTGGCAATCACTGATTATATATATATATATATATATATATATATATATGTGTATATATATATATATATATATGTGTATATATATATATGTGTGTGTGTGTGTGTGTGTGTGTATATATATATATATATATATATATATATATATATATATATATATATGTATATATATATTTTTTTGAGACAGAGTCTTGCTCTGTCACCAGGCTGAAGTGCAGTGGCAAGATCTCGGCTCACTACAACCTCCGCCTCCCAGGTTCAAGCCATTCTCCTACCTCAGTGTCCTGAGTAGCTGGGACTACAGGCATACCCCACCACGCCTGGCTAATTTTTGTTTTTTTTTTTTTTTTTGGTAGAGGCAGGGTTTCACCAGGTTGGCCAGGATGCCTTCGATCTCCTGACCTCATGATCCGCCCACCTTGGCCTCCCAAAGTGCTGGGATTATAGGCATGAGCCACCATGCCTGGCCAATCACTGATATTTTTATCATATCCATAGTTTTGCCTTTTCCTGAATGTTGTATAATTGAAATCATTACAATATGTAGGATTTTCAGATTGGCTTATTTCACTTAGTAATATGCACTAAGTTTCCCCCATGTCTTTTAGTGACTTAAATCATTCACTTCTATTTTAGCACTGAAGAACATTTTATTCTCTGTCTATACCCATTTGTATTTCTGCTCATCTACTGAGGGACATCTTATTTGCTTCCAAGTTTTGGCAATCATAAATAAAGCTGTCATGAACTTGTGCATACAGGTTTTTGCATGGATGTAAGTTCTCAATTCATTTGGGAGAATCCCTGAGACTGCCAAGCTTTTACAAAGTGGCTTTTTGCATGCCCACTAGCAATGAATGCTAATTCCAGTTGCTTCACATCCTCACCAGCATATGATGTTGTCAGCATTTTGGGTTTTGGCAATTCAAATAGATGTGTCGTGTTAGCTTGTTGTTGTTTTAATTTGCAATTCTCTAGTGACATATGTTGTTGAGCATCTTTTTATATGCTTATTTACCATTCTTGTGTCTTCTTTGGTGAGTCGTCAGTTAAAGTCTTTTTTAGTTGGGTTATTTGCCTTCTTATTGTTGAGTTTTAAGAGTTCTTTGTGTATTTTGAATAACAGTTCTTTATCTGATAATGTCTTTTGCAAATATTATTTCCCAATCTGTAGCTTTTCTTTTTATTCTATTGACTTGTCTTCTGCAGAGAAGAAAATTTAATTTTAATGAAGTCCAGCTTACCAATTATTTCTTTCATGGATCATGCCTTAGGTATTGAATTTATAAAGTCG
Organism: Homo sapiens; assembly: GCF_000001405.40. Taxonomy (NCBI): domain Eukaryota; kingdom Metazoa; phylum Chordata; class Mammalia; order Primates; family Hominidae; genus Homo; species Homo sapiens. Next base: position 27,561,953 of record NC_000010.11, read on the forward strand.
TCGCCATCCCAAGGTCATCTAGGTTTTCCCCTGTATTAGCTTCTAGAAGTTTTATAGTTTTGCATTTTACATTTAGGTTTATAATCCATTTTCAGTTAAGTTAGTTAGGGGTGTTATGTCTATCTAGATTGACTTTCTTTTGCATGTGGATTTCCAATTGTTCCAGCAACATTTCTTGAAAAGACTTTCTTTGCTTCATTGTATTGCCTTTATTCTTTTGTCAAAGATCAAAGTCTTCAAGTCAGATAGTGGCCATCCTCTGACTTTGTTCTTCAATATTGAGAAGGCCCTTCTGGGTCTTTTGCCTTTGGGATTTTGGAATTGTATTAGATTTATAGATCAAGTTAGAAAAACTGACATTTTGAAACCATTAATTTTTTTGTATCCATGAACATGGAATATCTCTCCATTTATTTTGTTCTTTGATTTCTTTCACAGAATTCTGTAGTTTCTCTCATATAGATATTATACAGATTTTGTTAGATTTACAGCTAAGTATTTCATTTTTGGTGGTGCTAATGTGAGTAATAATGTGTTTTTAATTTCAAATTCCACATGTTCCTTGCTGTTATATAGGAAAATGGTTGATATTTGGAAGGCAGCTCTGCTCACCACTATACCACTGAGACATGATTGACATTTGTATGTTAGCCTGTATCCTGTAACCTTGCTATAATTTCTTATTAGTTCTAGGCGGTTTTTTTTTTGTCAATTCATTCAGATTTTCTACATATACAATCATGTCATCTGAAAACAACCATAGTTTTATTTCTTCTTTCTCAATCTGTATACATTTTATTTCCTTTTCTGGTCTCATTGTATTAACTAGGACTACCAGTATGATGTTGAAAAGGAGTAGTGAGAGGAGAGCCTTACCTTTTTCATGATTTTAGTGGGAAAACTTCTAGTTTCTTGCTATTAACTATGATGTTAGCTGTAGGTTTTTGGAGATTTCTTCTTATCAAGTTGAGAAGTTTCCTTCTATTACTAGTTTTCTGAATGGTTTATCATGAATGCATGTAGGATTTTATTAAATGCTTTTTCTGCATCTATTTGTGTGATCATGTAATTTTTCTTCAGCCTATTGGTGTGATGGAATTACACTAATTAATTTTTGAATGTTGAAACTACCTTGCACACCTTAGATAAATCTCACTTGGTCATAGTGTGTAATCTTTTTATACATTGTTGCATTCTTTTTGTTAATATTTTATTGGGGATTTTTGTTCATGAGAGATATTGATCTGTAGTCTTCTTTCTTAATAATGTCTTCATCTAGTTTTCGTATTAAGGTAATGTTGGCCTCATAGAATGAGTTAGGAAATATTCCCTCTGCTTCTGTCTTTTGGAAGAGATTGTAGAAAATTGCCATAATTTCTTCCTCAATATTTGGTAGATTCACCAGTGAACCCATCTGGGTCTGGTGCTTCCTGTTTTGGAAGGTTATTAATTATTGATTTACTTTCTTTAATAGATATACGCCTAGTCAAAGTATTTCTTCTTTTGTGAGTTTTGTTAGATTGTGAAATTTCAAAGAAATGGGCCCATTTTTTAAAGTTATCACTTATACGTAAAGTTACATAAACATACATATATATATATATAAGCATAGATAATAAAAGACATTGTTTTTATTACTATTATTCTTATTTTGAGACAGAGTCTCACTCTGTTGCCTAGGCTGAAGTGCAGTGGTGTGATCATGGCTCACTGCAGCCTCAAGCTGCTGGGCTTAAGTGACACTCTTAGCCTCCCAAGTAGCTGAGGCCACAGACATATACCACCATACCCTTCAATTATTATTATTATTTTGAGGCAGGGTCTTGCTCTGTTGCCCAGCTGGAGTGCAATATTGTAATAATGGCTCACTGCAGCCTTGACCTCTGGGGCTCAAACAGTCCTCCTGCCTCAACCTCCTGAGTAGCACTACAGGTGCATACCACCATGCCAGGCTAATTTTGTGTTGTTGTAGAGACAGGGTCTCATTGTGTTGCCCAGACTGGTCCCAAACTCTTGGGTTCAAGAGATCCTCCCACCTCAGCCTTCCAAAGTGCTAGAATTACAGGTGTTAGCCACTGCACCCAGCCTCTATTATTATTTTGAACATTTATTGGTTAGAAAACTGAGTAATAAGAAAAGTAAAAGTTTTTGTCCAACCATATCTTATTCATTTTCCAGTGCTAATCTTTTCTTTATGTAGATCTGAGTTTCTGACCTGTATCAGTTTCCTCCTCTTTGAAGAACATGCTTCAACATTTCTTGCAAGGCAGGTCTACTGGCAACAAATTTGATTTTTGTTTGTTTGAGAAAGTTCATTTCTCCTTCACTTTTGAATAATTTCTCAGGGTACAGTATTCTAGGTTGGTGGCCTTTTATCTCAAAACTTTAAACACTTCCCTTCACTCTATTCTTGCTTGCCTACTTGCTGAGGAGACATCACATGTAATTCTTATCTTTGCTCCTCTAGAGATAAAGTGTTTTTTTTTCTTTTGCCTTCTTGAAACACTTTATCTTTGATTTTTCTTCAGTTTGAATATGATATGCCTACATGTAGGGTATGTGTGTGTGTGTGTCTGTGTGTGTGTGTGAGAGAGAAAGAGAGACAGAGAGAAAGAGAAAGAGAAAGAGAAAGAAAGAGAGAGAGAGATTTATCCTGCTTGGTGCCCTCTCAGCTTCCTGGATTTGTGGTTTGGTGTCTGACATTTATTTGAGCAAAATTCTCAATGATTATTGCTTCACTTAATCTCTTCTGTTCCTTTCTCACTTCTTCGTTTTCTGTTTTTCCAATTTGAATATTTCTATTGACATTTCCTCAAACTTAGTGATTCTATCCTCAGTCATATTCAGTCTACTAACAAGGTCATCAAAGGCTCTTCATTTCTCTTACAGTGTTTTTGATTTCTAGCATTTCTCTTTTTAAAAATTGTAGTAATAGCATTTAACATGAGACCTATTCTTTCAACAAACTTTTAAGTATTAGCTATAGACATTTAATTGTACAGCAGATGTCTGGAACTTATTCATCTTGTATAACTAAATCTTTATACCCAATGAATATCAACTCCCCATTTCCCCCTCCCCGCCGCCAGCCTCTGGCAACCAGTCTTCTTACTCTCTGTACGGGTTTGGCTTTGGCTATTTTTAGATACTTCATGTAAGTGGAACCACTTATATGAAGCATCTAAAAAAGTATTTGTTGTCCTGTGACTACCTTATTTCACATAGTGTAATGTCCTCCACATTCATCCATGTTGTCTCATACTGTAGGATTTCCTTCTTTTCTAAGGCTGAATAATACTTCATTGTTTGCATATATTTTCTTTATCCATTCATCTGTCAATGGACATTTAGATTATTTTCCACATCTTGGCATACATAAATAGAGTTCCTTATCCTTAGTTCAGGTCTTCGTTAAAACCTGAACTTCTCCATTACCACTGTAATCTGTAACATTAACATTCTCTAATGGATCTCTCTGAATCTGACCTTCCATCATTCAGTCTAACTATTACATTGTTAGTAGTGTATTTTTCTAAAAGGCAAAAATAATAATCCTTGGTAATAGATGAGTAGCTCATAAGAGGCTTAGTCCATTTTGTGCTGCTAAAACAGAATACCACAGACTGGGTAATTTATAATGAACAGACATTTATTGGCTTATAGTTCTGGAGGTCGAGAAGTCCAATATAAAGTACTAGCATCTGGTGACGGCCTTCTTATGCATCATAATGTGGTGGAATACATCATATGGATGAGAGAGACAGCAAGAGGGGACAAAACTCATCCTTTTATAAGAAACCCACTCCTAGGCTGGCGCAGTGGCTCATGCCTGTAATCCCAGCACTTTGGGAGGCTGAGGCAGGCAGATCACCTGAGGTCAGGAGTTCAAGACCAGCCCGGCCAACATGGTGAAACCTCATCTCTACGAAAAATACAAAAATTAGCCAGGCATGGTGGCATGCACCTGTAATTCCAGCTACTCAGGAGGATGAGGCAGGAGAATTGCTTGAACCCAGGAGGCGGAGGTTGCAGTGAGCTGAGGTCACACCACTGCATTCCAGCCTGGGCAACAGAGTGAGACTCCATCTAAAAAAAAAAAAGAAAAGAAAAAAAAGAAAAGAAAAGAAACCCACTCCTGTGATAATAAACCTACTCTCACAATAATGGCATTAATCCATTTATGAGGGCAGAGCTTTTACAAACTAAACACCTCTTAAAGGTCCCATCTCCCACCACCTCCACATTGGGGATCAAGTTTCCAATACATGAACTTTAGGGGACACATTCAAACCATGGCATAGGTTAATCTTTTACACAATTGAAATTCACTAGAAAGGTGAACAAACAAGAACATGGAATCCATAGTCAAGACAAACAAACGCTGAGATATTTGAATTACCAGACAAAATCTTGGAAGGAGCTATTATGGTCATCTTCAAAGACTTAAAGGGAAATGACCACAATGACTAAACAAACTTATAATTTTATTGGAGAAATGGATAAAAGAAATCAAATGGAAATTCCAGAAATGAAAAGTACTGTATCTGAAATGAAATGTTTTCTGGGTGGGTTTAGCCAGTAGACTAGAGATGGCAAAAGAAACTAGCATGAACTGAAGATGAGTGAACTGAAGGTAAAATCAAAAGCTAGAGAGAAAATTTTGAAAATAGCCAAAGGAACAAGGATACAGATGGTGTCTTATATCTCATTTGAGCAGTGGAGCCCAGAGATAATGGAACAACATATTAAATGTGTTGAGATGAAAAAAATTTGCTTGCCCAGAATATCATATCCATCTAGAATATCATTCAAAAGAGAATGAAGAAATTTTGTGATCAATGAAAGCTGAGAGATTTTTTTTTTTTTTTTTTTTTGCCAGCTCATCAACACTACAAATCTAAAGCTGAAAGCTCAGGGTACGGTAATGACAGATGGAAACTTCATTACAGAAAGCAATGAAGAACACCCAAGTGGTAAATATGTGGGTAAATATGGAATATCAGATATCTATTTTTATCTTACTTTAAAAAAAGAAAACTGTTTTTCAATAGCAAAATAACAGCTAGTGCTTATTGAGATATTTCAATGTTATTATGTCATTTCACACACATTAATCCACTTAATTCTCATAATAAACCTCTTTTATAGAACATTATCTCAACAGCTGCAAAATATGCATTCTTCTTTTTGTTTTTTTTAAAAACAAGGTCTTGCTCTGTTGCCTAGGCTAGATTGCAGTGGCATGATGATTGCTCACTGCAGTCTCAAACTCCTGGGCTCAAGCAATCCTCCTGCCTCAGCCTCCCAAGTAGCTAGGAATACAGGTGCGTACCACCATGCCAGACAATTTTTATTTTTTGTAGAGATGAGGTCTCACCATGTTGCCCACATTATTCTTAAAAGCATATGGAATGTTCACCAAAATGTATCATATCCTGAGCCATGAAACAAGTCTGAATACATTTCTAGTAATAAAATCTTACAGAGTATTTTTTCAGACTTTAACAGAATCAAAATAGAAATCAGTAACAAGAAAACTTCTTTATTCTTTTTATTTTATTTTAAGTTCTGGGATACATGTGCAGGACGTGCAAGTTTGTTAATAGGTAAATGTGTGCTATGGTGGTTTGCTGCACCTGTCAACCCCTCATCTAGGTATTAAGCCCAGCATGCATTAACTATTTTTCCTGGGGCTCTCTCTGGCCCTGCAACCGCCGGCAGGCCCCATTGTGTGTTGTTCCCCTCCCTGTGTCCATGTGCTCTCATTGTTCAGCTCCCACTTATAAGTGAGAACATGTAGTGAAAACTTCTTTATTCTCATCAAAAATTTCAGTAAGATGTATCTGCTATGAGTTTCTCCTCACAACTTCTGCTAGGGTTTCAGTGGACTTGTGTTCTCTATTTTCTTTGTCTCTTAACCTTTTCCCCATCACTTTATTACTTCTTATTTTGCACTGTATCCTGGAGGATCACTCAGCTTGCATTTCCAGGTCGCCACTTTAATCTTCACATATTTCCTTTCTGTATCTTAGCCCACAGATTGAGATTTATCTGTGGAGTTGGGGGATGACAATCATTTCTATTTTCCAACCACTCTGATCACTTTTTCAAAGAAACTTTTTCTTGTTGTGATAGCTTCTCCTTTCTCTGAGGATACTAATGATTATTTTGCAGTCTTCTCTTGTTTCCTTTGTAAATTCTGTTTCCTCATGTGTTAATTCTTTTTCACATTGTTATTTTCTCAGCTATCTGGTGATTCTTAGATGTGTGTTTATATTGATGAGGGAAGATTACCATTTCAGTACTTTTAAGTGAAAGGTATTCCCTCCGTAAGTTGAAAGTGCTTGGATTCCTGGAAGTGAATGTGGATTCCAAGGTTATACAGGGAGGGTCACAGAGGATGTGCATGAAGCTGAGCTTCCCTCTAGGGAAGTGGTACCTTGTCTTGTGGGTGCAGGTCTGCTATTTTTTTTTTTATCAGCTGCAATTCATGTGTGAAGTTACCTCATTTCTGTGGCCCCAGCGTTTTTGTCTCTGAATCTTTCAAATCAGGACTCGTAATTTGTTTAGAGGAATGTACTGTCAACATATTGAAAGAAAAAAGAACAACGTTTCCACATGGTCCCCTAGTTTGTAATCACAGAAACATGAACTTTGAGAACTGGAAGGGCTATCAAGAGTTGAGGGAATGGAGTCATAAGTCAGTAACTTCTCACCAGGGATGGAGACATGTGTTAGTTTCCTGTTGTTACCAAACAAGTAACCACAGACTTAGTGGCTTGAAACAACACAGATGTATTGTCTTATAGTTCAGGAAGTTAGAAGTTCTAAAATCAAGGTGTTGACAGGGCTGCATTTTTCTGGAATCTCAAGGGGAAGGTCTACTTCCTTGCTGTTGTGGGCTTCTAGAGGCCGCCCACATTCCTTGGCTAGGGTCTCTTCCTCCAGCTTCAAAACCAGCAGCACTGTCTTCAGATCTCTCTCTTCCTCTAATCTCTGCTTCTGTCATCACATCCCCTTCTCTGAGTAAGATCCTCCTGCCCCTCTCTTGCAAGGACCCTTGTGAATACATTGGCCCTATCCAGATAATCCAGGGTAATATCTCCATCTCGAGGTCCTTAACTGTATTAGTCTACTCTCACGCTGCTGATAAAGACATACCTGAGTAATTTATAAAGAAATACCTGGGTAATTTATAAAGTAATTTATAAAGACATACCTGGGTAATTTATAAAGAAAAAGAGGTTTAATGGACTCACAGTTCCACATGTCTGGGGAGGCCTCACAATCACGGCAGAAGGTGAAAGGCATGTCTTACATGGCAGCAGACAAGAGAATGAGAGAGTGCCAAGTGAAAAGGGAAACCGCTTATAAAATCATCAGATCTTGTGAGACTTACTCAGTACCACGAGAACAGTATGGGGGAAACCACCCCTGTGATTCAATTATCTCCCACGGGGTCCCTCCTACAACACGTGGGAATTATGGAAGCTACAGTTCAAGATGAGATTTGGGTGGGGACACAGCCAAACCAGATCCTTAACTAAATCGATTTTGCAAAATCCCTTTTGCCATGTGAGATTCACTGGTTCTGGGGATACAGATGTGACCATTTGGGGGAGACCATTATTCTGAGGTGTGTGTCTCTTTTTGAGCTGGTGGGGCACAGCAGTGGGTGGTCTCAGGAGCACTGAGGATGAGGCATCTTAGGTTTGAACATTAGAGTCTCTAATTGTTCCTCTACCCTTTCCCTGTTGGTCTTCCTACTTTCCCCTATCTCCATACTCTCACAATGATAAGCATTCTTACTGAGCCCGTACGTTCTCTTTTCCAGCTGGTCTTGGCTCATTCCTGCTCCTCCCTGCTAGTATCTCAAAGCCACCTTACAGGAATGTAAAAGCCACACTACCCAATTACTGCAACTCAAAGGATAAATGTCAACATCTATACAAAGTATTGTCAGAAAGAGTGTGAAAAAAAGGTAAGGTTCTTTGTGGAGTCTGTACAGGCCTGTAAAAATCCAATTTATGTACCAGAAATGACTACATATGTTATGCAATAGAAATACCTCTACCAAATCCTGACATGTATATGTGTTGGGCCTGCATTTAATCGAGGGTCGTCTCTTTAGATTATGATGTGAAATTCCCATTTGAGGTCTTTGATGGGAACCACATGGCAGAGCTTTGCTGCTTAGCTGTAGAGCGGGGCAGCCCCGCTGCTGCACAATGCATCCTGTGTAGCTTTCATGTTTGACAGATGGCCTGCTTTTCTGTGTATATTATCAGATGCCTCCTTCTCAAGCTGTAAAATCTGATGATAGAGCCCAAATTTAATATATTCAACCTGAGCTGTTGATAGAATTAAAAACTTATCAGCCAAAGATGTCATGTTTACTCAACATCAGAAACAGAGTACTTTTTAATGTTGTTTTTGTTGATCTGGCCAATATACTCTCCAAAACGTTGTGCTCTGAAGAAAGGGCAGAGAAGCAAAAGAACAGATAGAGGAGCAGTGGGAAGTGGTGTCAAGTCCTAGCAAGGTCATTCCATTGTGGAGGGAGGCCAGCTGACATTTCATTTTGTAATACTTAACAAGACAGAAGGGCTGGGTGTGGTGGCTCATGCCTGTAATCTCAGCACTCTGGGAGGCTGAGGAGGGAGGATCGCTTGAGCCCAGGAGTTCGAGACCAGTCTGAATAACATAGGGAGACCCCATCTCTACAAAAATCAAAAATTAGCCCATGTGGTGGCATGCACCTGTAGTCCCAGCTATTTGAGAGGCTGAGGCAGGAAGATCACTTGAGCCCAAGGGTTCAAGACCAGCCTGAGTAACATGGCAAGACCCCATCTCTACAAAAAATACAAAAATTACCCAGCCGCGGTGGAGTGAGCCTGTAGTCCCAGCTACTTGGGAGGCTGAGGTGGGAGGATCACTTGGGCCTGGGAGGTTGAGGTGGTAGAGAGTTGTGATCGTGCCACTGCACTCTAGCCTGGGCGATGGAGTAAGACCCTGACTCAGAGGAAGAAAGAGGAAGAAGAATAAGAGGAAGAAGAAGAAGGAGGAGGAGGAGGAGGAGTAGACAGTATATGATAAATAATTTCACAGAATAAACATTATTTCATGTATGCTCTTGATTGCAACACAATTTTTCTTTTACAAATTTTTTAAAAATTATGAAATAATTCAGACATATAGAAAATAGCAAACACTTAGGTGCTTAAGATCCAGATTTAACACATCTTAACACTTGCCTTATTTACTTCAGATATTATTAAAAATAGGACAAATGTAGTTAAAGTCTCCTTTGTGTCTTTCCATGACAGGAACATCCTCTTCCCATTCTGTGGGTCTGGCCATTCTTCTCAAGTTGACATCTTTCTCATCTAAACTTTTGCCTCTTAGGAAGTTTCTGTGCAGTCATAAAAGTAAACATTATTGGCCAGGTGCAGTGGCTCACGCCTGTAATCCCAGCACTTTGGGAGGCCGAGGTGGGTGGATCACTTGAGGTCAGGAGTTCGAGACCAGCCTGGCCAACATGGTGAAACCCCATCTCTACTAAAAATACAAAAAATTAGCCAGGCGTGGTGGCGGGTGCCTGTAGTCCCAGCTACTAGGGAGGCTGAGGCAGGAAAAGCTAGCTGGGCATGGTGATGGGTGCCTGTAATCCCAGCTCCTCGGGTGGCTGAGGCAGGAGAATCACTTGAACCCTGGAAGAGGAAGTTGCAGTGAGCCAAGATTGTGCCACTGCACTCCAGCCTGGGTAAGAGAGTGAGAATCCATCTAGGAAAAAAAAAAAAAGAAAAAGTAAACATTATTGTTTGGTGTGTTTGAAACTTTACATAAATGGCATTATACTGCACCTATCATTTTGCAACTTGATTTTGTTACTCAACATTGCTTTTGAGATTTATTCATAAGGATACACGAAGCTTCAGTTTATTCATTTAAATGGCAACGTTCTGTTTCATTGTAGTAACATGCCACATTTTATTTACCTATTCTCTTACTGATAGGTACTGAAATTGTTTCCAGTATTTTGCTATTTTTAAAAAAAAAGCTGCAAAGAATCTAGTTATTGCTTTTCTTGTTTTGTTTGTGTGTGTATTTGCTTTCTAGTTTGTTAATTTCTGTAAAGGTTTTCACTTTCAACTTTTTAAAAAAGATTTACTCCGTTAATCTTTTTCTAATACCCCCTCCCCCTTTTTTAGAGACAGGGTGTTGTTCCAGGCTGGAGTGCAGTGGTGCAATTATAGCTGACTGCAGCCTGGAACTCTTGGGCTCAATTGATCCTTCAGCTCCAGCCTCCCAAGTAGCTAGTACCACAGGTGTGCACCACCATGCCCAGCTGATTTTTAATTTTTTTTTTTTTTTTTTTTTCCAGACAGAGTCTTGCTCTGTCGCCCAGACTGGAGCACAGTGGGGCGATCTCGGCTCACTGCAAGCTCCACCTCCTGGGTTCAGGCCATTCTCCTGCCTCAGCCTCCCGAGTAGCTGGGACTACAGGCGCTTGTCACCACGCCAGGCTAATTTCTTGTATTTTTTAGTAGAGACAGGGTTTCACCGTGTTAGCCAGGATGGTCTCAACAGTCTCCTGACCTCATGATCCGCCCGCCTTGGCCTCCCAAAGTGCTGAGATTACAGGCGTGAGCCACCGCGCCCGGCCGATTTTTTTTTTTTTTTTTTTGGTAAAGATGGAGTCTCCCTATATTTCCCAGGCTGATCTTGAACTCCTGGCCTTAAGCTATCCTCCTGCTCTGGTCTCCCAAAGTGCTTAGATTATAGGCATGAGCCACTGTGCCCAGCCTCCTAGCCCTTTGAATTAAATGGCTAATTCTTCAGGCAAAAAGTTTTATCAGAAATAAAACCTTAGTACGTTTTCATAGGTTTTAATGTGCTATATATTCCCTGCCATTTAATTCCAAAATTTCAAAATTTCCATTGTGAGTTTATCTTACAATTATCAGTTGTTTGTCACTTTGACTTTTAGTTTTCAAACTTGTGCTGTTAATTTTTTTGGAGAGGAAGATTCTATTTATTATTAATTTCTAACATTGTTGTAGGAATCTGGTATAAGACGTGGGATGTGTGCATTGCAACTCTTTGTCCCAGTTTATACCTGCTGCCTAATCGTAATTATTATGTCCCCTTTTACCTCAAATGTGTCCCAGTTGTGCACAACATATTATATGGTTATGGTTTGTGTGCATGTGTGTGTGTCCGTGTGCATGTCATTGTCTCATTAAAATCTCCTCTATCAAGAATAACTTTTTGTCTACTTGACCTATCCGTTTAAGATGGAAGTGTGTTAAAATCTCCCACTCTGATTTTAATTCAATTTCATATCTCCAGTCTTGCCCTCTTACCTGAACTCCAGACTCTTGTATCCTTCTTGTACCCTCTTGTACCTCTACGTCACACCTTCAAGGGCCTGTCCCTGTCTGATAAATCTTAAATGTTACATGTGCAAACAGAATTCTTGATTTTTCTTGCAAATAGCTCTTTGCTCAGGGATCCACCTCTCAGGAAGTAACACCTTCTTTTGTCCAGTCATTCAAGCCCCAAATCTTGTAACCATCTTGTCTTTCTCTTGATTTGTTCATCATATCAACAAACACATCTTCGGGGGTTGGGGGTTTTAAGAGAGGTTGATTAATGGATACAAATATACAGCTTGATAGAAGAAATAAGATTTATTAGGCTTCTTCCAGTTTGGGGAACTTCTATTTCTACATGATTTGGTGAGATTTGATATATTTTTCAGGACTGACCCCTAAAGAGAATTATTATTTGGGTGCAAAATTTGAAAGAGCCAAGTAAGAAGACAAGCTTTCCAGAGCAATTGCCACCATATTTTTCAGCTCTGTATTCCAGAAACACAAGATTGTCATATAAGAAACACAAGTAAGAGATTTTCTCCAATAACAATAACATCAAAACTCCCTTAGACTGCAAAAAATTAAATAGATTATAATTAAGAAAATATTTTAAACAAAATCCAGCTGTTAATCTAAATGCTGATGTTTTTCCTGTTTATAATAGTCTGGATTGAAAAGACTCAAGAAGAATACCTCAGGGTAGAATAACAACTTATTAATCTTATCATTTTCACCTAAATTTTCCTGAGCAGAGGTGCATTCTGCTTGGTTGATATAATTATCATAATAACAGTAAAAGTAACAAAGGAGGCTCTATTTAAACCGATAATTAGAACTTAGCTAATATCATCTGGAATATTTTGTAAGTTCAAATATTTACTGTAGGAATTAATTGATTGGAAAGTCCTATTAAATGAAATTTAATAATATTTTTAAGTAAATTTAAGTAAAATGTATTTTTAAATTATACAAATAATATAGATTCATTTAAGAAAAGTTAGAAAGTTTAGATAACCAAGGAATATGAAAGTATAAGAGTAAGCTTACATATTACTGATTCCTGGTTTGTCACCCCAAAATGCCCTCAAAAGAAAGATCAAATAAATACTATCTGGGGGACAAACTTAGACAAGTCTTTAAATTAGGAACAATGCCAACTGTACTATACAAATGTCACAGAATTCCTGCTGCATACATTACAGTTTGGATCAAGTGAAGGAAGATGGGAGAGTCATGGGTCTTTTCCTTTTCTAAGAAAGCAGTGCAGTATTTTTGGAAGTAAGAAAAAGACATTCTGTTGATGAGGGAGGGGAACAACACTGCAAAGGATGCATCTGGAAGCATCCATGGATCACTGGGGAGTCTCACATACTGTGGTCCCATCTTCCTGCTGGAGATCATGGAGAAGCTAAAGTGTGTAAGAGGCAGTGATAGAAGGAAAAACAAATGCTTCTTTTCTACCATTTTTCTATTATCTGGTGACTTCTTTGAAGCATGGGGCTGTTTAGTACTAGGGGATGTCCCCAGTCTTCAGGGGCTGAGTCGTTAAGATAAGAAATAGACCAGGAAAGAAACTAGATGAGATTTACTTGGGGCTATTTCTAGACCTTTGAACTAGCAGTAGCAAAGGGAAAAACTAGGAGGAAAGTTATGAATACCCTTATCAAATGAAAGCCTATATTCACTACAATTTTTTTAATCTGAAACTTTTCATTATTTTTATTTTTTATGAACAAGGCCTTGCTCTATTGCTCAGGCTGGAGTGTAGTGGCACAATCATAGCTTACTACAGCCTGGAACTCCTGGGCTCAAACAATCTTCCCACCTCAGCCTCCAGAGTATCTAGGACTACAGGCATTCACCCCTAGGCCCAGGTAATTTAAAACATTTTTAAAGAGACGAGGTCTTGCTATATTGCCCAGGCTGGTCTTAAACTCCTGACCTCAACTGATCCTCCTGCCTCAGCCTCCCCAAGTGCTGGAATTACAGGCATGAGCCACCATGCCTGGCCCTGGTTTTAAAAAGTCATTGAAATTCTTGGTGGCTGGTTAATGCAGAGAAACAATTGAAATCATAGTCCTCTCTTCTTGGTAGACCATCATACACCACCAGCATGCTATAATGGCAGCAGAAACATCATTACAGGAAACCAAACAAGCTAAAAACATACAATAACATCAAAAACAGAAATAAAGTTGCCAAAGGCAAAATTCCAGCGCTGGTTGGCCCCCATGATACTCATATCCACCTGTACGACTCAGACTATGGAATGATCAAGAGACAACAATGTAAATCTGCATCTTTCAGGTCATTTTAAAATTAGTTTTGGACATGTAATACACATGTTTAAAAAATTCACAAGCTAAAATAATCATTTTAATGATGAGAAATTATCATTTTTCCTCTTTATTACTTTTTAATTATAAAAATAATATATACTTGTTATAAAAAAACTCAAACATTTAGGAGGGATCAAGGTAAAAAGTTAAACTATATTAGTTCCCTATTGATGGAGATCATGGAGAAGCTAAATTCTATAAGAGGCAGCGATAGAAGAAATGCTTCTTTTCTACCATTTTTCTATTATCTGGTGACTTCTTTAGTCACCATATAAATTACCATAAACCTGGTGGCTTAAAGCAACTTGGATTCATTCTTTTTACAATTCTGAAGGCCATTAGTCTTTAATGGAGTTCCCTGGGCCAAAATCAGAAAGTCAATCAGGCAGCACTCACTGGGGACTTTGGGGAGAATCCATTTCCTTGGCTTTTTCATCTTTTGCGGGATATCCTCATTCCTTGGCTTGTGGTCACACCACATCACCTCTCCTACCTCTGATCTCAGTGTCACCTCACTTTCTCTTCCTTGTAAAATCTCCCTCTGCCTACCTCTTATAAGGATCCTTGTGATTACATTTAGAGCCCACCCAAAGAGTCTCTCCCCAGCTCAAGATCCTTAACTTAATTATATCTATAAAGTCACTTTTGCCACATAAGATAATATATTCACAGGTTCTGGGGATTCGAATGTGGACATTCTTGTGGGGGGCATTATTTAGCCTTCCACATGAGACCTCCTCCACTTATTCCAATTCTGCCCCATCCCTCTACTCAGAGCAAACCACTATCAACTTTTAGGGTTGTATCTCAATACCTTTGTTATGTTACACGTCTATATTCCCACATGACTTTAGGGCTCCTCTGCAGGTGCATAGAGCAACCAAGAATCAAGCGTTCAGGAATTTGTAATTATGTCACCTGGAGAGCCATGCAAATGTAACATGTGTCCAAAATGCACTCAAATCATAAGCACTACAAAAAAATTAAGATGAAATTCTTGCCCAATCACTGCTAAGTGGACCACAAAAGCATTTCAGTTCATAATATTATTTTATTTTACTTCTCAAAATAGGTCCCAGTCCTATTCTCTGTAGGTCTCAGAATAACCAAAGAGAAGTAAATCCCTGTTTCCAATGAAAGCACAATGGAGGGGAGAGACGTGGGAAGGGCAGGTCCTAATTCTGAAGCCAAAAGGATGTGGGAAAACCCAAAATATTAAACTGCGATCAGCATCGTGGCACACATTTTGCGTTTTCCTTTGACCCTGTTGTCCAATAAATGAATGCCTTTAAAATTTTTATTTTAAAATAAAATATTTTATTTTGTTCTTAAAATACTTCATTTTAGGGAGCACAATTTGATTGGGCCATGTAGTAGGTCTGGTGATATTTCAATAAAAGGATTTCTTTTAGCTAACTGAGGGGAAAACCGGGAGAAAAATGATTCCTAAGTGGAGTTAAGATTCACATTAGGGCCGGGCACAGCGGCTCACTTCTATAATCCCAGCACTCTGGGAGGCCATGCCTGCAGATCATGTGACGTCAGGAGTTGGAGACCAGCCTGGCCAACATGATGAAACTCCATCTCTACTGAAAATACAAAATTAGCTGGGCATGATGGCACATGCCTGTAATCTCAGCTACTTGGGAGTTTGAAGTAAGAGAATCATTTGAACCTGGGAGGCAGAGTTTGCAGTGAGCCGAGATCATGCCATTGCACACCAGCCTGGGCAACAAGAGCAAAACTCCATCTCAAAAAAAAAAAAAAAAAAAAAGAGATTCACGTTAAGCAGATTGTGGTGGCTCCTGCCTGGAATCCCAGCACTTTGGGAGGCCAAGGCAGGAAGATTACTTGAGGCCAGGAGTTCAAGACCAGCCTGGCAACAGTGAGACCCCATCTGTACAAAATAAATAAGTAAATGAATAAACAAAATAAAATAAAATAAAAAATAATTACTTTCGTGGAGTTCACTAATCCTGGTTGTCTTCTGGTTTCTATTTCTCCTGATTTATTTTCCTTTGGTGAGAGAATCTCTGATCTTTTGGCCAAAGACATGACTACTCGGAATAAAGTCTACATGGTTTAGTCTCCCTTGGTAGGTACTTCTACATAAGTGATATTTGTCAAAAAGATTCAAGGGCAAGTAGTGCACAAAATTTCCAGTATGTGCCTTCCTCCCTTCCTGTATCCTACTAAAATATAAACCTGACAGCAAACCGTCTTGGACCACGTCATGAGGACAATGCTGTATGGATAGCAGAGCAACAAGATAGAAACAGCCATGGTCCCTGGTAACTCCGAGGAATAGAGCCCCTTGAGTGGCTTAATTCTGGACTCTTCTGCAAGAAAGGAATAAAACTCAGTTTGGTTTAAGTCACTTTATTTCATGTCTCCATTGCATACATCCAAACTTAAATCCTAATAATCCCTGGACATTTAATTTTTGACATATTATAATTAAATCAAAGTAGAAAGCAGTCACTCCTTGTCAGTTACTGAATGAAAATCCCCAAATGTTTCTAGCCTGCTGAGAGTTATCTTCTACCAAACATCAGGAGGTCTGGGAGGTAGGTCCATTGGCTTGGGGGAGATGAAATTTTATGGGATTGACGTAGTAGTGGTGTGGCAGATAAACTTAAAGGTGGTCCCACGACCCCTTCCTGTTGGTATTCAGGCCTTTGTGTAATTGTTTTCTTCTTAGGTGTAGACCAGACCCATGACTTGCTCCTAAACAACAGAATATGACAAATGGAATGGCACGTCACTCCCATGATTATGTGATGTTATATGACTGTGTCTTGCTAGCTGGCTGGCTCCACAGACGTTCTCTCTCCCTTGCTGGCTGTGAAGAAGCAAGCTGCCAGAACTCCTAAAGCCACATGGAGCTCATTGCTGCCAAAAGGAATTGGGAAGCAAATCCTTCCCTAGCTGAGCCTCCAGTTGAGAGCCAGTCCTGGCCAACACCTTGAATGTAGCCTTGTAAGACCTTCTGAGGAGGACCAAGCTATGCCGTATCCAGATGTGTGACCTGCAGAAACTCTGAGGTAATAATTGTGTGCTGATTCAAGCTCCCATGTTTGCAGTAATTTCTTACGCAGCATAGAAACATAGACTACAAATGTCTGGAAAAGAATAGCATGTGGCTTTTTAGCCAACCTGTGTGTGATTTCAAGGGAGCAGGAGATTTTAGAGGCAATTAGTCTTATAAAGGATATATGAGTCCATTTTGCACTGCTATGAAGGAATAGCAGAGACTGGGTAATTTTACAAGGAAAATAGGCTTATTTGACTCATGGTTCTGCAGGCTGCACAAGAAGCATGGTGCCAGCATCAGTTTTTAATGCGGGCCTCAGGACACGTACAGTCATAGTGGAAGGCAAGAGGAGCTGGATGTGGCACACCTTAAGAGAGGAGGCAAGACAGAGGGTGCAAGAAGTTCCAGAATCTTTAACTACCAGATCTTATGTGAACTTATGACTGTGGGGAGGGCACCAAGCCATTCATGAGGGATCTGCCCCCATGACCTCCCACTAAGCCCCACCTCCAACACTTGGGATCACATTTCAACATAAGATTTGGAGGGGGAAAATATTAACATTATTAATATCTGAATTCTATTAGAGACGAAAGGGAAATTTTCCCACACGCTAAACATTCTAAGTTGACTAGAGAAAGATAAGGATGTATATAGAGTAGATTTCTAAGACCTATACTATTTTTAAAACCTGGTGGGATTTGGGACAACGGTGAAGAATGAAGCATATCAATAATAAAGACATCCTCTTTTCACTTTTATCAAAAAGGATAATGACGAGAGATATTGGTACCCAGAGTAGGATAGAAATATACTTGATGAGAGTAAAAGATTTCGTAGAGATGTCAAGAATGAGAGATATGTGTCAGTTTAAATTTTGTTTTAACTACAGGTATTTTGACTATGAAGCTAACCTTTTCCTTTTCCAAAATGGAAGCATGCCTTCTGAAAGGGAAATTGTTAATTACATGTGCATGGATATGGACTCATCGGGAGCTAATTATTTCAATAGAAATGCTTGGAGGTTTCAAAAATATTTGTTTATTGGGAATGTAAACTTGTGGCCTTAAAATTGATGAGAGATAGTTCCTCCTGATTTTGGCAGGCTCCTTTCTCTAAAATTAACTGGATAAATCATATTATAGAGAAAAAATATAGATGCTAGAGAATACAAACAACACCCACAAAGGAGAAACTCCTATGGAAATGGAAGAAAGTTTTGAAATGAAGTGGTGGTTATGGTTTGTGGATGGGTGCCTAGTGGCTAGGGTCTGAGGCAGAGGGTATCTGGGCTATGAGGGGTTTAAAGAAAAGTTTGAAAAATTCAGTTCTTGCCGATCGTTCTTTGCTGTGCAATTATTATTGATAACTGCTTCCTGCAGAAACCAGTGACAAAGACCCAAAGGTGGTACACACACCTATCAGGTGAGGAGTTGGGAAAAAATCTGGAGACTGTGTAGCCCTGGGAGCCACACTCTCCCACTTCCCACTATTATACTGCCATCATTCTTACCTGGGTCGCACCGGCAGAGATTCTGATGTAACTGACCTAGGCTGATGACCTCAGCATCATCGTTTTCAGAGCTTACCAAGTGATTCTAACATGCAAGTCTTGATCTGAAGGTGTTGCTTAGTGACAAAGGAGGGTGATTAATTTTGGTTTTATGATGCCTGAGACTTTCTACCCTAAGGCTCATGCCTGTTCACTCCTTGTACTCACTTCGAATGAGAGATCCAAGTGTGGGTTTCTGCAGGCGTTTGAGCCCTTTCTCAGCATACCCTATATGATATCCCTGGGAGAGAATTATTTCATTAGCCAAAATAATGAAATATTTATGGAACTTAATTATCTTGAAAGAAAAACAACAAAACAAAGATCCCTGGAAGTATTAGAACACATGGATGAAAATATTTAAATAAATTTATTATATAGATTAAAAGACATAATGGACAAAACATGGACATACTGGACAATATTTGGAATCCCATTTCAACTTAAGATTTGGAGAGGACAAATATCTAAACTACATCAGAGGGGAAAGAGAAATTTTCAATATGAAACAGAAACACAAAAACAAAGGAACCTAGTACAAATATTAGGTATGAAAAATTAGATAATTAAAATAAGAAACATAGAAGATGGTATAAATAGTAGAATGGATACAGGTGAAGACCCAACTGATGAGCTAGAACAGATGGAAAAACCATCCCAAGAAGAAAATAGGAGAAGACAAAGAAATAGAAAATACAAAAGAAAAGTTAAGAGATATGGAGAATAGAAGTAGAGGTGCTAACTTTTACAGAAAAATGATTCCAGAAGGAGAGAAAAATAATGATGGAGAAAAGAAAATATTTAAAGATACAACGAGGAACTTTCTCCAGAATTAAAGAAGTAGGAAAGACTTCAGATTGTGAAGACTCCTAATGTACCAAACAAGAGACAAAAGGAAAAAGGTGTTTGATAGACTTTGTTTCCCTAAGTACTGATTACAGGATTACAAGTGTGAGCCACTGTGCCAGGCTGAATGCATACATTAAAAAAAAATGCTGAAAGTTAATGAGTCAGGCAAAATAAGCCATCAAAATAAATCAAAGAAAGTGCAAAAGGGAAAATTAGTATTTTACAGCTGTGAAAATAAATTAACTACAGCCACATACAATAATGTGAATAATAATTTGGTCATGTTCAGCGAAAAACGACTGTATTTAGCATGATACTTTGTTTTTTGCTTTGCTTGCTTATTTGTTTTTTATTATGGTAAAAATCATTTTACAAAAAATTTACTATCTTAATCTTTTTTTTTTCTTCATGCATGTTCTGCTTATGTATTCTATCTCGACCATTATAAGTATCCATTTCAGTAGTAAGTATAGCCCGTTGTTGTGAAACAGCTCTTGAGAACTTTCTCATGTTGTCAGTCTGAAACTCTATACCTGTTAAACAACAACCTCCACTTTTCCTTTACCCTTTAGTCCCTGGTAACTGTTTTATTCTGTTTCATTGAATTTGATCGTAGATATCTTATATAAATAGAATCTTATAGTATTTGTCTTTTTGGAGTGGCTTATTTCACTTAGCATAATATTCAAGGTTTATTCATGCTGTAACGTGTGATAGAATACCCTTTTTTTATTTTAATTATTTTTATTTTTAGTAGAGATGGGGTTTTGCCGTGTTGCCAAGGTTGGTCTTGAACTCCTGAGCTCAAGCGATCAGCCTCCCGAAGTGCTAGGATTACAGGTGTGAGCCACTGCGCCCGGCCCCATTCTTTTTTAAGACTGAATAGTATTATATTGTATGTAGGTACCACATTTTTAAAATCTATTCCATCTGTTGATGGACATTTGTGTTGCCTTCACCTCTTGGTTATCATGAACAATATTGTTATGAGAATGAAATATATATTTTTTAAGTTCAAAGAACATACAAAACTATTTATTTTAGTCATCAGATAAAAATATCCTAAGAAATTAACAGAATGCTAAATAGAAAATTCAGGGTGATTGGTCATTTGGGAGCAGGACTTGAAGGCTGGGGAATGAAATGAAGAGATGTGATGATCAGAGTTATGGCTCTCCAATTGGCCAGGCACTAATGACTATTTATAATATTATAATAAATACATATGTAAGCAAATAACATAAATTAAAAAGAATTATGCATGAACCAATGAAGACAGTGTACCATAAACCAAAGGTTTTGATTTATTCAGTTGTGTTCACCTGAGATTCATTAGAAAAACAAACACAGATGTCTTCTGTGATGTGTATCTGTTTGTATGTGCTCAGGAAAGTGGTGAATAATTTGTTCAATTTATTTTTTAATTCATAAAATTCAGAGTATATTGTTTTTTATTGTATTTTCAATGGATTTATTCAGGTATAATTGTGCACATATGTAAAATGAACAATTTCATCAGTTTTAACATATTTATACACTCATGAAACCATCATTACCATCAAGATAAAGAACATAGCCATAATCCCCAAAAGGTTTTTCCTGCTCCATTCTAATCCCTCCCTTCTGATCCTCCCTATCACCCCAGGCAACCACTGCCATGTTTCTTGTTCATATAGATTAGTTTGCATTGTCTAGAATTTTATATAAATGAAATAATATATACTTCTTTTGGTCTGGCTTCTTTCACTCAGAATAGTTATTCTGAGATTTAACAATCTTATTGTTGCATGTATCAATAGGCCATTCCTTTTTATTGGTGGGTAGCGTTCCATTGTGTGCACATAGCAGCTTCTTTACCCATTCACCCTTTTAATTTAGCCATTTTAGTAGGTGAGTAATGGTATCCCACTGTAGTTTTAATTTGTGTTTCCCTAATAACCAATGATAGTAAGCATCTTTTCATGCGGCTATTTGCCATCAGCTTATCTTCTTTGGTGAAATGTCTGTTGAAATTTTATGAGTTTTTTTCATCGAGATATTTTATTTTTGAAGTTTGACAGGTCTTTATGTATTTTAGGTACAAGTCCTTTATCAGATATGATTTGCAAGTCTGTAGCCTTTTTATACTCTTTTTTCTTATTTCATGTCACATGTTAACACCCATCTTTATGCTCTCAATAGTATATTTTGAAGAGCAGAAGTTTCAAATTTTGATGAAGCCCAATTTATCAATTTATACTAATATGGATTGTGCTTTTTGGTATCTTATTGAAGAAATCTTTGTCTAACCTAAGGCCACATACATTTTCTCCTATGCTTTCTTCTAAAGGTTTTATAATTTTAATTATGTTTCCATCTTTTTCCCTGGGTGTTGGATTCAAAGTGTGGTAAGAAGAATTCTAAGATGGCCCCAATGATTTCTGCTCCCTGGCATTATGTCTGTGATTATATCATGGAATATTGCAGAAGGGATTTTGCAAATGTAATTAAGGCTACTAATCAGTTGATTGTGAGTTAATAAAAAATGAGATTATCTGGGTGGGCCAAACCCGATTACCTGAAGTCTTTAAAAGCAGAGCATTTTCTCCAGCTAGTTGCAGACTAGGAAGTCAGGGATGTAAAGCATAAGATGGACTTGATGTGCGGTTGCTGGCTTGAAGTTGGAGCGGACCACACATCAAGGAAATGAGGACTTAAATCCTAAACTGCAAAGAACTGAATTCTGTCAACAAAAGTGAACCTGAAAGCTGATTCTTCCCCAGAGCCTTTGATGGGAATTCAGCCCAGCTGACACCTTGATGTCCACCTTGTGATACCTTGGGAAGAATCCCTGCCCCACCATGCTGAACTTTTGATCTACAAAACTGTGAGCTAATAAATGGATGTTGTTTTAAGCAGCTAAGTTTGTGGTAATGTGTTACACAGCAATAGAAAACTAACATACATGGTTATCTATATTATTGTAGCTATATCTTTTACATATGCTGTAAAAATTCTTTAGTGTGATTTTATTTTCTAATAAACTTTTTCTTAAAAAAAAGAGAAAGCCAGAAAATAAGTCTCTTGACTTCAGTGGGCCTTCTGAATAGTGCAGGTGTAAAAAGGGGGAACGGAGGGAGTATGAAAAGAATGTAAAGATTTGCCATGCTCAATAATGATGATATGCATTCAAGACATATCATGAGTTATGGGTCATGCCCAAAGCCTTTTAATAATATGCCTTTTATTAGATGACATAAAGTTACCAGCAAAGATTATAACATTGAGCCAAGAATGCATACTAGTATTTATGGAGGCCCAGAATTTGGAAAATGATTCAGTCCTGTTTATTCTATGTAATGATGTTATTTTTGTACTAAACATGAGGGTTGTAAAGGGATTCTATATGTTAGTTTAAATGTGTAAATATTTCTCTTATAGCATCCTTATGTACACTGACCATGAACATTTTATTTTATGGTGGGCTTGAATTAAATCCATTACAATCAAAGAAGGCATCTGAACCTGGAGTGAGGCTGGCATGGCTGCTAGCATCCTGAATCCATCAGGCACGGAATTGCCACGAGTAATATGAGTGAAATAAGGACATAAAACCCTGGGGCCTTAAGAAGGCAACTCCACTGACTCCAAAAAAACATTTTAACAGATGTTATATGCATGGCACCAAATAAATAAGACCTGATGTAAGTAATCAGCCACAATATGGCATTTGGATACTGAGGTATTTAAAGTTTGGGACACCACTGTAACTTAAATACATGCCTAAAATTGGCCCCTTCCCTTCCCATTCATTTTCTCTCATACCACCATGAGATTAAAATCGCTGAGTTTATTTCCTCTGAGCCTGACAGTCATAAAACATATTCTTTATTTTCAACTTGCTTGTTTTTGATCTCCTGTGATGGTTAATCTTGTGTTTTAACTTGACTGGGCCATGGGGTGACCAGATATTTGGTCAAACACTATTTTGGGTGTTGCTGTGAGAGTGTTTTTAGATGAGATTAACATTTATTTTTATTTTTATTATTTTCAGGACAGGATCTTGCTCTGTCGCCCAGGCTGGAGTGCAGTAGCATGACCTCGGCTCACTGCAATCCCCGCCTCCTGGGTTCAAGCAATTCTCCTGCTTCAGCCTCCTGAGTAGCTGTGACTACAGACATGTGCCACCATGGGTCACCTAATTTTCTGTATTTTTAGTAGAGACAGGGTTTCACCATGTTGGCCAGGCTGGTCTCAACATCTTGGCCTCAAGTGATCCACCTGCCTTGGCCTCCCAAAGTGCTGGGATTACAGGCATGAGCCATGGTGCCTGGCTGAGATGAACAAACAGTTAAATTGGTAGGCTGAGTAAAGCAGATGGCCCTCCATAATGTGAGTGGGCCTTATTCAATCAGTTGAAGGCCTGAATACAACAAAAAGCTAACCTCCCTGGGCAAGAGATAATTCTTCTGCCTGGTGGCCTTCTGACTGGTTCTGCAACAGCCTGCTGGCCTTTGCACTCAAACTGGGATGTCAATTTTGCAGATTTTGGACTTTGTCAGCCTCCATAATTGCATGAGCCAATTCCTTATAATAAATATCTTTACCTGCCCCGCTGCCCTTCCCCACACAATTGGTTCTCTTTTCTCTGGAGAACCTTTACTAATAAATGTCCCAATTTATTTGTCAAGTTTTATACTGACTAACTATCCCCACTATAATGAATGTTCCATAAAGGTAGAGACTGTCTTGTCTGCTATTTATTCCCAGTGTTCAGACTTGCTCTTAATAACTGTGCAAAGAATTACTTGGTGAATAAAAGCATCTCTCTGGGGAAGCAGTGATGCTTTTAGATGATCTGAGTGTGGCACCAAAGGGGACAAATATGTCACCTTGAGCAAATGGCATCTACTTGGGTGAATGGTGAAGTTAATATCATGTTTTGAACATAAAAAGTAAACTTGAAGAAAATTTTTAAGAGATCTAAGGTATAGCTCTATACTAGAAGGGGAAGTTAATGTAAAGCCAGAGGGAATAATCTATTCATGAGTTTTAAATACCGTTTATATATATTTGACAATGATATATGTTGATAAAAAATTTGAGACTCTTAAAGCTTTGGCTAGCACTAAAGTTTGCAATCATGCATTTCTGTTGCCCTAAAGATCTTCAGGCCTCCCCAAATCATCCAGCTCAAAGCGAGCCATAAATAAATCAGTGTCAACTGTGGTTACAAATTCTGGATGCCTCTATCAGGAAAATGAAAGGTATAGAAATTAAGGAATAGAATGAAAGCAAACTTTTAGCATGCATTAGTGGTTGTTGGGGCTATGAATGTGAGGCAGGGGTATCGTGTGTCATGTTTGTGAGCTGCTAGTTTCATTGCAAATCACATCTTAGTTCATAGTGTTACTATGATAAATAGTTGGGTTCTGTATTGTAAGCAGTCTTACAAAGCAAAACAAAACAAAACAAAAAACTAATGAGGAATATATCCCGTGTAACTGACTTATTTAATGGGTTAAACAGAGTTGGGTAAATCAGGAAATGCCATAATTTTTTTTTTGTTGACCAGTGCCTTTAAGCAAGCTCTTTCTAGTCCCTCTCTCCCTGCTCATTGATAACATCCCTGGCAGATTCCACGATCTTTGGCTCGCTTTTGGCCATGAGAAGGGTCACATTTTCAGATTTTAAAAGTCCAGTCCCTGTTGGCAGAAATGTAAATTAATAAATGTAAATTAGTCCAGCCACTGTGAAGAGCGGTTTGGAGATTTCTCAAAGAACTCAAAACAGAACTACCATTTGCTCTTACAATGCCATTACTGGATATACACCCAAAGGAAAAGAAATCTACCAAAAAGACACTGGCACTCAAATGTTCATTGCAGCACTAGTCACAATCAACCTAGGTGCCCATCAGTGGTGGATTGGATAAAGAAAATATGGTACAAAGATGGCCGAATAGGAACAGCTCCAGTCTGCAGCTACCAGCTAGATCAATGCAGAAGGTGATTTCTGCATTTCCAACTGAGGTACCCAGCTCATCTCACTGGGACTGGCTAGACAGTGGGGGCAGTCCATGGAGGGTGAGCCAAAGGAGGGTGGGGCATCACTTCATCTGGGAAGCACAATGGGTTGGGGAACTCCCTCTCCTAGCCAAGGGAAGCCATGAGGGACTGTGCTGTGAGGAACAGTGCATTCCAGCCCAGATACTACACTTTTCCCATGGTCTTTGCAACCCACAGACCAGGAGATTCCCTTGGGTGCCTACACCACCAGTACCCTGGGTTTAAAGCACAAAACTGGGCGGCTGTTTGGGCAGACACCGAGCTAGCTGCAGGAGTTTTTTTTATACCCCAGTGATGCCAGAATGCCAGTGAGACACAACTGTTCACTCCCCTGGAAAGAGGGCTGAAGCCAGGGAGCCAAGTGGTCTAGCTCAGTGGATACCACCCCCATGGAGCCCAGCAAGCTAAGGTCCACTGGCTTGAAATTCTCACTGACAGCACAGCAGTCTGAAGTTGACCTGGGATGCTTGAGCTTGATGGGGGGAAGAGCATCCACCATTACTGAGGCTTGAGTAGGTGGTTTTCACCTCACAGTATAAACAAAGGCACCAGGAAGTTCAAAATGGGCAGAGCCCACTGCAGGTCAGCAAAGTCACTGTAGCAAGACTGCCTCTCTAGATTCCTCCTCTCTGGGCAGGGCATCTCTGAAAGAAAGGCAGCAGCCCTAGTCAGGGGCTTATAGATAAAACTCCCATCTCCCTGGGGCAGAGCACCTGGGGGAAGGAAGGGCTGTGGGTGCAGCTTCAGCAGACTTAAACATTCCTGCCTTCCAGCTCTGATGAGAGCAGTGGATCTCCTAGCACAGTGCTTAAGCTCTGCTAAGGGACAGACTGCCTCCTTAAGTGAGTCCCTGACCCCCGTACCACCTGATTGGGAGACACCTCCCAGCAGGGGTCAACAGACACCTCATACAGGACAGCTGGCTTTTGGCAGGTGCCCCTCTGGGACAAAGCTTCCAGAGGAAGGAACAGGCAGCAGTCTTTGCTGTTCTGCAGCCTCGGCTGGTGATACCCAGGCAAACAGTGTCTGGAGTGGACCTCCAGTAAATTCCAGCAGACCTGCAGCAGAGGACCCTGACTGTTAGGAAAACTAACAAACAGAAAAGAATAGCATCAACATCAACAAAAAGGACATCCACACCAAAATCCCATCCGAAGATCACCAACATGAAACAACAAAGGTAGATAAATCCAAGATGATGAGGAAAAACCAGCACAAAAAAGACGAAAATTCCAAAAACTAGAATGTCTCTTCTCCTCCAAAGGATCACACCTCCTCACTAGCAAAGGAACAAAACTGGATGGAGAATGAGTTTGACAAACTGACAGAAGTATGCTTCAGAAGGTGGGCAATAACAAACTCCACTGAGCTAAAGGAGCATGTTCTAACCCAATGCAAGGAAGCTAAGAACCTTGAAAAAAAGGTTAGAGGAATTGCTAACTAGAATAACCAGTTTAGAGAAGAGCACAAATGACCTGATGGAGCTGAAAAATACAGCACAAGAACTTCATGAAGCATACACAAGTATCAATAGCCAAATCAATCAAGCAGAAGAAAGATCAGAGATTGAAGATCAACTTAATGAAATAAAGTGGGAAGACAAGATTAGAGAAAAAAATGAAAAGGAATGAACAAAACCTCCAAGAAATATGGGACTATGTGAAAAGACCAAACCTACATTTTATTGGTGTACCTGAAAATGATGGGGAGAATGGAACCAAGTTGGAAAACACTCTTCAGGATATTATCCAGGAGAACTTCCCCAACCTAGCAAGACAGGCCAACATTCAAATTCAGGAAATACAGAGAACACCACAAAGGTACTCATCGAGAAGAGCAATCCAAAGACACATAATAGCCAGATTCACCAAGGTTGAAATTAAGGAAAAATTGTTAAGGGGAGCCAGAGAGAAAGGTCAGGTTACCCACAAAGTGAAGACCATCAGACTAACAGCACATCTCTCTGCAGAAATCCTACAAGCCAGAAGACAGTGGGGGTCAATATTCAACATTCTTAAAGAAAAGAACTTTCAACCCAGAATTTCATGTCCAGCCAAACTAAGCTTCGTAAATGAAGGAGAAATAAAATCCTTTACAGACAAGCAAATTCTGAGAGATTTTGTCACCAAAAGGCCTGCCTTACAAGAGCTCCTGAAGGAAGCACTAAACATGGAAAGGAAAAACCGATACCAGCCACCGTAAAAACATACCAAATTGTAAAGACCATCAACACTATGAAGAAACTACATCACCTAAGAGGCAAAATAACCAGCTAGCATCATAATGACAGGATCAAATTCACACATAACAATATTAACCTTAAATGTAAATGGGCTAAATGCCCCAATTAAAAGACACAGACTGGCAAATTGGATAAAGAGTCAAGACCCATCAGTGTGCTGTATTCAGGAGACCCATCTCATGTGCAAAGACACACATAGGCTCAAAATAAAGTGATGGGGGAATATTTACCAAACAAATGGAAAAAAAAGCAGGGTTTGCAATCCTAGTCTCTGATAAAACAGACTTTAAACCAACAAAGATAAAAGAGACAAAGAAGGGCATTACATAATGGTAAAGGGATCAATGCAACAAGAAGAACTAACTATCCTAAATATATATGCACCCAAGACAGGAGCACCCAGATTCATAAAGCAAGTCCTGAGAGACCTACAAAGAGACTTAGACTCTCACACAATAATAGTTGGAGACTTTTAACACCCCACTATCAGTATTAGACAGATCAATGAGACAGAAAATTCATAAGGATATTCAGGACTTGAACTCAGTGGACCAAGTGGACCTAATAGATATCTACAGAACTCTCCACCCCAGATCAACAGAATATACATTCTTCTCAGCACCACATCACAAATTATTCTAAAATTTACCACATAATTGGAAGTAAAACACTCCTCAGCAAATGTAAAAGAATGGAAATCATAACAAACAGTCTCTCAGACCATAGTGCAATCAAATTAGAACTCAGGATTAAGAAACCCACTCAAAAATGCACAACTACATGGTAACTGAACAACCTGCTCCTGAATGACTACTGGTTAAATAACGAAATTTAGGCAAAAATAAATAAGTTCTTTGAAACCAATGAGAACACACACAATGTACCGGAATCTCTGGGACGCAGCTAAAGCAGTGTTTAGAGGGAAATTTATAGCACTAAATGCCCACAGGTGAAAGCAGGAAAGATCTAAAATTGACACCTTAACATCACAATTAAAAGAACTAGAGAAGCAAGAGCAAACAAATTCAAAAGCTAGAAGAAAACAAGAAATAGCTAAGATCAGAGCAGAACTGAAGGAGATAGAGACACGAAAAACCCTTCAAAAAATCAATGAATCCAGGAGCTGGTTTTTTTGAAAAGATTAACAAAATAGATAGACTGCCAGAGTAATAAAGAAAAGAGAGAATAATCAAATAGATGTAATAAAAAATGATAAGGGGATATCACTACTGATCCCACAGAAATACAAGCTACCATTGGAGAACACTGTAAACACCTCTATGCAAATAAACTAGAAAATCTAGAAGAAATGGATAAATTCCTGGACACATACATCCTCCCAAGACTAAACCAGGAAGAAGTTGCATCCATGAATAGATGCATAACAAGTTCTGAAATTGAAGCAGTAATTAACAGCCTACCAACCAAAAAAACTAACTCAGGACCAGACTGATTTTACCAGAAGTAAGAGGAGGAGCTGGTACCATTCCTTCTGAAACTATTCCAAACAATAGAAAACAAGGGAATCCTTCCTAACTCATTTTATGAGGCCAGCATCATCCTGATACCAAAACCTGGCAGAGACACAATAAATAAAAGAAAATTTCAGGCCAATATCCCTGATGAACATCGATGCGAAAATCCTCAGTAAAATACTGGCAAATCGAATCCTGCAACACATCAAAAAGCTTATCCACCACGATCAAGTTGGCTTCATACCTGGGATGCAAGTCTGGTTCAACATACACAAATCTATAAACGTAATCCATCACATAAACGGAACCAATGACAAAAACCACATGATTATCTCAATAGATGCAGAAAAAGTCTTCCATAAAATGCAACACCCCTTCATGCTAAAAACTCTCCATAAACTAGGTATTGATGGAATGTATCTTAAAATAAAGAATAAGAGCTATTTATGACAAACCCACAGCCGATATCATACTGTATGGGCAAAAGCTGAAAGCGTTCCCTTTGAAAACCAGCACAAGACAAGAATGCCCTCTCTCACCACTCCTATTCAACAGACCATTGGAAGTTCTGGCTGGGGAAATCAGGCAAGAGAAAGAAATAAAGCGTATTCAAACAGGAAGAGAGGAAGTTAAATTGTCTCTGTTTGCAGATGACATGATTGTATATTTAGAAAACCCCATCATCTCAGCCCAAAATCTCCTTAAGCTAATAAGCAACTTCAGCAAAGTCTCAGGATATAAAATCAGTGTGCAAAAATCACAGACATTCATATACACCAATAACAGACAAACAGCCAAATCATGAGTCAACTCCCATGCACAATTGCTACAAAGAGAATAAAATACCTAGGAATACAACTTACAATGGATGTAAAGGGCCTCTTCAAGGAGATCTATGAACCAGTGTTCAAGGAAACAAGAGAGGACACACACAAATGGAAAAATATTCCATGGTCATGGATAGGAAGAATCAATATCATAAAAATGGCCATACTGTCCAAAGTAATTTATAGATTCAATGCTATCCCAATCAAGCTACCATTGATTTTCTTCACAGAATTAGAAAAAACTACTTTAAATTTCATATGGAACCAAAAAAGAGCCTGTATAGCCAAGACAATCTTAAGTGAAAAGTACAAAGCTGGAGGCATCACACTACCTGACTTCAAACAATACTACAAGTCTACAGTAACCAAAACAGCACGGTACTGGTATCAAAACAGATATATAGACCAATGGAACAGATCAGAGGCCTCAGAAATAATGCCACACATCTACAATCATCTGATCTTTGACTAACCTGACAAAAACAAGAAATGGGGAAACGATTCCCTATTTAATAAATGGTGTTGGGAAAACTGGCTAGTCATATGCAGAAAACTGAAACTGGATCCCTTCATTACACTTTATACAAAAATTAACTCAAGATTGATTAAAGACTTAAATGTAAGACCTAAAACCATAAAAACCCCAGAAGAAAACCTAGGCAATACCATTCAGGACATAGGCATGGGCAAAGACTTCATAACTAAAACACCAAAAGCAATGGCAACAAAAACCAAAATTGACCAATGAGATCTAATTAAACTAAAGAGCTTCTGCACAGCAGAAGAAACTATCATCAGAGTGAGCAGGCAGCCTACAGAATGGGAGAAATATTTTGCAATCTATCCATCTGACAAAGGGCTAATATCCAGAATCTACAAGGAACTTAAACAAATTTACATGAAAAAACAACCCCATCAAAAAGTGGGCCAAGGATATGAACAGACACTTCTCAAAATAAGACATTTATGTGGCCAACAAACATGAAAAAAAGCTCATCATCACTGGTCATTAGAGACATGCAAATCAAAACCACAATGAGATACCATCTCACACCAGTTAGAATGGTGATCATTAAAAAGTCAGGAAACAACAGATGCTGGACAGGATGTGGAGAAATAGGAATGCTTTTACCCTGTTGGTGGGAGTGTAAATTAATTCAACCATTGTGGGAGACAATGTGTCGATTCCTCAGGGATCTAGAACCAGAAATACCATTTGATCCAGCAATCCCATTACTGGGTATATACCCAAAGTATAAATCATTCTACTATAAAGAGACATGCACACGTATGTTTATTGCGGCACTATTCACAATAGCAAAGACTTGGAAACAACACAAATGCTCATCAATAATAGACTGAATAAAGAAAATGTGACACATATATACCATGGAATACTACGCAGCCATAAGAAAGGATGAGTTCATGTCCTTTGCAGGGAGATGGATGAAGCTGGAAACCATCATTCTCAGCAAACTAACACAGGAATAGAAAACCAAACACTGTATGTTCTCACTTACAAGTGGGAGTTGAACAATGAGAACACATGGACACAGGGAGGGGAATATCACACACCAGGGGCTGTTGGGGGGTGGGAGGCTAGGGGAGGGATAGCATTAGGAGGAATACCTAGTGTAGATGACAGGTTGATGGGTGCAGCAAACTACCATGGCATGTGTATACCTATGTAACAAACCTGCACGTTTTGCACATGTATCCCAGAACTTAAAGTATATATAAAAAACGAAAATGTGGTACATATACACTATGGAATACTATGCAACCATAAAAAAGAATAAAATCATGTTCTTTGCAGCAACATGTATGCAGTTGGAGGTCATTATCCTAAGTGAATTAATGCAGGAACAGAAAACCAAATACTGCACATTCTCACTTATAAACGGGAGCAGAACATTGGGTACTAATGGATGTAAAGATGGCAACAATAGACACTGGGAACTCCAAAAGTGGGGAGGAAGAAATGGGGTCAAGGGTTGAAAAAGTACCTATATGCTTACTACTTGGGTGATGGGAACATTAGTACCCCAAACCTCAGCATCACACCATATCTCCCTATAACAAACCTGCACATGCACTCCCCGAATTTAAAATAAAAGTTGAAATTATTAAAAAATAAAATAAACAAAACAATATAAAATTATATCTTTAGAGTGAAGTAATATTAAGTTATAAAAGTCCAGTTCAGTATAAGGCAAACTTCAGCCTCATCTCCAATTCACGGCTTCTGTCCTCCTTCCTTTTCAGTGCCTAAGACACAGTTCTGGAATCTGCAGTGGGATCAATGAGGTACGGTCTCTGCTTTAACTAACGCTCCACTTTGACCTCACACAATGTTCTACCAAGTGGAGATGGGGCAAGGAGGTGGGAGGAAGGACAACAGGAAAGATTTCTTCACCTACAAGGTACTGTTGATAGTTCTTGCTACAGTGTCAAATTACTCTGTCCCGTAGACCTCCAAGTGTGAGCTCTCTTGGAGGCATTTGGTGGGGGCATACTCCTCACCCAGATTGGAAGCCCCTTTGGTGGAGTCCTTTCGACATAGCAGTTTAGGCATGGT
Organism: Homo sapiens; assembly: GCF_000001405.40. Classification (NCBI taxonomy): domain Eukaryota; kingdom Metazoa; phylum Chordata; class Mammalia; order Primates; family Hominidae; genus Homo; species Homo sapiens. Next base: position 27,594,274 of record NC_000010.11, read on the forward strand.
GGCTCACACCTGTTATCCTAGCTTTTTGGGAGGCTGAGGTTGAATGATCACTTGAGGCCAAGAGTGCAGGACCTGCCTGGGAAACACAGTGAGACCTTGTCACTTACAAACAAACAAACAAACAAAAAATTAGCTGGGCACAGTGGTGTGCACTTGTAGTCTCAAGCTACTTGAGAGGCTGAGGTAGGAGGATTGCTTGGTTCTGGGAAGTTGAGGTGGCAGTGAGCCTTGACTGTGTCACTCAACTCCAGACTGGGAGACAGAGCAAGACCGTGTCTAAAAACAAAAACAAAAACAAACAAACAAACAAAAGTAGTGTAATGCTCAGTTGCCTGCTGTAGCATCCATTGGCTCATGGAACTCATACTTTCTTTCCCAAACTATAAATGCAGTCTACTAGACTACTGCTACCTTGCAGCCTCTGTTCCCAACATGCCACGGATACAGCTCCAGGGCACCTCCTGCCTTCAGAATTTTTAGCTGGGAAGCAGACACCCCGATCTCTTTCAGTGTTTCATCATAGAGCTACCCTCACCTGACTTGGGGTTGGGGAGCAACCTCTCCCTATAGAGGAGCATGGAAGTTGAGTTTGGGCCTTTTGTTGTCCCATAAGCATTTTAGGACTGTTTTTCTATTTCTATGAAAAATGACAGTGGAATTTTCATAGGGATTTCATTGATTTCTTTAGGCTGTATGGGTATTTCAGCAATATTAACTATTTCAATCCATAAAATAGGACATCTTTCCATTTATTTGTGTCTTCTTCAATTTCCCTCATTAATGTTTTACAGTGTTCAGTTACAGATCTTTCTAACACAATAAATTGGTTAAATTTATTCCTAAGTATTTTATTTTTTGATGCTTTTATATGTGGGATTCTTAATTTCTTTTTTAGGATAGCTCATTATTAGCATATAGGAAAACAACTGATTTTTTTAATGTTGATTTTGTACCCTGCAACTTTATAGAATTTGTTTATTGGTTCTAACAGTTCTTTGGTGGAATCTTAAAGACTTTAAGCATCTTAATCACTTAAAGATTTAAAGAGCTTTTAACATATAAGATTATGTTATTTGCAAATAGAGACAATTTAATTTCTTCCTTTCCAATTTGGATGCCTTTTATTTCTTTTTCTTGCCTAATTCCTCTGGCTAGGACTTCCAACACTATGTTGATAGAAGTGATTTCTATCTAGAAGTCTTTCTCCTGATTGTAGAAAAAAAGCTTTCAAAGTTTCACTGTTGAACCGTACGGAGTTAGCTATAGGCTTGTCCTATATCTTACATTATGTTCAGGTACATTCCTTCTTATAGCTAATTTATTGAGAATTTTTATTATGAAAAGTTGAATTTTGTCAAATACTTTATCTGCATCTATATTGATGATCATAAGGTCTATTTTGTCTGATGTAAGTCTGATGTATGTTAATTTGATGTATCATGTTTATTGATTTCTCTATGTTGAGCCATCCTTGCATACCAGGGATAAATTCTACTTGATTATGGTGAATGATTCTATTAATGTACTGTTGAATTTGGTTTGCTAGTATAAGGTGATTATCCCTTATTCAAAATGCTTGTGACCAGAAGTGTTTTGGATTTAGGATTTTGGAATATTTACATTATATTTACCAGTTGAGCATCTGTAACCCAAATATCCCAACTTTGAAATTCTCCAATGAGCATTTCCTTTGAGCATGACATCAGTGCTCAAAACGTTTCAGATTTTGGAGCATTTTAGATTTTGGAGCATTTCAGATTTTGGATTAGGAATACTCAACCTGTATTTTGTAGAGGATTTTTGCATCTATCTTCATTGGGGATATTGGCCTGTGATTTTGCTTTCTTGTTGTGTCTGTATCTAGATTTGGTATGAGGGTAATGCTGGCTTTGTAAAATAAATTTGGAAATATTCTCTCCTTTTCAATTTTTTGGAAACATTTGAGAAGCACTGACATTGATTTTTCTTTAAATGTTTGGTGGAATTCAGCTGTGAAGCTATCAGGTTCGGGGCTTTACTTTTTGGGAGGCTTTGGATTATTGCTTCAATCTCCTCACTCATTATCAGTCAGTTTAAATTTTCTTTTTCTTTGTCATTCAGTCTTGGTAGGTTGTATGTTTCTAGGAATTCATGTATTTCATTTACATTATTCAGTTCGTTGGTATATGATTGTTCATCGTAATCTCTTATGATCATATTTCTGTATTTCATGACTCCCCTTTCATTTCTAATTTTAAGTTTCATCTCTCTTTTTTCTTTGGTTAGTTTTATTTGAGATCTTTCATTTTTCTTAATACAGACATTTATCACAATAAAATTCCCTCTTAGAGCTGTTTTTGCTGCATCCCCTAAGTTTTGGTATGTTGTGCTTCCATTTTCATTGGTCTCAAGATACTTTTTTGATATCCCTGTGAATTTCTTCTTTGACCCATTCTTTGTTCAGCAGTATGTTGTTTAATTTCCACATACTTGTTAATTTTCCAATTTTCCTTCCGTTTCATACCACTGTGGTTGGAAAAGTTATTTCATATGATTTCAATCTTCTTAAATTTATTAGGACTGGTTTTGTAGCCTAACATATGATCTGCCCTGAGAATGTTCTCAAGGAGAGTGTGTATTATGGTGCTATTGGATAGACTTTTCTGTTTGGTCCATTTGGTCTACAGTGTTATTCAAGCCCACTTATTGATTTCCTGTCTGGATGATCTATTCATTGTTGAAAGTGATATATCAAATTCCCCTTTGAAAGTAATGTGTCAAAGTCCCCTTGTATTGCTGTCTATTTCTCCCTTCAGTTCTATAAATATTGGCTTTTATATTTAGGTGCTCTAATGTTGGGTCTGTATATATTTATAATTGTTATAGCCTCTTGATGAATTGATCCCTTTGTGATTACATAGTTGCCTTCTTGGACTTCTGTGACAAATTTTGACTGAAATTCTATTTTGTCTGATGTAAGTATAGTCACTTTACTTTCTTTTGGTTAGCATGTGCATGGAATATTCTTTTTCATACCTTCACTTTCAGGCTATGTATGTCTTTAAAGCTAAAGTGAATATCTTGCAGACGGCATATTGTTGGATTGAAAACAATTTATTTAGCCATTCTTTGTTTGATTGGAGAATTTCATACATTTACATTTAAATTAATTATTAATAACTAAAGACACTTACTATTTTTCTAGTTTTTTTTTTACTGTTTTGTAGTTCTCTTGTTTCTTTCTTACTTTTTTACTATCTTTCTTTGTGATTTATTGATTTTTTTGTAGTGGTATACTTTCCTTTCTCTTTTTCTTTTATCTACTAGAGTTTTTTTTTCTTTGTGGTTACTATAAGGCATACATAAAATCTTATAGTTATAAAATTCTATTTTAAGCATGAAACAACTTCAATCCCATACAAAAGCTTTACATTTTTATATCTCTCTCTTCCTACATTATAGGCTATCGATGTCAAACTTCTTATTTTTAAGTATTGTGTATCCATTAACAAATCATTGTAGCTATTTTTAGTACTTTTGTCTTTTAACTTTTATGCAAGAATTAAATCTGATTTATGTGCCACCATTACAGTTTTAGAGTATTCTGAATTTGACTATATATTTACTTTTGTCAGTTAGTTTTACATTTTCATACGTTTTCACATTGTTACTTAGTGTCCTTTTCTTTCAACTTAAAGGGCCCTTTTTAGCACTTGTAAGGCAGTTCTTGGACAATGAACTCTCTCAGCTTCTGTTTGTCTGGGAATGACTTTATCTCTCCATTTCTGAAGAATAGCTTTGCCAGGTATATTATTTTTGGTTGGAATAATAATAAACGCAAAGTGCTTTCAGCACTTTGAATATATCACCCAGGCTTACAAGGTTTCTACTAAGAAACCTTCTTATAGCCTTATAGACGTTCCCTTCTATGTGACAAATCACTTTCTCTTGCTGCTTTAAACATTTTTTCTTCATCTTTGACTTTTGACAATTTGTTTACAATGTGTTGAATATAATCTTATTCAAGTTGATCTTGCTTTGGGACTTTTGCACTTCAGGAATCTGGATGTCTATATCCCTCTCAAGATTTGGGAAATTTTCAGACATTATTTCTTTAAATAAACTTTCTGCCCATTTCTGTCTCTCTCTTCTTGGACTCTAATTATGCACATATTCACCAATTTGATAGTGTCTCATAGGTCCCATATGCTTTTCTCACTATTTTTCTTTTTCTTATCTTTTCTTTTCTTTTGTTCCTTCAACTTTCTAATTTCAACTGATGTGTGTTTGAGTTCTTAGATTCTCTCTTCTGCATGATCCAGCTTCCTGTTGAAGCTATTGAAATTTTCAGTCCTGTCATTGAATTCTTCAGCTCCAAGATATCTATTTGGTTCATTTTTTAATGGTTTCTATTTCTCTGGTGAACTTCTCATTTTGTTTATACCTTGTTTTCCTGATTTTGTTTAGTTGTCTGTCTGTGTTCTCTTGCATTATTGGGCTTCTCTAAGATGATTATTTTGAATTCTTTGTCAGATGATTTGTAGATCTCCTTTCTTTGGCGTGAGATATTGGAGCTTTATTAATTTCCTTTGGTGGTGTTATGGTAGTAACAGGTTTGGTAGCCTGATTCTTCATGATCTGTGTAGCTCCGCATTAGTGTCTGTGCATTTAAGAAGCAAGTACATTTTTCAGTCTTTATAGACTGGTTTTGGCAGGTAAAGATCTTCTTTTGTCAGCTCCCAGGGCTGATGGCATTTCCTCTAGGAGCACAGTCAAGTGATGCCATCACCCCTGGGATCTGACAAAAGAAGTCAAGTGGGGTTGTAGCCAGGTCATGTAGCTACTACTGGGCTCTGCAGTTGGCAGGTTTGTTACCAGTGGCTCAAGCAGATGTGGATCCTGCCTGGTATCTGGGTGAATGGATCTACTTCCAAGACCTTGGTCAGTAGGGCTGGCACTGGGACAAGGGTCTGCTTCAGGATCTGTAGTTGGTTGATAGTAGGCTTGTTACTAAATGCATAGGTGAGTGTGGCTCCTCCTGGATCATTGTGTAGGTCTCTGGGTGGGCAGAACTGACCTTGGACCACAGCTTGGAGGGACTAAGTCACAGGGCTGCTTCAGGGTCACAGCTAAGACTGAGCTCTTCAGGCCTGCCTCTAGGGGCACAGATGTGTGGATCTCCCACTGGGTCTTTTGGTGGGTAGGACTATTCCTGGACTATGGCTGAGAGGGGCTGAATTCTGTTCCTGGACTATAGCTGAGAGGGGCTGAAGCCAAGTTATAAGACTATTCCAGGATCTGTAGTTGGACCAAGGTGTGTGGGCCCACCTCCTAGGGTATGGACAGGTGTGTTTCCCAATAGGCAGGCACTGGGAAACTTCCAAACTGTGGCTGAAAGGGTCTGGAGCCTGGTCTTGGGCCTCTTCAAGGCTTATGATCAGGACTGAGGTCAGTGGGCCTATTACTCCAGGCATGAGCAGGCATGGCCCGTCCTGGGTCCTTTGGCAGATGGTGCCAGTGGCAGGACCAATTGGAGGTGTACCTGAGTCTACAGGAGGACAGAGATGCTAGGACCACAGTGATCCTGCCACCTGGGTGCTGGCCTGCCTTCTCAAAATGGCTCTCCTCAGTCTCAGGCTTCACTGAGCTTTTGTAACCTCCTACCTGGATCGAAAAACCCCCACAAGGGCACTTTTGTCCATGGATAGCAGCCAAAATATTGTTACTGTCGGGGGCTCCCAATGGCGGGCCCACCTATCCTGCCATCTTGCTTGCTGCCATCACTCCTCTATTTGTCTTTTTTTTTTTTTTTGAGACAGAGTCTTGCTCTGTCACCCAGGTTGGAGTGCAGTGGCATGATCTCGGCTCACTGAAATCTCCGCCTTCCAGGTTCAAGCGATTCTCGTGCCTCAGCCTCCCAAGTAGCTGGGATTACAGACACCCACCACCATGCCCAGCTAATTTTTGTATTTTTAGTAGAGATGGAGTTTCATCACATTGGCCAGGTTGGTTTTGAACACTTGACCTCAGGTGATCCTCCCGGCCTTGGCTGGGATTACAGGTGTGAGCCACCATGCCCTGCCTATTTATCTCTATTAATTGACATCTAGGTTGTTTCCATTTTCCTTTATCATAAGCATAACGCTTTTGTGCAATTTTTACTGTTCAACAAGGCCAGGCCAATTTACACTCACCAAGACTATATGAAAATACTCATTTTTTTTACACCCTTGATAATACCAGATGCTAGAAATCTTTTTAATTTTTACCAAATATATAGGCCCCAAACTGCATCTCCTTCTTTTAGTTTGAAAAAAATACATAAGTGAAATTGAGCACTTTTACATGTGTGTATTGAACTTATTTCACTTTTATTTCCTTTATTGTGAATTGATACTTTTTCCCCTCCCACCTTTCAGTGCCGTCTCTGGAAGTCCCATTAGGTCAATGTTAATGCAGACAGGGTGGGATGTTTAAAGCTCCAGTTTTCAAGAGCCAACATTACCCTGTGGCAGGTTACTGTGCTTAAACTGGTTTTATCCATAAATGGAACAATTTTACCCAGACAAGCAGCTGCACAATGTCTTTCAGGGCTGAGATTACCTAGTAAAATGGGGTGTGTGGGTCAGATGTGCCCGAGCGGTACAGCAAGTGTACAGGCTGCAGTGAGAAGGGCAACGATAAAGGCTGTTGGAGCATGACTTTGATTCTCACTAGAACAGGAGCCAGCAGGAAAGACTTAATGGTGGGATTAGACCTTCTCAGGCATTGGTAGGTGTAACAATATTGACTGTTCTTAAGCTGCAAGGAATCTGAGCTCTGCCTACTCTACAGAGCACTAGGGAGTGTCTAGGTTAATGTGGCTGCCAGGCCCTGATAGGCAGGACCAGAGCAGCTGCTCCAAATGTCATTTCTTTCCAGGGCCAAGGAGGCAAGCTTAGAGGGCTCAGCTTTGAACTTAAGTGCTTGCTCTCAGGCTGAAGAGTCATTCCCACCATGTAGTTTCCCGTTAGCTCTAGATTAGGGTTGCCATACTGAGCAAATAAAAATACAAGATGTCCAATTAAATTTGAATTTCAGATAAACAAAACAACAAGTTTTTAGGGCAAGTCTATCTCATGCAATATTTGGAATATGCTAAAAAGTAATGGTTGTTTATCTGAAACTTAGATTTAACTGAGTGGGCTGAGTCTTATCTGGCTGCTGTATACTAGGCTGATCATTTTACATACACAATCAATGTAACGTACCTTTAGATACCCAGGACCCAAACTGCATAGCATGTTGGATTGAGGAGCAGCCCGTGGTAGAAGAATTGGCCTTTGCAACGGCTCTAGCAGCCAAAACTTCATATTCATCAAGAGCAGCTTTGATCTTCCAGCTGAAATAAACATGGGGATTGAAAGAGAAACCATCCTTGGCAAGTCTCACAGGCTTCCATAGGAAGGCCACTGTAGCACAGCACCGGAATGTTTGTTCACACGAGAATGTTAAGTGGACTCTGGATGGAGTCACATTCAGTGAAACATTGGTTGCCAGAAACACAAGGCCCGAAAGGAAAATGAGAAATTAAGATGATTGCCTATTCTGGATGGGAAATGAAGATTCCTCAAATAAGACTCAGTGCCTGAGGCTGCACCATTGCAGAAATATTAGTAAGAACATAGCATTTTCAAAATGCTACTTTCTGATAGGAAGTACAGTATGTATACGTAGCTTTCTCCCCTAGGTACGTTCACGTATGGGCCAAAGTTAACTTCCTGATGGATGATTTCTTCCAAGGGAGTTTAAATTCCCAGGAAGTGGATTCAGGACAGCTGACATAGACTAATCAGTGTCCTGGTGAACTGTCCTTCCATTCTGTCCTTCCTTCAGACACCAGTGAGTTTTTGCTTTGGACTTTGGCAACAGTAAACACTGGGTTCTGGGAACATAATTTTATCTGGGATAATTGCACTTACGGTCTGCAAATTGGCTTACTTACTAAAGGCAGAGTGGGGAGAGCCAATGTTTTCATATTCTTGCTTTTCTAGGAACATATCGGACTTTTTAAAGGCAGGGCATATGAGAAACTAATTCAATTCCTATGACCCAGAATGAACTACAGCCTTCCAGAGGACAGCCTCGTCCACAGCTGCTGAGCAACCCTCACATTACCCAAGCACTGAGGACCCTCTAGTGATACTGAACAGAGTCAGATATTTAGGATGGGGATAAATATCAAACTTTAATTTCTTTGGATTTTAACTCACAAGGACAAAAACTTTTGGACTTAACTTAAGAATTTTGGATTCTAATCCCTGGGATTTAATCTTCAAATTTTAATTTCTCAGGAGGAAATGTATAATAGGAAGGGTTTTATGTTCAATTTTTTTTTTGAAATGGACTCTCACTTTGTCACCCAGGCTGGAGTGCAGTGGCACGATCTCGGCTCACTGCAGCAACCAACTCCTGGGTTCAAGTGACTGAATGCCTCAGTCTCCTGAGTAGCTGGGATTACAGGTGTGCGCCACCATGCCCTGCTAATTTTTGTATTTTTAGTAGAGATGGGGTTTCACCATGTTGGCCAGGCAGGTCTTGAACTCCTGACCTCAGGTTATCCACCTGCCATGGCCTCCCAAAGTGCTGGGATTACAAGCATGAGCCACTGCACCTGGCCTTTGTTCAAATTTGAACTTTTTCTATTTTTTCTATTGAATTTTTTCTATTGGAATTTTTTCTATTGAATTTAAATAATAAAATATTTGATATAATCATGTTACTGGAGTATCTTACTATTGTTGAAGAAGCTCTGATAATATGGCTCAATATAATTGGGTAGGAAATAGAATAGGGAATGAAATTTTCAGCCATGAGTATAGATTGGCCCAAAGAAAGAAACTGATGTATTTAAACTATTCCAGACCATAGTAAAGGACACAAAGCTTACTAATTAGTTTTATGAAGCTAGCATACTCTTAATATCAAAATCTGATATAAAGATAACAGATAAGGAGATATAGCTGGTTATCATTATTTGCAGTAGCTTTTTTTAAATAAGTCATTACAAATGCTGAATTAGCAATTATTGAACAATTGCTCCCAGGGGGTCCCTGCAAGCTTCTTGTAAGGATATTTTTGTCAACTGATAAATACCTAACCTTATTTCATGTGGGTTTCTGTTTGGAGATGCCTTATTTAATACGTATTTTTGATTCATTAACATTGAATTCATGCTAACTCATACCTATAACTTATGCCTGATCAAAGCTGATCTAACAGCAAAATCAGTAACAAAAAGCACAAAGGTACAAAAAACATGGCACTAAATCTACCACAAAAAGGACACTTGCTTACATTATGAAAGCTGAAACAAGAAGTTAGAGCATCACTTCGTTCAGCCTTATCCGAGAATGTGCCCAACAGGTGATTCACATGTTTTGCCACTCTACACGTGTCCTTGATTGACTGCAAAATGCAGTGCGTATTGATTTGGGGTTACAGATACATTTTAGCAAGCAGGTGAATTTGCAAATACAGAATCTTTGAGTAATAAGGATTGACTGTCTGGCACAATTTGTTTATATTATCAACATTACCCTAATTGTGGGGTAAGAACCCAAATGAAGGCACTTATAAGATATTTTTAAAAGGCATTTAAACAAGATGTGAAAAAGCAGAAACCTACTATGTTTCTGAAACAAGAAGACCACATAAGATGCAATGTCAATAAAAATTTCAATGGGTAATTTTTTAATAGACAAATTATTTTAAAGTTCTTATATAAAAATAGATATGCTATAATTGCTCAAGATTTTTAGAAAAGAAAAAGAATATTAAAACTTATTGTAAAAGTATTGTAAATAAAACAGTGTGGCACAGGCACAGGAATTAAAAAATAGAGAGTTTAGAAACAGATCCATGGAGACATACTATCACAATGGCATTTCAATTCACCAGAGGATGGGGTATCTGTTTTATATATGACATTGTCCCAAACTTCACACAACATACGTGAAAGTGAATTTAAGATAAGTGGGTTAAAGTTCTTGATATTTTTAACTGTAAATATTTTAAAAGAAAATTTGAGATATATTTTGTGACCTGAGGTGGTATAAGCCTTCAGGAAACCCAGAATCCACAAAGAGTTGATTATCTAAAAGTTAAAAACCTCTGTAAGTCAAAGGATGAAATAATGGAAAATGTCAAAAGACAAGTCTGGGAAAAAATACTTTTTAACATGTGTGAAAGAACAAGTGCTAATGTTATTCAGCTTCTACAAATTCATAAGAAGACAACCTGCTATGACAAAGGATGTGAATAGGAATTCACAGAGGAGAAAATGCATATGAAATGACGAATAATTATACAAGTATGCTCAACCTAAACACAGAAATGCAAATAAAAATCACAATAAGATCACTTTATGCACACCTGAATAGTAAAACAACAACAAAAAAAGAAAGAAGGAAAGGAAAGAAGCAGCAGCAACCAGTGCTTTTAGAAGCGTGGGAGGCCTGTAATCCCAGCACTTTGGGAGGCTGAGGCAGGTGACTCACGAGGTCAGGAGTTCAAGACCAGCCTGGCCAAAATGGTGAAACTCCGCCTCTACTAAAGATACAAAAATTAACCTGGCCTGGTGGCATGCACCTGTAATCCCAGCTACTCCAGAGGCTGAGGCAGAGAATTGCTGGAACCCAGCAGTTGGAGGTTGCAGTGAGCCAAGATTGCACCACTGCACTCCAGCCTGGAAGACAGAGTGAGACTCTGCCTCAAAAAAAAAAAAAAAAGAAACAAGCATAGGAAAACAGGCACTTGCATCTGCTGCTGGTGGAAATAAGCTTTATGAATACATTTTTAAAATAATATGACAATATTTATTAAAATTAAAAATATACATATTCGTACTCTTAACCTATCAACAATAATTGTAGGAATCTATCCTCCAGATATACATGTATACATATATACATATGTGTTTAAATTTATTTATGTTACTGCACTGTTTGTAATAGGAAAAAATGGAAACAACCCGAATGTCCGCCAATATGTAGTACAGCCACACCACGGAATAGTCCGCATCTATGAAAAAGAATGTCTGTAGACTTTATCTTTTAGTGCAGTGGCTTTTTTCCAAGATTATGCCCTTAAGACCTTGTGAGAGCTTGCTCTGAATTTCTGCTGGCTGAGCTTCAGATAGGATAGTTATAATGGAAAAAACTGTGTTTGTGATCTTGCATTTAGTAGCAAAACAGGTGTCCCTCTCTGGGGCCACCCACACTATCCTGCTTATGTACTTAACGGATTCACAGCTTTTTCTCCTCTTCCCCTGAGAGGCAGAGGAAATAGCATCATCCTTCCCCAAACCGTTTTGGGTTTCACCAGCCCCTGTGTGCATCGCTCCTGACCCTTAGAAATATGACCACTTGGGTGGAGCCACGTTAAAGAGTTTTTTTTTTTTTTTTTTTAATGATTTAAGAAAACACTTGGACTGGGGTAGGTAGAGATAAAAACAAACACAGTATGGGTTTTTCAATAACATCTTGAAATTATAACTCAGTGAAATATTGTCTTTGAGCCAGTAATGAAACCCACATTGCACCAGTGGCCTTGATGTTGAGTGTGCAGGGCAGGGAAGGGGAGGTGTAGGGGCGGGGGCAGCTGTATTTACTGTCCCTTGCCTCTGTGCTACTCATTAAGTGCTTGTTCATTTTTGAATTTGAAGATACCTTCTGAAGCCCTCATTGCTTATGTGACATTTATCTTGGGAAGAACTGGATGAGAAATTCAAAGAATGTTTGACTGTATGTCCCATGCCTGCCACTGCCACCTGGGTAGCCCGAATAACTTCGGGTGACCCTGGCTCTGGCTTCGCTCTCCCTGGTTTGGGTTGGTGAGAATTCCCCGCTGAGCCTGAACTGTTAAAACCAGCCCAATGGAACAGCAGTCCTATAAATGGGTGGAGGTGCACAGAGCCCAAAGGAAATCAGAAATCTTAGAAATAGCAGATTTCTAGGCTGGTTAAGACTTTAGAGGAGATTTTTTTTTTCATTTTGTTTTTTTCTTTTTAAAAAAGTTCCACCCCCCCAACCCATAGACTGAAAGGAAATATGAATTCAAGAAAGACTTACTTTAAGCTCCTGACAGTTGCTATAGGACTGGCTGCCCATCAGCCAGTGCTTCTCAGAGTGTGGTCTGTGGACGAGTTGCACCACGTTGCAATCAGAAGATGTTAAAAATGCAGACTTTGCAAAGGCTCCAATTCAGTAGGTCTGGAATGGGATCCAGAAATCTGGGTTTTAAAGGCTTCCAGGTGATGTGTACATTCTCTTAAACGTAGGAACCACTAGACTCAATCTACCCCAGATACGTCTTCTCAGTGCCAATGAGACAGGCAGGCAGGCAGGCACATCCAAAATTGTTAGACAGCTGAGATTTGGACCTTGAGCTTCTAAGCCATCCAAGACATTTTCACTGAAAGGCAAAGCCGTTCTTCCTGATTGTTTGAAGGACTGCGACTTCCCATATGGCTAAAATTAAAGTCGACACTTTGTCTTATTTCAGTGTCTACATAAGCAAATTGGTGATTCTGGTCGTCCGGAGTCGTGGGTTCTCGTTTGACTGAGGAGGGTTGGTTCTTTGTACTCATGGGCTTTCTTCCACCTGCAGAAGGTGCAAGATGCTGGCATCTGGCAAGGCTGGGCGAGAACAGGCAAGAATGGCTGATGTTTGTGCAGAGAGGAGGATTTTATCTTCTGAATCTGATGGAAACTGTGGACCTCTTCCACAGACACATTTCCATACACTAACTTTTGCATAAATTTCTGAAGATTCGTAGACCTTCCTGAACTCAAGTTTAAGGTCCCTTGCTAGAGAAATAACCTTTTTTTTTTTTTAACTTCGGTGCCAGGCATTCATGGAAGGTATATTCTAATGGAGCTGGAATTAAAATTACCTAGTTTTTGAAAAAACAGTGGGTGGGGTAGACAGCAACAAACGTAAAATATTGATAAATGTTGAAGCTGGGTGATGTTTGTATGAGGGATCATTAATCCACTTTCTTTGGGGTATGGAAGTAGAACAATAATAAATATTTTTAAAAAAATCTTCTTCTACCCAATTTACATTTTGTGTCTTAGTTATTGAGGGAATCTGGGATGCCAATTGAATGTCAAAGAAGACTGATCAAGTCACGTGGATAAGATGCAATTTCTGAATTTTGCAGCTGTAAAAAAATCCTGTATTGCACACCAAACGTCAGATTCCACTTGTAATTTACAACCTGTTCTATTTTCCAGGGATTTATATCAGTCAACTGTTGCCACAAAATTCTGCTTACTATGCCATCCCCAAACTCAGTGGCATACAAAAATAAACTTGTATTTAGGATCATATATCTGCTGGTCAGCTGGGATAGGTTAGCTTCAAACTTCAGGCAAATTGGGACAGCTGTGATGATTTCAGCAGGTCAAGTGTGTTCCAGACATTTCTCATTTTCTTGGAATTGTTGAGCTACCCACGGCAGGTCTTCTCATGACAGACGCTCCAGAGAGCAAGCCTCTGCTTGCATTATGTTGCCAACATGCTGTCGAACAAAGCAAGTCACACGACAAAGCCCAAAGTCAAGGGGAGGAGAAGAACATTCGACCTCTAGAAGGAAGAACTATAAAGTCACGTGGCAAAGAGACTGGATACAAAATAACCAATAATCTATTAACTATAGGGCTAGTGCATTGGTTTTTCATTTCCAATAAAACATAGTGACCTCCCATGGGTATTGGAAGCTATCCAGGCCTCAGTTTCAGGTAGAGGAACCCATGATGGACCTCTTTCCCCAATCTAGATTTCCCCTCCCTTTGGTTCCTTTGGGGTTTGGCAGGATCGTTTCCAATCCTGGTTCTCAAATCTCCTAAAATTATTATGTCAGTGATTAGGTGGTTATAACATATAAAATCCAAAAGGCTGTCAAATTGGATGCAGACATGTAAGAGATAAATAGGCACACAAATAGGATGAGTGTATAATAGATATTAAAACCCACCAGGTCTGTGATTTCAGGAAGCTGTAAGAAGTCTGAATGTACCAGCTTACACCACTGAAAGTTGGCAAGCTTACTTCCTGTTGTAAATGCTGATTGTAGCAGGTCCATTCTTTCCTCTGATAAAGCTGCTTTTCTTTAAGGCCAGATAGGAAAACGCCCAACTCTTTAAACCTGAAATTCAGGTGAAAGGTTAATATCTTTTCTTTTTCTTCTACAACCTGCCCTGGTTAATGAGAATGAATATATATATATATATATATATATATATATATATATATATATATATATATTTTTTTTTTTTTTTTGGGGGGGGGCGGTCATTAGGAGGCATATGCCAAATCCCCTTTAGAAAAATACATATAACAATTTTCCTTTTGGGACTTGCTGTTACAGGCTTCCATTGCTGAAAATGTATTACCTTTGAGTATATAAAGGACAAATATTTAGGGTAAAGTATAGAAATAGTTTTCTTCTAATGAGGAAACACAAGGCTTATTTGTGCCATCCATTTTGGGAAAAGGTTTGGTGGCTGGATTATAAAAATGGCCCCACTTCTCTACCTCTTCCAGGATCCTCACCCTTTGTAGTGTGACTCGGAGGCAACTTCCTCCCACCAAGAGATAGAGTCTGTTTCCCCATTTCTTGAATCTGGGCCAACTTTGTGACTTGTTTGGTCCAACAGAATGAATGCTCTAAAAGAATGTTCTGAGTCTAAATTTGAATAGGCTTTGCGCACTTCTACTCTTGTTTAGAACCCTGCCCCGCAGCCATGCAATCAAGCCCAGGTCAGTCTGCTGGAGGATGAGGGACCACGTGGAGCAGAGACAGTTTGTCCCAGCCAGGCCCCAGCTGACCACGTGAGCCTAGCTGAAATAAGCCAGGCCTGCCCAGATCAGCACAACTGTCCAGTTGACCTATAGAACTTGTGAGTGAGCAAAAATAAAGATTTATTGTTCTATGCTACTGAAATTTTGTGGTAATAAACAAGGAACGTGAGAGGAGTAAGGGAACTCAATTTAACAAAATGAACCTGCTGAACAGACAGAATGATCTCATCTTCCTGGTGGGATTAAATGACAGTGGGGACCAGCTTAAGGGGGAGGACATCAATACAAAGAAAAGAATTAGCTAATTTTAAGGTGCCCCTGGATGGTTAATAATGATATGTTGTTGTAACAGCAGATCATTTGTTCCACAGTATTTTACAAATATTATAATGTATCTGGATTTTTAGATGAAATTAAACTCTTAAACTGATGGGTTTAAGAGTTTTTTCTTCTCCTTCCTCTGGGTGCTAAAGTGCTGAATGGAGGGGCAGACTGAATGTGGAGATGTGGTGGAACCACAGGGCGGATTGGCTAAAACCTACTGAACCTATGCCAAATCTTTGAATATCAAAGAGGGCCAATCAAGTCACATGGAAAAGACGTAATTTCCAAATTTTGAGGCTGTAAAAAAAATCCTGTGTGACACACCAAACATCAGGTTCTACTTGTAATTTACAACCTGTTCTATTTTCCAGAGATTTGTATCAGTCAACTATTGCCACAGAATGCTGCAAAACATGCCACTCCAAAACTCAGTGACATAAAAAAATAAACCTTTATTCTGGATCATGTATCTGCTGGTCTGCTGGGGCAGATAGTTGTTGCATGTATTATAGATGCCCTGTTCCACCTCGCAGAGATGTGTTCACAGAGTTCAAAAGAGTTCTTTCAACTGACTCTTGGTTCTTGGGAGACTCTTTCATGGAGGCCACAACTCAGCATGGTCAGGGCGTGTGATGAGTGCCTGATTCTTTAAAGGCGCTGGCATTCTAGGTAGGCCTTGGATAAGTTGAGGAATTTGTCTTCTGAAATGAGGGAAAGTCTACTAAATGGTTCATCTAGTTTCCTCCATGAAGAATAATTCCAAAAGCCAGTCAACTTCTCTAGCTCTTCTCAACAGTGGAAGACAGATAGGTCTGAAACGGTTGCAATTCTCACAAGTCAGCCTTCCTCTGAATTTCCCACATGGAAAACTACATGGCAGGGAACTATCAGGCAAGGCTGCAGATGCCTCTAAGCTCCAGTCCTTCCAGTTCAGCTGGCTGCATGCAAATCTAGAACACAGTCCCCTATTCCTTTCTCCACATACCACCTTCCATCCCATACTGGCCTTCAAGAGACACTAGAAAAGCTGCTGTATCTTACTTCAGGTTAATTACTGCTCTGTGTCCTCTACTCTCTGCATGGGTTGCCTAGAGTAATTTGGCAATACATTCCTTATAATTTAAGGCACTTCATGCTTTAAAGGTGCTTTCTGTTCTTTTCTTATTTTATCTTTTCTTTTCTTTTTTTTCCTCCTCCTCCTCCTTCTTCCTCTTCCTCCTCCTTCTTTCTTCTCCTTCTTCCCCTTCTCCTCCTCCTCCTTCCTCCTCCTCCTCTTCTTCTCCTTCTTTTGTTTGAAGAGATAAGGGTCTCAAGCCTGGCCAGCATGGTGAGAACCCATCTCCACTAAACATATAAAAATTAGCCAGGGGTAGTGGTGGACACCTGTAGTCCCAGCTACTTGGGAGGTTGAGGCAAGAGGATCACTTGAACCTGGGCACAGAGGTTGCAGTGAGCCAAGATCATGCCATTGCACTCCAGCCTGGGCGGCAGAGTAAGACTCTGTTTCAAAAAATAAATATACAAATAAAAAGAGATAAGGGTCTCACTCTGTCACCCAGGCTGGAGTGCAGTGGTATGATCATAGCTCGCTGCAGCTTCGACCTCCCAGGCTCAAGCAGTCCTCCCACCTCAGCCAGCTAAGTAGGTGGGACCATAGGCACATGCCACCCTGTCTGGCTGATTAAAAAAAAAATATTTTGGGGGGTCTTGCTGTGTTGCCCAGGCTGGTTTCAAACTCTTGGGTTCAAACAGTCCTCCTGTCTCAGCCTCCCAAAGTGTTGGAATTATAGTCATGAGCCACCATTCCTGTCCTAAAAGTGCTTTCAATATCTTATCTTAAATATAAAAATGATTTGAAAGGTTATTTTATCAACAATAGCAATGGACACACAAAAACTCAAAGGTGACTGCAAGAGCCTGGTGACTAGCCTGTAGCCTGATGCTTGTGTGACCCAAAGACCAACATTGCATGTGCAATGTTGACTCAGCTCATAAACGTCATAACATTGCTCTAATGTTGAAAGATTGCTGCAGAACACATTTTCTCAGAGCACCGGAATTTTCCTAGAGCGGCTGTTTTACTTTGCTAATTTGAGGATTTTTGTTTGGATGCCTTAGAGTAAGTGACAAGAGAAGAGAGGGGAAAAGTTTATTTTAATGCTGCTGAATTTAATGACAAGTAATTGGTTCCACAGGTACTGTATTCATTGACCTTTTTCCATATGGAGCTCTCAGAAAATTCCATTGCTATTGATCCCCTCCGATTTTAATGCTATAATGATGTTGTTCCCACACACAAGGGAAATGATTATGTGCTGTGACTGCTACACTTTGAATTGTGTGAATAATTGTGTACATATTTATATACATATCTTTGTTGTCCTAGTGGAGTTCTCAATGCACTTGAAATGGTTTGTGAACGTCTTTTCTAAATCCCCTCCAGATGTGTCAAATAGCATACTGTAAATCAGACTTTTCTTTCCATTTTTTTCTTTTTCCTTTGGTCTGCTGGTATTTGGTTTTAACGTGCCAAGCATTTTGGATTATACAAAGGAGATTACTATAGAAGGGGTTTGTTCTCTCTGCTGTTTCTCCTTCTCTTCCAAATAACTCTTTTCAATGTAAGAAGTCAACAAGCTTCCTGTGTTATTCTTTGGATTTCTCCCTACAACATTAAAACCTTTGTCTAGGCCAGAAGAAGAGTTGAGGAGGCTCCCTCCAGCCTGGCAGCCAGCTTTCAGTCTCCCCTTTCCAAGTGAAGAAATAAATTAAAGCTGACACTTGGAGTGTGTGTATGCCTGCTGCCTTTATGTTTGTACTCGAATGAGCTTATTTATTTTTTGTCCATTGCAAAAAGATTTATGACCCTTAATTATGAATTCTGACACTCTTGTGCTACATGGATGCGCTTAGATTGGTTTTTCACTTTCTGATGGCTTTGAAAAGCTTTCCTTTTCAACTTGAAACCCTCAAGGGCAACAAGGGTCCCTTTTTACAGAGGGTCTGGCCAGAGCCACTGCCTACAAAGGCTGTGTTTGCAAGGCTCAGGCTTCATCAGGGCCTGGGGATTGATGGATGGATGGTAACCTTGGCCACGGCTTTATTTACTCTTTCTTGATCCCATCCAGAGAATTCAAGTGAATATATAAAAATGTGTTTCTAAATAAAAGCTGGCAAGCAGAGTGTCAGCCTGGAAATAACCTTTTCAAGACATTTCAGGAAAACAAGAGCACTTCATTATTTGGAGTTTAAAAAGATAACAGTTGATGGCTGATCTGGCTGGGATCATGGTATTGGCTCAGCAAGTGTGAAATTGCATTGATTTTGCAAGACAGAAAAACTGACGTGACTTTCACGAACAACTCATCCAAACAGACATGGGAACATATGAGACCCTTGTGTATTCTTCCACTAACACACTGCTGCTGCTTCTTGGCCACTCCTCTTCATTACCCGTCTGATTTGGTTTGGCTGTGTCCCCACCCAAATCTCATCTTGAATTCCCACGTGTTATGGGAGGGACCCAGTAGGAGGTAATCGAATCACGGTGGCAGGTCTTTCCTGTGCTGTTGTCATGATAGTGAATAAGTCTCACAGGATCTGATGGTTTTACAAGCGGGAGTTGCTCTGCATAAGCTCTCTCTTTGCCTGCCACCAACCATGTAAGATGTGACTTGCTCCTCCTTGCCTTCCACCGTGATTGTAAGGCCTCCCCAGCCATGTGGAACTGTGAGTCCAATAAATCTCTTTTTCTGTATAAATTACCCAGTCTTGGGTATGTCTTTATTAGCAGCATGAGAACAGACTAACGTACTGTCCCTAAGTCCTATTTTCCCACATGTGGTTACAATGAGATAGGCCCCTCACTTGATAGTGTCTTCATAATTAAGCAAGAAGAGAAGTCAGTCTGATGGGAACAGTAGTGGTAGAACTTGGCATTGGCCTAGGCCCTGAGTGTCCTGCAGGTAGCATAGGAGTTCACCCTGCAGAGAGTGGTGACATGAGGAACTTGAGCATCATCTAGAAATCCAGGCATATACTGGAACATGGGCAGGATTCTTGACTCCTCCATTTCTGCCTCCCTTTCTCAGGCCAGGCTCCATTTACTGTGTTTTTGGTGTGTGGACAAGATTCTTGGGGCTCAGGATGGTGGTGGTAGTGATGGACCTAGAACCTGGCCTTTTTCGCTGGAGAGCAGGTGGAATATTTTTAATATTCTTTTTGCCAGAAAAATTGTAAGAGAAAATAAATAATTTAAATGTAAATTTAATTATAAAATTTAGAATTAAACATAATTATAAATTTAATTATAAAATTAAGAATTAAACATAATTCTAAATTTTAAACCAAACCTATGTATATTACGGAATAGGAGGTTAAATAGACATAACATTTAAGGTCAAGGTGTGGTGGCTCATGCCTGTAATTCCAGCACTTTGGGAGGCCAAGACAGGAGAATTACTTGGATCAGGAGTTCAAGACCAGCCTGTGCAACATAGCAAGACCCCATCTCTACAAAAAATGAAAAAGTTAGCTGGTCATAGTGATGTGTGCCTGTAGTTCCAGCTACTCAGGAGGCTGAGGTGGGAGAATCCCTTGACCCCAGAAGTTCGAGGCTGCAGTGAGCTATGATTGTGTCACACACTCTAGCTTAGGCACCAGAGCAAGACCCTGTCTCTAAAAAAACAAAACAAAACAACAAAAAAGACATAACATTTATCCTAGAGTCTAAGCCTGCAGTGAACAGGCTACCTTCCCAGAGGTCACTGTCACTCACCTCCAGGTGTTAGAATACTTTGGTGGATAACTTTGAGAAGCAATGGTCTATAGCACTTTCTGTGGCTCTTCCCCCAACCCCCACCTGCTAGCTGAACAGGGTTAAAATAAATTTCCTTGCTGGAGAAAATGACACAATTTCTTTGGTAAATTCAACCTTGTGAGAGGACAGCAAGTCAAACAACCCCAACTAAAGAAGTCACCTTCCTCCTCCTTCACCCCCGACATTTGCTGTCCTAAGTGATGCTCAAGTTGCAGTGGGGACACCCTCAAATGCCTGGGCCAGGGCCCCTAAGCCTGGTCTCCAGGTTCCTGAAGGATTTCTCTAATCAAGAATTTTGCATAACTTGTTCCAAAAATCCCACAAATGAAATAGTTGCTATGAAGAGCCCTTTTGAAGACCCCCACTAACTATACCAGAAAGCTTGCTGCTGTGACTTTTCAAACCATGAACTAGAATGTCTCTAGTTTTCATTACATGGTCCCATAAGTCCCTGTCCCCATAAGTCTTTCAAATGCCAATTAAATCACGCCACTGTCCTGCTCTGATGATGTCTCATGAGCTGGAAACAAAACCCAGATTCCTTGCCATGGCCTGCATAACCGACACAACCTGCTCCACTCTTCCTTCCAATCCCATCTCCTGTCTCTCTCCCATATCCTACTAAATGACAGCCACAGTTGTTCTTTCTCTCACCTAAATGTGCTCACTTTTAGCTTAAGGAATGTGCACCGTGTGGAATGTTCTGTGGCCTCCATCTCTGCATAGCTGGCCACTTCCTGTCACCTCTGTCTCTATGCGAATGCCTCCTCTCAATTATGCTTCTCCGACAACTCCACGGGGTGAGGGGCTCCCACGTATCCCCACCCCATCCCCCAGGGCTGCATTCAGAAACAGATCACTCTCTTTTACTTTCTTCATGGAACTTAACAGTATCTGAAGTTTTGTTCATTTAGTATGTACTTATATATATTGCCCCTCCTCTTCTCCTTTTCTAACTCCAGAATTTAAACACCATGAGAGCAAAGAAAGCCATTTCTGCCTCGCCCTGTACAATCTCTGTAATTCCTGGGAGAACTCCTGTTACACAGGAGCATGGTGAACACTTGCTGAATGAACAAATGAACCAATGAATGCATGAGCCAGACACTGAGCTGGTGACTGAGAAGCAACAGTGAGCAGAAACTGTCACACATCCACCTTGCTGTGACTTGCAAGCCAGTGGAGGAAGCAGAAGTTCTAATGTTCACGCTCCACAGTGACTGCTGCAAAGGAAAACCTCAGGGCGAGCAAGAGAGCTTTTAACAGGAGACTCTGGTCTAGTTGGAAGTATCCAGGCTGCTCCCTGGGGAAGTGAAGTTTGCAGATATCTGAGGCATATGAGAAATAATTTTTCCAAATGGTAATTTGGTATTAACTTGGTTATTAGCTCAGCTTGAAGAAGATAACATACTGAGAGAAGGAAATCAAACGGGAGTTAGTAACACCTTAGAAAACCTGCTGAGTCTCTACCAGCACAGTAGACTTCAGTTTCATGTCTTTTTACACTTAAATTCACTGACTTGCCGGGCGCAGTGGCTCACGCCTGTAATCCCAGCACTTTGGGAGGCTGAGGCGGGCAGATCACCTGAGGTCGGGAGTTCGAGACCAGCCTGGCCAACATGGTAAAACTCCATTTGTACTAAATACACAAAAATTAGCCAGGTGTGGCGGCACGCGCCCATAACCCCAGCTGCTCAGGAGGCTGAGGCATGAGAATCGCTTGAACCCATGAGTTGGAGGCTGCAGTGGGTCAAGATTGCACCACTGTACTCCAGCCTGGGAGACAGAGTTAGATTCTGTCTCAAAAAAAAAAAAAAAAAAAAAAAGAAAAAAAAATTCACGGACTTTCCACTTTCCCCCTTTTATTTCTTTGTTTCTCTCCTTTTTGTTTTTCTGCAAAGCCTTAAGGAATTCTCCTCACCAAACAGTTTTTTTTAACCGACATTTGCTTTTTTCCCCTCCTGAATTGGTTTGTTTCCAACACTGATACTTTAAACATTATCTTTTCCTACATGTATTAATCTTTTCTATTTGTCAAACGGCGATAATCAGAGCCCAGCCAGGCTCTGCCAGGTACATTTTTGTTTTTCCTTAAATTCTGGGTGCACTACCAAGGAAATCTCTTAATTTAAATCAGCCCCTGAGAAAGGTGGCTGCAAGAGCCATTTGAAGCTTCGCAAGTTCCTAGGTACCTTTTTACCTTTCTCAAAGTGGAGCTGGTGGAAAGCAGTAACATTAAGTGAAGCCTGGAGATTGAAGAGCTGCTTCAGGTTTCCCATGCTCCCACCTGGGAAAATCCATTGTTACCTCCCTCGTAGGTCTCGGTGATTGCAGGGGAAGAGGTTCTTTTCAGCTGTCTTTACATCAAAGTGAATGAAGCACCCAGGTGACTATTCCTTCTCTCCATGCCTGGATTACCTGTACATTTCAAGGAAAGGATTTCTTGTCCGGAATCACAGACAGACTTCCATATGGCCAGTTAGAAGATGCCAGTTCTCTGGACCAAAATAGCTCAAGGTCCAGCTGCCACACTGGATGCATAAGTTGTTCATTTGTTTCTCACAGCTCTGATTTACCAATTGCCACCCTATAGCTGGGCAGAGGTGTGAGCACTGGAGCGCTGCATATGAGGCAACCTCTGTGTGCCATAGGCCAGGCGTCCCAAGCTCTCAGGTAATCGAGTGTCCCATGGGCTTCTTTTTTTTTTTTTTTTTTTTTTTTTTTTTTTTTTTTTTTTGAGACAGAGTCTTGCTCTGTTGCCCAGGCTGGAGTGCAATGGCGTGATATCAGCTCACTGCAAGCTCTGCCCCCTGGGTTCACGCCATTCTCCTGTCTCAGCCTCCTGAGTAGCTGGGACTACAGGCACCCGCCACCATGCCCGGCTAATTTTTTGTTACTTTTAGTAGAGATGGAGTTTCATTGTGTTAGGCAGGATGGTCTCGATCTCCTAACCTCGTGATCCACCCGCCTCGGCCTCCCAAAGTGTTGAAATTACAGGCGTGAGCCACCGCGCCCGGCAGGGATTCTTAAAAAGAGCAAACGTCCCTCTTATATCCCTCTTTGGAACCGTGGGGATGCATGCTAAGTGCTAACTCTGCCAAGACAGAGATGTGTACAGCCTGTGAATCTTGAACGATTACCTAAATAAAATGTTGATGTGGATTTGAAAAACACAATGTTTCAGGTCAAAGGATCAGATCCGAGAGGAAGCAATTATAACAAAGAAAAAGATCCCACTTCTTGTGTGTAAGTGTGCTTAGAAGCTAAGAAGAAAACACATTCTGGATGAAAATGTTTTCTGAGATATTCTCTCAAGTAAAGATTGGTCCTTGCTTGAAGTAAAAATTGAAATGGAAAGAAAAACATATTCAGGGAGACAAAAAGCTTACAACAGAGTTTTGGAAAAAGGTCTTTTTAGACTAATGCAGTTTTGGAATTGTTTTTTGGAAATTGTCTTTTAACTCTTTGATCTGAACTTGTGCTTAAAATTTTGCAGAATAAAGAATCTTTTTGGTGTCGGCTGCATAGCGTCCTATTAAGAATTCAGCATTTATCTTATCAAGAGATATAATATTTGATCTAATAGAATAGAAACATTAATTTTCTTTTTATGTTTCTTCAAACTGAGAGAATCTGAATTCAATATGAAAAGCAAACTATGATGTTCATCCTTCAAGGGGGCAGCCAGCTTGTTTAGCAATGGTATCTCAAATCAGAATGAAGTTATAGTCATAGGACCAGGGATAAATCCTCCACCCTTTGTTTCAGAAATTTATAACACCCTAGAAATCAGGTATGTTTGAGCTGTTCAGTTTCCATTTCTAATGGATTTTAAAAATTCCACTGAAGTTCTCCCACATACTAGATTTCTCAATATATGTTTCTTGTTAGATGTACCCAGTATGTTTTAGCTTTTGCTTGTTAAAGTTATTTACATGGCTTAAGGTCAAAGGGTATTGTTTCACATTTTGCTCAACGGAAATGTCACGAGACTCCTTTGTTTTTATAGGAAAGGATCAGTTTCAATGAGGTGGTAGAGAACTTCACTTCTAATGTGTCTGTTCAGCAATACATTCACCAGACATGCAAATCTCCTGGAGAAACTATAAAACCATGAGCTCTGTAGTCTGGAGGTTCGATGTGGTGGTTCCTGATCAGAGCCGGGCTGGTTCTCACATTGTCATGCTAGCACACCAGCAAGGGAGAAGGTCAGGAGTAGCATTCTTTCCAAAAGAGGCAATGGAGCAGTGGCGTTGCTTGCTTGAGGATTATGTAAGAAATTGAGATGTCTAGGGGTCATTGATGGTAACCAGAGGAGAAAATGGAACTGAACAGGCTGCTTCCACTTAGCGAGGCTCCTCTAGGAGATGATTTACAAGTCTCAGAGTCCAGCTCTGGTTGAGCTCAGTTTTACGGAGTTGGAGAAAAGCTGTAAAATAAGCTTAAATCAGCCCATCCAGCATTTGAAAGGGCAAAAAAGAAAAGGTGGCAGGCAGGGAGAAAAGGGGAGGCGGGAGAAGGAGGAGTGGTTCCAAAATCTGCTTAATTTCTTCCTTTCCTCTTTGTCTTTGTTCCCTTGGCTCTCATCTCTTACACTAAGTCTGCAAGTAGAGCAAGAGCGGGTGAATGGCCAAAATGGTAGCCATCTCTGCTGTTCTGGTTTTAAAGCCGCTAGACTTAGGCAGCCATTTTCCCTTGGATCATGGATGTCCAAAGTCATATTCTATTAGCTCAGCAGCACATGCATAACAATAAC
This sequence comes from Homo sapiens, assembly GCF_000001405.40. NCBI lineage: Eukaryota > Metazoa > Chordata > Mammalia > Primates > Hominidae > Homo > Homo sapiens. The sequence continues at coordinate 27,618,999 of NC_000010.11, forward strand.
CATGAACCCAGAAATGTGCTGTGGAATTTTCTCCAGCTCTCTTAACGAGCTTTGCAAAGTTCCTCTGTCAAGGAGAGTGGGGAATGCGTAATTTCAAACACATTTTTAATAGTTTCTCTTGGCTCCCTCTGAAGAAGAGGGAGGCATGCTGACGCGGCTCTCGGAGAGGCAGCAACTTTACAAGAGTAATGTTAAACGAATCACCCAGTGCTGGTCGCCCTTGGAAAGCAATGGGGGAGCTGCCTGGGAAACCACGGATTGTCAGACAAAACGCAGCACCAGAGTGTGATGTGTGGCTCTAGAAGTCAAACCCGTGTGACCTATGGCTGGAACAAATGAAGACAGGCAGCTTCAAAGCTCCCCCATCCAAAATATTCTCAGTTGCATCTGCTTTCCAGTCCTTTTTCCTCTTACAACAAAGCAGGATTTTGAAAACAGAAGAAAGAAGTAGCAAGCGCAGAAATGGTGGCAGGTGCCAGACCACCAAAAAGCATCAGTCAGGATGCCTGGCATTCTTGGCTCTCGGCTGTTGCAGCAGATAGATACCTAGTGTAGCCCAATGTCTTGGACGTGCCGACCAGGACTCAGGAAGCCTGGAGACCAGAAGAGAGGAGATGCATGACTCCTGGGCTTTTCTTGCTCAAGAACCTCCCATATGAGTCCATTGTCACATTGGTATAAAGAACTGTCTGAGACTGGGCAATTTATAAAGAGAAGAGGTTTAATGGGTTCACAGTTCCATGGGCTATACAGGAAGCATAGGTTGGGGGGCCTCAGGAAACTTACAATCATGGCTGAAGGGGAAGGGGAAGCCCACACGTCCTACATGGCTGGAGCAGGAGAGAGAGACGGGGTGGGTGGGTATGCTATACAGTTTAAACAAACAGATCTGGTGAGAACTCACTCATTATCACGAGAACTGCAAGGAGGAAGTCTGCCCCCATGATCCAATCACCTCTCACCTGGCCCCTCCTCCAACACTGGGGATTACAATTCAACCTGAGATTTGGGTGGGGACACAAATCCAAATCATGTCACCCCCCCCAAAAAAAACTGACAAAAATACCTTATACTCAAGACAAAAACAATCATGGGAAATGAAAACTCTATACTTCCCTACCTCTCTCCATTTCCAACCAGCATTTATAAGTAATTGGCCATGTTTTCTTAACTGAAAGTTAGAACTCACCATTTGAGAGCCAGTCACAATATTCAAAATTGAGACTATTTTGAAAAATCCCCTGTGACTATAGTCACTGTAATAATATAGGTTTAATTCACTGAATCTACTGAAGTTATTATAATTTTCAAGTTAAGAAATGCCACCTTTATTGAAAAAAATTATATTTTTTATCTGCTAACTGATCATTAAAAAAGTGATTTCCTCATGTTCAATTTCAATGTATTATCTATTTGTAAGGAAGATAGGAGTTAGGGAGTGGGGCTTACTGAAGCAGGAGGCTAGAAACGGTGCTAAGGTTCATCTGTTCCCAGCCCGTTGTCAGAGAAAATAATGGCCTCAAAGAAATGACAAAATCTGCAGCTGGGAAACCCAGGGCCCCACTGCCAAGTACAGTGTTAGTTCCACTACATTCTGCAGCCTGTTGTCTATCTGCTTCATCTGGACCAGTTCTGCCATGAGGGGTTACTGGCCATCAACCCTTCCCTCTCCTTGAGTTTCCAGTGGAAGACAATAGGCTGCTTCTTTTACTCCCAAACCATCAGTAGCATTGCAGCCCAAGTGGGATCCTTGGGAAGGAAAATGCTAAGTGGAGTCTGGCTTCGGTACAAGTAGGCTAATCATGGCAAATGACTGGTTGGAGCTCTGAGAAAGACATGAGCTCTGGGCAGAACTGTTTTCCTCCCCCAAGGCCCAAGTTTGTCGTCCCAGTCTCCTTTGGGTCATCTCTTTCTTCCCTGACAAAAACATCTGGTTGTTTCAAAACTGAAATTTTCATGCATTTCAACTCATGCAGGAATGTTGAAAAGCTGTTCTGAAAAATAGAGCTGCTCCCCGTGCCAAACCAGTTGGGCTGGAATGAACAACTGTTGTTATAAATCTCCGCTCCTGCCTTCTTCAACAGCCCCAGAAGGTTCAAAATAGAATGTTTCATGAGACCAGCCAGACGGATTGAATCAGACCTGCCCAGAAGAGCGCTGTGCCTTAAGAGTATGGAAACACCCCTTTCTCTCCTCCCTCCTCCCACTCTTTTTCTTTCAGACAATTTCTGGGACTGCTGACGAGAGGAGGGCATGTCAGGGTTCTCTGTGTTCATAACAAATTCTTTTGTGTCTTTAAGTGGAAAAATATTTTATGACATGGCAGAGCAATTTCTTGTTCTATGAGTGATTCACAAAGAAAACTCAGCGACCTAATGATGTGTGTTCTTGCCAAAGCCAAGGGAGGGAAAGGGATTAAAAAAAAATTACCCAGAATCAAAAGGCTGAGACGAACTTTGGAAGTCACTTAAGATGCCAGGCCACCTTGCCCCTTGAGAACTCCCAGCAGTGGACCTTCCTCAACCACTGCCCATTACTTCAAACCCATTATTCAGTTTTCCTTGTCCAGAGTGAAACACCCACCTCAACATTCCATGCACAAAACATCTTGTCCGCTTGGACTTTGTTTTCATGTTTTATTCACTAGTCATTATTTCCCAGGAACGTGCATTCTCATCAAGCTTGTCTGTTGTAGCTTTCTGTTCTATAGATAATTAAGTGCTATAATTTCTGTCTGCAATGTATCTGTCTGCAGATGACTTTGATTTTGCCACCACAGAGAGCTCATGCTTTGCAAGGCAGCCCATATCATTCATTGTTAGACAGCTGTAACTGCAAGGAAGGCCATTCTCTCGTTGAACGAATCTGTCTCCCTGCCTCTCCTGAAGAAGGAAGAATTCTTCTGCAACAACTTCTTCCTCTTCATAAGACAGTCCTTTAAATATATGTAGAGAACACTCCCATTTCGTCAAACAATTATCCCAAGCTGCTCATCCATTTTTTCAGTCATTTCTCATATTTTTCAGAACATATCCTGTTCAGTCTTCTTCCTGTGCATTCATTCTAGTTATTCTGAATCCTCCCATCTTCTTCATAGGAGTCTATGCCAACCTGAGTATCCTCCATTCTGTTTTTCTGTGATTTATTTTTGGAGAGCAAATATAAGACTTTACATCTCTTCTCCGTTGAGATTCATTCCATCAGTTTCAGCTGGTGTATGAGAATGTTGACAGCATTTTGAATTCTGACTCTGTATTCTATAGTCCTGGCTATCTGTCTTGAATTTTTTTACTTGCATTGTTGACACAGTGGGCCCTCCCCTCTGCAGATTTTATATCCTTATATTCAACCGACCGTGGATGGAAAATATTTGAAAAAAAAAGCAGTAAAAAATAACCATTCAACAATAAAAATAATACAAACAGAAAAACAATACAGCATGATAACTATTTACATGGCATTTCCATTGTATTAGGTTTCATAAGTAATCTACAGATGATTTAAAGTATACGGAAGGGTGTGCATAGGTTATGTGCAAATACTATGTCATTTTTTATCAGGGACTTGAGCATCCTCAGATTTGGGTATGGAAGGGTCCTGGAACCAGTCCCTTGTGGTTATTTGTTGTCTTTATAAAATGTATTTTGTGTCTTCATAGAAGTCACTGATGAAAAAGTTGAAGTTTTAGAAACTATTCCCTGGATGGTACCAGGCCACAAATCAGTCTTCAGATTCAATTGTTCCTCAATTTCAAATCCAGCCCCTATTTCACCATACTTTCTATAAAAAGATTGTTAAATATTTCATCACAGGTTTTGCTGAAATCATTGCCTAGTATGTCCACCACAATTTTCTCATCAACTTGGAGATGCTATCAAAAATGGGACTAAATCTAGCATAGAGAGACTTCCCTATAGGAAGCTATGGTGGCTGTGCCAGTAGAAGTGAACCCATTTGGTTAGCTGCCTTTGTTGCTGGCATCTTCCTCGGCTTCCCTTTGGCCCCCACACCCTGCTTTTTTTTCCAGGCTAGGTCTTGCTCTGTCACCCAGGTTGGAGTGCAGAGGCGTGACCATAGCTCACTGGAGCCTCAAACTCCTTGGCTCAGGCCATCCTCCCACTCAGCCTCCTGAGGAGCTGGGACTACAGGTCTGCACCACCATGCCTGGCTAATTTTTAAGTTTTTTGTAGAGATGTGGTCTCACTTTGTTGCCCAGGCTGGTCTTGAACTCCTGTACTCAAGCAATCCTCCTGCCTTGGCCTCCCAAAGCACTGAGATTACAGGTGTGAGCCACTGTGCCCAGCCTGGAACTCCTTCTAAACTTCAGAGTACCAATGATGCCTTTTACTGACCATCAAAGAATTTACCTAATTCCTTTCCGGTATGACACCTCCCTTTAATGGTAGCTCTCTGTGCCTTAACCCAAAAGAATGAGTAAAGGGAATTTGTGGTAACTCTGGTTCTTGGTGTCATCACATTGCCTGGGAGGCTCCTATTTTGTGGAATTGACTCTTCTCTTCACATTAAACATTGTTTGTGCCTCTGTACTCTCCTCCCACAACTACCTCCCCAAACCCTACACTCTAACGTGGGCAAACATGGGCACGCCTGTGGCATGATCGGGAATCATCAATGTTCCCCAGGCCAGGCTTCTTTTAGCTAGAATTGAAATGGTCTGAAAGGATTTTTTGCCTTCAAAGGTAGTTTCTAGATGATGCTAACCTAAGTTAGACCAGTTAAGGTGTTTTTATTTGCTTGTTTGTTTTGTTTTAAGAGACAGGATCTCACTCTGTTGCCAAGGCTGGAGTACACTGGTGCAATCAGCTCACTGCAGCCTCCAACTCCTGGGCTTAAGTGATCCTTCCACCTTAGCCTCTTGAGTAGCTGGGTCTACAGACACACTCCATGCCCAGCAGTTGTGATTTTTCAAAACCTCCACCTCTTCTTTTTCTCATTGCCTTTTCCAAGAGCCTTCTTCATGAGCAGAAAGCAAGAAGGCTCATTCGTTCATTCATTCATTCAGCAGAGTCATGACATACCTACTATATGCCAGTCCCCAGTAGGCACACAAGATTCAGAGGTGAGCAACGCAAACAACCCCTGCCCTCGGGGTGTTACCAGTCCAGCTAGGAAGACAGAAGTTACACACATTAAAAACAGCAGTGTGGGATGGAGGTGATGGGAAAGATGGGGGGGGCATAGTTCAGCTGAGAGGTTGGGGCAGTGAGCAGATGGTAACCCAGGAAGGTGGTCACCTGAGTGTGCTCCAGAGCCTAAGCGAAGCCAACTGCCCCTGGGGACCATGCCCAGAATGATGTCCCCCCCCAAACTCTTCTGAATGCTCCCAGGATTGAGGGTTTGTTTGCATCTTAGAGGGAATCTAATACGGTCTCATTTCATAGCCCACCTCAATTTAAACTCCGGGGCTTCACAGCCTTTGTTTATCTATAGAATATTTACCTAACTGTGGGCTTATTTAGTTTTTGGAGGAAAGCGTCTGTAGCACTTCCATTTCCTTGCTGCCGTTGCCAGATCTCCCCACCGAGACTCCCCTTCCTCTTCAAAACACCAGTGATGCCCAGAAGTGCCCTGAAGTCACCTTTTATAATTAGACTTTCTGACTTCTATCCCCAGGGCAGTGGATTTAAGAAACGAGGGCTGGGAAATGTGTTTTTGATGACCATAACCAAGGCTCCGTTTATATGGCCTGGCAGCCTCAATGGAGTGCACTGTGCTTCTGACCCCCTCGCTGGGGGCGTCAAGGTCTCCTGGGCTGGCACACAGACGCCCAGGGCAGAAGAAAGAAAGGCAAAAAGGAATTTTACTGAGGACTTTTCTCACATTTATCTGTCTTTGCTCTTGATCTGCTTGGGCAGGGGCTGCTGGGATCCTAAGCGCAGTCTTCCACTCCCCTGGGTCTCCTCCCTGCCCCAGACCCCTCCCCTTAACCAGACAAGGTTACTTGGGCCTACTGTGGCTGGATGGCCACTCTATCGTCTCACTAGACATCCTTGAATTCCTCTTTCTCAGACCATCCCAGGGCCCGTTCCCTCCAGAAACACCCAAAACAAGAATGAGAAGCTTTGCACAGAAACCCGGAGCTGCAGTCACAGAACGCGTCTGCAAACGTGGAAAATTTCTCTTTTGCACTCTCCCTAAACATTTGACAAGAATTAAAATTTCCCCCAGGGGAACCAATTTCACAGATTGAAACCAAACTTTTTTCCGTCTTATATGGTCTCTCTCTCTCTCTCTCTCTCTGTCTCTGATTAGAAAGAAATGATTTCCTCTGAAATAAAGCCGCTTGTGCTGGGAGTGCAGTGGTAAACACCGCCTGCCTAGAATGCCCCCGGTTTAAATTAGGGTGCTGCGGCCAGGCCCGTGTTTACTGTTCTGAATGCTTTTCAGAGCTGTCACAAGCCATATCCTACCGTGGCACCGAGGCCTGGCCAAGGCAAAACCTGTTTTCCCTGGAAAAATAATAAAATGCGGAGCCGGGTTCTTTTAAAATGGCTTCTGTTTCACAATTCCAGTTGACTTTTCTGTTGGGAAATGATTCCCCATTAGGCCTTCAAGGCGGAGGAAGGGGTGGAGAGGCGGAGAGGACAGGGAGGGGGATGGAGCGGCAGAGAAGGACCCCTTTACACGCTGTGCTCTGTCCTCTGCCCTCTGCCCTGGAGCCAGGCTGGCTTGCGCTGAGCCCTTCCTGACTGAGCTGGGATCACCTTGTCTGACAGCATGGGACAATCAAGGCACTGCAGAATCTACATTCAGCAAAGGAACAGCAGTTGTCCCCTGTCTGTTCTTATGCAGCTCTGGCTGGGCAGGGCTCCCTTCAAACAGGGACAGGGGCCAGCATCACTAGACAGAATCTACATCTGTAATGAAGCCGAGCTGCCACTGCATGTCAGCAGCTGGTGTCATTTTAAAACCATGGGGATGGGCCAGGGAAAATCCCAGGTCTCCAGGGGCAAGTTGGCTTCCAGGAAAACAAGAAATGGAAATGAGGGGCATGGGGCTGGGGAGGAGAGGGGCAGGAGTCCACTGAGCAGAGATGTACAGTCATAAATATGCATGTCTGGTGATGCGCATTGCAAATTGAATTCTAACGTGCACACACAGGGTATATTGTAGCATGTTTATGACTATCCCAGAAAGGGTGGGGAGCTCAAACACACATTTGGAATTTTCATTGGAAACATATGTGCAATTAGCAAAAATGAAGGCATATCTTAGAAAAATTAAACCTGCACCTAAGCACTGGGCAAGCTGGCTTATTTCAACTTGCTCTGTCGGGGAGCATTACAGCACCCTCCTGATGTGGTGGTGGTGGCGGTGCAAGTTGAAAAGGCTTTGGGACACCTTTAGCCCTAAGGCAGGCTTTCCAGAGTCATGCTACCTACAAGTACCGCATAGGATGCTGGGCCCAACCTTTTATATTTAACACCCCGTGAGTCTCCAGTTACCCAGTTTGGAAAAGCGATTTAGAGAGAATTGACTCATTTTAATTTTAAACTTTTTGTTTCTCAAATTGAACACATCAGTGTGACCAACCTCTGGGCCATGGAGAAGAATGTTAGTAGCGCCCAGAAATCTCACTCAACTTCTCTTGCAGGTATCACCTTCTCCTTCTTATTCATTACATTTTATTATTTATTTATTTATTTATTTATTTATTTATTTATTTATTTATTTTAGTTTTGGTGGGTATGTAGTTTTTCTAGGTTAGCTACTAAAAATAGGGTGATTTATCTTGTGCCAGAACTTCAGGGCAAAGCCAACTCCAGTCCCCAGTGCCGTGAAGTGCCAGGCCCATGCCATCCTCAGCAGCAGTGACGGCTTCACTTCCCTGGCTGTGCCTCCAGCCTCCCAAGGCTCCCTGATGTTACCCAGTCTTCAGAGACAGGCTCAAATACCATCTCCCTGCAAGCTCTCCAGATCTCTCCCCTCCCAATTCCAGTGGCACTTGGAGTTCATTAATTCACTCATATGTATTGAGAATCAACCAATTCCAGGATGTTTACTCTCAAAGAATTTAGCACCATCTAGGGGGAGATACACAAATGGTGATGATGCACTGGGGGAAAAGACAAATAACATGCTATCGTCACTGCCGGGGCTGCCGGGGCTGGAAAGTACAGAAAGCTGGGGCTGGAAAGTACAGAAAGTGAGAGGGCATCCAAAGGGGAGAACTTCTCTCGGTCTCAAGAGGTTAGGGCTCGAGATCAGTCTGGCCAACATGGTGAAATCCCATCCCTACTAAAAATACAAACATTAGCGGGCCTGGTGGCAGGCCCCTGTAATCCCGGCTACTCAGGAGGCTGAGGCATGAAAATCACTTGAACCCAGGAGGTAGAGGTTGCAGTGGGCCGAGATCATGCCACTGCATTCCAGCCTGGGCGATAGAGTGACATTCTGTCTCAAAAAAAAAAAAAAAGAAAGAAAGAAAGAAAAAAGAAAAGAAAAGAAAAAGACCTTAGGGCTGCTTCTGAAAACAAGAGGAACCTCAGCAGGGATGTGAGGCACTAATTGAGAGCTGTCCAGGTGAAGGGGCCAGTGATAAGGAGAATAGAATTCAAGGCAGTGTGAATAACATATGCAAGAAGAGGAAAAGACTGGGAGGTGAAGTTGGAGAGATTAGCTGGGATTAGATCATGAAGATATGTCCTTTTATGCTCTGGGTGACTATGCATTTCAGTTTGCCCTAGAAGAGACTCTATTTACACCTGTGGTCTCAGCATAACTATTATCATCTTCCCTCCTTCGCATTCAGTAAAGATTAGTTTGGTTGGGTGCAGTGGCTCACCCCTGTAATCCCAGCACTTTGGGAGGCTGAGGCAGGAGGATTGATTGAGCTCAGGAATTTGAGGCTGCAGTGATCTATGACCACACCACTGCACTCCAACCTGAGTGACAGAACAAGACCCATCTCTTAAAAAAACACTGATTGGTTTAGACAACTAATAATCTGTCACCCCAGTTAATCCATGCCAGGGAATTTAAACTTAATCCTGAAGATAGGTCCAAGGAGCCAGTGAAATGTTTCCAGAAGGAAAGAAACATGATCAACATTTGCATTTTAGGAAGATTATTTTGGCCACAGTAGAAGAAAATAATGCTGGAGGCAAGAGATGTTTTAGGAGATTATTGTAGTCATCCGAGGTAGAGATGAAGGTAGTCAGGATTAAAATACTGACAGTGATAATGGATAGATTCAAGATAGATGATAACTACTGAGAGAGAGGAATCACAAAGACTTGGTGATTTTACTTACTTTGTGTTCATTAGCTGTTTATATATGTTACTGCCTTCTAAGATTTAGATCTAGATTTTGCTGGTAGCCTGGTGCTCGGGTTCTAGGAACACAGAACCCTCGCAAGAGCTGGAAGAAGAAGGGAATGAGAGCAAGCTCCAGTGTGGTATCTTCCCTGTCTGGAACATATAGCTTTCCTGTGCTGAGTAGACTTCCAGAAAATGGTTCGGGCTGAGGCCAAGGTCATGGCTGGGGCGGGGCAGTACTGGTTTGGAGTGTTAGAGGCAGCATGGTAGCAATGGCGTTCTCCGCAAAGATCTCACCCTTTGACTAGGAGGTGGGTTTACATCCTGTAGTGCCGATGAATGTTACAGGCTTGCAAGTTACATTTTAAAAAATATTTTATCAACACTTCTAGAGTGGAACAAACTCCAGTCAATGCCACATGTGTTTTCCATGTGCGTTCCGACTGTAGAGAGTAACCAAACAACTCTGTATTGAACTTGTCAGAATATAATAAAAAATTCCGCTAATTACTTCAGCATGAAGCCTACTGAACAATCTCCCTTAATCATCAGAAGCAGGTCCTATTAGTGAGCACCATGGCTCAGTAACACCGCTTCATTGTGTTTCTTGGACAACTGCAAAAGCTTATCTTTCACTGAAAGTTTTTCTCATTTTTGGATCCTTTTTCCCCGTAATAGTCATCATTACTAACTACATCAAGGGTTCAGTGCTGGGAAAAGTACCATGCCAAGAAATACCTGAAATGGGAATGGACATTCACGTTGGAGTAGTGGTTTTTGCCAGAAATTGAACTCTAGCAATGAATTGAGTTTTCTAGGCTGCTGATTTCATTGCCTGTAAGTGCACCAAGTATAAAAATCTGCCAGTGTGGACACACTATTTAGCATATATGCTTTACCTCTGAGAGGCCAGTAATAATGACAGAACAAAGTTAAAGGAGCTTTGAGCCTAGGAGGAAAAATTAAAAGGTTTGTAACATTTACAAAGAGAAACAATTATTTATCTTGATCTTTCTCATCTCTTGTTTCAGCTCCCTTTAAGCATCTACACGATCTGGAAAAAAAGTAAAGAAAAAAGAAAGTGAAATCAGTGAAAAGAAATAGTTCTCAAGTACAGAGAAGGCATAATTATTTATATGGATATGAGAGAGTCACAGTGCAGAGTCTGTAAATGTTTATATTTGGTTTTAAAATGAAATATGGTAAGCTCCATTTACTATTCAAAAATCCAAATTTATAAAACAGATTTTTTTTTGTTATTGTTGTTAGTGGGAAGAGGAGGTGGAAATGGTTGGGATAGGAGTTAATGCATATTGCAAAAAAATCCTTTACTTTGCAAAATGATTCACTGAAAGCTTCCCTTAAATAATAGCTCTGCTGGTGCATTTAATTTACCAAAGAAATCAATTTTAAACAGAGTTTTAGGAATAAAGTCTGTCTTAAGCAGTGGAAAGATTGCAGGCATTTAAAAATAAAAACAGACTGAGGTGAATATTCAAGTAAATTTGCATTTTGTTAATAGACTTTTCTTAGGCAAGTGCAAGGATGAGGGCCTAAAACTGTGATGAGAGGTTCAGTGTAAGGGGAGAAACTTGAAGGAGTAAATTAGGTAGGACTGGGATAAGAGCACCAACTTATACTTAAAAATTGGATATAATATAATCTAAGGAATGAATTATAATAGGAAACCTTGCTTCAGTAAAAGTAAGTTTAAAGATTTCTAGGCCAGGTGTGGTGGTTCACGCCTATACTCCCAGCGCTTTGGGAGGCTGAAGCGGGCAGATCACCTGAGGTCAGGTGTTCGAGACCAGCCTGGCAAACATAATGAAACCCTATCTCTATCAAAAATACAAAAAATTAACGAGGCAAGGTGGTGGGCATCTGTAATCCCAGCTATTCAGGAGGCTGGGGCAGGAGAATTGCTTGAACCTGGGAAGCGGAGGTTGCAGTGAGCTGAGATCACACCATTGCATTCCAGCCTAGGTAACAGAGCAAGACTCCACCTCAAAAGAAAAAAAAAAAAAGATTCCTAGGTCAAGATGCTGTTAATGTTCCTTTAAGCTGGCAGGTAATTTCTTCTCTCCTTCCTAATTCCCACTGAAACAAACAAATAAATATGCAACAGAGAAGTCTGCATCAATATTTACCTGGTTTCTACAAAAGCAAGTATGTCAATTAGAAAAGAGCAAAGAGTGGAGAGAGAGTTGACCCTGATGGCTTCAGGCTGGTACTCCTGGGAAGACTTACAAGTGTACTTGAAAGGTAACATAAATAAAGTAAAATAATTAATATTCATAATTTGGATCTAAAAGCTTAGATTATGTTAACAGTAATTGGGAGTTGGGAGATACGAGATAAAAGACTGTTAAATGTCTTGTTTTACATAATGGGAGGGGAGAACAGTGAATAGATATAATTTCTTGCTTAATTATGATCAAGAATTTAAGCTTGACTTTTATTGAAAGGCAACTTCTTATAGAACAAACAAAGGAATAGAGAGAAAAGAATTATACCTTAAATCAAGTCAGTGGGAAAAAGCAGTGTTTCTATTGATTGTTTCTATTAATACAGAGATAATTTGGAAGGAAAGACTGAAACTGAAAATCACAAGCAAATACTTTGGTGCTGGTAAGCATACAACACAGAGACACATGTCCCTTTTCTAGTGCTTAATGTGCCAGTCAGGTTTTGCATCTACAGAGGTAGATAGAATTGAATAGAAGTAAAGAGCTAAAAGGCTGCCTACACAAAATTCGAAGTCTGTTGAGAGAAAGAGGTCAACTTAGCAAGTTCAGAGAACAGTTCCCTGTGGAAAAAGGTGACTTCTGAGTGAGCTGTAAGGCCAGGATGATCAAAGAAATTTTAGGAGGAGATTCACCTCATTTGATAATACATTGATTGCTTGGCTATAATTCACACTCCCTTCATTACCTCAAGTCTTCAGACAAGACTTTACAAAAGGTTTGGAGGTAAGAAAAGCTTAGTATAAGGTTTGAGGTTAGGCATGGTAGCTCATGCCTATAATCCTAGTGCTTTGGGAAGCTGAGGCAGGAAGATTGCTTGAAGCCAGGAGTTCAAGACTGGCCTGGGCAACATAGCAAGATCCCATCTCTACAAAAAAAAATTGAAAAAAAAAAAAAAAAAAGATTAGCCAGGCATGGTGGTGTGTGTCTGTATTTCAAGCTACTAGGAAGGCTGAGGTGGGAGGATCAGTTGAGCCCAGGAGTTAGAGGCTGCAGTGAGCTATGATGATGCCACTGCACTCCTGGGAGACAAAGTGAGGCTCTGTCTTAAAAAAAAATAATAAGCTAATAAAAAAGCAGGTTTAGAGTGATTAGGAGCTTGAGGGGGGGTAAGAGAAAAGGGAATAGGGAACACATCTGGGCCAGAATGAAGCTGCAAGCGTCATGCAGCTATGGGAATCACTGCTAGAGATGTTGAGAATAGAAGGCACAAAAATTCAGAAGCAAAATTCTCCATGAAAATGTAAGCCCCTATAATCTCAGTGAGGGCATTCGATTTCTTTTTGAATGCAACTGAGAGAGTTAATAGTTTTATTTGTTTTGTGTTTAGGTATCGAGGGGCCATGTGACTTCTGGGGGTATAGAATAGAATATCTGTATTATTAGAGTTAAAAAGATAAATCTATCAAAAAGTAAAATGAAAAAATAGCCACAAACCATTAAATAAGATAATAGAATTGAGATAAAATAAAGCAGTTATCACATTGAATGTGTACAGTTAAACTTGCTATTAGGTTGGGCAAAATGGCTCACATCTGTAATCTCAGTGCTTTGGGAGGCCAAAGAAGGAGGGTCACTTGAGGCCAGGAGTTCCAGACCAGCCTGGGCAAAATTGCAAGACCCTGTCTCTAAAACAAATAAATAATAAATAAATAAATAAAAATCTGGGCATGGTGGCACGTTCCTATAATCCTAGCTACTTGGAGGCAGAGGCAGAGGATTGCTTCTGGCCAGGAGCTTGAGATTACACTGAGCTATAATTGCTCCAGTATACTCCAGCCTGAATGATAGAATGAGACCCTGTAGCTAAAAACAAAAAACCAACAACAACAAACAAAACAAACAAAAACCCTTGCTATTAAATCACAAGACAGAGACTTGCGCTCCATGGAAGGATGTAATAGGTCATAATAGCCCAATGCTTTGGCTGCAATAACGAAAGAAGAATACCAAGATTTTCCAAAATTATATATTTAAAGACATAGGAGAATTGTGGTAACAAAGAGACTAGATGAGTTGAAATTCTAATTGTGAAGTGAACTTGCAATTACCAGCTCTTTCCTTTGCTGGATCAATGGGCCAATTTGGTTAAAACAAGAAACTACTATATGCTGTTTGCAAGAGACAGACGTTAAATTCAATGCTGTTTATAAGAGACTTATTGATAAGGACACAGGAAAATGGAAAAACAAAAGAATGAGAAAAGATATGTCATGCAAACACTAAACAAAAGCTAGCTGGTATAGCTATATTAATATCACATGATGGGACTTATGGAAAGAAATGTTAATAGAGACAGAGTTTTCATAATAAGAGAGCCAATTCATCAAGGAAACATGATAATTTTAAATTTGTATACACCTAACATAGTTAAAATATGTACAGCAAAAGTTCATAGATCCAGAAGTAGAAATTGGTCATCCACAATTATAGTCAGAGATTTTAATACACCATTCTCAGCAATTGATAATAATAAATAAAGAAAAATATTAATAAAAACATGGAAGATCTGAACCTGATTCACAAGTGTAGAACATCACACTCAATAACTGCAGAACACACATTTTTTTTTCAAGTTTACATGGAACATTTTTTTTTTTGAGACAGAGTCTTTCTCTGTCACCCAGGCTGGAGTGCAGTGGCATGGTCTCAGCTCACTACGAGCTCCGCCTCCTGGTTTCATATCATTCTCCTGCCTCAACCTCCCAAGTAGCTGGGACTACAGGCGCCTACCACCATGACCAGCTAATTTTTAGTATTTTTAGTAGAGATGGGGTTTCACAGTGTTAGCCAGGATGGTCTTGATCTCCTGACCTCATGATACACCCACCTCGGCTTCCCAAAGTGCTGGGATTACAGGTGTGAGCCACCGCACCCAGCCTACATGGAACATTTACCAAAATAGAACCTATACTAGATCAGAGGGTAAGTCTCCCAAAATTTCAAAGACTCAGAACATACAGAAAATGTTATTTGACTACAGTAGAATTAAACTGGAAATCAATAATAGAAAAATAAGTAGAAAATCCCCAACTTCAATAATACATGCATCAGAAAAGAAGTCATAACAGTAGTTATGAAATATTTTCAAAACATGGAATGCAGTTTCTGACCAAAGAGAAATTTATACTTTTGAGTGAATAGGGTAGAAAAAGAAAAGTCAAAAATCAATGATTTCAGCCTCCCTTCTGAGAAACTAGAAAGTGAAGAGCAAATTAAACCCAAATAGGATGAAGGAAAAATAAAGCTAAGGCAGAAACCAATGAAAAAGAAAGCAAAGATTATTTCTAATAGCCCCAAATGGAAAGAATGCAAATGTTGATCAATGGAAGAAAGGATATATAAACTGTGGTTTGTTCTTACCATGAAATATTATATAGCAATGAAAAAGAATGATTTCTGCTACATGCAACAACAGGATGAAATTCACATATGTAATGCTGAACAAAATAAACTAGAATGAAATTAGTCCCTACTGTGTAATTCCATTTAAGAGAAATTTAAAAGCAATCAAAACTAATCTAAGGTAACAGGAGTTAGAATGATGTTTTTCTTAGAGGGTTTTTGACAAGGAGGGTGTGGTACACATGAAGAGGCCAGATTCCTCCTTCAGCTGCAAGGAGTGTTGTCAGCCAACAGCCATCAGCTGTCATTGATTTAGGGATTGCATCAGCAACAGAGAGGTGCCTGGACCAGGGTCACACACTCTTCCAGAAGCAGTTTACAGCTAATAATAGATCCAGGTGGGGGTATAAAGACAAAGGACTGGCCATTTTGGACAGTCACCTGTCCATTGGACAGGACAATTCAGAGGACGCTTTCAGCTCCAGAGCTTTCTGTGGGTTTGGCTGAGGCTGAGGGTCCCGCATGACACCTTGACATCTTCTACTGAGGCCTGCTTCCTTCCCTCATGATTAATAGGTATTGATCATGATTACTCAATAATAAATATCCTGGACACAAAACAGTCTCAGAATCTGCTTCCAAGAGAACCCAATCTACAATACGGTGTTAGATGGGAGCCTGCTAGGGTGCTGGAAATGTTCTATAATTTGACTTGAGAGTTGGATACACATGTGTATGAATATGTAAAACTTCATTTAATTATACATTTAAGATTTGTTCACCTTATGTAAATTGTACTAAAGAAAAAAGAAAAAAATGGCAAAGACTCAAACTGAGATTTAAAATAGGCTATATGGTCTTTTTAAAAAAGACACACCTAGAAGGCTTGGCAAACAAGATATATTACCAATATTTTGGAAGCAGGTAAATGGTGACTAACTTTAGAGAGAAAGTTGAAATCTAAGCCTATGAGCAAAGAAACTAATAAGAGGTAAGCCAGTTTCTACACATAGCCCCAGAAAAGCTCACAGATTCTAGATGTCAGGTTATGAAGACAAGAGTGTAGAATGTGGTGGGAGTTGGAAAGGTTGGCCGAAAGGCCTTACACCAAGCAGTTAGTCTCCTGGATCCTTCCTTGACCCCATACTGCTGTGTCACTACTTCTCCCCATTTTTAGCAGCCTGAACTTGGCGCACAGCAGAAGCAGAAAAGTGAGTGTGAGGTGCCTGCCCAAGCCCTTGGGAGCCCATCTCTTGCACCAGTGGGCCCTGTATGTGGGACATGGGGTCAAAGGAGACTATTTTGGAGTTTTAAGATTTAATGACTGCCCTGCTGGGTTTTGGACTTGAGTGGGGCCTATAGCCCCTTTCTTGTGGCCGATTTCTCCCTTTTGGAACAGGAATGTTTACCCGAAGGCTATACCCACATTGTATCTTGGAAGTAAGTAACTTGTTTTTCATTTTACAGGCTCATAGGTAGAAGGAACTTGCCTTATCTCAGATGAGACTTTGGACTTTTGAGTTAATGCTAGAACGAGTTAAGACTTTGGGAGACTACCGGGAAGGTATGATTGCGTTTAGCAATATAAGAAGGACATGAGATTTAGGGGGGAGCCTGGTAGAAGCTGTTTGGGTCATAGGGCGGATCCCTCATGGCTTGGCGCTGTCCTTGCAATAGTAAGTTCTCATGAGGTCTGGTTGTTATCAAGTGTGGCACCTCCCCCATCCCTTGCTCCTGCTTTTGCCATGTGACCTGTCTTCTCCTGCTTCACCTTCGTCCCTCCTTGTAAGCTTCTTGAAGCCTCCCCAGAAGATGAGCAGATGCTGGCACAATTCTTCCTGTATAGCCTGCCCAATTGCAAGCCAATTAAACCTATTTTCTTACAAGTTACCCAGTCTCAGGTATTTATTTATAGTAATAAAAAAATAGCCTAATATAGTGCCATATTGAAAATAGGCAGATCAAATGAAAGTTGACATCTTCAATAGTGAGACCTCTGGTCCTGTCCCTTCACTTGGGTCTCAGAATACTAACAGTCAGCATTATTCTCTAGCAGAAGATTCATTGATTTCTTTTTAAGGGAACTGACCAGCCCACATTAAAATGTCTCATTCTTTTTTTCTGACTGCAACATAGTGCTGTGTTTTTGGCAGTCAAGCTGTTGGCTTTCAGCAGGACCCAGGTGAGTCAAGTCAACCAGGCTGTTGGTTCTCGACATTCTGCACATTGCCTGGGGAGCTTATAAACAATACCTCAACCTCTCCTCGTGGGTTCATCTCCTCTGAGTTTCTCACTGCATTTGGGAGAGTGTTCAAGAAAATTTAATTAGAATGTCAAAATATTTTCTGAGTGCAATTGACATCTCAGTTATACTTACATAAAGAAAACAGCAACATTTTAAAGGAGGAATATTTTGAAAATAAATAAAATTACGATGATGTTAAATGCACTCTGATTTTATATGTAAATCCTAATAGAGATTTTTATCAAAATCAGTCAAATGGTCATAAATTTTACCCCAAATAATAAAAATAAAAGAAAAGGCAATATTTAAAAAATTATTGAGGTATAACTTAATGTAGTGAAATGCACAAATCTTGAGTGTACAGCTCCATAAGTATTTTTATATGTATACACCTATACAACCACAATCCAGATCCAGTTATAGAACATTTCCAATATTCCAGTAGGCTTCCTTGCACCCCTCTCAGTCAGCAAATCCAACAAAAGGCAACTATCTCCTGACCTCTATTACCATAGATTAGTTTTATTTTGAATTTCTTATTAATGTAATCAATTAATACAATTAATAAGATTAATCTTTTAGTCTTTTGTGTGTGGCTTTTATTCAACATTATGCCTCTAAGATTCATTGATATTTCAGCATGTAGCAGTAGTTTATTATTTTCATTGCTTTATGGTGCTCCATTTCATGAATATACTAACATTTTAAAAAATAAATTCTTCACTGGTGATAAACATTCTGGTTGTTTTCTGATTTTTAGCTATCATATTCATGCACATGTCTTTTGGTGAAAGTAAATACTCATTGTTACTAGAGGGAAAGCCAGGAGGGTTAATATTGGGTCATAGAGTATACAGTACATATGTTTAGCTTTAATAGACACTGCCAAAGAGTTTAGAAACATCTGTTCTAATTTACATTCCCACCAGCAGTATTTGAGAGCTCTAGTTGCTCCAAATCCATACCACCACTTGGTAATGTTTATACTTTATTTTTAGCCATTCTGGTAGACATGAAAGTAGATGTGTTACTTTCATTACTTTTAATGGCAAAAACTGCAATTACTTTCGCACCAATCTAATATCATATAAGATGTTAAAATTAATCATACAGTCACAGAAATTAAAAGTCTGGGGCTTTACTGCTGGAACATAGAAGTTGTTATAACAGTGTAGAATTAAATATACTTCCATAAATGACGAAAGTGGCTTTTCACGTCAGTAGGGAAAGAGTGGATAGGCCAATGAATTGTGTTGATAATCAGTAAAAAAAAAAAAAAAAAAAAGAAAGTGAAATGATTTTGTTTCTTTGTCAATGGTTAATTGATGAAGAGTTAATGAATGACAGCTGGGCATCCTACATCAAGGTTGGTAATCTTGACTATTCCCAGTATCTCTATTGGTAAATAAAATATGGTTGAATTTGTTGTCTGATAAGATCAGCTCAAATGTTCTGTAGTCAGTCTAAACTGAGATGGTTGCTGCTTTTGTTTGTCTTTTTCAAAACTCAATTAAGCAGTGACATTTGGTAAATCAAAATAGCAAGACAAAAGTAAAAATAAACTTGTCTGGATTCCTCTCTTGAAAGCAGAGGAAAGATGACTGAGATGGGCCCATTCTAAGCCCCGAGGGCCTGAGGGACTCCTGGAGCTTTTTGACATGCACTGTTTGTTTTCAATGGGGAATTACTCAAAATGTAATAAGGAAATATTTTGCTGAGTAAATAGATTCATTTACATCTTGTGGCATGGACGGTTAGAAAGAATCCTGGCCTTTTAGCTCACTTGGCTGAAATCCCTAGTCAAAGAGAGGGATTTCTCTTTTCACCAGTATTTCTGTCTTTCCAAGGGGTTCTTCCTCCTCCTTTTGAAATTAGATATTTTCAGACACTTGAAGTCCAGGGAGGGAAAAGAGACTTTATTCTACTGTGATGGGGAAGAAAATTATTAATGTTTTGTGGTCTCAGCCTTTCCTGTACCTCCCTCTGCCTCTCTAGAGATAATTATAGCTTTGTCAGCTCAGAGCTCAGGGTTTTATAATGCAGAATTGAGTTAATGGTGAGCCAGAGACACAACTGGACGAATGGGACATAGGGATTACATTGGAAAGAACAAGATTATTCATGAGAAAGAAAGCTGGAGAGGAAAGGGAGGATGAATGGAGGGATAATGGGAAGTAGCAGGACTTGGCCATGGAGAGGTTTGGATTAGGAGATGAGAGGAGGGAAAAAGAGGTTTCTGGGGTCAGTAGCAGTTTCTGTGGTGAGTTTTGAGAGTGGAGGAGACCCATAGAGAGGATGCGGCATGATTTGCTGTGCACTAATAGTGTAGTTCCCTCCACATTTCTTGGCGATTTTCTCCCTAAGTAGAAGTTGGAACTGATTTAATGTGTATTTTTCTTTAGAGAGCAGTTCTTTGAATTAAAATGTATGTGCTGAGGCTAGGCCAGGAGTGGGGGTAGGGGGTCCTAGTTGTATTTTGGTTACATCATAAGAGCCAAAGCTTGTATCACTCTTGGCCTTTTCCTCTCAGTTTGCTCCTGGCCTTGCCCCATTTTTTGCCTCACAGGAAGGATCTCCTATTTCTTGTCCACTGGCTGTCTCTCTGCAGCACATTGCCTGTCACTGATTCTCAAATGCTAATAAGGTACAGATGCATCGTTTAAAATATCAGTTTAAAATACCACCAATGTCACCTCATCTTTGTCCTCATTTGTAGTCTCTGGAAAAAATCATGAGTTTGGAAATGATTATTCCTTTCAAAATGACTGCAGGATCCCCCTATCAACTGGCTATTTACAGCCATAATGATATCCCTTTGAATGACAAAATCCATATGTATTAGTTGATTCTCATGCTGCTAATAAAGACATACCCGAGACTGGATAATTTATAAAGAAAAAGAGGTGTAATGGACTCAGTTCCACGTGGCTGTGGCTGGGGAGGCCTCACAATCATGGCAAAAGGCAAAAGGCACATCTTACATGGCAGCAGGAAAAAAGAGAATGAGAACCAAGTGAAAGGGGTTTCCCCTTATAAAACCATCAAATTTCATGAGACTTACTCACTACCATGAGAACAGTATGGGGGAAAACGCCCCCATGATTCAATTGTCTCCCACCAGGTTCCTCCCACAACATGTGGGAATTATGGGAGCTACAATTCAAGATAAAATGTGGGTGGGGACTTAGCCAAACCATATTACCATGTCTACAGTGAAAATGTTCAATACCAGGTCCTAGCTATCTCATATATCCTTCCCTTGCCTCCAAAACTATTCCAGTGCTGTGGATATAGCAAAACAGACTGAAAAAAATCCTGCTGTCATGGTGTTTACAATCTAGTGGAGTTATATACATATAGTTTTTAATAATGGGAAGAGCTAAGGAAGGTGGTGAGCAGGAAGATGTCTTCCAGAGTGATTGGAGAAGACTGAGTTAGTGAGATGATTTCAGAGAGGTTATGGGCAGAACGGGGAAGATCATGCAGAGCCTCGTAGGTTAAGATGAGCACTTGGGTTTTTATGATACTTTATGTGAGATGGGAAGCCATTGGAAGGATTTGCACAGAGAAGGTACATAATGTGACTTAAATTTTAATAGGATCACTTTGACTTCTGTTTTGAGAATAGACTGAAAGCAAGGAAAGACACAAGGAGACAAGTTACGAAGCTTTATAGTAATCTAGATGAGGGAGGATGGAATCTTTCACCAGGGCAGTAGCTGTGGTTATGGTGAGAAAATAGATTCTAGCTTATTTTTAAGGAAGAGCTGATGTGATTTGCTAACCAGCTGGATACAGGATGTGAAAGAAATAGAGGAATCAAGGATGGTTCTAGATTTTTGGTAGGATAAAGTTGCTATTAACTAAGAAAGGGAAGACTGTGGTTGGAGCAGGCTTGGATGGAAATATCAGGAACTCAGTTTTGGACATATTAAGTTTAATAAGACTTCTAAATGGAGATATTAGGTAGGCACTTGTATAGGTGAACTCAGGCAGTAGTTTGGTCCATCAAAGTAGATCAGTGAGTTACCATTACATGGATAATATTTAAAGTCATTAGACAGTTTATGATCACCAAAGGAGTGTTTATAGATAGGATAAGAGACTCAAGGAACTGGGGTACGTCAATGTTTAGAAGTAAGGGAGATGAGAAAGAACCAGAAAAGCAGACTGAAAAATGTGGCCAGAGACAGGTTGTCCTGGAAGCACAGTGAAGAAGGTGCTTCAGGAAGGATGAAATGATTGATGTTAAATCTTGCCAATGAACCAAGTAAAATGAAGAAGAAGTTGACCATTGGATTTAGCAAAGTGGAGTTCATCAGTGGTGTGGACAAAAACAATTTCAGTGAAGTGGTATAAGGGTGAAAACCTTATTGAAGTGCTACATAGAAATGATTCAACGGAGAGGAAAATTAATATACAGGGGAAAGAACTGCTGGAACAATATCTTTCAATAGGCAAGAGAAGGTGATATCTAACACTCTAGTAAAAAGGGTAGGTGTATTATTACGACAGGAGAGAAAGTAGAGAATATGGGAACAAAAGACAGTTTACAGATGGATGTGGTGGTTGGAACTAGTGGAAGACATTTCTGGTTGCTTTCATTTTCTTGGTGAAATAAGAAGCAAGGTCACAAGGTGGGAGGGAAGGAGAGAAAGAATGGGGAAGAAAACATGAAGTGGGTTTCCAGAAGCGTGGAAAAGTGATCAGACTGAAAAAAAAAAGTAGTATAACCAACAGAGAGCATTAAGTTCCCACAGTTCATGATAATGAATTAAAACAAAACCAATGAACATAGTTATGCTTTTTAAAAGTCCACCCCTAGATAACTGCACCAGTGAAGATGCCAAACAGCTACAGAGTTAGATTTAACTAGGGTCAAGATTTTTATCATGAGAGTATTCTGAAGCAAAAGAAGAGCAATTTTGTCAATTTTTCCTTCATATATTTTGGGAGTCTGTTATTAGGTGTATAAGTATTTCTGTCTTTTTGCTATATTGAAATTTTTATTAATATATAATAGTAAAATTAATACACTTTAAATTTAAAAAGGTTACAAGAGACAAAGCAAACATTACATATTAATGTCTCTTGTAAAGTCTTCTTTGTCTTTTGTAAACTTAATGTCTTCTTTGTCTTTTGCAACCTTCTTAAATTTAAAGTGTATTTTGTCTGATGTTGGCATTGCCACCCCAGAGTTCTTTCGGTTACTATTTGTGTGGAATATCTTTTCTCATCCTTTCACTTTCAACCTATCTGTGGTGTTGGAGCTAAAGTGAGTATCTTGTAGACAGCAAATGGTTGGATCACTTTTTTTTAAAATTCATTCTTCTAATCTGTCTTTTGACTGGAGATTTTAATTCATTTATATTTAAAGCAATTGCTAATAGGAAGAGTTAACTTCTTCATTTTGTATTTATTTTCTATATTCCTTATAGTTTTTTTGTTCCTTATTTCCTGCATTTCTCTTTTTTTGTGTTTTATTGATTTTTGTAGGAAAGTGTTTTAATTCCTTTCTCATTTTCCTTAGTGTACATTCTATAGTTATTTTCTTTATTGCTACTATGGGTATTACACTAAATATCCTAAAGTTATAACACTAATTTGAATTTACAGTAGCTTAACTTCAATAGCATACAAAAACTCTGCCTCATTACAGCTCTGTCCCCATCCCCTTTCAGTTATTAACATAATAAATTATATCTTTATATATTGTGAGCCTCAAAACATAGACTAATGATTGGTTTTTAAGACACATTTGTTTCTTTAATCATGTTAAAAATCAAAGTTACAATAAAGCTAGTTTTTTTAATTGTCCATGTATTTACCTTTACTGGAGATCTTTATTCTTCATATGACCTTGATTTACTATTTAATGTCCCTTTATTTCAATCTGAAGATCTTTTGAAATCTAGTAGTAATAAATGCCCTCAGTTTTTGTTTATCTAGGAATGTTTCAATTTCTCTCTTATTTTTGTAGGATAGTTTTTCTAGATATAGAATTCCCAGTTGAGAGTTTTTTTTTCTTTCAGCAATTTGAATATACTTGTGAATAACTTTCCACACTTTCTGCACTTTGAAACCTTCAAGGTTTCTGATGAGAAATCTGCTAATAATCTTGTTAAAGGTCCTGTGTGTGGGATAAGTCTCTTATCTCTTCCTGCTTTCAAGATTCTCTCTTTGTCTTTTGATAAGTTTATTATAATGTGTCTTGGTGTGGTTTCTTTATTATATCTGGAATTTGTTGAGCTTCTTGGGCTTGTAAATTCATATCTCCCATCTTGTTTGGAAAGTTTTTGCACATCATTTCTTCAAATAATCTCTCTACCCCGATCCTTTATATATTTTTTAAGATTCCCACAACGCATATGTTGGTATACTTGATGATGTTCCACTGTCCTTGGGCTCTGTTTACTTTTCTTCAATTTGTGTGTGTCTGTGTGTTTCTTAGACTCAAAATTTCAGTTATCTGTCTTTCAGTTGATTGATTCTTCTGCCTGCTCAAATCTGCTTTTGAATTTTTCTAGTGAATTTTTAAAATTTCCGTTATTGTAATTCCAAACTCCAGAATTTTATGATTCGTTTTTTATGTTATCTCTTTAATGGTATTTATATTTTGTTCATATATTATTTTCTTGAGTTTATCCATGTCTTACTTTAGTCCTTTGAGAGTCTTTGAGACAGTTGTTTTCATGTCTTTGTCTAGTAAAGATACCATCTAATCTTTCTTACAGATTTTTTCTGATTTATTTTTTTCCTTTGAGTAACCCATATTTTACTATTTCTTTATATGACTTGTAATTCTTTTGGTGGTTGTTTAAAACTGGACATTTGAATCTTATAGTGTGGCAACTATGGAAATCAGATTCAACCCCTTCCCCAGGGTTTGCTGTTTTTCTGTTTTTGTTTTTGTTTGGTTTGTTTTTTTAACTGTTACAGGGTGTCTCTGTGCTAGGATCAGCTTGAGGTGTAAACTTAGGGTAGTATTCTGAGCTGGTGTCTTTCCCTGGGCATGGGCAGTGACTTTCTAAATTCCTCCACATGTGCAGTTGCTTTACAATATCCTAATCCTTAAATATCTAGCTCTGCAAAAGAAAAAAAAGTGCTGGGGAGAGTGGAAATGAAGGGTGAAAACAAACTTTGTTTCTTTACATTCCCTGGAAGCCACTTCAGCTGCTGGATGGGACTTGCAACAATGGCAGCTTACCTCTGTGTCTATACCTCCACAATCAGAAGCAGCCACCAGTGGTTAAAACTGGTCCCAGGGTTTTTCAAAAGACAATGTCTTTTCTAGCTATCCTAGTTGCTATAAGTTGCTCTAGGAATGTTGGAACAGCTGACTGGCACAGGGCTTAGGGTTGGCAGCTGTGACTGGGTAGCTGCTACTATGCTAACTGCTGAAATTGGCTGAAATTAGCCATGATTTATAGGAAAAGACTTCCGTTGGAAGCTGCAAGCCTTCAAACAGACTACAGTTTTTCGAAATACTTACATCAGAGAAATCCTGCCAACACAATTGTTGTTTTGGTGAAGAGATGAACTCCTGCCACTGCCTACTCTGCCATCTTCCCTAATGTCATTTCTTCACTACTAGTGTTTTTAATACTATTGCCAGCAATCATATCACAATATCAAGTTATGAATAAATGTTTGATTATTGTCTGATTCAGCAAAGAAATCATTCACTTCATGAATGTTGGTTAATATTTTCATTTAAAAGAAAGTGAAGCAATCAAGAAATATGTCAGAACTTCACTTGTTTGTCAGTGACTGGAGGGATATCTTTGTGGAGTTGTATAATAGTTTTTAAATTCCAAAAGGATATTTTCTTAATTTTTTTTTTGCTAATCATAATGTAACACTTACAGACACAACACTGTTAATTTTAATATTTAAGAATCTGCATTCTTCACATTTTCTTCTGATTTTCTTCAATTTAGGCCAGATCAGAAAAACAATTTTTCTGTAAAGAACCATACCATATTTTATCTTTGCAGGCCATGTGGTCTCTGTTGCAATTACTTAACTTTGCCATTATAGCACAGATTAGCAATAGACAGTAGTAAACATGGCTGTGTACCAATAAAACCTCATCTATAAATACTAAAATTTACCATTAACATAACTTTCATATGTCATTAAATATCATTCTTTTTCTCCCCTAACCATTAAAAACTAAAAATTAATGTTAGCTTGTGGATTCTACAAAAATAAGTGGCAAGCTGTGTTAGACCATAGTTTGCTAATCTCTCATTTAGACAATTAAAAAATAGCAATAGTAAAAACAAAACAAAACAAAAAAACAAATCAAGGTCTGATTTACAGTATTTGTCAATTCCATGGTCTAAGTACTCCTACCTGGCTCATTTCAAGCCACTAATGTGACGTCACGGAATGTGAAGTTGCACCCCAGTAGCATTAAATAGCCATTTAGTTTTTCCACCATGCAGATACAACAGAGAAAAAGAAACTTAAGACATAGCTAATAGTAACATATTAAAAATAATTAGAAAGTAATGAATTTTGAGTATGTATTATCTTTTTTTTTTCTTTTTCTTTTTTATTTTTAAATTGAGTCTTGGTCTGTTGCCCAGGCTGGAGTACAGTGACGTAATCATAGCTCACTACAGCCTTGAACTGCTGGGCTCAAGCGATCCTCCCACTTTGGCCTTCTGAGTAACTGGGACTACAGGAACATGCCACTATGCCACCCAGGTAACTTTTTAAAATGTTTTTTAGAGACAGGGTCTCACTTTGTTGTCTAAGCTGGTCTCGAACTCCTGGCTTCAAGTGATCTTCCTGTCTCAGCCTCCCAAAGTGCTGGGATTACTGGATGGGTGCCTTGCTTTACTTTCATTTTTAATATTGTTTCTAATTATGAACTTACATAGTTTAATTTTTTTGTTGTTTTTTTTTTTTGTTTTTGTTTTTGCTCTAATTCTGTATCCATGTTTTATTTAAGCATTGTTTTTGTCAAAAAA
Organism: Homo sapiens; assembly: GCF_000001405.40. Lineage (NCBI taxonomy): Eukaryota > Metazoa > Chordata > Mammalia > Primates > Hominidae > Homo > Homo sapiens. Next base: position 27,645,092 of record NC_000010.11, read on the forward strand.
GAAAAGCAAGAAAAGTTGTCTAGTTCTAGTTTTCAGAAAGGAGAAAGTGAAGGCATAACTTGAATTAAAATTCTAATGTTGACTATTAAATAGGGAACATAGAATAATGTACTGGACAGTTTCTTTGTAAAATGCAGATACATGCTTCAGCTATGGATTTTTTTTTTTTTTTTTTTTGTAGATACTGGCTTTCTTTTCTTTCTTTCTTTCTTTTTTTTTTTTAATTTTTAACAGGGCTGTGTTTAACAACGGATGAGAAAATTCCTGAAAATTTAACAATTGGTTCTTGGAAGCCAGTATGAAGCCACCTCTAGCAGACTCTTATTCTGGGGACTCTCAAATGACCTCAGCTAGTGGAGGAGAGTCTTGCACATGGATGCTCTTATTTCTAGGGCACAGCCATCCTCCCTGAGGCTCCAGAACCTTATCCTCCACAGAGTTAATCCCTGAGCCCTTGAAGAGACATGTTTCTGAGCTCTGATCAGCTCACTGGCATCCCTTCTTTGGCGGTAAATCAGATCTATTAAATTCTACACGATTTGGAATTCAAACTAAGAGATGGCCAGTTATTGTCAGCTGTGGTTAGAATGATACGACATTCTATACCACAGTATATATAACCCCACACAGTATATATACAGTATATATAACCCCAGTGCCATTAGGGCAGAGAGACAGGAAAGGTAACCTGAAGAAAAAGAAAGGAATGAAACAGATGCACGTGAAGAATGATGGTTTTCAGTTGTACCAAAATGGAAGGACTTCTTCAGTTTACCGGTTCCTGCTTCAGGTGTCCTGTAATGCCCAATTGTCCTTGAATTCTATGAGTATATTTTTTAACGCATATCCTTTTTTTTTATGTTTAAGCTAACATAATGCTTTCTATTACTTGTACTTAACTTTAATGAGTTAATGAGTTAAGAACAAAAAGTAATTCTACCATTTTCTGAATCCCCTCTGCATTTTACCCAGCACTCAGTCTTTTCTATATTGTATGACAGTTGTTTATATGTACATTTTATCTCCTCTATTGAAGAGAAAAAGGTATAAAAAGTTATCAACGTATAAATACAATATTGTTAACTTTGGCACTCCTTTCACTGGCTAAGGCAAAATAGCGTGATTCATAGAAAAACTAAAAGTTACAGATATCTTTAAATATAATTGAAATAAATTTAAGATACTACCTCTTTTCTCCAGAACATTATACATCTATTTGGAGAGACAAGACATGTTATACCCATGAGACAATTACAGAAAAATGCAATGATGCAATTCATCTATTCACCAAACTAGAAACAGATTCCAGAAATGTCATGCACATAGTAAGCCTTCTGTAATTATTTGTGGAATGAAGAGATGGGGCAGTGAGGTGAGTGCTGAGGATTCAGAAATGACCAGAACTCAGTTTGTACCCTGTGGGGGAGTCCTCCATCCCATATGGGGGAAATGGACTTCCAGACATGCGTACAGCAGCGAGGTAGGAGGTAGACTCGAGTGTGTCCTACAGGAAGCCTTCTGTGCACAAGGGAAAGCATTTTAGTGCATACTTCAGGGCCAGATGCTGCTTGAAACCTCTATAAATTGTCATTTATTCAATCTTCATAACGATAGTATGCAACATGTACTATTATTATCACTCATTTTATAGATGATGACACTAGGGTACAAAGAGGTTATGCAACTTGCCCAGGGTTACTTGGTTAAGTAGGTGGCCCAGCCGGGGACACAGGCAGGCTGACAGCCAAGCACACACATTTTAACATTGTGCTGTGTTGTTTCTCTGTGTTTGCTTGTGTGTGCCAGGCAGTTTGGTGGTGGTGGGAATTCTCACTCTTACCCACCCTGCTACAGGGAATAGGCAAAGAATATCATACAGATGAATTGGGGTGTGTGGAGACTGACAAGACCTGGAGTCATCTGGAAAGACTTTATAGGGAAAGTTGAACAAAGAAGGACCTCTCTTAAGTCATGAAAGGATCGCCCCCAACACTATGGCAGGGCTGCATTGGAAAAATCCTACTAAATTAGAACTTTTTTTCTGACCTATTTTTAGGACATTCTTTCGATGTAATAAATACCTGCAGATTGATTTTAGAGATCATTAAATGTCTTAGAAGACTAAAAATGTTTTTCAAAGAGAAAACCTCATACTCTTTGTAATACAAACAGGAGGTTGTGGACCGCACTTCTATTTTCGGTGGGTTTCCTTGCATAGTGAGTTTGGTTCTTTATTCTACTGGGAAGTAGAGTAAGTTAGAACATTGGCAGATGTTTTCTTGCTGTATTTATATTGTTGTTTTGGAAAAGCTGTTACAAAGTAAAAAAAATAGCAGATATTGGCGAGGATGTGGAGAAAAAGGGAATGCTTATACACTTTTTTTTTTTTTTTGAGATGGAGTCTTGCTCTTTTGGCCAGGCTGGGGTGCAATGGCATGATCTTAGCTCACTGCAACCTCCACCTCCCAGGTTCAAGTGATTCTCCTGCCTCAGCGTCCCGAGTAGCTGGGATTACAGGCATGTGCCACCACACCTGGCTAATTTTTGTATTTTTAGTAGAAACAGGGTTTCACCATGTTGGCCAGGCTGGTCTCGAACTCCTGACCTCAGGTGATCTGTCTGCCTCAGCCTACCGAAGTGCTGAGATTACAGGCATGAACCACTGCGCCGGGCCATTTATACACTGTTGATGGGAATGTAAATGAGTACGATCTCTGTGGAAAAGAGTATGGAGAGTTCTCCAAGAACTACAAACAGAACTACCATTCAATCCAGCAACCCCACTACTGGATATCTACCCAAAGGATAAGAAATTATTAGATCAAGCTTCCTGTACTTGTATGTTTGTTGTGGCACTATTCACAATTGCAAAGCTATGGAATCAATCTAAGTGTCCATCAATGGATGACTGAATAATAAAAAGTTCCATATAGACCATGGAATACTACTTGGCCATAAAAAGAATGGAATCATGTCTTTTGCAGCAACATGGATAGAACTTGAAGCCACTGGCCGGGTGCAATGGCTCACACCTGTAATCTCAACACTTTGGAGGCTGAGGCAGGCAGATCATGAGGTCAAGAGATCGAAACCATTCTAGCCAACATGGTGAAATCCCGTCTCTACTAAAAATACAAAAATTAGCCGGGCTTGGTGGTGGGAGCCTGTAGTCCTAGCTACTTGGGAGGCTCAGGTAGGAGAATCGCTTGAACCCAGGAGGCGGAGGTCGCAGTGAGCCGAGATCGTGCCACTGCACTCCAGCCCAGCGACAGAGCGAGACTCTATCTCGAAAACAAAACAAAAAACACAACACAACACAACACAACAAACAAAACAAAACAAAAAAAGAACTTGCAGCCATTTTCTTAAGTGAAATAACTCAGAAACACAAAGTCAAACTGCATTCTCACTGATAAGCAGGAGCTAAATAATATGTACACATGGGCATACATTGTGGAATAATAGATACTGGATACTAGGAAGGGTGGGAAGATGGGAGGTGAGATGAGGATGAGAAATTACTTAATGGGTACGAGGTACACTATTTGGGTGATGGATGCACTAAAAGCTCAGACTTCACCACTCTGCAATACATCCATGTAACAAAACTGCACTTGTATCCCCTAAATCTATTTTTTCAAAAAGCTGTTATAAATAGCTAACATTGGGCCAGGTCATTTTTCCTTTTTCCCCAACCTCAAAACCCCCCTTTCTGCCAAATCCTGGCCCTGGGATAAAGACCATGGGGATTCCATAATCTGGCCACCCTTTTGCTCTGACTTTGTTTGGGTTCAGCCAATGGAAGGCACTAGCAGTAGATGGGAGGGTGGGAACAGAGAGAGGTGGGCTATTCTCTCCCCATCACCTCCTCCCTCACTGTTTTGCAACCCCCTGCAGCCATGGCTGCATTCTTCTATGACAATATCTTCTGTTGAGTGATCCTTCCTCTATGGCTTAGCTCCTACTACACTACCTCTGCACCACCAATACCACCCCACCTCGCTTTTTTTTTTTTTTTTTTTTTTTTTTGAGACCGAGTCTCGCTCTTTTGCCCAGGCTGGAGTGCAATGGCACCATCTTGGCTCACTGCAACCTCCACCATCTGGGTTCAAGTGATCCTTGTGCCTCAGCCTCCCGAGTAGCTGGGACTATCTGGTTAATTTTTGTATTTTTATAGAGACAGGGTTTCAATATGTTGGCCAGGCTGGTCTCGAACTCCTGACCTCTGCCCACCTCAGCCTCCCAAAGTGCTAGGATTACAGGCGTGAGCCACGGCACCCGACCCTTTCTAAAGATATTCTTGTCCTTCCCAGGCTCTGAATCCTCAACAACCCCTGTTCATTCCCTTAACCTTGCTTTTAAAATAATCCCTTCATTGCATTCTTTTCAGAAGCTCATCTAAGGGGCCTCTTGTTTCCTGTGGGGCTCTGGCTGGTCCAGTAGTCATCACCAAATAAAATCTCCTAGTTCTGTATCCAATTTTCACCATTGTGGCTATAAAGATATACAGGATCTGGTCTTGCCCACCTCTGTGACTTCCTGTCTTACCACTCTCCTCTTGCTCACTGAGCTCCTCTTAACTGGATTTTCTTTTGGTTTCTAGAATACACACACACTGAGCTTGAGCACTTTCAGGTCTTCCTGCCTGTGATACTCAAACCCCACTCTTCCTCTGGCTCCTGTGTGTCATTTGGGTTGGATTTTTTCTTAGTTTTGTTTTAAGACAGGATCTCCCTCTGTCGCCCAGGCTGGATTACAGTGGAGTGCCTCAAACTCTTGGGCTCAAGCCATCCTCTCACCTCAGCCTCCTGAGTTGTCAGGACTACAGGCACACTCTACCATGCCTGGCTAATCTTTTTTTTTGTTTGTTTTTTTGTAGAGATGGGGGTCTTCTTATGTTGCCTGGGCTGGTCTTGAACTCCTGGCCTTAAGCAATCCTCCTGCCTCAGCCTCTGAAAGCCCTGGGATTATAGGCATGAGCCACTGTGTCCAGCGTCATTTGGGTTTAATTCAAACATTTCCTCAGTGAAATGTTTGGACTAAATATTCCTGACTATTATAATTGCACACCCCACCCCAGCTCATATTACATTCTTCCCTATGCCCCCTGCCCCTCGTTTGTAGTTTGTTTTTTGAGACAGTCTCACTCTGCCACCCAGGCTGGAGCAGAGTGGTGTGAGCATAGCTCACTGCAGCCTTGATCTCCCAAGCTCCAGCAGTCCTCCTACCTCAGCCTCTGTAGTAGCTGGGACTACAGGTGGGTGCCACCACACCCAGCTAAATTTTTGACTATAAAAAAAAATAGAGCTGGGGTCTCATTTTATTGCCCAGGCTGGTCTTGAACTCCTGGGCTCAAGTGATTCTTCTGTGTTGGCCTCCCAAAGTGCTGGGATTACAGACATGAGCTGCTGTGCCCGGCCCCATTTATAGTACTTTATAGCACTCAGCACCAGTTGGAATGGTTTTGTTCATTTGTTTCTTTGTTTACTCTCTTTTTCTGTGCATTAGAAAGTAAGCCTCAGAAGAACAGAAATCTTATCATTTAGCTTCTTTTCTCCAGTATCTATCATAGTACCTGGGATCTAGTAAATTGTCAATAATTACTTTTTAAAAGAAAGAATGGTATTTCAGTGGTCAATCCATATTCACCTTACCGTGACTTTCATTCTAGTATGTTTTCATGAAACAGAGTGATGTGGCTTGGGTCTGTGTCCGTGTTCAAATCTCATGTCAACTTGTAATTCCCAATGTTGGAGGTGGGGCCTGGTGGGAGGTGATTGGATCACGGGGGTGGATTTCCCCCTCAGTGCTGCTCTTGTGATAGTGAGTGAGTGCTCTCGAGATTTGGTTGTTTAAAGGTTTGTGGCACCTCTTCCCTTGCTCTCTTCCTCCTGCTCCAGCCATGTAAGACGTGCCAGCTTCCCATTCACCTTCCGCCATGACTGTAAGTTTCCTGAGGCCTCCCCAGAAGCTGAGCAGATGTCAGCATCATGCCTCCTGTACAGCCTGCAAAACCATGGGCCAATTAAACCTCTTCTTTATAAATTACCCAGTCTTAGGTATTTCTTTATAGCAAGGTGAGAACAGACTGATACACAGAGCCAAAGAATATTTCACATGAACAGTGATGTGGAGAATTCCTGTTCTGTTTTGCTCCTGGAAAAACCTGCAAAGAACCATGCCCTAAGCACACATTCATGTCTGCAGGAGGCCCCATAACTCCTCACAGAAGGAGAGAGCAGTGTTTCAGCTTGGGTACCTGCATAAGGCCATGCTCTGTTGGAAGCTGGTTAAAAAATATTTGTGAGCACTGTTTTCCTTAGTGTTTACAGCTTAATGAAAAGCTGATATTTTAAAGGTGCTGTATGAGGCCAGTCATGGTCCTCGAATGGGTTCTTTATGAAACAGCCCAAAATGAGTTTTGGGCTCTCTGGAGACTTTTTTGATAGAGACCAAATGTCACAGTTCCTGACTTGGCCACATTTGCTTGAGGAGACTGTCTTGTTTGTCCTGCTCAGTAATTGTGAGGCAGAGCTTCCTGAGATACCAGCCAGGTCCACAAAGGGTTTATGTGCAGGCTGCCATGTCTGCTACCCTCACAATGTGTTTTGAATCTGTCTTCTGGCTCCAGGTGACCTGCTGACCCGTGTTCCTACAAGACACTCTACTCAAAGTCCTTGTCTTTAAAGCTAACCTGTGTCTCTGTCACGATCTTGGAAACAACATTGTGGGGCATTTCCAAATATAGCTGATCCTTGAACAAAGTGGGGATTGGGACGCCAACGCACATGCATACAACTTTTGACTCCCTCCCGTTTAACAAATAGTGTACTATTGACTAGCAGCCTTACCAATAACAAAAAGTCGATTAACACATATTTTGTAGGCTGGCCACGTGCTGTGGCTCATGCCTGTAATCCCCACACTTTTGAGGCTGAGGCAGGCAGATCACTATAGGTCAGGAGTCTGAGACCAGCCTGACCAACATGGGAAATCCTGTCTCTACTAAAAACACAAAAAGTTATCCAGGCATTGTGGCACATGCCTGTAATCCCAGCTACTTGGGAGGCTGAGGCAGGAGAATCGCTTGAACCCAGGAGGCAGAGGTTGCAGTGAGCCAAGATCGTCCCACTGCATTCCAGCCTGGGTGACAGAGTGAGACTCTGTCTCAAAAAAAAAAGAAATAAAGAAAGAAAACCATATATATTTTGTAGCTATATTGCATGCATTACACATTGTGTTCTTACAATAAAGTAAGCTGCAGAAAAGAAAATGTCCTTAAGAAAATTATAAGGAAGAGAAGATATTCACTAAGTGGAAGTAGACCATCATAAAGGTCTTCATCCTCATCGTCTTCATGTTAAGTAGGCTGAGTAGGAGGAGGAAGAGGAGGAGCTGGTCTTGCTTGCTCACAGTGCGGCAGAGGCTGAAGAAAATCCAACTGGAATTGGACCTTCACGGTTCAAGCCTGTGTTGTTCAAGGGTCAACTGCAGAGTGTTTTCAGTATTCTTTGCCACTTGTATCATACACTGCAGAGTTTATAAAGTAATGAAAGATTGCTAGTTTGAACATCGGCATGTCTAGCTCCTTACATTTCAAATATCCTTACATTTCATAGGTAGCTGCTGCACTCCAGAGCCAGGTAGATCAAGCAGATTTTTCACAAATGTCTCAAACTCATCAAGTTCAAAAAGGAAATCACCCTTACCCTACTGGTTTGCAATCAGTGTTAATTACTTCAGTTCTCCTCTCATTCTTCCAATCACCCAAGTCAGAAAGGCCTCAGTATTGCCCTCTTTCTCTCCTTGACACCCATACCCAGTCAGCCACCAAGTGCTGTTATTTTTCCTAAGCCATTCATCCTCTTCTCTCCATCCCCTTTGCCATCCCCTAGTCTGGGATGTCTTCATCTCTAGCCTTAACTATTGCCATAGCTTTCCAGTATTTGGACTGGCTTCCCTCTAGATCTTTTTACTTACTGTAGCCAGGGTAATTTCTTGCTAAAAGACAAATGGGATGCTGTGACACGTGTTCGCTGGGTGCCCCTTCCCTCAACCTAGAGTGTGGTTGAGTTAGCAAGCAAGGCCCTCCGTAATCTGGTGCCACAGCTCCCAGATCTCTCAAAACACTCCCAACCTTTTTCTCAACTCTCCACCCACTCCCTGCCATGCAGGCTGTGAAGGCACCTGGCTTTCTTCCACTTCCAGACCTCTGGTCGTGCTCTTCCCTCTACCTTACAGGCCCTTCCCTGCACCTCCTTTGTCTGACATTAGCCCTACTCACTCCTGTCACCTCCTGAGCTCAGGTCCCCTCTTAGATGTACCCACACAGGAAGCCTCCACGGACCACTGCCACCCCTAGGTGGGACGAGGTGCCCCTCCTCCCTGCATATCCTGCATGCTCTGCCCGCCCTGTCTGGCCCTTCCTCTGTCCTGGGAGTGCCTCTTTATTTGCCTGTTGTCCTAGTGGGGCCATGAGCTCCTTGGGGCAGGAGCTTTGTCCTGTTCATTTGTGTCCTTAGAGCCTTGCAGAGTCCCTGGTTGTGGTGGCCTTGCAGGAAAGAAATAGAGAGGGTCTCAAACTCCATGAATGTCTGCTGGGTCCTAGTGTGAGGACAGATTATGAGACAGAGAGGGGACACCCTCTTAGAGGACTTTCAGCCATTGTAAGGGAGGCTCAACCCACAGGTCCAGATGAAGACACCCCCTAGGAGGGCTGGGGGATGAGGCCTCTTCAGCAGGAGTAAGGATCTTCTTTCAACACATCATCTTTTAGGAGGAGAAGTCAGGGTGAAGTGTGGGGCTCCTGGAGCCCTGCCAGGCAGTGGTCAGTGCTGGGCTTTCGGAAGTTTCTCAGGCAGCAGCATCAGGAATGAGGTCAAGCAAAGAGAGGCTCGGGGGGAGGTTATGTCAGGGGAGGCTGGGTGGGGAGGCTCAGGGGGAGGCTGAATGTGGGGGGAGCTGCCCCTTGAGAGGCAGAGGCAGGGGGGCCACGATGATGCAGCCACAGGCCCAGGAGGAGGATCAGTGAGAGCAGCTGGCACTGGAAGGGCAGCTTCCCCTGAAGCAGAGAGGAGATGTGCTGCCAGGGAACCCCCAACTTCCTACCTCATTCCTCTAGTTAATGGGTTGCACCTGCTTAGGAATGGCAGGCACCTTCTGAGGGGTATCGGAGAGGCATTCAGCTGTTACTAACACCAGGGGTTCAGTCTAGGTCCCATTGCTTGCTGCACAGAAAACCAATCGTGGAGACAATGAGTACTGCCACGGATGAAGGCTTTTTCCGGTGACAACAGCCAGAGAGATGGGAGCCAAACCTCAAATCCCTCCCTCCCTGCAGATGGAAGTTAAGGGTTTATATAGCTGGGAAGGACAACAAGAAGGGTGAGGAAGAGGAGGTGTTCATCAGGCAGCAGGTGGTCAAGTGAGGGGTCTCATCATAACCACATGCGGGAAAACAGGCATTAGGGATGGTATCTGTTCTCACGCTGCTGATAAAGACATACCTGAGACTGGGTAATTTATACAGAAAAAGAGGTTTAATGGACTCAGTTCCACATGGCTGGGGAGGCCTCACAATCACGCTGGAAGGCAAGGAGGAGCAAGTCATGTCTCACATGGATAGTGGCAGGCAAAGAGAGAGAGCTTGTGCAGGGAAACTCGTGCTTATAAAACCATCAGATCTCATGAGACTTATTCACTCTCATGAGAACAGCATGGGAAAGACCTGCCCCCATGATTCAATTACCTCCTACTGGATCCCTCCCATAACTAATGGGAATTTAAGATGAGATTTGGGTGGGGACACAGCCAAACCATGTCAGACGGGTAAGGAAGAGGAATGGCCAATAAGCAGCAGCAGGTGCATCTCATTGTACAAACATAAGTTTCTAAAGCTTCCGTTCTATAGGCATTCAGCTTGTTGGAAAATTGGGCTGTTTCACTTTCAGCCCAAATACTAGGCCAGTAGACAAAACTGATTGTTCACAGAAGAGTGGAGAGGAAGTGAGTCCAGCAAGCCAGCACAGTGGAGGTGGCTTCCTTCTGCTTCCCCTCCTCTGCTCTCTCCCTTCTCTGTGTCCCAGGCTCCCTGGCCCATTGGAGGCTGAGGGTGGGAGGGAGGGAGAAGCCAGGACATTCTCTCTGCATCGGAAGGCCCCTTGGGCAGTGGCCTTGTCTCCTTCATGGCTCCAGCTCCCTGAGTGTTGCCTCTCCCTCTGTGGTCTCAGCTCCCCCAGGCCGGCCCATGGAGGTCCCAGCTTCTTTCCAATGGCCTGGCTCCTGGGCTCCTCTCGCCTCTCTAATCCTTAGCATCCCTGTTTGACCTCTCATCTCCTCCATCACTTCTGTGACCAATTCTCTGTACGTAGCTTCCCATTTTCAACTATCTAGTGTGTTTTGTTTTCCTGATTGTACTGTGACTCATACGGGGCCTAGGAATAAACTCCCCAATGTAAGAAGGAAAATATAATATTCAAAAGGCAATGAGAACACACTTTTGTAAAAGATTTGTTGCATAAAAAAGAAGTCAATTTTAGACAGCATCTGCTATGGACTCTTACTAACATTTAAGAAAACATGTGCTCTATGAAATAGGATTGAAATAAGTCACCAAACTGAGATTTAAAAAAATATATTAAATGGGACAAGGAAGGAATACTACAAAATACAAGATGAAATAAAAGATTTCAATTAAGATCTCAGAAAACCACGTTAGTAATATAGGGCCTGGTACAGTGGCTCACGCCTGTAATCCCAGCACTTTGGGAGGCCGAAGCAGTCAGATCACGAGGTCAGGAGATGAAGACCATCCTGGCTAACACGGTGAAACCCCGTCTCTACTAAAAATATAAAAAATTAGCCGGCCATGGTGGCAGGCGCCTGAAGTCCCAGCTACTTGGGAGGCTGAGGCAGGCGAATCGTGTGAACCCGGAAGTCGGAGGTTACAGTGAGCCAAGATCGTGCCACTGCACTCTAGCCTGGGCGACAGAGCAAGACTCCGTCTCAAAAAAAAAAAAAAAAAAAAAATTAGCTGGGCATGGTGGTGTGCGACTGACTGTAATCCCAGCTACTCAGGAACCTGAGGTAGGAGAATCGCTTCACCCTGGGAGACAGAGGTTGCAGTGAGCTGAGATTGCACCACTGCACTCCAGCCTGGGAGACACAGTGAGACTTCATCTCAAAAAAAAAAAAAAAAAAAAAAAAAAAAGAGAGAAAGAAAAAGAAAGAAAACTACGCTAGTAATATGGAAGACAGCTTAAGAAGATTTTCCAGAATGAAGAGAAAAGGGAAAAAAATAGTCTGAGAGAAGATCATCTTAGAGGTCATCTTTGTAAACTTAGAAAACAGTTCTATATTTTGATAAATGAAATGTGGAAGATTTTATTATGAAGCCGAGGGAACTTTGTTTAAGGAAAAATCAGTTGAATTTTAAGCAAAAAAGTATAAATATGTGTCATAGTTTGTATCAGAAATTCTGAAAACCAGTTGTGACTCAGATTCACCTGAGAAACTGTTCAACAAACAAACAAACAAACAAACATTTCCTCAGTCTTATCCTCAGAGATTTTATTGAGTAGGTCTGGGACAGGAAATGAGAATTTATGTTTTAAACAATTATCTCAGTTCATTTTGACAAAGGTGATCGGGACCAGGGTTTTAGAACTTCTGGTTTTTAACAGCAAAGTTAAAGTACTACGCCACCTGGTGGCAGCATACCCAACTTGCAGAGTGTGTGTGTGTGTGTGTGTGTGTGTGTGTGTGTGTGTGTGTGTGTGTGTGTGTGTGTGAGAGAGAGAGAGAGAGAGAGAAGAGAGAGAGACGGGTGGGTTTACTGGCTACAACAGTAGATGATTTCTTTTAACTGAGTTAATTCTCTTGAGCGAAAATTAATAACTGACTGCAAATGTTTTGGAAAGGAAGATGGAGACCATTAAGTGAATTGAGCAGGAAAAGGCCAAAGAAATACCAACTTCCAACACGAAATAAGACCAAGACACTAAAGTTAGCATTAGAAGGAGATTCTCCTTTTTCATTCTCGAGTTACCTCACTTAGAATAATAGTCTCCAATCTCATCCAGGTCACTGCACAAATCATCACGGAAGAACTTAATCATGTCACCAAACACCACCTGTTCCTCAATAACCTATGGAAATAAAAAGTTAAAAATGAGGGGAGGGAGATTCTTCTTTTTGAGAGAAACTCCAAGTCTGTTCTTACCACAGTCTCTCCTCTGTGGGGTCATACTGGTGGCCTCAAGGACACATTCATCCTAAGACATTCAGACCTAAACCCCGGCAAAGAAATTTTGTCGACTCGGTGAAGAAAATTATTTAATCATGGATGGACATAACCAGAGGGGAATAAATTCTGAAAATATTGAAAATATAGGTGGTCTGCCTTGCAAGGTAGAGCTTGCAGTACAAAGGTCACAGCTCCAGGTGGGACTCAGGTAGCAAATCTAGCCTTGTTTTGCAACTTCGTTTTCTAGGTGTCGGTTTGAAAATGCCATATTTCACATCCGCTGTTCAAGGGTGATCCCCCAGGCATTAGACTCTGTGATGTCTGACCAAGAAAAGCAGAGACCTCCTTCATGCCTACCTGGGTCCCCACTCTGGGTTCCAATCTCCTTTTTGAGCTTTGAACTTCTCTCCTAAAGAAGTTGGTCCAGGAATCAATCACGGTCTTTCCAGAGAGACTGCCTACCGTTGGGAGATGCAATCTGACCCTTGTAGCTTCAACAGTGAAACCGTATTGAAACATGACACAATGCTGTTTTCATTCTGCAGGTTACCCAAATACAGTAGAGAGGAGTTGCCATAAGAGGGTTTTTACACCTGGGCTCCTGGTTTTGCTTTTTTGAGCTTTTTGTTTGTTTTTAGTACAAGAGCTGTGACTTCAACTTGGAGACAAACGATCAAGAAGCTACATAAAGAGGAAAAGGGAGAGAGAGAAAGGGAAGATACAGGGTGGGGATAAAAGATTTAAAAGGTAGTAAGAAAGTAAAACAGGCGTGGGGGCCGGGGTGGAGATGAAATGTGCCTGTGTAGCTTATTTCTGGGAATAACAATGGCAGAAAGGAAAGTGAAATGTAATTCCAGAGACTTTAGTGCTGGACACTTTCATCTAACAGCGCAGTGCAGGAAACAGCCAGCCAGCATCTTTCTGGTTTTAATGTGATCAGGAGCCTTCCCTCTGGGATGAGATGCTAAATCCACTGGCTCTTTTCTGAAAGGCCTTAATGAGCCAGCTTAAAGCTGAGGTTGTTTCTCCATTGGTCAATGGCAAAAGTATGGAAAATTCCAGACAGTGGATAAACAAAAACCTCCCAATGTATTTGGCTTTGGATTGCATGATATACGATGGCCGGGTTTTCGGTAGCAAATTTCCTTCCTAATGATGTTTTTCTTAGGCTAATAAGCAGTACCCCTCTATGCTCCTGCCTGGCCCTGGCTGCTCAGCCCACTCTGCCTCCTAACCTCGGCTACTTTGTTTCTCTCCACCTTCACCTGCTCGTGCGAAAGTTCCTCTGATAATTCTTTTTTTTGTGTTTGTTTGAGAAGGAGTTTCGCTCTGTCGCCCAGGCTGGAGTGCAGCGGTGCGATTTCAGCTCACTGCAACCTCTGCCTCCCAGGTTCAGGTGATTCTCCTGCCTCAGCCTCCCAAGTAGCTGGGATTATAGGCATTCACCACCATGCTCCGTTAATTTTTTGTATTTTTAGTAGAGATGGGGTTTTACCATGCTGGCTAGGCTGGTCTCAAACTCCTGACATCAGGTGATCCAGCCACTTTGGCCTCCCGTAGTGTTGGGATTACAGGTGTGAGCCACCACACCCGGCCTCCTCTGATAATTCTTAGCGAATTTGAGCAGATGCATGCAATTACATTCCACTTCTCCAGAGTTCCTGGAGCTCAGCACTGGAGCCTGGAATGATTCGTCATGACTAGGTAATATCACTCATATTTAGTAACTATATTGGCATGCGAGTTTCCTCTTGCTATACTAGTGTAACAGACGCTGTTGCTGAAAATCAATTTCCTGAAAGCAAATTCACTAAAAATCAATTTGCTTAATGACCAAATTCCAGAATTAATGTGGAATTCCCCCAAAGTTTTTGATGTTGTCTTGGATTCTGCCCACCTCCATCCTGGACTGCCATTTAGTATACAGATGAGTGACTTTGCTTTAACTCCACAACACAGCCTAATGTCTTTTCTACTCTGGCTGTTGCCCCTGCCCCGGTGTTTGCTTTCACCCGGGCGTTTGCTTTGCCCCACCTCTGCAGCATTTAGGGAAAGGACTAAACTTTCCTTTATTTATTTTTTATTTTTTGAGACAGAGTCTCATTCTGTCACCCAGACTGGAGTGCAATGGCATGATCTTGGCTCACTGCAACCTCCGCCTCCCAGATTCAAGCGATTCTCCTGCCTCAGCCTCCTGAGTAGCTGGGAATGCAGGCACCTGCCACAACCGCCAGCAAATTTTTGTATTTTTGGTAGAGATGGGGTTTCACCACGTTGGCCAGCCTGGTCTCGAACTCCTGATCTTAAGTGATCCACCCGCCTCGGCCTCCCAAAGTGTTGGGATTACAGGCATGGGCATGCCAGACCTGATCTTTCCTTTAAACACTACTTAAGGTTTCTCCACTTTTGTGGATTGGTGCCATGAGCTACTCCTGCCCGTCCCTGCCTTCACCAGGGTCCTTTACCTGCCTCCTACTTCTGGTGGTGAAGCTAAAGCAAACTGTTCTACCTGGTTTGAGGGCTTTAGGGCTGGGCCGGGGTCAAAGTGGTCACCAGCCCAATTGGTGGTTTGGCATGCTGGTTCCAGAGATTTGGCCTGTTTCCCGCACAGGCAGTGGGGCCCAGGCTGTGGCCGACCACGTAGTCCAAGTGCTGTTTTGTTTCTCAGGAAGGTCTGCAGAGTGGGAGGAGCTGTGGGTTCTGCCCAGAAGGACTTTGTGGCAGCACAGAAGTGGTGAGTGTGCTTTGTTAAATCTCAGCAGGTGTTAGTTGGAATTGTCACACTCTGCTTGGCACCACTCAGACTCAGAGGTGAGACAGGGTCCGGGCACAGTGGCTCACGCCTGTAATCCTGGCACTTTGGGAAGCTGAGACAGGAGGATCACTTGATCCCAGGAGTTCGAGACCAGCCTGGGCAACACGACAAGACTCTATCTCTACAAAAAAATATTGAAAAATTAGCCAAGCATGGTGGTGCGTGCATGTAGTCCTAGCTACTTGGGAAGCTGACGTGAGAGGATCGGTTGAGCCTGAGAGGTCGAGGCTGCAGCGAGCTGTGACGGCACCACCGCCCTCCAGCTGGGGCGACAGAGTGAGAATCTGTCTCTAAAGAAAAAAAAAAAAGCAGCGAGGCAGCGGAGGAGGATCTGAGAACAATGGAGGAACAAGTCAGAGGAACTTGGGGTGAGACTGTTCAGGGAGGGAGCAAAGGAGGAGAGAGGAATGGAGCAACTTCAGAGAGTGAAGAAGATAATGAGCTGGACTGTGATCCCCTGAGGGAGAGTCAAGGGCCTCAGCATTCTGAACGAATGGGATCCCACAGCAGGGCCCCAGGATGTGCATTTACTCACTGTATCCCAGAAGGTAAGTCTGGAGGAATCATAAGTCCTAAAGTTACTTCTTGACAATTTTTTTCAAAGTAATACATTACTTTTCTAAAATAAGCCATTTTAACTAATTTTAAGTGTGCAATTTACTGGCATTAATTGCATTCATAATGTTGTGCAACCATCAGCACTATCTATTTCTAAAACTTTTTATTATCCCAAACAGAAACTCAGCAACCATGAAGCAATCACTCCCCATTCCTCCTCCCCCAGCCCCTGGTACACTCGAATCTACTTCCTGTCTCTGTGAATTTGCCTATTCTAGCTACTTCGTCTAAGTGGAATTATAAGACGTCTGTCATTTTGTTTGGCTTATGTCACTTAGCACAATATCTTCAAGGTTCATCCATGCGGTAACATGTATCAGAATTCCACTCCTTTTTATATCTGAGTAATATTTGACTTTACTTTACTTTTATTTTATTCTATTTTTTTGAGACAGAGTCTTGCTCTGTCACCCAGGCTGGAGTGCAGTGGCATGATCTCGGCTCACTGCAACCTCCACCTCCCGGATTCAAGAAATCCTCCTGCCTCAGCCTCCCAAGAAGCTGGGACTACAGGCAAGTGTCACCATGCCCAGCTAATTTTTGTATTTTTAGTAGAGATGGGGTTTCGTCACGTTGCCTAGGGTGGTCTTGAACTCCTGACCTCAAGTGATTCGCCCGCCTCTGCCTCCCAAAGTGCTGGGTTTATAGGCATGAGCCATCGCACCCAGCCGACATCTTTTTTTAAACCACTGGATTTCCCCTACTTTGGATATCTTTGCAAAAACTCAGAAAACCTGATAAGATGCATGAAGCTATGAATGTAATTGAAGCATTTGTTTTGAGACCAAATGGCTGGTGAAGGAGCAGACCCCTCAGCAGCTCAGGCTGGGGTAGAAAAAAGCTGCTGCCTTAACAGATCCATTAACAGATCCATTCTTGGTTTCCAAGGAGGTCTCTGCCCACTCAGCAATTGACCACATTTGACCTTTTGAGCTTGGGCAAACTTGGAAGAATGCGCTGGCAGGGAGTTAACTATATGGAGAAAGATGACTCAGGATCCATTTTCATCCTTGCCTACCATACCTTAAAGGAAAAGAAATTTTCCTAATTGTGGTTATTTACAGCAGTGTAAATCAAGCAAATGCCATGAAGTGCCAATACAAATTTTTTAAAAATCAGCCTTAAATAGCTAAACTCTCAACAGCAGCTCATAAAGTGAGGCTTGGCAGTTGTTAGGTAGTTATGGTTGAATTGACAGTCCTTTGGGGAATTAAGATATCCAAAAAGCAGAGGTAGTTAAGACTATAATGATAAATGGTTGGGCTTGTTGGTTGAAGAGATTTTATAGCACACATTTAAGCTGAACGCCTGTGAGAAAGTGAACTGGAAATAGAGGTTATCACTTCTTCATAGCTACTCCATTCATTATTGACCTCAGGGGGGTATTGCGACATACTAGGAAAGTCAAGACTGAGGCTATGTGAAGAAAGAAATCATTTGTAGGTAACATGATAGTGTCAGGCAAAAAAAAAAAAAAAAAAAGAAGTGTTAAGAATTGTACAAATCTAGCAAAGAAAGTAAAAAAAAAAATCAGAACAGGCATTTTTAAGACCACAATAAAGAAAAATAGTAAGAATATAATTTGCCCCAAGACTTCTGGTAGAAGATGATAGCGTAAAGTTATACTTACCTTATGCCCTTTGCTAGAGCCTTCCACAAGCACAAGAAGAAGAAAAACAGAGGGCAAAGTTCCATCTTTGATGAAATTTAGTTTAGACCCAACTACAGCATACGAAGAGTATCTGCACTATGCGGTGAAACTTTGACTAACTTGAGAGAGAATATAAGAGTTGACACATGCCTTTCTACATCTCAAGAAGAGTATAGATTGCTCTAAAAGTAAGTTAAACAAAATCCTAAAATATTTAACTAATAATCCGTGACTTAGAAAGACAAGGACTTGAGTCATGGGTAGACCATAGGAAAAGGGATAAATCCTAATGGGAGTTTAGTTTCATAACATAGAATTGGAAGGAAAAGTGGGGCTGAAAGCCTTATTTTTTTCTATCCCCAAAATTGACTAGAAGCGAGGAAGGTTTGAAACAACAGAAAAAACAATAATCGGATTTGCAATTGCTGAACTGAGTCACCTGAACAAAGAAATAATCTGTGAGAACTAACACACTTCACTGTAAGCCACTTTAATTCCTGCCTGGGAGATCTGCCCACCCTGGAGAGAGAAGGTCTATCCTCATGTAGAGACAGAGAAGATTTACTAAGAAATATGAGCATGGTGTTGTTCTAAGATCTGCCATGGACACTGTGCCCTCCTCACCCCCACAACTATTTTTAAGCAAAGAGTATTAGTAAGTATAAAGGATGAAAAGTGAGACTTGAATGTTATTCTCAAAGAGGAGAAAAGCAAACATAACAAGGTGAAAGCAAATGAAGAACCTGCATGAAGAGCAATTCTCCAAGGAAAGAAGAAAATTTCTGACAAATATTACTCTATATACTCCAAAAAGTTAAAGAGGAAATAGATTTTGAAAAGCAAGCTCAAAGAGGGGATGAAAGAGAAAACAAGCACGGAGGGGAGAATAACAACAGTGAGCTTCCTGAGGACAAGGAAGAAATGGAAGATAATAAACAAAGCCAAAGCAAAATCAAGAGACATGAAAATAATACCATGAAAACTTGATACTGCTAAAAATAAGTATGAGAGACCGAGGCAGGAGATTGATCGAGAATTGTACTGCACTTTTTTATTCACATTACTGAATACCCAACACTTTTAGCAAAGTGCCTGGCAAATGCACTTATGCGATAAGTAACAGTTGAATAAACTGTTAATACAGTTAAATACAGGAAATTGGCTATTTTGAGAAAAATAACAGAGAAAAGGAACTTAGGAAATAATTTAGATCTAACAATTTTTTCCTGAAATTTAGATATAATGTTTTTTTTTCCAGATTTCAGTCTGTAAATCCATGACATATCCTGGTTAAGTGAGTAAACTTTAGGTATAAATAAGGAATTCTGTGTGCCCTCAGGCAAAGCAAAGACAAAAACAAAACCAAAGCCAAAACAATCCAGCAGACAATGTATCAGGCTGATGTCAGAATTTGCCACAGCAATATTCAATTAGTTGTGGAGCAATAAGAGTTCTGAAAGCAAAAGTAATAGCTCAGACTTCTATATCTAGTTAAGTTATCAGGAGTATATAAGGGAAAAGAAGACAGCTTCAAGCTGAGGGAATACAACATCCCCATGATAAACTTTAAAAACAAAATTAATGATAACATCCATCTAATCAAAAGAAAAATCAAAATAGAGACCTCAAGAAGGGGAAGTAGCATAGGGAAGTATTCCCAGTAAGCATCAAACCTATTTCAGTAACTGTAAGAGTTATAGTTTCAGAGAATAATTTAAGTAGCATAAATACTGACAATGTAAAATTAACAAGAAAGTGTTAAAAATGACATGTGAGAATGAGAAGAAGTATCAAAGTTCTAGTTACTTCACCTTTCATATTGAGGATTCAAGGTTTGTAGCTTAAGAAATTGAGATTGGAAAAATGGCCACCTTTGTGTGCCTCGACTGCCTTGCTTCTCAAACCCAACTCCAATTCAACTACCTCAGGGAAGCTGCTCTTGAAGTTGTTAGGCAGAGCCTGCAGAGTTGAACTAAGGACTTGGCTCTGCAAGGAAAGATGTAGGAGAGAGAAGAGGAGAAGAGGGAGGGAGGGACAGAGATCATTTGTTAGTTTCCCTCTGTCAAGACTAGAACCTGGATTGCTATAGAGGAGAATCCCCAAATGGGCATCAAGTTGTAAGTTCTTAAAAAAAGAATGGCTTGTGAAAATACAGAGGCCTCTGAGAAGAAGGCGGCACTAGACCGTGTGAAGTCTTGACCCTCAAAGTGCTGTGGGATTGCTGAGTAATTGGCCAAGTTCTTCTTTCATTTGCGGTTATGCAGCATGGAGTGCAGAAGGGATATGTCTTGGTGCCTTAACAAGGGAGTACGGCTTGTCAGCTAGTCTATTTCCTGATCACAAGGGCTGAAAGTGTCTGCCCCATCCCTTAACTCATAGGATTTCCACTGCTTAAGGTGGATTTGGGTTTCAAATCGAAGAAAGTCTTGTGCATGCAATGAAAAATGTTGATTGAGCAGCCGAAGAGATAAATGAAACACAATATCCCAGATACGCAGTTTCTACTGAAATGGAACCTTTGGAGGTTCTATTACAACCTGACAATAAATAATTAGTCAAACAAATGCATTTAAGGAGAATCAGTTGTAGCAAGATATTTTTCTGGAAGACATTTGCTATCTCTCTCTCTCTCTCTCTCTCACACACACACACACACACACACACACACATCTGACAAAGGATTCATATCCAGAATATATTAAAGAACACTTAAAAATTAGTAAGTAAAGAACAAACAAAAATCTTGAACAGTCACTGCTATAATATCCAAATAGTCAGTACTTATCAAAGAACACACATTGGGGAAAAGATAGTTATCCAGAATATATAAGTAACTCAAGCAACTCAACAGCCAAAAAAAAGAAATAAAATAAAATAATCTGATTTCAAAGGGGAAAAAATACTTTAAAAGACACTTCTCAAAAGAAAACCTAAACAGGGCCGACAGGTATATAGAAAAATGCCCAACATCACTAATTATCAAGGAAATGCAAATCAAAACCACAATGAGATGCCACTTAACTCCAGTTAGAATGGCTATTATCAAAAACACAAAAGAAAACAAGTGTTGGTGAGGATGTAGAGACAAGGGACACTTACGCATTGTTGGTGAAATTATAAACTAGTACAGCTATTATGGAAAACAGGATGAAGCTTCCTCAGAAAATTAAAAACAGAACTACCGTGTGAACCAGCAATCCCACTGCCGAGTATATATCCAAGGGAAATAAAATCAGTATATCAAAAAGATAGCTGCACTTCCATGTTTATTGAACACTAGTTATAATAGCCAAGATATGGAATCAAACTGTGTCCAACAATGAGTGGATGGAGAAAGAAAATGTAATATATATATACAATTCAGCCATAAAAAAGAATGAAATCCTGTCATTTGCTGCAACATAGATGAACCTGGAAGACGCCATATTAAGTGAAATAAGGCAGGCACAGAAAGACATGATTTCACTGATATATGAAGTCCATTTAAAAAAATGTTGATATCTTAGAAGCAGAGAGTGGAACAGTAGTTACCAGAGACTGGAGAGGGAAGGGGGAAAGAAGAGGCTGGGCAGAGGTTGGTCACTGGGTACAAAGTGACAATTAGGAGGAATAAGTTCTGGTATTTGATTGCACAGGAGGGTAACCTGCTTAACAATAAGGTATTGTATGTTACAAAATAGCTAGAAGAGAGGCTTTTGAATGTTCTCCCCAGAAAGAAATGATAAATGCATGAAGTGATGGATACACTACCCTGATCAGGTCATTCTACAACATATATACATTGAAACATCAAGTCGTACCCCATAAATATGTAAAATTATAATGTCTCAATTAAAAAAAAACTTGAGGCTGGGCACAGTTGCTCACAGCTATAATCCAGTCACTTTGAGAGGCCAAGGCAGGTGGATTGCTTGAGACCACAAGTTCAAGACCAGCCTGGGTAACATGGCAAAAACCTGTCTCTACAAAAAATTAAAAAAATGTAGTCACAGCTATTTAAGAGGGTGATTGGGGAGGATCACCTGAGCTAGGGAGGTTGAGGCAGTGAGCTGTGACTGTGCCACTGCACTCCAGCATGGGCGACACAGTAAGACCCTGTCTCAAAGACAAAAACTTGAACAGGTACTGCCACAATATCCAAATACGACATATTAAAATCACCAATTAAATATCAATTACATATTGATATTAAACAATATCAGTTTGTTCTTAATGTTAAATCATAAGATGCCTCTACAAATCTACTATAAAAGCTAAAACATTAACATCTGAAAATACCAAAATTAGCAAGTCTATGGAGCAACTAGATCTCTCATACCCTGCTTTGGAGATGTAAACTGGTGTTACCAGCATGGAAAAGTGTTTGATAATATCCACTACAACTGAACATAACTCAAAAAGTCTAGCTCCTGTCTACCAGAAATGCATACATAAATTTACCAAAAGAAACATATGAGAATGTTTATAGAAGTGTTATTCATCATAGCCCCCAAAATGGAAAACCCACATGTCCATCAACAGGAGGATGTATAAATAATCTGTTTTATATTCACATAATGATGCAATTATATATAGCAATAAAGAAGAGTGAATGGATGCTACAAGAATGAATTCATGCAACAAGATGGTGGAATTTCACAAATATAATATTGATCAAAAAGACCTACTCATCTGACAAAGGGCTAATATCCAGAATCTACAATGAATTCAAACAAATTTACAAGAAAAAAACAAACAACCCCATCCAAAAGTGGGCAAAGGATATGAACAGACACTTCTCAAAAGAAGACATTTATGCAGCCAAAAAACATATGAAAAAATGCTCATCATCACTGGCCATCAGAGAAATGCAAATCAAAACCACAATGAGATACCATCTCACACCAGTTAGAATGGTGATCATTAAAAAGTCAGGAAACAACAGGTGCTGGAGAGGATGTGGAGAAATAGGAACACTTTTACACTGTTGGTGGGACTGTAAACTAGTTCAACCATTGTGGAAGTTGGTGTGGCAATTCCTCAGGGATCTAGAACTAGAAATACCATTTGACCCAGCCATCCTATTACTGGGTACATACCCAAAGGATTATAAATCATGCTGCTATAAAGACACATGCACACATGTTTATTGCGGCACTATTCACAATAGCAAAGACTTGGAACCAACCCAAATGTCCAACAATGATAGACTGGATTAAGAAAATGTGGCACATATACACCATGGAATACTATGCAGCCATAAAAAATGATGAGTTCATGTCCTTTTTAGGGACATGGATGAAGCTGGAAACCATCACTCTCAGCAAACTATTGCAAGGACAAAAAACCAAACACCGCATGTTCTCACTCATAGGTGGGAATTTAACAATGAGAACACATGGACACAGGAAGGGGAACATCACACACCACACACCGGGGACTGTTGTGGGGTTGGGGGAGCGGAGAGGGATAGCATTAGGAGATATACCTAGTGCTAAATGACGAGTTAATGGGTGCAGCACACCAACATGGCACATGTATACATATGTAACAAACCTGCACGTTGTGCACATGTATCCTAAAACTTAAAGTAAAATAATAATAAAAAAAGAGATAGAAATATGAATGTAACTCTATGATTCAATTTACTTAAATTTCACAACTAGGTAGAAGTCAGAAAAATAGTTACATCTGGGGTAGGAGCTTGGGGAATACTTATAATGGTCCTAATCTTGATCTTGGTTTTGCTTTCACAATTATATTCTCTAGGTTAAAATTTGTTGAGCTGTACATTTATGGCTTGCAAATTTTTTACATTATAATTTAATAAAAAAATGTTTGGGAAAATATTCAACATCCATTTATAATAAAATATTTTAGTCAATCCAGAATGAAACAATATTGTCTTAAAATATGAAAAAGAATAATTCTCAAATCAATATCCATTACAGCTTAAATATTTAAACACTAGAAGTGATTCCATTAAAGTAGGGGAAAACACAAGAGAGCTTACCATCTCTGTCATTAAAAATTGTTCTGGAAATATCAGTCAATACCACAAGGAAAGGAAAGGAATACAGTATAAATATTAGAAAAGGATCAGTAAATTTTCATTATTTAGAAATAACATGATGGTATACCTCAAAGTCCAAGTGAAATATTTGGAATATTAATTTTTAAAAAAGAATCCTAATTAAGTGTCTGGCTAACAAAAGTAATATTAAAAAACCAATAGTTTGTCTGCAAACAAATGATAATTAAGATTACACAAAAATGGAAAAATTACACTGACAGATGCAAGACAAAAATAAACACCAATGAATGAAATTTATGAGAAATAGGAAACAAAACTAAAACTCTGCTGAGATCAAATGAAAAAAGAAAACTGAATAATAGAACTCAATATTGCAAAGTATAAACTGATCTATATATTTATGAACTCCACAAATGCCAAAGTTATTTTGGGGGCAGTAGGGATTTGATAACGTAATGTATCATGTATATCCTTAAAAGTTAAGATGTAAAAAGAGCCAAGAAAATTCTGAGGAAGAATGATATTGAAGAATTTATATTCACTACTATAGTAAGGGCCTGAAGAGAGATCAGAAGCAAATACTAAGATCAGTGGATTATGTAGTAACCAGTTTTGAGACAGCTAGCTAGATTTTCTTCTGCTGGGAGGCTCAGGGAGAGAACCAGATACCTAGCTTACTTCTTAGCCAAAATAAATCACCAATGGATACAAGATTTAAATATACAAAAATAAATCATAAAACTGATAGTAGAAAACATGGATGAATCTTTTTACAATCTTGGCACTAACTATATGCCAGGTAGCATTGTAAGTACTTTATATATAATAACTAATTTAATCCTCACAGCACTAAGAAGTAGATATTATTATCAACCGTCTTTTACAGAAGAGGAAACTGAGACATAGATGGGTTAAGTGTTTTGTGCAAGTTAATAGAGCTAGTAAGCACAAGAGAAGTGACCTGAACCTAAGCAGTCTGGTTCCAGAGTGTATGCTCTGAACTACCACATGACACTGCTTCTATGATGACCAGATAGATGCAGTAGCATGCTATGTACCCTAAATATACACACAGATGAAGCTTAGCCTTCTGCATTTCAAAATATGATAAGTGAAGTTAGAAAACCCTAACAAAGTGGGAAAACATAGCATATATTACAGACAAGGTACTAAATTTTCTTTAATATATGAAGAACTCATACAAATCACTTGCAAATGGACAAGTAAAGGGAAAAAAGAAAGAAAAAGAAAAACATTAACAAGCAGTTTACTGAAAAGAAATACTAATAAGCTTATACGCAGTGCCACTCATCTTACACAAGCACAAGTGAAAACCACGTTGAGACATAATTTTTATCAACCACATTGTCAACTATTGAAAAGTTTACTACTACTCAATGTTTTGACCAGGTTGAGGGAAAACAGGCTTATTGTTGGAAGTGTAAATTGGTAGAATTTTAAAATACTAATTTGGTAACATGCATCAAAAAACTTAATGTGCTTATCATTTGACCCATTAATTCCACTTCTAGCTGTCTATTCCATAGATGTATAAGTGTCTGAAGACATATAGGCATAAGAATGTTCATTGAATCATTGTTTTTTGTTTGTTTTGTTTTGTTTTGTTTTGTTTTTTGAGACAGAGTCTCACTCTATCGCCCAGGCTGGAGTGCAGTGGTGTGATCTCAGCTCACTGCAACCTCCACCTCCAGGTTCAGGTAATTCTCCTGTCTCAGCCTCCCGAGTAGCTGAGACTACAGGCATGCACCACCACACCTGGGTATTTTTTTTTTTTTGTATTTTTCGTAGAGATGGGGTTTCACTGTGTTGGCCAGGCTGGTCTTGAACGCCTGACCTTAAATGATCCACCCGCCTCGGCCTCCCAAAGTGCTGGGATTACAGGTGTGAGCCACTGTGCCCGACCTGAGTCATTGTTTATCAGTGCTGCTTAATGTAAATCAACTACATTGCTAAGAGCACTGTACATTCAGCTGACTTTTTTTCTTATAAGAAGATTTTCTTGAATGAAGAAAGAAGTCCATTTTGTTGCAAGCTCCTTATCCCAATGTGAAATAGCACTTTGAGTAGCACTAGTTTATAATAATTAAAAATTGGAAATAACCCAAAAGTTCATCAGTGGGCTATCTGCTAAATAAATTATAATAGATCCAAAAATAATAGATCCCCATGTAGGTGCTTTTTATCTTGTACCCTTCTATACTGTTTACAATTTTCTACAATTAGCATAAATTACATCTATAATTTTTTAAAACACTTGTAATTAAAAATTTTAATTTTGTTTAAAAGTCAAAAATATCTGTCAGATTAGACTCATTGTAGGTCAAATTTCCAGAAACTGGCTTTGGACTAAAATTTGTTGTAGAAGACCTAGTGAGACCATCTTACCTGGGGTGAATTCGCATGGAGTCATTTGTACAAAATGTAAAAACACCTCAGCTTTTTTTTTGTTTCCAAACTCAGAAATCTGTTTTTCCTCTCCTTGAGAGAAAAAGTTTATTGTGGCCAATTCACACTTCTCCCAAACCAAAGTTTTAGTCCATCTCTAAGATGGGTCTCAAAGCTCGGAGTGGTGAAGTCAGGATTCTACTCCTGCAGTGTGGCAATCTATCTTCTAATTCCAATCATAATGGTTACAAAGAAGAGCAGGACTGACTGGGCACGGTGGCTTACGCCTGTAATCTCAGCACTTTGAGAGGCTGAGGCGGGTGGATCACCTGAGGTCGGGAGTTCGAAACCAGCCTGGCCAAGATGGTGAAACCCTGTCTCTATTAAAACTAAAAAATTAGGCAGGTGTGGTGGCACATGCCTGTACTACTCGGGAGGCTGAGGCAGGAGAATCGCTTGAACCTGGGGGGGCAGAGGCTGCAGTGAGCCGAGGTCGCACCACTGCACTCCAGCCTGGGCGACAGAGTAAGACTCCATCTCAAGAAGAAAAAAAAAAAACAAAAAAAACAGGACCAAGAAGTTCTTAGTGCTCACAAGGACCCAATGATGGTGACCCTAACACACATTTGACAGAATCTAGGGGTCCTATATGCTTCATGGAAACTACAGTTTACAGTGCCAGAAAGTGTGAGACATGAGGCCTTTTAGGGCTGCGTGGAATACGGTCATAATCGCTAACATTTGTACAGTGCCATGCAGTTTGCGAAGTGCTTTTATATCGACTGCCTCATTGACTCCCCACAACAGATCGTTGGAGTAGGTAAATTTCACAGGTCTAATTTTATAGGTGCAAACAATGGGTATAGAAAGAAGGCTTATGCTTATTTCCCAAAGGTACTAAGAAGTGAAGTAGCAAAGCCAGAGCATGCCAGCCCAGGTTCTTACCACCACAACACACCGCCTTCCAAGGCATGACTTTCCTATGCCATCCCTGGCAGGACAGCATGGGTGGCTTGCTCTTCTTCTCTGTGTTTATTTGCATGCTGTGACACCACTGAGCTGGATAAGTTTAAAAGCAGGCTATGGCTGTTGCCACTGTTTGTTAAACATTGCTACTTGGAGCAGACGGAGAACACAGGCAGCAGCTTGAGTTTTTCTTAGCCATCTTGAACAGTATCAAGCAGGACAAACAGAGGGAAAGCAATTCTTGTTTATCCCAAAGAAGGAAGTGACAGCACATATCGTGTTTTCTGTTGGAATGTCTGTTCTGCCTTGGCTTCGCAACGCTTTATGCTTTTTGCCTGGAAGTTTTAAGTGATGATGCTAAAATGATCTTCCTTGAAGGCCTTTCTAACTCTGATACCAATTTTCACCATTGCACAGCAGCTTTTCTTGTCAGGCATCTCTCCCTCTCTACAGCTGTCCATTAAACTACCCATGTCTTATGTTCCATTTATTTTAAATATTTCTACTTTCTTGTGCATAAAGCCTGAATAGAGGAATTGTAACTATGCAATAATATGTTCCAGTTACCAAGCACCTATTATCTGACAGACACTGAGGTAGGCACTTTATGTATTGCATTTTATCTCAATCTTAGTGCAAACCCTACAAGGTATAGCTCCTTACTCCCACTTTGCAGATGAAGAAACTAGATAAGAATGACTAAGTAGTAAGGGACAGAGCTGAGATTCAAAGGTAGTTCTGTCTAGCTTCAAAGCCAAGGTTTTCTCTCCAGTGCAGAGCACACCACAAATAATGCTAATTGTATTAGTGAGGGAAAGAAGGTATTACCTGAAAATGTTCATTTTAAAGTTAGGTATTTTAATAGTCGGCATCACACTCCCTTTTCCTCAGTCTTTGAAAGCTGGATTGGTGGCCTAAGGTGATGAAATTCAAACCTAATACAAATGCAGCACTCCCATATCATATCCCTTAACAGTCTAAGGAGAATTGCTGAATATAATGGGCCCGTCTGTTCTACTGCTTCATCTACCTGGTCAGCTCTCAAAGGAAAACAAAATCCATACGATCATCGAGGTCTAGAAATTAACTTTTATTTTAAATCTGTCAAGAACTCCTGGCAGTTATTAATTTTATTAAAATGATTACATATGGCAAAACAAAGAATAGAGGTAATTCTATTTCTCTACAACATAAATTATGAGTTAGATTTTCAGCTGCCGGCTCAGCATTGTTCAAGATTCTTTTAAAGGACTGGGGGGATTTTAATATCCAGAAAATGTTAAAGCAGCAAAAGAAAAAATAAATTAAAAAGTCATTGCAATTGGAGATATTACCAAGGATGTGCTTACTATAAAGTCTTCTTGACATGTTAATTATAAAATCTTCCAACCTTTGGTATTAAAAAAAATCATGTGAATAGTTGTCCTATATTGCCTTGTCATCTATAATTTATAACATAGAAGAAATTTGCTGATTTTTTTAAAAAGATGGCAAACATGAATCATGACTCATTCAAATAAAATACAACCAGCATTCATTCATTTAACTGAAATATGTCAAAACAAAAACACTTTTATTAACATATTTAATACCAGAATAACTTATAATAGTATGAAAAAGAGTGAAGTATTTGTCTTTAGTTTTCATTGACATGCTCACATTTTGGCATTTTTGTATTGTTTTGCAAAGATTCCAAAGTTTTTATCAGAGATCTCTAACTATTTAAGGATGCAAACCAAAAGAACTCATACTTCATCTGATCATACAGTCATAACTTATATATTTTGCTTTGCGCTTACTGTTACTGCAAACAGCAATTTAGAAAACAAAGTAAAAATATATATATATACACAAAATATTTTTATATCAAATTATCTTCATTACACTAAATAAACCCAATCCCCAAATGTTATGTTACATGAAAAAGTGTCCTACAATTTAGATCAAGACTGATACTGTCCATCAACTAGAGCAGCCTTTGGTTTTAAAAGCATTTTGCAAAATAAAGAAAAATGTCACCACTGGCTGCACTATTGACCCTCATTCACACTGACAAAAATGCTTTCCAGTTTAAAAAAAAAATAGATTACATACCCAGAAAAAAAAAATCCCATCATAAAAAGTCAAACCCTTTTTACTTCTCTGTAGCACATACCCTCTGTTATATTTGGCATTTCCACTGCTTATTCAAGTTTCAGGTCTTCCCAAGCTGATTGGAATATTATTGTTTAGTTGAGAAAGATAGTCTTCTTTCTTGATATTGATTATTCTCACTCAATGGTAGACTAATTTAGAAACAAAATGTTTTCTTTCAATGCATGATTTCACTTCATTTTTACTTTAATGTCCAACTTGGCAAAATTCAAACTGTTCAATGTTTTGTTTTCCATATGTTTTAAATTTAAAAATCAATTTTATGTATGTATATGTATAGCCGCACAGAGATACATTTCTTTCATTCTGTTGTTCTCGCTGCAATACAAATTGTCCATCAGCAATTGTAATTTGAAACAAACCAAATAAAAGATTTTTAGTCATTCCATACGAACACAGTTTCCATCACAAAAAGACAGTGAGCTCTAATGCAAACAGGATTATGTTTTAAAACTACAGGTTTAGTTTTACACAGGAAAATTTTGAGTTATTTGTATAATAAAGTTTTTTTTTAAACTTCAGCAGAACTTGAGAAACAAATCCAGATTAATTCTAAAGGGCTTTGTGGTGCTTTCCAACAGTGCTTGAAAAAAAGTTTTCCTGGTCACCATGTGTTCAATGAAATTTTAAATTAGCTTGAAGGAATCACTTCTTAAATGTACAACGTTCTGTGGATCGCTGCACCTTGAATTTTGGAAGTTTGTAACATATCAAATATGCAGGCAAGATACATGCATAAAATTCTCACCGTCACTCTGAAAAGCACATTGAACAATTTTCAATAATGTAGACGTTTTTTAAAAGGAAGATTTCATTTGGGCTGAACAGATATCCAAGTTTTAACATATGAATTATTGAATGTATTTCAAGGGCTTTCAGCGATTCTGGTTTCAGTCCTGGAATGATTAGGCCCGTCTGGAATGATGCACACAGGCTAATAAGCATATGGCGTTGGCATTTTGAGGCATAGCTTGTTCAACTATGCCCACGTTGGAGCTTATTGTCGGGAAGCAAGGCACTTACTGTAATGGTAATGCAGATGTTTTATGCATAGTTTGAGTAACATAAAATAAGTTAATATTTTTGATTAAAATGAGTTTTTTATAATTTATATGTCTTTTATAGAAGCAACTAAATGATATATTTGGGATAATTAAAAATAAGAAGAGGTTTGGGAGAGAGTCATTTTCATCCCTGCTTCGGCTCTTAGGATGAGGGTTGATGAAAACACCGGAAAGAACATCCATTGGATCTGAAAAGCAACAAGCTCTTAAAACTGCTGCACCAGCGGCACTTTGACAGTCTTTACTTCTGCTATATGGGACGACTTCTGGATGATGCAGCTGGTAGTTCCCTGCAGTTTGTCCTTTCCCTGTGCAAGATTTGTTAAGGCCATAGCTGCGTTGATCTCCTTCCAATACGTGTCATCCTTGCTTGGTCCTTTTCTGTTAGCTGCGCTGGAGTTAAGCAAAACAGAAAGTAAACGATCAAACTCACTGCAGTTTGCATTGAAAATGCCATCGCTGAAAAGCAGGAACGGCCAATGGGAACATTTTGCTCACCTTTCACCCTTATTGGATCCGTTTTCCAGAGTGTCTGTAAAGAAAAGCAAAAATTCAATTATTTTTATGTTTTTCCTTTCTTTTCTCATCTCAGGAGTTTCATCACTAATGACCAGAAGTAAAAGTTCTTCAGGAAATATGGTTGAAAATTAGTTCGCTTTTAATAAAGATAAAGCAGTTTATATTAAGATGCAAAAAAAATTGCAAAGGGGCAGAAGTAAGATGACAGTGGGTAGTAAAGAATAAAAGGTAGCTCTCATAGATACACAAAAATCTGAAGTTATTTACTCTGAGAAATTGGGCCTTTTGGATCAGGAGACAAACAGCATAAGGAAAAGAGTGCTGACTGTACCTGGGGCCAGGTTCTGGCCTTGCCCTACTACCCACTTGCAGTGTAACCTGGGGGCAGATTATGACCTCCCACAATGTCAGGGATTCAGTTCTCTAACTATAAAATCAGGGAGCTTTGGCTGGGCACAGTGGCTCATATCTGTAATCCCAGCACTTTGGGAGGCCAAGGCGGGGGATTGCTTGAGCCTAGGAATTCGAGACCAGCCTGCGCTACATAGTGAGACCTCATCTCTACTAAAAATAAAAATAAAAATAGCTGGGTATGGTGGGTGTTCACCTATATTCCCAGTTACTCAGGAGGCTGAGGTGGGAGGATTGCTTGAGCCCAGGGGGGTGAAGGTGCAGTAAGCAGTGATTGTGCCACTGCACTCCAGCCTGGGCAACAGAGCAAGACCCTGTCTCTAAGAAAATTAAAATAAAAAAGGGGGGGGTTCTAGAAAATCTTGGGGGTGCTTCTGGCTCAATGATTCTATAATTTCATGGTTATCAAATTTTCTTTTTTCTTTTTCTTTTTTTTTTTTTTTGAGATGGAGGCTTGCTCTGTTGCCCAGGCTGGAGTGCAGTGCTGTGATCTCGGCTCACTGCAACCTCCACCTCCCAGGTTCAAGCAATTCTTCTGCCTCAGGCTCCTAAGTAGCTGGGATTACAGGCACCCGCCACCAAGCCCGGCTAATTTTTGTATTTTTAGTAGAGACAGGGTTTCACCATGTTGATCAGGCTGATCTCGAACTCCTGACCTCGTGATCAGCCTGCCTCAGCCTCCTAAAGTGCTGGGATTACAGGCGTGAGCCACCGTGCCTGGCCAGTTATCAAACATTTATTTCAGACAAAGGATGGGCAAATAGTTCCCTCTGCTAGTTAGCAAATGAGTAACGGACCCAATGGTGATAGCAATACAGGATTTCCTGGCATATTTATTAGAAGAAGCAGGCATTGGTCCTCAATTTCCAAAACAACGCCTCCTCCTGCTGCTGCAGGAAATGAAAGTTAGGATGCTAGCTTTTGCTTCTGCACTCACATCTTTGGTTTAGATTTGCTGCTTCACTCAGAACACGAATGTCTCCCAACACCACATAAATATAAAGAACCCACGAAAATGGGTTCTCAAGCTCCTTAGGCTAAAAGAATCTGGTATGAGTAACACAAAAATTTACCTACTGAAGGGAAAGATGTAGGGTGGTAGGAGAGAGGCTACTGGCATGGCATCCGAGCAAAGGAGTGGGGTTGAGACTCCAAAACCAGATAGTGGGTAAGCCCCTCTTCATCATCATCGTCATCATCATCCACAACAATAATCAATGTTACTGGGGAGCTACTGCACTTGGCACTGTGCTGCACACAGGAAACCTGGAAAACGCAAGGCCCTCTGCTAGTTCTACGGCCTTTGCAAAACTGTCTTTTCCTGCCCTTAGTCCTCTCCCTTCCTTTTACGCCCCCTGCCCCTGCCAACCCAATATTTCTCACAATTTCTTTTTCTCTGCACTGCTCAAGGCTAGTTAGGAAATGCAACCTAATTTCCAATTCTGAGCTCTAAGACAGTCACAGAACTAGAAGAGGTCTGAGAAGAATAACGTCAACATGATCGTCATATAGTCTAACCAGGGCAAAATTTCCCAGGAAGAGATAGTCAAGAGAAAATAAATTATATGCCCATGAGGCAGCCAAGCTTCGATGCCCTCTCTGAAGGAAAAGAATGGGGAAAGCCTGCTGACCTATCCTGAGTTAAGCCTTAAGGTGTAGACCACGAGACAATCATGGGTCACTCTGAGCTCTTTTCACAACCCTTCACGTAAGGAACTTAAATAAACAAGGCGAACAAACAAAACAAAAGGATTTAGTGAACAAATGGCAAGGTTGTTGTGAAGAACACATGAGATCATGTGTGTCTGGCCCAGAATGGAACAACAAGTGTTAGTTCCTTTGGTCTCCTTTCACTGACTACTCAGGCAGCATTTTATAAGGTTTTAGGGATCCTTTGGGGGAAATAATTGGATCTGTGAACAGTTAGATCGTTACCTTCTGCAGCTCTGCCAGCTTCTGGCTCTTACAGGGTCAGCCTGGATGCTTAGCTATACCTCTGCTACTTTCCATAATTTTGCAATATAAAGTAACTCATGTAAATGCAGGAAAAGAATGATCATTTGTAATTTACAGAACTCTGATATGCTGATTTACAGATCACTTACTACGTGCCAGGCACAATTCTGAGTACTTTGTGTCCTAATTTATTTACTACTACTGACTTTGTGTATGGATAGCATGTCTCCATAGTATCTGCGAAGTCATTTTTTATTGAGTTCTATTCTCCTATCTGTAAATCTTCACTCAGTAAGGACAGAGACAAGGCGCTACCAGAACAGAGAACAAGTCAAGGCTTTCGTTTGGGAGAAGGAAAGCCAGCAAATTGGACATTTTACAGAGGAAAAAAAAATGAGTTAGGCCTTTGCTCCGTTTTGCCCACAAATTGCAACAATTCTGTTGCCAAAGTGAAGCAATAGGTTATGGAGATATTTATTCAATGGAAAGACTTGGCAAAAGCAGAATAATTTCCGTGAGGCTTAAATAACGTTAGGGAAATAACAAAACATAATTTAGAGAAGACTATGTAACTGACACTCTGGCTCCCAGATGAAGCCATCTCACATAGGCGAAGGAGACCAGAACCCTGTTCCCTACCTGAACTGTCAATCTCAGAGTGGTTACTGCACAGACAAGAAGAAAGCCTGTGGCTATCAAATATGTTATGGGTTGCAGAACCCGTCAATGTATCAATGCCATCAATGCATGGAGCCTGCACGTGGAAGGAGAAGATGTAATTCACGGCTCAGGTCCACGGAGAGCTTCTATTTAAGATGAGGAGTCAACTTGTATGTCTTGCAGCCCCATGAGCTCCTGGCTGTAGCTAGCACTCCCTGTGGCTGACTCCTTGAACTTGTTCCACTGAGAAACACGTTTACTGCAGCCAACTGTGAAATTATAAAATTCTGCTTACTCTTTGGGTGTATGTGTTTGACACTTTGGTGCCTATGAAAATACCTTTGAAGTGCAAAAACGTAGACTCAAGTCCCCATTCAGGTATTCTTAATTGGGTTTTACAAATCTCAGCAATGTACTACACAGGATTCAATAGACTGAATTCTGTATTTTATTCTTCAGGCAGACGGGCACATTCAATGTCAGTAGGTATAGATTGGGTTCCTCTCCAATAACAGAAAAAAATCATCTTACATCACACACCAGGGCCTGTCGGGAGGTGGGGGGCTGGGGGAGGGAAAGCATTAGGAGAAATACCTAATGTAAATGACAAGTTGATGAGTGTAGCAAACCAACATGGCACATGTATACCTATGTAACAAACCTGCACGTTGTGCACATGTACCCTAGAACATAAAGAATAATACAATGAAAAAAAGAATTTCTATTAAAAACAAAGTAATGGAGAATAGTGTGAAAACTGCATACAACAAAGCTCAATCTCAAAGACTGAAATCAACAAGGAAAAGCTGCTTACCACCACTTGGGAAGGGCCGGGGGTGGGCAGTCTCTGTGTTCAAAGTGATTTTAGTTCAAAAAATGAATTGATGTTAGAAGGGCACGCTTTTCCTGAGGCTGTTACTGGTGGGCTGCTCAGTGTCACTAGGGTATTTTGAGTCCAAGTGCCACCTCCTGTGGAGTAACGTGTTCTGGTTCCCAGAATAGCCAACCCGGCAAAAGGAA
This sequence comes from Homo sapiens, assembly GCF_000001405.40. Lineage (NCBI taxonomy): Eukaryota > Metazoa > Chordata > Mammalia > Primates > Hominidae > Homo > Homo sapiens. The sequence goes on from NC_000010.11 coordinate 27,679,589, forward strand.
GACAGCAAACAGAGCCCTTTGACTCTGAAACATTTGTGCTTTTTTAGGAAAGCAAGGACTCTAAAGATCTGGGAGTCTGGGGAGTTGTTTCTTTTTTTTCTATTTGTTGTGCTAAGATGAAATCTGGAGAAATGTCGCAGCTTTTAGAGAACTGATATCATTTGATGGGAATTCAGAAAATTTACAATCTTCTCATTATACTAACTGGTTGTATTAAGTGTTGTAATTTTTTTTTCTTATGCTCTTTCCCTTTGAAGTAAAAACTTATCAGCTCTTCTCTGGCTCAAGTGTGCTGTGTGTTGTGTCTTTGCAGCTCATGGTCAGTATTTGAGGAGCAGTGGGTCTGTGTACCCACCACTGGCGGTCATAGGGGTCCTGACACATCTGTCCACTGCTGACAGGTGGTCTCACCGGCTCCACTCGAGAAGTGGCACCTAGTAGCTCCAGAAACAATCAGACAGGAGAGGGAAGGATTGTGCATGTTGTGAAAGAGGGAAAATGCAAGTTGGAGCTAGCTCCTGGTATGTAGACTCTTGAGAGCAGTTCATTAGCATGCACAGACTCAGGGTCTGACTGCCCCACATTTGGCTCGGCTATATCTCTTACTCTGCAAGTAGCTTGGCTCAGCCTCTCCAAAGTCTGAGCTAAAATGCCTTTTTAGATTCCAAGGTTCCAAAAATCAGCTACACTGTCAATTACCATAAAAGCAACTGGTTGGCAGGAACAGCTTACTGAACCAGCCAAAAGAGCGTGTTTTAAGACCAAAAAAGAAAAGAAAAGAAAAAAAAAAAAAAAAGGTGTGTAGTTAGGAAAATCTTGGATGCTGCAAAACCCAAACCATGTTGAAACTTAAAGTGGGGCTATCCTCAGTTTGGACATGTGTTTCCTTCTACAGTTAAGTAGAGAAAAAATTATACAGAAAACTCAGTTCCAATGCAACTTGAGATAGCTAAGCAAAAAGCTCTGTGGCCAACTGTGAAAAATGCAACTCAGAAGCACATTAATTCTGATATATATTCCTGATGTTATATTTGTAGCCATAAAAAGAGACCAAAACGTGGCCAAATCTTTTTCTCTGAGGTTTTTAAAAAATTTAATAAATAAGCTGTAAAGGGAAAAATGTTTTTGTTTCACAGATGCCACTGAAACGTAAGTAAAATGAGGTGAGACTTAGAATTCAGGTTTTTAAATTAAATAATCCAAAAATTATATATGTTTCCCTAAATTAAAATGGAGGGAGTAGAAGAAAAAAAACTTTTGAGATCATGGAAAGGGAAGTAAATGAGTCAGTGAGAAATCATTACTGAAATAGCTCGGCCAAGGGGGAAAACAAAGACAGACCACTAGGATTATTTGAGTGGGAAGAGGAAGCCACTCATATTTTAAAACAATAAAAGAAGGTACAGTTGTGCGCCACCTAACGATAATTCGGTCAGTGGCAAACCATACATACGACAGTGGCCCATAAGATTATAATGGAGCTGAAAAATTCCTATCACCTAGTGACATCGTAATGTGGTCATGCCACACATTGCTCATGTATTTGTGGTGATGCTGGTGTAAAGAAACCTACTGAGGCTGGGGGTGGTGGCTCACGCCTGTAATCTCAGCACTTTGGGAGGCTGAGGCGGGTGAATCACTTGAGTTCAGGAGTTTGAGACCAGCCTGGCCAAAATGGTGAAATCCTGTCTCTACTAAAAAATACAAAAAATTAGCCAGGCGTGGTGGTGCATGCCTGTAATCCCAGCTACTCAGGAGGCTGAGGTGGGAGAATTGCTGGAACCCCGCAGGCGGAGGTTGCAGTGAGCCAAGATCTCGCCATTGCACTCCAGCCTGGTGACAGAGCAGGACTCCATCGCAAAACAAACAAACAAACAAACAAACACACCTACTGAGCTGCTAAATGTATAAAGTATAGCACATAAATTATATACAGTACATAATACTTGATAATAATAAATGACTATGTTACTGGGTTTATGTGTTTACTATATTTTTTATTGTTATTTGAGAGTGTGCTCCTTCACCTTAGATTTAAAAAGTTAACTGTAGCTGGGCATGGTGGCTCACGCCTGTAATCCTAGCACTTTGGGAGGCCGAGGTGGGGAATCACTTGAGGCCAGGAGTTCGAAACCAATCTGGCCAACATGGTGAAACCCTGTCTCTACTAAAAATACAAAAAAATTAGCTGGGCCTGGTGGCGGGTGCCTGTAATCCCAGCTACCTGGGAGGTTGAGGCAGGAGAATTGCTTGAACCTGAGAGGCAGAGGTTGCAGTGAGCCGAGATTGTGCCATTGCACTCCAGCCTGGGTGACAGAGCAAGACTACGTCTCAAGAAAAAAAAAAAAAGTTAACTGTAAAACAGCCTCAGGCAGGCCCTTCAGGAGGAATTCCAGAAGAAGGCATTGCTATTATCAGAGATGACAGCTCCATGCGTGTTATTGCCCCTGAAGACCTTCCAGTGGGACAAGACATGGAGGTGGAAGACAGTGATATTGATGAGCCTTACCCTGTGCAGGCCTAGGTTAATGTGTGTGTTTGTGGCTTAGTTTTTAACAAAAATGTTTAGAAAGTAAAAATAAAAAATGAAAAATTTTAATAACAGGAAAAAGTTTATAGAATAGGATATAAAGAAAATATTTTCATACAGCTGTCCAATGTGTTTGTGTTTTAAGCTAAGTGTTATTACAAGAGTCAAAACTTTTTTTAAAAAGCGTATAAAGTAAAAAAGTAACAGTAAGCTAAGATTAATTTATTGTAGAAGAAAAAAATTTTAAAATAAATTTAGGGTGGCCTAAGTGTCCAGTGTTTATAAAGTCTACAGTAATGTAGAGTAATGTCCTAGGCCTTCACATTCACTCACCACTCACTTACTCACTCACTCACCCAAAGCAACTTCCAGCCTTGCAAGCTCTGTTCATGGTAAGTGCCTTACACAAGTGCATCATTTTTTATTTTTTACTAGCGGTCCTCAACCTTTTTGGCACCAGGGCCTGGTTTTGTGGAAGACCATTTTCCCACGGACCAGGGATGGGGGTGCGTTTCAGGATAAAACAGTTCCACCTCGGATCATCAGGCATTAGTTAGATTCTCAAAAGAAGCGCACAACTGACCAGGCGCAGTGGCTCGTGCTTATAATCACAGCACTTTGGGAGGCCGAGGCGGGTGGATCACAAGGTCAGGAGTTCGAGACCAGTCTGGCCAATACAGTGAAACCCCGTCTCTACTAAAAATACAAAAATTAGCCAGGCATGGTGGCAGTCACCTGTAATCCCAGCTACTTGGGAGGCTGAGGCAAGAGAATCGCTTGAACCTGGGAGGCAGAGGTGGCAGTGAGCCGAGATCTCATCGTGCCACTGCACTCCAGCCTGGGCAACAGAGCTAGACTCGGTCTCGAAAAAAAAAAAAGAAAAGAAAAGAAAAGAAAAAGAAGCGCACAACTACATGCGCAGTTCACAATAGGTTTTGCGCTCCTGGGAGAATCTAATGCCACCGCTGATCTGACAGGAGGTGGAGCTCAGATGGTAATGTGAGCGATGGGGGAGCAGCTGTAAATACAGATGAAGCTGCTTATCTCCTGCTATGCAGCCTGGACCACTACCGGTCCGTGGCCCGGGGATGGGGGGGCCCCTGTTTTATACCATATTTTACTGTGTCTTTTCTATGTGAAGGTATGTTTAGATACATATTTTTAATGCTTACCATTGGTTCCGATTGCCTACAGTAGTCAGTACAGCAATCTACTGTACAGGTTTGTAGCCTAGGAGCAATAGGCTGCAGCATGCAGCCTCGGTATGCAGAAGGCTATGCCGTCTAGGTTTGTGTTAGTACACACTACGAGATTCGCACATGATGAAACTGCCTGATGATACACTTGCATTTCTTAGAGCACTTCCCTGCTGTTAAGCAACACATGGCTATATTCACCTTGCTCATGAGGACTGGCCTAGTGCCCTTGCAGAGCAATTAAAAATCCGGGGCCTGTGATAATGATCCAAAGCAAGTCAGAGCTCCAGATGCTTGAAAACTGTGCTTCTGCACACCTATTAAGTTTGGGGGCCATTACTTTGATAGCAGGTGTGCAGAGCCTGCGTCTAGTGTGTTACTGACCTCAGAAGTCCAGAGAGCCTCTGGGGATACCAGATCAGTTTCTGGAGTTATTCACATACTTGGAACAACTGAGGATAAGAACAAGACTCTGGTGAGTAGGGCAGGTATAAAACCTCCCTGAAGATTCTGAAATACCAATTGCTGTGAAGTTGCAGTGCCTTACCAAATGACCCCCAGGGCTCACAAGCAATCCCCAGGGCTCCCTGCTCACATTGCTGCAGTCTCCATCTCTACTTCTCCATACCTGGAGACTGAAGCTGGGCTTCCATACCCATCTACAAATTGGTTCTACAGTGACTATACAGTTCTTTCTTTTTATAAATAGCATTTGTTGGCTGGATACAGCAGCTTATGCCTGTAATCCCAGCACTTTGGGAGACCGAGGTGGGAGGATTGCTTGAGCCCACGAGTTTGAGACCAGCCTGGGCAACATATTGAGACTCCGTGTCTATTAAAAATTTTGAAAATTAGCCAGGCATGGTGGTGTGTGCCTGTAGTCCCAGCTACTTGGAAGGCCGAGGTGGGAGGATCATTCAAACCTAGGAGGTCAAGGCTGCATTGAGCTGAGATCATGCCACTGCACTTGGGCCTAGGTGACAGAGTGAAACCCTGTCTCAAAAAAGAAAAAAATATATATATATACAAACACACACACACACATATATAAATATAGCATTTGTTGTTTTTCTTTAATAAGAAAGTAATACAGCTTCCCTGCAGAAAATCTAAGAAAAAGTGTAAAATAGAAAATAAGGGGCAATCAGGGATAACTAATATTAACATTTGAATGTATGGCCTTCCAAACAAGTATTATACACATTTTTTAAAAAGGCATAATTCTGGACATGTGTTATAACCTGCATTTTCTACTGAACTTCTGTGTTCACCTTACCTTTTGTTAATAAATAAGACAATAATTTACCCCTTGGCCTTTCCCAGTGTGGCAGTGGATTTTGCCTGTGAAATAGAAACAGCCTGAAAGAATTCAAAATCCAGCTTCATCCAACTTAAACTTGAATATTAAGCAGTGCAAATGTTGCAAGAAGGAATTATCTTTAAAACAACCAGGGACTGGTTTCGTGGAAGATGATTTTTCCACAGACCGGGGAGCGGGGGGTTTGAGATGAAACGATTCCACCTCAAATCATCAGACATTAGTTAGATTCTCACAAGAAGTGCGCAACCCTTGTATGCACAGTTCACAATAGGGTTCACGCTCCTATGAGAATCTAATGCTGCTGTTAATATTTATTGAATGCTTATTCTATGCCAGACACTATGCCAGAAACGATACAAATGTTATTTGGTTAAATGCCTGCAATGACCCTGTGTGACAGCACCACCACCCTTATTTACAAATGACACTGTAGCTTAGAGGGGTCCAGGAACTTGCATCTTTGCAAGCTGTGAGACTCAGTGCCAGGTCCCCTGGCCCTGGCCCTGAAGGTCATGTTTTTAACCCCTGCATGGCATTATCCAAGTAACCTCTGTCAATAAAGCCACCTGCAAAGACCATGGCAAGGCTTAATGCATTGTATATGAAAGCCTATGGCAACAGAACCTATTAAAAATGGATTAAACTTTTCTCTGTACTTTTTGCTAGGATATTAGACCACAAAGAGACCAAAACCAGATTTTTTTCTCCTTATGATTTAATATGTAATATCAAGGAATCTGTCCAGATTGTAGAATAGGGAATTCAAGTAAGTTGTCTTGAGATCTTCTTTATACTTTCAGCAGAGTGATTTTTTTTTTTTTTTTTTTTTTTGAGACGGAGTCCCGCTCTGTTGCCCAGGCTGGAGTGCTGTGGCACGATCTCGGCTCACTGCAAGCTCCGCCTCCCGGGTGCACGCCATTCTCCTGCCTCAGCCTCCCGAGTAGCTGGGACTACAGGCGCCCGCCACCACGCCTGGCTAATTTTTTTTGTATTTTTAGTAGAGACGGGGTTTCACCGTGTTAGCCAGGATGGTCTCAATCTCCTAACCTTGTGATCCACCCGCCTCCGCCTCTCAAAGTGCTGGGATTACAGGCGTCAGCCACCACACCCGGCCCAGTAGAGCGATTTCTAATCGAAGTGTGATATCCCTGTAACCGCTCCTCTATAGCCCTGAGTGAATAACTGCTAAACAGTTCCTAGGCAGCTGCTGCTGCGTCACTTTCAGAGGAAATTTTTGTGGTTATCCTCTCTTTGGGACAGTTAGAGCTTTTGAATGAGTAAAGAGAAATCATTCTAAGTGATATTTGCCAAAAAAAAGGAAGAAAAGAAAAACCACCCAACAACCCATAACAGTTATTTGCTGATGACCAAACTCTTCTACCAGTCCCACTGACCAAAGTGAGTTTTACTTTAAAACTTTGGCATGACAGGAAGAGACTGCAACTAAAGCCTGGTGAAGATCAAGGCTACTGAAGATGAAAGAGTTATTAGAAGCCTGGATTTTGTGGATCTGGAGATAGGAGAGCTTTGGAAGCTTTCTAAATGGTGAGAAATGAATAATAAATAATAAATGAATAAAATGAAACCCACCCCATCTTCATGGATGGACCTAGTATTTTTTTTCTTCTTACAATAGACTAGCTAAATTATTTATCCTCGGGGTATAAACAATGAGAGGCATCCGAAATTATTTCAGAATTTGAAGAAGGAAAGAAAGAAAGAAGGAAAGAAAGAAAGAAAGGGAAGGGAAGGGAAGGGAAAGGAAGGAAGGAAGGAAGGAAGGAAGGAAGGAAGGAAGGAAGGAAGGAAGGAAAGAGGGGGAAGAGAAGAGAAGAGAAGAGAAAAGTCTTTTCTTTCTTCTGAGACAGTCTTGTTCTGTCACCCAGGCTGGAGTGCAGTGGTGTGATCTCGGCTCACTGCAACCTCTACCTCCTGGGTTCAAGCGATTCTCCTGCCTCAACTTCCTGAGTAGCTGGGATTACAGGTGCCCACCACCATGCCCAGCTAATTTTTGTATTTTTAGTAGAGATGGGGTTTCATCATGTTGGCCAGGCTGGTCTCAAACTCTCAACCTCAGGTGATCCGCCCGCCTTGGCCTCCCAAAGTGTTGGGATTACCAGCATGAGCCACCGTGCCCAGCCAACTCTTTTCCAAAAATAAAGCCAGTGTTGCTTCCAGCCATGACTTCCATATTCTGGCCAGAAATTATTTTCCTTTCTGCCACCCCTCATGTGGGCTGGCCCCTCATGATGGCTAATGATACCCAGATGTCCTGGATCCACAGGGTCCTCACCTTCAACTGCCTTTCTGTCAATGCATAGTCCCCCCAACTAGCTCCTGCTAGAGAATAAAAATTAAAAGCCACACCTCTCTCTTTTTTTTTTTTTGAAACGGAGTCTCGCTCTGTTGTTCAGGCTGGAGTGCAGTGTGGCACGATCTCGGTTCACTGCAACCTCCGCCTCCTGGGTTCAAGTGATTCTCCTGCCTCAGCCTCCTGAGTAGCTGGGATTACAGGCACGCACCACTACGCCCGGCTAATTTTTGTATTTTTAGTAGAGACGGGTTTCACTATGTTGGTCAGGCTGGTCTCGAACACATGACCTCGTGATCCACCCGCCTCGCCCTCCCAAAATGCTGGGATTACAGGCGTGAGCCATTGCGCCCAGCCCACACTTCTCTATTTTGAACCAACAGTGAAGAGCTCCCTAGTTAAAATGGGGATATTTTCATATCTCGAAGCTCTCAGGCTAGGTTATAATTCCATTAATAACAACAATAGGACATCTTTCTTTCTACAAGAGTACCAATGCCTCGGGTCGATGTGGGAAAGTGCTGCTTGGCTCCTTATGTTAGGGAGCTACAGCCCTGGCTGGTGGCTCTTTAGTCATTTCCTGATGTTTATTTTTTTCTGGTAAAATGCACAGCTCTTCTGGCCTCGTCAGTCTGGGCCAGTGGAGGTGCAGGAAGCGGGACTTGCAACTTAAAAGTAGCTTTTCAGAATAAACAGACCACCACCCAGTGATCGTTTTCACTAAGCACATTAAATATTCTTGATGCTAACTCATTCAGCATAGTCCCACTTTCCAAGATTGCTCCTCTGTGATCTCAAAGGCTCCATCTTCCCCAAGTTTAAAATGTTCAGCCTGAAGTTTCACTTTGAAGATTTGAATGCAGTCTATGGGGAGGCCAGTGTCAGCGGGGGATGAGAAAGAGGGTCTGGAAATGTTAAGTATTCTCGTTTCTATTCTTGGCTCTTGGTATTCACCACGAGGGTGGTCTGGAGGGAGACTTAGAGGCCGTGTAGTGTAATGGTCAGAGTCCAGACTCTAGACCTAGACAGCATGAGCTGCACCTCTGCTCTCTCACTTAGCATCAGCGTGCCAAGCTGGCCAGCTGCTTGACTTCTCTGCATTTCATCTTTATCACCTATTAAATGAAGATAATAGTACCAGAGTCATAGGGTAGTTATGTGGACCACACGAGTTCATATTTTATAAAACACTTAGAAGAGAGCTTGAGCACATATACCAAGCACTATGGAAGTCCTTGTTAAAAAAAAAAAAAGAAAGAAAAAGTTAACCTCCTCTCTCACTTTAATTTTCTACATCTAGAAAATGGAATTAAATGCAGTCACCAGAAAAATTAGTGTTATTCGATGATTTAATATGAAAACCATTATGTAAGGAGAAAATATTTTAACTCTGGGCAAAAGCCCATCAGCTCAGATTAATGGATTAAGTGTGCAGAATCTATCATCTTCAAAGACAAAAATGGCTTTTCTGATGGTCCTTTGTGCCAAAACACCACAACATGCCAAGACAAAGAGACCTGGAGCCACATTAAAGAATATCTATTAGCTTTAAGTGTCTAATGGATTTTGTTACTTCATTTTCTCAAGGGGAATATTGGAGATGTTACCCAAAGTGTTTCATCCATGAAACCTAGATTTCCAGCCAAAGTCTCAGAAAATGACTTCCTAACTATGCATGAATAACTTCTGTGTGTGCTTGTATGTTGCAAAGAGCATTGTTTATAAAAGCACTCCTTTTTACATGCAGGTTGAGCTACTAGTTCTGAAACCTAAATGCATTTATAGTGCTTCTTAGCTAAATCTTAATTTTGTCCCCACATCTTAATATTGATATTCATCCTTTCAGTTCTATATAGCCCAAGGGTTATTTCTCCCAAGATTCACTTTATAGTTACCACACTGCAGTTTTAGAAGGGTTGACTTGTTTAATAAATATACAGCTGAATGGTGTTAGGCTACAAAGGACTAATGTGACTTCAGCAAAAAAAGACTTTTTAAATGGAAAAAAATGTGCATTCATGATCTAGAAGTTGGCTGGAAAGTCTGTCTCCTCCATCTATTTTCAAACTCCTCAGTATCTCTGAAAAACCATCAAAAAGTATTTTTCCTTTGATACATGAACTGTAGTGTATCTTTGAATTGGCTCACATTATTGCCATGCTTTTCAAATTCCTCAAATTACCATCTCCAGAAATGACACTTCAGACTAGGAAATCTCCGTGTTAAACCTGTCTGACTGATTAACACCAGAAATGACACAATGAGAGAGGTGACGCTCACAAACTTCTTGGCTCTTCACAAGAGCGGCAAACGGCAGTTTTTCTACTCACTGTTCATCTGCTGTATTTACTACTAGAAAAAACCCCCACATTTTAGACATAAGATGAATACTACTACCAAGTCTTTCTTCTACATTTTAAATATGCTGCAATGTTCTTAATAAACTTAAACCTTAAAACTCTACTTGGCATGTCGGTGTTCTGGGTTCACACATTTCTATGTTTAAAGGTTCTGCAATTTTCTGCTTTTAATTTAGGAACAGTATTTAAAGCCTAAACTGGGGTGAAGGTATACTTTGAAATGAAAATTGGGAAGATTTCTGCTGATGGTATCGAAGGGTATAAATTAAAAAAGAACCATGCATAAAGGCGGGGTAAAACTCCTTGCCCGTGGGAAGGTGGCTGGAGCTAGAGGTCACAGAGCACCCCTAGTCTAGCAGTCCTCCCATGACCCCTTTTGACCAAAAGAACACTAAATAACTCATCTCCACTTTAAATCTTGCCAAGAGATCTACTCTAAATTTTGCCCAGGGATGTACATCCCAAACCAAGAAGAAAGGTAGCCTCCAAAAAAAGGAAGAGACCGGTCACCCCTACTTTTAAATGAGAACCACTCTGCTCCTAGAGAAAGATTCCCTGCCAAGGAGAACCGGTTCTGGCTGAAGGAAGCCACACGTGGGTGAGTGGGGACAGCTCTTGCTAACCGGAAGCATCTGATTATGTTCCTTTCCTATTAATCTATTAAATACACACCTATTAAATTCCGATGGCATACAGATCCTTTTTCCATGATTACCACCTAAACTTAGAATACAAGATATTGCTAGAAAAAAGTAAGGGATAAATTGCTTAAACCTAACAAGTCAGCCGGGTGTGGCGGCTCACGCTTGTAATCCCAGCACTTTGGGAGGCCGAGGCCAGCAGATCACGAGGTCAGGAGTTGAAGATCAGACTCACCAACATGGTGAAACCCCGTCTCTACTAAAAATAGAAAAATTAGCTGGGCATGGTGGCATGCACCTGTAATCCCAGCTACTCAGGAGGCTGAGGCCAGAGATTCATTTGAGCCCGGAGGCGGAGGTTGCAGTGAGCCGAGATGGCACCACTGCACTCCAGCCTGGGCGACAGAGTGAGACTCCATCTCAAAAAACAAAACAAAACAAAACAAAACAAAAACCTAACAAGTTCATCTTTTGGGAGGAAAATAAAAAACATTTCATAGATCCAAAACCACCTGCTTATACAGTATTTGTCTGAGGCACTGGATTTGTGGGAACATAGTGGACTCACTAAGTACGTGACCTTGGGCAAGTTATTTACACACACTATATCTAGGTTTCTTCACCTATAAAATGGGGATCATTGTAACACCTACTTCGTACGGTTGCTGTGGGGATAAAATGAGGTATTAAATGGAAAGCTCTTGAAACAGTGCCCAGCATATAAGAAGGGCTGTGGCACTCTGCTCCCTGACTTGAAGAAGTCAGGGTGCAAATCATCCTTTGTTAGCCAAGGGGCCACTCCAAGCTCCATAAAGGTACTAAGCCCCCTACTGGGTCTCTCCTGTCATACCTTAGGCCTTGATATGGTTTGCCTGTGTCCTCAAATCTCATCTTGAATTGTAATCCCCACATGTCGAGGGAGGGACCCAGTGAGAGGTGATCAGATCATGGGGTGGTTTCCCCCATGCTGTTCTCATGATAGTGAGGGAACTCTCATGAGAGCTGATGGTTTTATAAGGCAATTTTCCCTGCTCTTGCTCACTTTTCTCTCTCCTGCTGCCTTGTGAAGAAGGTGCCTGCTTCTCCTTCCGCCATGATTGTACATTTCCCGAGGCCTCCCCAGCTACACAGAACTGTGAGTAAATCAAACCTCCTTTGTTTATAAATGACCCAGTCTCAGGTAGTATCTTTATAGCCATGTGAGAATGGAAAAATATAGGCCTCTTACTTATTTTCTTAGGATGCTCTAGAGAAGAGAATGAAATTGTCTGGGGAAGTCTTCAAAGGGGAAGGTTCCTGGATCCCATCTCTGAGATTGTGTTCAGGTAGGTAATAGCTATGGCACTTGAACAAGCTCCTCAGGTGTTCCGATGTTGAGGGTGAAGGGGCTACCCTATGAGAACTATGGTGTGGGCCATTCAAAATGGACTGTTTTAGTAAATAACCATGCTGGAATTCCTGGTGTTCACTACGGTATAGCAGCACAAGGCACTATTACCTTGTCATAGTAAAAATATATATATATTATTGGATTTCTAATATTCCAGTAAGGGCCAACTAGCCATCTTACGCCTGTATCGAATGAACCAAGATTTTTTTTTGTAATAATTTCAACTACTATTTTAAATTCAGGAGGTACATATGCAGGTTTGTTACACAGGTATATTGTGTGATGCTGAGGTTTGGGGTATGAAGGATCCTGAAACTCAGTAGTGAGCACAGTACCCGATAGGCAGCTTTTTAGCTTTTGCTCTCCCTCTCTCCACCCTTTTGGAGTCTCCAGTGCTTATGGTTTCCTTCTTTGTGTCTATGTGTACTCAATGCTTAGCTCTAATTTATAAATGAGAACATGTGGTATTTGATTTTTTCTTCCTGTGTTAATTTGCTTAGGATGATGGCCTTCAGCTGCATCCATGTGGCTGCAAAGGTTATAACTTAATTCTTTTTTATGACTGTGTAGTGTTCCATGGTGTATATGTACCTCACTTTCTTTATCCAATCCACTCTTGATGGACATCTGGGTTATTTAATGTGTTTGGTATTGTGAATAGTGCTGCGATGAATATACAAATGCATGTGTCTTTTTGGTCGAATGATTTATTTTCCTTTGGCTATATACCCACTAATGGGATTGCTGTGTTGAATGGTAATCCTGTTTTAATAAACCAAGTTCTTGATTCTAATTAAATATGAATAGCAGATATAACACTTTTATAAGAAAATATCGCCCAGAAATTGGTAACTCCAGCTTCAAAAATACTATTTATTGTCTATCTTTGCTTAAATATGGATATAATACCTCTAAAAATTCTTTTTGTCAGGTGAGGTGGTAAAACATCTCAGTTTACTTGCATTTCTTTTGCCCAGTTCTTACAATTTTTGCTAGGCTATGACATATAAATCTGGGAGAATTATTACTAATACAAACTTGAGAACAAAGGAATTCAAGATTTTCATTGTAATATATTACAAGATACTTCAGAATATGCAAATCACCCTCCTTCTTCTAACTGGAATAGCCATGGTAATGACATACTGTTATGAGATCTGTGTTTTCTGTTTTGAAAATAAACATGTGGCCCAGTGCAAAATTGTTGTGCTGGTAGGGCCTTTTATTTTTATAAGTCTTTGACTTTTTTCTTAATCTTTCCTTTGGGAAAGGAAGGTGACAAATAGTATTCCACATGGAATCATCAGAAACTAATTATTCAACCTAACATAGAATTTCTTTCTAGGGTAGGATAATAAGCTTTTATAAACTAAAGTGAACTTAGTTTCTGCTGCTCTTGGAATATTTTATTCAGGCCTGCCTCAAAAAGAACAGAGCATTGTTTTATTATACACTGACATAGTGATGAGGTTTTATGAACAGAGTATTTGGTTATTTTTAGTCTGTTATTTCTAGGTCAGCCCTGCGAGGTAGCTGGAGCTACATGGTCTCTAAAGAGGAACAGGGACTAGGGTAGAGATCCACCAGGCGAACAGCTTGGCCACTGCTCAACCAAAACGACTGAGGCAGAGCACAGAGGTTAGGATCCTGGATTGAATTGTGATGGAGGATAGAGAGGATCCTATCTAGGCCTTCTCATGGCTTTGCTTTTGAACAGCCACAGAATGTCATAGCATCAGCTTCTGGAACCATAGGGCTGAAGAGGACTAAACTGCTAACGGTGGCCATCTGAAAGCCACCTATATGTCTAGGGACAGAGCTTGAGATCTGAGAACAACTCTTGGCTGTGTGTGTGCTGAGAGATGAGCTGGGCTTGTGCCTCCCCCAGAGCCTGTGGGGTCATTCTATGCTGAGACCACTCCTCCCAATGGCCAAAAATTAAACATAGCAGGTCTAAAACAATAAGGATCTATACTACAGAGTTAAGAAGTGTAATATGCAGGAGAGGTATTTCTGTAGGCATCACCAGGCATTCAAACTACAGTACTTAAGCATGAATCAAAGAAACTATAAAGAAAGAAAGGGAAAGAGAGAGAGAACAAACACCATGATGATCTTAGGTTTAAAAATACCCCCAAACAAGAACTGAATAATTACCAGGAAAAGGCAAGAACAAGTATAATACACAGAAAAGTTTTTGCAAGGCCATTTCATGGAAATTTAAGTACAAAAGAATGGCATGTTCATATGATTTAAATGAATTTAAATGCCAAACGACCATACATACTGTGTTACTGATGTCACATATGGTTATAAGTAAATAAGACACCTATAAATAAAAAAGAAAACATATTTGTTTTAGTCACTAAAAGTTACTGATTTAGAGAAATGGCCAATGAATGTAATACTTCTGGGGGATTAAAAGCAATTTTCTGCTTTTTCTCATCTTTTCTACTCTTTGTTATATCTTTTGATGACTGTTATGGTTTGGCTGTGTCCCCACCCAAATCTCATCTTGAATTGTAGCTCCCACAATTCCCATGTGCAGTGAGAGGGACCTGGTGGGAGGTAATTGAATCATGGGGACAGGTCTTTTCCATACTGTTCTCATGGTAGTGAATAAGTCTCATGAAATCTGATGATTTCACAAGGGGTTTCCCCTTTTGCTTGGCTCTCATCTTCTTTTGCCTGCTGCCATGAAAATGTGCCTTTTGCCTTTTGCCATGATTGTGAGGCCTCTCCAGCCACGTGGAACTGGGAGTCCATTAAACCTCTTTTTCTTGATAAATCACCCAGTCTTGGGTATGTCTTTATCAGCAGCATGAAAATGGACTAATACAATTATAGAGAGAAATGTAATATTTTAACAACCACTAACATACTCTTACCAGTTTTAAAATAAACAACAGAAATAGAGGGAAAGGCAGAAAGCTGTGCAAAAGAGAAAAGGAAGCAAACATGACATTTCCAGAACAAACCAGATCCATTTATCTATACTTTTTGGGTTTGGTTTTGGAATATACTACACATACTCCAAAGTGCTTTAAAAATTAAATCCCCAGGCTGGGCACGGTGGCTCACGCCTGTAATCCCAGCACTTTGGGAGGCTGAGGCAGGCGGATCACGAGGTCAGGAGATCGAGACCATCCTGGCTAACACAGCGAAACCCCGTCTCTACTAAAAAAAAAAAATATATATATATATATAAATTAGCCGAGTGTGTGGCGGGCGCCTGTAGTCCCAGCTACTCGGGAGGCTGAAGCAGGAGAATGGCGTGAACCCAGAAGGCAGAGCTTGCAGTGAGCCGAGATCGTGCCACTGCACTCCAGCCTGGGCGACAGAGCGAGACTCTGTCTCAAAAAAAAAAAAAAAAATTTAATCTCCCAATTCTAAATTCTCTCCAGGCATCCAGAACTAGATGGTGAATGAGCAATGAGAAACAGATAGTAGTTACTGCCTTGAATCAAAGTATCATACAAAAAAGCCTGGCACTCGTACACAAGAGTAAACAGACTACATATTTTCATCATAAAAGCACAAACAAATTGCCTTTTTTTTTTTTTTTAACAGCAGCCAGGAAAACCCTCCATTCCTTGCAAGAGTCCCAAGCTCCTGCAGGTGTGTGGTAGTTCTAGTTACTTTTCCACCACTCAGAAGGTGGAAGCAAGAGTAATTGTTATAGCCCAGCCTTGCATTCAAGGGCAGAATGGTTTCTCACAAGAAACCAGGAACTGTGAGGACCTCTGAGCCTCAAAATGTGTCCCAGCACCATTGCTCCTGACATCCTCTATTATTTTCAATGTCTACCCAGTTAGACCCCTCCCAGTTAATGGCCAGCAGTAGCGTGCCACTGTCTGCATTACATGTGGTTTGCACATGAGTCCGAACCCAAGGGAGCAGAAGACATCTACTGAACATAGAAGGAGAAACGCTCCTTCCCAGGCCACCCACAGTGGAAGCTGAAAACAAGGCATGACACAACACACACGAAGAAGTGAGCCACTGTCGCAGGCCTCTGGGCAATGTTAATTACACCGCCCACAGTATAAGACAAGAATAGGAGACAGGAAAGGAGAGATGCTCAGTAAGGCTTAACAGAAAAAAAAAAAAATCTCATATTTTCCATGCACTCAGTAACCAGTTCTATTATCCAGCCAATTTTCAGCTTAATTTAGGAGGTTTATAAAAATCATCCTACAAGATAGATGGTTTGTTAGGCAACTTAGTATATAGACTCTTATTTGGACAGGAAGATGCACATAAAATGAAAAATACTTCCAATGTGAAAGGAGCAAGGAATCTATATTTATGTTGACTTTTAGGAGCTCATGGAGAAGAATAAAGACAGGAGAGATAAGGGATGAGGAAGGGCCCTACTAAAGGTAAAAATGCATTTAATTAATTATTCACGTGACTAATCATAATGATAATAAAGAGAATAGAAAAAACAGAAAGTGGGCCAGAGTTGGAAAAAGATGATTATTTTTATACTGAAGAAGAAAAGGGTAATGAGAGCTGTGTGGGACAAGGGCTGGAAGCATGTATCAAAAGGTTACTTTAGAACTGGGAGTTTATGATTAATTGAAGAAGTATTCAAATGGAAATTCCATGCTAACTTTAGTAGTTATAAAGACACAGAGAAAAATAATAACCTATTAGCTATTTGAATTCCTAAAGCGGCTTTCTTGTAGGATTCATGCCTTTTTTGTTGTTGTTGCTTATCTTGAATTAAACACCCTTGTTTACTGCTAATCAGTACAAACTTAACCACACTCTATTCCTCAAACGGTAAGTTACACTGGAAAGATAATAGATTTGGGACCTCCGATATTGGGGTTTGAATCCCAGTTGTGCTGGGATTTTATTCAAAAAGGTTTGGGGCAAGTTACTTAATCTCTCTGAGTCTTATTTTTTCTGCTCATCTGTGAAATAGATATAAGAGTAGCAAACAATTGGTACTCTCGTGAAAATTAGGAATAGTCACTGTCAGACACGGGTACCCAATAACATTCAATGAGCTGCAGCAATAATTACTCCACAACTGCAAACATTGTTTTTGTAGAGACAGCACACTTTTAAGATTTACCTTGAAATGGATCAGAAAACAAGTAATGCAACAATCCAGAATAGTTTTTGTATTTGAATTGCCTAAGCTGGGTCAAGGGCAGTTATGTTATGTCTATGATTGATGCTTGAGTGTGGAAAATTCTCAAAAGAGCACAAGCTGCATATTACAAAGTTTCCAGTTTTAGAGACTCCTTGGAGAAGGTCACTTAAATTGGTTAGTAGCCATAATATGCAAAACATTAGGATGGAATCTTCACCGAGAGTGAGAACGTGCATACCAAGGCTAATTCCAAAATTATGTCAGCAGCTAGTCTTCTGCTGTTCTCTTTTAGAGCTGGTGCATGAACTAGCATCCTACGTATATCACCCACTCAATCATATAGGTATGTGACAGTGTTTTACTCTTAATGGCTTGGAGACAAGTTTTAAATGTAAAGGTTCTTACTCAAGAAGAGTATGGCATTTGAATGTAGGTGACACCTTTGGAAATTCCCAATTTTTAAAAGCTACTTCTCTAATCTGTTGGTAAGAATTTTCTGTGAGGATCTAACTGTTATACCCATCCTTTTCACAACTTTTCACAAAGTAACCACGTGTTACCTAAAAGACTTAAATTGTATCACTGCTTCATTCTTAACCAGTATACTTGGTATTCTCAAATTCTCAGATTTACTGGTGCAAGAATGTATATATGTTTTCAAATACTCCTGGTATTTTACAAATAGGCTGACAATCCCAAAACTTCTTCCCCCTGCCTTGCTGAATGGGAAGAATATTCAATTTTCCTTGGAATTATTGTTGCCATCCTTGGATGCCTGGCACTTAGATAGGGAATGTGTAATCACATTACAATGTATCTGAAATTATTCAAATGAGAACAAAATTATCTTTTTGTGAGTGTTGTATGGAAAACTATACTTTGCATGCAGAATGTTGCCTCTTTCTCCCCCTTTTTGATATAATAAAGGGCCAGGACACCTTAATACAACCTGTGATGATAATAACAGTATTTAGTGAGCATTTTGCAAGTCATAAACCTGCAATTTATCTCATTTCTTATTTGTGCACACTTCCATTATTTTCAAAACAATCCCCAATTTATAATGTGGAAATTGAGCCTCAGAGAAGCCCACTGACAGGTCCAAGGCCAAATTGTTAGTCAACAATAGGGCTAGCACTGGAAGTCAGATCTTCTCATTTCAAGTGTAACAGAATTTGCTCTTCTCCATGTTGTCTTTGTTTACTTATTCACAGGTTCATTGGTTTATTCAGCAAACATTTACTGAATGTGTGCTGTACACCAGGCACTGTGACAGGCCCTCAAAATACAAATTGCAAATGGATCTCATTACAAAGAAGCTCACTTTGTGGTGAACGAATGGTATAGCTCATTGTAGTAAGTATGGTGGGAACAGAGGGGGGTTGGAGCAATGGCAGGGATAAGGAGGCAGTGGTCATGAAAATTGCTCTAAAGAAGATGATACCAGTGGGGCAGCAGGGAAGAGACCCCAAGCAATTGCTTCCAGCAGCAGGCAGCCTGTCCTGGTCTTGCCAGTGTGCCCAACCAAGGTTATCATTATCTGAGTGCCAAGACATGGAAAAGATTGGAATGCCTCAGCCTGAGGTCAAGGTGAACAGGAGTTACTGAGATGAACAGATGGAGAGAAGCAGCCCAAGGAGAGGGATGAGCTGTATGAAAGTGCAATGTCTTGACTCCTCTGGGAAAGTGTTTGAGTTTTTGTTTGAGCTGAAATAAATGGAGAATATGAAAGGGCAGCTGGAAAATGAACCGAGAGAGATCAGCAGAGACCAGGCATTGAGGGGTTTGTGGTTCTGTGTGCCAAGATAAGGAAAGTGAACTCTATCCTGACAGGCATGGGGAGTCACTCACTAATATTGAAATAATAGGATCAGATTTGGATGTTGGAAAGATTCCTCTCGCCCTGGTGGAAGACCAGATTGAAGGAGCCAGGCGGGATCATGGCAGGAGCCCAGGGGAGATGCGAGGAGTCCTGGGGATTAAGGGAGTAGCAGGGGGGATGGAAAGGCAAAATTCGAGAGATATTTACAGGAGAGACTTCTGGAATGACCACATGGAGTTGGGGGAGTGGGAGCTGGGAGTCTGAAATGTTTCTCAGATTTCTGCCTTGGGTGACTGGGTGGTCGGCAACGGCATTGTCTGAGGAAGGGGGGCAAGGAAGAAGGCCAAGCTTCACTTTGAAGGACGCAGGACATAAAGTGTTTGATTTGGATGTGTTGAGAGTATGTGGTGTTTTCAGGACCTTCCTGTGTAGCTGTTGATGTACTCAGAGATGTCTGATGCAGCTTTTTGCAAAAAGAAAACCGCGATGCGAAATTACTTAGCAACATATTTGGAAAGACAGGGTGTTTTGATATTTTCTCCTCAATGCATTCCTTTTAATGTGGAAAGTCAGTCGCATATAGAAAAAAAAAGAGGTATGTAAATCAATCAATCAATAAGAGTTTTATATAAATCTAACCACAGTATAATATCTTACCACATATATCTAAATATTTTTCCATATGCTCAGCTAATATTATTCAACATGTGATTTTAAAAAAGTGTAAAATACCAGTCTTGAAAGATGAATTATTTAAAAATATTTATTAGTCACACATCCTTAATCCATACTCTATTTACTCTCAGAAAGAAATGTACACCCAAAGGGTGAAGCAGAAAGTAATAGTTTCCTTAAGCGAAGAAACAGAAAGAACAGAGGATCTGTCTGGCGAGCAGCCAGTCAGAGAATATTGAAAAGCTAGAAGTCTCAAGGCAAATCTCTACTAATCCATCTTTTACCAAAGTTCTCACTTAAAGTCCCACCTTTTGACATGAAATATTTAATAGGAGTTTTATTTTAGCCACAAGGTGCCCTTAAAAATTTAATATTGGACTTCATACTAGACTAAAAGAAGGAGTTATTCAGTGACTGAAAAGAAACATGTATGTTAAAAAGAAAAGGAGAAGAAAAAAGGGACTTGTGGAAAGTGCAAAGAAGTTAATGAGAATTTCTATTGAAAACCAAAAGTTAATGACAACACAAAGCTCCTTTCCTATGGAGGACAGATGCTTCATGAAGAACGAATACGTCAATAACGTTCACTTGCTATTGGCATATGGAACCACAGTTGTAATCTGTTGAAATGGCACAAAGACAAAAAATTGTTTTTAAAAACCCACAAAATACAAATAAACAACAACAAAAAAGGCTTTCTTATAGAAAGAGACTCCATTTAATTGGCTTCCACACGCGCCTTCCCAGTTTCAATTCAGCTCCCTAACATGGGATTAACTCCCTCAGAAAGATGGTCTTTGGGGTGCATGTGTGACGGTCATTTGTCTTGCAGCTAAAAATTAGAACATAACAAGCTTCTAATCATCACTTGTTAATTTGAAACAAAAAAATTCTTCTTTCCATTGAAAGCAGATTGTAGTAAGAATTCAGCATTCTCCAAGGTCATATGCTATTGGCAAAGCTCAGAAAAACCTTGTAGTCCAACTTGCTTATGTTCAGCTGTGTTTACTTAGACTTAACGTGACAAAGTCTGCCTCTGATTATACAGAGCAGTCATCTGCCCGCAGATAAATAGATATTACACAAACTTTTGGAGGGAATGACATTTGGCCTCCATAATTCTGGAATAATTTACTATGTACCCTCAACTTAAAACAACAAAATGATTCACAATATGTTTTTGGGATTGAAACATAAATATTTCATTTTACAAAGGGAGCAGTCTCCATGACCTTTATGGATTTTAGATGATTTACTAACAAAGTATGGTATTACTTTGGAAGGTGTGGAGTAGCCCTAAAGCAGGCAGTTTCAGGCAACATTTATTTCAGTCTTTTCAATAACCATCAAGATTTCAAGGAATTTCTGTAAACAAACTGTCACTTAAACAAAATAACTTTCCATCAATTTTTGCAACAAGTCTCCAGAACAGAACATGCATATAAAAATAAGAGTTACCTAAATTATTTCCAGAGACTACATCTTGGAGTAATGTTTACACTATCGGTAAAAATCAAAAGCTCAATGTTTTACCACTGTATCTTACACTAAATGCAAAATTGTGCTTTTGGAATAATGTAAACCATTTCTGCTGAATAGAGCCTGTTCCTCATTACCCAAGAATCGATTCTGGCCCTTCATGCTTTCTTTGCTTGCTGTTATATCTACATAACAAAAGATAGACATACTTTCCTCTTTAAACTAAGAGTGTTTCAAAGGTGGAAGTACTTATTATACTCCCTAGTGATCGATCAATAAACCGATCAATCAACAGATTTTCATTGCATTTCGTTAACAGCTAGTAATACAGTAGTGAACAAGAGGAAGGTGGTTTGTGTCCTCTGAAGTTTACTTAGCGAGAAAAATCATCCACTAAACACATACTCTCATTTTCTAGGTTGTTCATTTTAATTTATACAATAATAAAATGTTTTCCCCTACCAAAATTAACACATTGTCTTCCCTGACTCCTGTTCTGTAATTTTTTTAAAAAATTTTAATTTTTGTGGGTACATAGTAGGTGTATATACCTATTTTATTATTGAATAAACTTAGGGATGAAGCCCTTCATTTGGAGTAGTGGTCTGTTAAAGTAGCCACAAATAATTTCCTAGGCTGGATGCCTCTAGCAGTTCAGGCTATGTCTACAAAGGGGTTAAGTTTTTAATGGATTCACTTAATTGTTTCTATTTTGACTTTTATTCTAATTTACTAAATCTGCTTTGATAAGCACTCTGTGAAGTTAGTTAACGTAAGTGATGACACTGCTACTGTTGGAACAATTGCTACGTAACGTTTTAATAAACAAGGGTTTTCAAAGGACTTTCCCTCTAAAGAACTGAAGCGGTGCACATCACGGCACGCAGCGCATTCTCACGTGATTTTATCTCATTATGTTTGAGCTTTGAGAGTCACAAAAGATGATTTTATATATATATATATATATGTATAAAATTATAAAATATAACAGGTTTTACTATAGATAATATATATAAAATACATAAGTATATAAAAGATTAAAATTATATATAAAAGGTGTATAAATATATAATATAATATATAAAAGATATATTATATTTAATATCTTTGTATGTTTATTTAGATATATAGATATAAAATAATGTATAAATGTATATATAATATAAAATTATTGTTTTTAATATTAAAAATAATTAATATTAAAATAATAATATATTTATATATTATATACTAATATATTAATATGTTATTTTATATTGTATAAATATATTAATTTATATTTATATTGTATATGACATATTTATATTATATTATATTATATAGAGAATTATATATTATATATAAATTATAATATAAATATACATAATATAAAAATAAGTTTACAGTTATTTTGTGTGTGTGTGTGTGTATATATATATATATATATACACAAAGAAGGAATGTTTTCAAATGTACATGTGTATATATATACACACACAAACACACACACAAAAAGAAGGAATATGTTTTCAAATATGCTTTCCTTTAAGGTCAGTAAGCTAATCCACAGCCTGTCTGGAGACTAGAATGTCCTCCTCCTACCAATCTCCAGGAGAGAATACATTAAGACCTCATTAGCTTTCAATGCAAAACTGATCTCCACTCCTTCCACAAAGGGCAAATTCCTTCTATTCAAAGTTAGCTGTAGAACTGAATCCAGGAAAATGAGGGAGTACAAAACTCTCTTCTGAAGCCAGGCACGGACAAAGCCAAAAGCATCTCCCAAAGCCACTGATAGGCCAGGAAGCCAAGGGAAAAGGCTGCTGCTGGAAAAACAACTTTCCCAGCTGGATACGAGGTCCTAAGAGAGAGAGCTGTCTAAATACGAAGGTTAGTGGTATTAGGAGACACAGGGACATACCAATGACCACACATATTACTTTTCAAGCTAGATGCCTGCATGGGAGGTGCAGGGTGGGGGCAGTTGATATGTAACTAAAAACCCTTGAAGGAGTGAAGCCACTTGCTGGTGGTTTCTTAAAAAGGAAAAGCAAATTTGCAAATTTTATCAGATTGGAGCAGGACACAAAACTCTGCACAGAAACTAGTTATGGAAGCTCATTTTTCAAAAGGAATACAAACATCCTACATACCGAAGTTATTATATATTCAGTCAAGGCTATCAGGAGGCAGTGTTGTGTCTAAGGGTGAAAGAAGAACCACTGTCCTATCTCTAAACATGTAGTTCATTCTCTACCAAATTTAATGCAAGAGAAGGAAAGAGAAGGAAATTTAATGCAGGATCGCAGATCAGAATTAGTTTGCAGAAGACTTACAGCTGAATCAAACTTCTATGGCCTTCTCAATGTTAACCAAAGTGGAGGGGTGGGCGGGGGAAAGGAAAGATTTTCACAACAAAAAATCTTGAAAAATCTCCTATATTTTCTGGTTTCATTTTTCCCAGAACTGAAACACCACAAAATAACAACATGCCAGTGCACTCACTTCCAGCTCAGTCAGGAAGTTCTGAGGTACATAAACATTTTTTATTTCACTTTTTTACAAGAAGGTGACCAACATTTTCTTAGGCTTCCGAAAAGCTTCAGGTTTGGAATACATTTTGGTTAAATGTCAGCAAAGGAATTTGCTCATCGTTCAAAAAACACTTTTTCTTTCCAGCCTTGGAGTATATGTAGAAAATGGAATTACAAAAAGGCGCAGGACCACAAAGGGAAGTCCAGTTTTTTAATTCCTAAAAGAGTGCCATAGAAGAGCATTCTCTGTAGGAGGAAAAAGGAATAACAAGGAACTCTTATATAGCACAGTTTACCAAGTGCTTTCTCCATCGTTATCATATTGGAACCTTGAAACAGCCCTGGGAGGTGGGTATTTGTATTGCCTTCATTTTATAGAGATGAATGTAAATCAGAGAAATTAAATGTTTCACCTAATGTTTTTCAGTGATTGGCAGAGAGAAAAATTGGAACCCAGGTCCTCAAAGTCTAAAACCATAATATGAGCAGGCATTGATTGAAACCTGAAGGCCAGCAACTTACATAACACCACTAAGGTCAATGGAAGTAAAATTCAATGCAATAAGCTAGAGAAAGACATCTATGGAAAAAAAAAATAAAAGAGGTGGTAAAATCATCACTCTTTGCAAATATGATTGTACTGCTAGAAAACACAGAAAAATCAACTAAAAGACTTCCAAGTTGGCAGGGCTTGGTGGCTCATACCTGTAATCCCAACACTTTGGGAGGCCGTAGCGGGCGGATCACTTGAGGTCAGGAGTTCATGACCAGCCTGGCCAACATGGTGAAACCCCATCTCTACTAAAAAATACAAAAATTATCCAGGCATGGTGGCGTGCACCTATAATCCCAACTACTCAGGAGGCTGAGGCAGGAGAATCGCTTGAACCCAGGAGATGGAGGTTTCAGTGAGCCCAGATTGTACCATTGCCCTCCAGCCTGGGCAACAGAGCGAGACTCTGTATCCAAAAAAAGACTACCAAAATGATCAGCAAATTTATGATGGTAGCAAAATACAAGAAAACACAGAAAAATAAACTAAAAGACTACCAAAATGATAAGCAAATTTATGATGGTAGCAGAATACAATATTAATATATAGAAATGTATGGCTTTCTTATATAAAAAGCAGTTAGAAAATGCGATGGAAGAAAGGACCTGCTTATAACAATAAAACAAACAGATAAAATGCATAGGGATAATTTTATAAGAAGTGTTCAAGGCCAATTTAGAACATCTTAAAACACTGTTAAAAGTGACATAAGAGGACATGAACAGACATACCAAGTGTTTGGATAAGAGGATTCTACATCCTAGAAATATTGATTTTTCTATAATTACTTTGTAAATGTAACACAATTTCATTAAAAGTAACAAAAGCATTTTTTAAATAGACAAGTTGTCCCTAAAGTTAATATGCAAAAATAAGCTAAGACTGGCTAGAAAAACTGTGAAAAAAGAACAATGAGGAAGAATAAGCACAACCAGACATTAAACATATCCTAAAACCTCCATAATTAAAACAGGATAGGACAGAAACATGAGTAAAAAGAAAAATTAATAGAAGAGAATAGAAAGACAAGACCAAAGAAAAATTAATAGAAGAGAATAGAAAGACAAGACCAACTCAATTTAAAATATGGTATTTCCAATTAGGGAGGACAAGAAAGACTGGGCAATAAATGGTGTTAGAATAACTGGGTAACTGTGGAAAAAAATAAAGTTGGACATTTTTGTCACACCATATTATACTATACCTCAAACGAAGATATTCCAAATTGATGAAAGATGTGAAGTGAAAATTGAGACCATAGAAATCCTTGAAGAAAACTTGCAATACTCCCTTTAAAGTTTTAAAATGAGGAAGTTCTCGCTATCACTTAAATTCTAGAAGCTATAAAAAATAATCAGTGTAATTACATTTCAAAATGGCTACATAAGGAAAAAATCTTTATTAAAATAAATATATACAATGATATATAACTAATTTGGGCAAAATATTTGTTAATGAATATTACAGGCTCATCTCCCTCCATAAAGAGCTGTTCAAATTAATAAAACATTATCCATCAGAGTCCGTATCAAAAGAAATATGAATATGTGCACACAGGAAAATGGAATTATGAATGGCCCTTAAACATACAGAGGTGCTCAGACTCATTCTTCACCAATCAGATGGATAAAATAATTAATGAGTTTAATGACACTGCATCTACAGGCTGTAAGAAAACAAGGATTCTCATCCTTAGTTGAGTGCAAACAGATTCCGGGCCTACAGAGAGCTACTTGGAATTGGGATTGAATGCTACACAGCTGTAAAAAAAAGAATGTGAATACTCTCCATGTGCTATTATGGAAACATCTCTAGCATACATTATTAAATTTAAAATCTCAAAGTAAAGGGATATATATCTGTTTTTTTTGTTTGTTTGTTTTATACAGAGTGAGTCTTACTCTGTCACCCAAGCTGGAGTGCAGTGGCACGGTCATACCTCAGTGCAGACTCAAACTTCTGGGCTCAAGCGATCCTACTGCCTCAGCCTCCTGAGTAGCTGGGACTACAGGTGTGCACCACCATGCCTGGCTGATTTTTAAATTTTTTGTGGAGACAAAGTCTCACTATGGTGCCCAGGCTGGTCTTGAACTCATGGCCCCAAGCAATCCTATCACTTCGGCCTCCCAGAGTTCTGAGAATACAAGTGTAAGCCACCATGTCCAGCCATATGCTACCTTTTTAAAAAAGGTAAAACAAAGTAATTTTTTATTGTTAGTATCTGGACAGAGTACCAACTGTGGCTATCACTATTGTTTTTTCTGGCTATGAGATAAATACACTAGTCATCATAGTCCAAATCAAAGACAAATAATTCTAGCCTATTAGCAGCCTGTATGATCTGAAATCGTTTTGATGAAGACTTTCTTTAAAAAATGGTGGCAAAATATACATAACATAAAATGTATCATTTTAACCATTTTTAACTGTGCAGTTCTGTGGCATTAAGTACATTCACATGGTTGTGCAACCATTACCACTATCCATCTCCAGAAATGTTTTCACCTTCGAGACTGAAACTTGATATTCATTAAACTATCACTCCTCATTCCTCCCTCCCCCAGCCCTGAGTGACCACCATTTTTTTTCTGTCTCTATGAATTTGACTATTCTAGGTACCTCATACAAGTGGAACAATACCATATTTGTCATTCTGTGACTGACTTATTTCACTTAGCACAATGTCTTGAAAGTATATCTATGTTGTAGCATGTGTCAGAATTTCCTTCCTCTTTAAGGCTGAATAATATTCAAATATATATATATATATCACATTTTGTTTGTCCATTCTTCTGTCGATGGACAACTGGGCTGCTTCCACATTTTGATTGTTATAAATAATGCTGCTACAAACATGGGTATACAAATATTTGTTTCAGTCCCTGACTTTAACTCTTGCTGGTATGTACCCAGAAGGTGCATTGCTGGATCATATGTCAACTCTATTTTTAATTTTTTGAAGAAACACCATACTGTTTTCCATAGCTGTGCCATTTACAATCCCAGCAGTGCTCAAGGGTCCTGATTTTTCCCCATCCTTGCCAACCCTCGTTAATTCCTGTGTGTGTGTGTGTGTGTGTGTGTGTGTGTGTGTTTAATAATAGCCATCCTAGTGGGTGTGAGGTGGTATATCATTGTAGTTTTCATCTGCATTTCTCTAATGATTGGTAATGCTGAGCATCTTTTCATGTGCTTATTAACTATTTGTATATCTTCTTTGGAAAAATGTCTATTCAAGCCCTTTGCTCATTTTAATTGAGGTGTTTCTTTTTTTGTTGTTGAGTTGAATGGCCTACCTTTGATATAAAAGAGGGGAAAAGAAGTATCTATATTTATACTTGCTCTTAAATCCATAAAGAATCTCTGTAAGAATATAATAACAGTTAAATATTTTAAAGATGTATTTAGATGAGATCTCTCTGTCCCGTGCTGTATGCACCCTGTATTTCTGTGTGGCATTTTGCACACTTCCTTGTTCTATGCTCATCTACCACAAAGCACTGTTCGTCATGGTCACCGCGTCAGCCCCAACTCACAGAAGAAAGGATTCTCAATGATTATTTGTTAACAGATTGATGAACTGATGGGGAGAGATTAATTTAATACTTTAGCATACAGCGTGTTATTAGGATGCTAAACTGTCAGGTGACAAAATAGCAGTCCCTTTGGAAAGCAAAAAGATGTGCCCCAGGGGGTTAAAAAAGTGGGATCAGGACTGCATTATGACTTTCATCAGCTCTAGGTACTTGTGCTTTGGTGCACTCTTTCCTACATAAAAAAAATTAAAAATGATATTTTACAAATGCATTGGTCTATAGGTGCATATAATCCAGGCTTATGATGTATTCATTATTATTGCATTCATTTTTCTTTTGATTAAAAAAACGAAATTGAAATATTTTCATGGGTCCTGGGCACCATGCTACTGTGCCTAACTTGGGAAGTTGGCCTTGGGTAAGGTAACCCAGGAAAAAATAGTGGGTGTGGGTATCTCTTAAAGAAATCAGGTCTGTAATGCCCAAGGTCGTGGTCCTGGGTAATTAGGAGGCAACATGAGGACGCGGGAACCCAGCACTGCTGTGGAAAGGGGAGGTATTAATAAAAGCAACATAAAAATTCAGCCTCTTCCAGGCTTGCCGCCCTGCGTCCACACTGCTGCATCCTCTCTGACAGTTACTGGCGGCAACACTTAGCATCTATTGGCACTAAGTATGGGTTAATTCTGCAAAGCTAACTTAATAAGTTTTGAATTTCAAAGAAAAATGAAAATAAAATAGAACTTTCCTTCCACCCAAACTGAAATGTTCCTCTAGCTAATCCATTTGTGTTTTTAAGGGAATTTTATTTTTTAAAAAGCATATTTTTCTAAATGGAAGCTTATATCCTCTAAACAAAAATGCTTCTGTTTGAAAGTACAGTGACTTAATGTCACACAAGTGTAGATGAAGGTAAACAGGTCTCTGCATTATTCTATCAGAAGTGAGCAGGTTAAACCAAAGCCAACTTTGTATCCTTAAAATAGTGGGAGAGTGGGAGATGGTAACCTTTATACATTTTCTAAATAACG
This sequence comes from Homo sapiens, assembly GCF_000001405.40. Taxonomy (NCBI): domain Eukaryota; kingdom Metazoa; phylum Chordata; class Mammalia; order Primates; family Hominidae; genus Homo; species Homo sapiens. The sequence goes on from NC_000010.11 coordinate 27,708,054, forward strand.
TTCTTCTACATTTTGTTCTTAAAGAAGGAAACTGTTACTTCTCTTAGTTGATTTAATTTAAAAAAAACTAAGAAATCCTTCCAACCATAGAATATTGAAATATTTAACAGCCAGTATGGCATTCACACCAAACAATCACAAGAGATGCTGGCCGTAGAGAACTCAGAGCGACAACTGGTGCATCCTGGCAAGTATCTCACCCCTTGTAAAAAGTACTTTACTTCTCACTTCACACTTTTTTTTCCCTGGTTTAGCTCACTGACCATCACAAGGCCTTCTCCCGTATACCTAAGCCCACAGAAATTAATAATGGTTTATTGTGCACCATTAATGTATTTGTTCATTTATTCATCTATACATTTTCTATTTCTTTAATGCATCAAAAAATTGACTATAGGCCGGGCGCGGTTGCTCATGGCTGTAATCTCAGCACTTTGGGAGGCCGAGGTGGGCAGATCACGAGGTCAGGAGATCGAGACCATTCTGACCAACATGGTGAAACCCCATCTCCTTTAAAATAAAAAAATTAGCTGAGCGTGGTGGCGTGCGCCTCTAGTCTCAGCTACTTGGGAGGCTGAGGCAAGAGAATCACTTGAACCGGGAGGCAGAGGTTGCAGTGAGCCAGGATGATGCCACTGCACTCCAGCCTGGGTGACAGAGCGAGACTTCTTTTCAAAAAAAAAAAAACGACTATTGCCAGATAATATGTCGAGTACCAGGGATGAATGAGACAAATCTATACAGTTGGAACTCCATGTCTGCATCTGCAGATCCAACCAACAGTGAATCGAAAAATATTTGGAAAAAAATAAACAATAAAAAGCAGCAATACCGGTTGGGTGCAGTGGCTCACGCCTGTAATCCTAGCACTTTGGGAGGCTGAGGCAGGTGAATCACCTGAGGTCAGGAGTTCGAGACCAGCCTGGCCAGCATGGTGAAACCCCGTCTGTACTAAAGATAAAAAAATTAGCTGGGCATGGTGGTGGCTGCCTGTAATCCCAGCTACTTGGGAGGCTGAGGCAGGAGAATCACTTGAATCTGGGAGGTGGATGTTGCAGTGAGCTGAAATTGTGCCACTGCACTCCAGCCTGGGTGACAAAGCGAGACTCTGTCTCAAAAGAAAAAAGTAAATAAATAAACAACAATACAACAAAAAATACAGATAAAAAATACAGTTTATAATACAAAAAAATACAAATTAAAAATAGCAACTATTTCCATAGCATTTACATTGTATTAGGTACTATAAGTGATCTAGAGATGATTTAAAGGATACAGGGGGATGCGTGCAGGTCACATGCAAATACTATGCCATTTTACATAAGAGACTTGAGCATCTGTGGATTTTGGTATTGGTGGCAGAAGTAGGGTAAGTTCCTGGAACCAAGCCTCCCAAGATACAGAGGGATGACTGTACTGTAGGGTAGTCAACATTTAATGAGGCGAACAAACCAGTTCTTCGCACTGATTTCTGGTAGGACTGGTAACAATAGCAAAACAAGGGTGAGCTGATCTGAGGATGTGGCTCTGTTCCACATGTGTGAGTGGCCATGAAGACAGCAGGGCTTCCTGAAGATGAAGATCCTGTGCCCCTCTGGAGTGGGATGAAAGGGATACTAGCCAGTTTTAAGCCAAATTAAACTCTGACTTCCCTCTCGATGCCTCTTCTTTAATATGAGTTATAATAAAAGCCCTTTCCATAAATTTCCTCCCACCACCACCACCATTTGGGAAGCCCCGTGACTCTAAGGCAGTGCTGTCAATAGAATTATAATGTGAGCTACATGCAAACCACATAAGTCATTTAACATGTTCTAGTAGATGCACTTACAGTAGAAAGAAAAAGTGAAAGTATTTTTAATAAAATATTTTATTTAACCCAATATATACAAAATAGTATCATTTTAACATGTAATTAGTATAGAAATTATCAATGAGATATTTTCCATGCTTTCTTTTCTCATATATTTAAACATATCTCAATTTGGACTAGTCATATTTCACATGCTGGGTTGCCTCATGTGGCTATTGGCTACCATATCAGACAGCACAATTCTAAGGGCTCTCTAGGCAGAATGAACAAGTGAACCACTCTGTGGGCTGTTCCTTAAATTTCATAGTGACATAGTGAATCCTGAGGATGCCTCAGAAGTTCAGAGATGCCATAGTTTCCTATAGCATTCCTGTGGAAGCAGAGATTCCTAGAATTGTCCTGCAATGAAAAAGTTGAAGATGAGCTAGGGCTTGATTTGTGGCCACATACTTTGCTTCCTATTCTTGATCCCTGGTTTAAAGTAACTTCTTATTCTGGATTCACTACTGACTGGTCACAAGGACTGGATTCCCCCTCTCACCAGCTCATCTTTAGTTTCTGCATTAGCATGAGAGGGACACACTCCCCAATGTCCTCCAATAGATCAATCAGAGAGTAAGCTAAAGCCTAAGGCCCAGAAGGGACTCCTCCTCTGGGGGCAGCATGGGCAGGGCCAATTCCCAGTTTGAGAATTTCTACCTTTTCCACACAACTGCAGAATTGGCAATGGGTCTAATTCCATTTCTGGTCTATCTCTAACTCCATATTTCTGCTAGTTTTTAATTTTTTATTTTTATTTATTGATTGATTGAGATAAAGTCTTGCTCTGTCACCCAATCTGGAGTGCAGTGGTATGATCTGGGCTCACTGCAACTTCCACCTCCTAGGTTCAAGTGATTCTTGTGCCTCAGCCTCCAAGTAGCTGGGATTAGAGGCATGAGTCACTACATATGGGCTAATTTTTGTATTTTTAGTAGAGATGGGGTTTCACCATGTTGGCCAGGCTGGTCTCAAACTCCTGACCTCAAGTGATCTGCCTGCCTCGGCCTCTCAAAGTGCTGGGATTACAGCCGTAAGCCACTGTGCTCAGCCAGTTTTTGTTTGTAAACATTTGTGCTTACCAATTATATTTATAAGTCATATTATTGGACTGGCAAGAGTTTCCTTTAGAAACGTGTTCAATCTTAGCCCAATCATATCATTACTTTTCAAGTAAGATGATAATAATTTTTTTGTACTATCCATCACAGGTATGAATAAAACTAGATGTGCTAGAATACCCTGGAAACAGAGATAAATCCCAGGCAACAGTGCTTTAAAGTCACAGACCACCAACAAGAAGAGAAGCTTCATCACTGGGAAAAGAATGCATCTCTCAGAATAACATAGCTTCATATTTGAATCAAATTAAAAATACATTAATATTTTAAAACATTTCTTTCCTAAAAGCACTATCTACTCTTAAAATGCTATTTTATGTCATTATCTATTCTTATTTCATAATTGTCACTTTTTTCTTTTCTTTCTTCCTTTCCTTCTTTCCTTCTTTCTTTCTTTCTTTTCTCTTTCTTTCTTTCTTTCTTTCTTTCTTTCTTTCTTTCTTTCTTTCTTTCTTTCTCTCTCTCTCTCTTCTTTCCTTCCTTCCTTCCTTCCTTCCTTCCTTCCTTCCTTCCTTTTTCTTTCTTTCTTTTGTTCTCTTTTCTTTCTTTCTTTTTTTCTTTTTTTTTCTGGGTCTTGCTTTATTGTCCAGGCTGGAGCGCAGTCGCACAGTCATAGCTTACTGCAGCTTCGAACTCCTGGGCTCAAGTGACCCTGCTGCCTCAATCCCTCCCCAGTAGCCGAAACTACAGGCGCCCACCGCCGTGCTCAGCTAATTTTTAAAACTCTTTTTTTTTTTTTAATAGAAATGGGGTCTCGGTATGTTGCCCAGACTGGTCTTGAACTCCTAGCCTCAAGCAATCCTCCTGCTCTTGGGTGCTGGGATTACAGGCATGAACAACTGTGTTCATCCTTCACTTTTTCTTATAAAACAGGTATCATTTCCCATAAAGGACAAGAAGCAGGTAGACTGATAAGCATGAACCAAGGTAGATTTTTGTTGGATCAACTGACCTGTTTTCTTTTTTCCTAGAAGTTTCCATACCAACCTCTGCTTCTAGATTGGCCAGGTGAAGGAGACGGGCAGGGCCATAAGCATGGGATCCCGTGGTGCCCCACACCAGCTGTCCTGGCTTGGATACAGCTCTGGAGTGGTCAAAAGAGCGCTCTGTCCCTAATCATCAACTCTGCTCCAAAAAGGAACCTGAAAAAAGCTCTAAACTCACAGATCCAAGAAGCCCAGACATTCCCATTGCTGTCTTCGAATGGGATTCTAAAGCCAGGGGGATGATGTTTTAGGGAATCCTTGAAACTCCTACAATTATAAACAGGTGTGCATGAAGAAAATACACTACCATTTAATGTCCCAAACGCCTTATAAGGAAGGTGAAGGGGACCTAGAAAGCCCCTTAAGTTCGCTTAGCATCTCAGTAAGTGGTCTGAGCATGGAACAGAGTTTGGGAGTTGAAGCAGGAGAGACCTGGGTTACACTACAGGTAAAGAACATGGGATTTTGAGGCAACTGGGGATTAGGAGGTAAAAGGAAAAGGTGGGAGGGGGAAGAGTAGAACCAGTGAGGTGCTGTGAGGCTGGAGACCCTGGGAGGTGAAGCAGGCAAGGAAGAGTCCCATGTCGGGGTGGCCAAAGGGCACTAAAGAATGAAGACAAGTAGTGCTCTGTAGGAAATCATATAAACTGCTGTGCCCAGGCACAGTGGCTCAGGCCTGTCATCCCAACACTTTGGGATGCAGAGGTGGGAGGATTTCTTGAGGCCAGGAGTTTGAGACAAAACACGACAAGACCCCGTCTCTACAAATAAAATGTTAGCAAGGTGCAGTGGTGAGTGCCTGTGGTCCTAGCTACTAGAGAAGCTGAGGTGGGGGGACGGCTTGAGCCCCAGAGCTCAAGGTGGCAGTGAGCCATGATCATGCCATTGCACTGCAGCCTGGATGACAGAGCAAGGCCCTGTCTCTAAAAAAAAACAACAATAATAAAGTCATATGAATTGCTGTGATGGAAGGTCCTCCTTCACTCCCTCTGAATCTTCCTTCAACTGTACCACGTGCACAAGCTTTCCGAGAGTGGGGATCTTCTGGCGTTTGAGGAAGGGAGTATATTTCACATCTGAATCCACGCGATGAGGAACAGGGAGCACATATGTGGAATGGCAACACGACCCAAGCACCAAATATACCATATGCTTAGAAGATGGAGCCCTTGGGCATCTCTAGAAATCTTCAGAAGTGTCTGACCTTCCATAGTGTGCAATCAAGTATTTAAGGGATTGCTATTTAGATCAAAAGGATCAGAGATACCCTTGTTGCCATCTGGGCTACACAACAGTGTCTATGTGTTTGTGTGGGTTTAAGGGGGTGGATGTGCATTTTTCTGAAGAAGGATGCAAGGCTTTTTACCCAATTTTTAAAGCAGTCCATGTACAAAAGGAAGTTAAGAGTGACTGCTTTAGAGAGTTCTATTCCGTAAATGATTTTTTTATTTTGAGTTGACTTAACCAGGATGGAAAACACAGTAAAATCAAGTGGAAAGAGCCTGAACCAGGAGCTTAGAGACTTAAATTTTCTTTCTGGCTCTGCCATTAAGTAGCTGTGCAAGAGATGATCACTCCCTCCCACCCTGCATGAAAGCAGGAATAATTATCCTTATTTTTACCTCATAGAGTTATAATGAGGATCAAATAAAATAACAGATGTTCAGGTACTTTCTACAGTACACAGTGCAACACAATATACGGTATTATTAGATCTAATCTGGCATTAGATTTGCTAATCTAATACCAGAATAGTAAGTACAAAAATGACCTTAGTAAAAATATTTTTACAATTCAACCGTGGATACCATGGATGTTATTGCCCTCTTCTTGCCATGATAAACAATGGCGTTCTGCTTTAGATGATATTTTCATCATACATTCAACATTTGGAGTTTCACTGTGTTCTAGCCTCACTTTACAACTTCTATTTTGTGACTTTTCTTACTTCTCACCTGCTCCTCTGTAGGCGAGTACAGCAAATTTGTGCAAAGACCAAAAAAAAAAAAAAAAAAAAGAGGCTTTGCTTGCTTTTTCTCTGCATGGCAACAGGCATGACATTTGATCTGACACAGGGATTAAGTCATTCATGAGTGGAGCCCAAAGGGAGGAACAGCTCCAAAAAGCAACCAGGCTCGCTGGTACTACAACATCCAGAAATTCACAGTCGCTTCTGCTACAGTTATAATTTGTAGTCTGTCTGGCACTGAGAAATCTAACTGCAGTCTCTGTGGTTTAAATAAAATGTATGTAGAGCAGCTTGGAGCCATGTTTTAAAATGTTCCATGTTATTTTAGTTCAAGGACAAGCTTTTAAAATTTAAAAAAACCTTTGGCTTTAATGATAGATTAAAAGTGAAAGTTGTTTTAAAGGAATGTCATTGAGTCCCATTGTTAGAGAAAGCGCTTGACATTTTTTAAAATTAATTATTCTCTTAAAGTAACAATCTTCATTAATACAAGGTGATCAAAAACAGAGTATGTACTCCCTCATCAAGACAACATTTTTGTGGTTTCGAAACTATGGTAGTCACAGTTTGCCCACTTAGTATTATATTTTCCAGTGATTTCAGTTATATTTTACAACCAGGATGCAATATTTTAATAGCCGTTACTGCCGACACAATGACAGACTCAACCAAAGGAAGCTGATATTTCTGGTTAACATGAAATGTAAGAAAAACTCAGTATCTTAGAACCTAAACTTATGAAACAGAAGTTGACTTATGCTGTACATATAACAAAACGATTTATGGCAAGATTAGTTTAAAACACCAAGTGTCTGCTCTGTCCTTAAACCTTGATTAGATGTAAACCTTTTGTTTTTGGAATGTATCTATTCTGAAAATCAAGGTGCAACTTTATTTTCTGTGGATTTACAGAGTGATGTGAAGTAAAGGGTGTAAGTCGAATCTACAGGCAGGGGCAGTGACTGAGGGCCTGGACCCTAGACCCCAGGCAGGGTCTCTCTTCCTTTCCTGCCTTTGGCATTCTGAGGCCACTCAGATCTTTAGGCCATAGGAAGGAACTTGACTGCAGTCTTGTTTTCTTAACAGACTTGCTGTCCCTTTCAAAGGAGCAGCTCTCCCCACTAATAAGGAGCCTGTAACCCTTGTTCCATGCAATTGCTGTACTTTCCTTTATCATAGTTTTGGCCTCCATGGCTCTCAGGAGAATTGCTGCAGGCAGACGCTTGCTTTGCCCTGGACACTGTGTTATGTTGCTGGAGTCCCTCTCCTCTCTACAGAGATGTTCAGTGTTCTCTCCTGGGATTCTAAGACCAAAATGCCACCGGCCTGTGCTACAGAGAAGGCTTGGTCCTAATGGCATTCTCTCCAGCCTCAAATGCTCACAGTGGCACTCCGGGAGAAAGGATCTGAAGTAAGACGAAGGAGGGATGAAATAAATTTTAGACTGAAAGTTGTTACTGAAGATGAGGGTGCTACGTGGCTGATCCTAATCTTCTAGAATGAGGAAAGGATTAGGATGGCCTGGAGAAGCCAAGGACTCTCCCTGCAAACTCTCTCACACTGTTAATCCCCTCAGAGATTTAGAAATTCTGCCTTCAAAATACCCTGTGGGAAATGAGGATAATAAGGTACCTACTTCATGGGGTATTATGAGGCTTGAGTAAGAAAATACATGTAGGGCACTTAGTGCAGTGCCTGGCACAGGGATCCCTAGCTATTTTTGTCATTATTATGCCCTGGTATAAGCTATTTTGATGGTGCTCCTTTCATACTTTACTGACGTCAGCTGCCTGAGATGAGAGCCTGCCATTCTCGATTGACAGATGGAAAACCACTTACTCCAGAAGATCGAAGGGCAGACAGAGGACCTATGGGATGGGCTGGGGGCTGGGCATAGCATAAAGACATAGGTTGCTCTGGGCATAGTGGGAAAAAAAGGTAGAGGAAGACATAAAAGCAGGTCTAAGGATCTCTCAAAAATAAACTGCCATCTTTTCCCAGGATTGGGAAAAAGTAAAAGATAGTGCTGAAGAAGGTTTTAGAGTCAAACAGATATGAATTCGAATCATGGTTCTGCAACATCTCAGCTTATATGGGCACATTCTGCTATTTAAGTCTGTTCCCTCATCCTTAAAATAAGGATAGTAATATGTACATCACAGAGTTATTGTAAGGACTAACTAAAATAATACATGCAAGTGTAGCACATAGCACAATGCCAGGCACATAGGAAATGCTTGATAAATAGCAGCCATTATTATGTGTGATAAACATTCATCATGCCATGGGGAATAATCTAGCCAGCTACCTTAGAAGCACATTGTCAGGCTACTAGGGAGGCTGAGGTGGGAGGATCACCTAAGCCCGGGAGGATGAGGCTGCAGTCAGTCATGATCATGCCACTGCACTTCAGCCTGGGTGACAGAGTCAGACTCTGTCTCAAAAAAAAAAAAGCAAAAAAAAAAAAAAGCACACTGTCAATTGCCTGATGCTGGCCTGCATGTGAAAATGCCTACTTTATGTTATGAGATAAAATACAAGTAACCTTAAGGAAAGCAAGATTGACTGAATGGATAAAGAGAACACGTGTTTTCTGTGCTCATATGTAAATAATTATGTAAATTTCAACTAACTTACTTAGACAGGATTTGATTACTCCATTTATAGATTAGCCATACCAAAAGCATTTAAAGCGGTACATTTTTTTGTACTTTATAAGCTCACACTCATCATAATGTTAATTGTCTAAACATTTGTGGTTGTACGGGCCAAACCTTACCCAAATCCCGCTGCCACATGATCTATGCTGGGGTAGGAAGAATTTTGCCCTCATGACTTTTCAACCTGGTATTACATCTGTGAATATGTTACGTTCCATGTTAAAAGGAACTATACAGATGTAATTAAGATGATCAATCAGTTGACCTTAAATAGGAAGATTATCTGGATGGGCTTGAGGTAATTACATGAACCCTTAAATGCAGAGCTTTTTCCTGGGGGAAGGCAGGGGGAGAAGTCAGAGAGGTTCAAGCCTGAGAAAGACTCAACATGTGGGTGTTGGTTTGAAAGTGCCAGGAGGCCACAAGGAAGGGAGTTGGGCAGCCTCTAGAAATTGAGAGGCAAGGAAATGTGGGTCTCAGTCCTATAGCCACAGGGAAATGAGCTGTGTCATTGGCCTGGATAAGCTTGTACGTGGGTTCTCTCTTAGAGCCCAGAATGACACCTTGATGTCATCCTGGTGAGACCCTGAGCAGAGAACCTAGCTATGCCATGCCAGACTTCCGACTTCCAGAACTTTGGGCTCATAAATGGGTGCTGTTTAAAGCTACAAAATTTGTGATGATTTGTTATGCAGCAAGAGAAAACTAATACATATGCATTAAAAACTGTTCTCTGATTTATAACTGTAGTCATCAGTTTTCAACTTGACATTGTTAATGAATTCAGAAACCACATACTACATTCCTGACTGCTGCATGCAAGCTGTCTGTTCCTGGCCATGTAGGTACCATGATCTCAGGCTGGACGTCTGGCATTTCTCTTGCCCTTCTTAGCTGCAGAGGTTTCACTTAATATGTTCGTAGAATATGTGTGTGGAGATGACATTGCCCATCAGCATCTCCAACAGGATATACAGAAACATTGGAAAAGAAAACCCTTCAAATTCCCCTATTCCCAGGGAAAGCCTGGTGGAGGAGTATGCTGCAATTGTTAGCTAGAAATTAGGTCTGGATATTTGCTGTTTATGATTTTTGCCCAGTGGCGAGATCAACTAGTGATAACATGTAAAACTCGACCTCATCAGCGTGATTTTAGCACCTTAAAGGATGAACCAGAGAACTAGCTCTATAATTCAGGGAAAGACCCATGCAGCATAACAGGGACTGCCTAACACAATGATGATAAGTGCCCTGCAAACAAAGGACTCTAGAAATATTAGTTACTCCACTGAAAGCTTGCTGCTCTTGGAAAGATCTTGGGAACAGTGGCTTATTTTAAATTCGTTACTGTGTAAGCATCATAGTTTCCTCCTGGTGACAGATGAACAATCAACCTTATTCCTGAAGGAAGAAAGAAAACTCACAGAAAAATATTCTGTGGTCAGTTCACCACTGCTCAGGGACATAGAAGTATGGTGAAATACTCAGTCATCTCATTCACAGTCAAACAAACCAACGAAGAATCTAAAGCGCTAAGCAAAGACAATACACTGTATTATTACTAAGAAGAAGAAGAAGAAAAAGAAGAAATAATAATGAAGGTATTAGAGGAAAGCAAAACTATTTTGACATTTTCACAATAAGCCAAATATGCAAATTTAAATATGTACTTTATTGATATGTTTTCAAAATATGATAATCTTTTCCCTCCCATGGTTTTGTTTTATTTTGATGTATAATTTTAGTCAATTACATTTGTAGCGCTAGCGAAAATTATTAAAATAACCCAAGTACAAAAGGGTAAAAAAGCAATATGAAGCATATGATATTTAATTTTCCATTAATCAATAATTTTGCTTGAAGGAAATATTGGCAAGAAGGAGTGGAATTCTTAGCTCCTTGTTTTTACTTTAAAAAATCCCAGGAGTCCTCACTCAAAGAACCTAAGTTTTCCACTGGAAAGACAAAAAGAAAAGTCAGGTCTAGTGTGCTACAAGCTTAACGACATAGTAAAATAGTATCCACTTGGACTCCAGTCACATTTCAAAAGTACAGTACAGATTAGGTGCACAACTGCCAAGTAATAATATATCATATTATTATAATTATGGCTTTTTTTATTTAACTAAATTATATTTATCTCTTTATTCAAGCACCATAGTTCAGGAAGTCTTACCTATCACAATGCATCATGTTTTTGTACATGAAACCTACCAGGAATGTTGCAACAATTCCCACTGCTCCATTGTGTGCACAGTTACTCTGTATTTATTATTCGTTGATATTCAGAATCTATGCTTAACTTTGAATGTGTGCAAATTCTCCATAAAAACTCTCAGAAGTAAGGAAAACATCTTTTACCATAAAATCATTTGCTAAAAGTCTGTGTTATAGAATTACCCTTTAAGAGGGGGTACTGAATAAGCTTTATTAATTTCTCTCTCGAAATCTCATTAAATTGCAAAATGTAAATTTGAAAACAAATACATGCTTAATGGGGCTCAAAAACAATAAAAGGTACCATTGCCAAGTCAGAAAAGTTGAGAAATTCATGGAAAGGAAAATACATATGGCATCAAGTTGGTGGGGAAATCCAAACTGGGAACCACAACTCAAAACAGGTGGAGGGCAAGACCGTGGAGAGTGTGAGCTGCTTCTCCCAACAGGGCACAGATGTTCCAAGTGCACAGTTCACAAAGAATAAGTAGCCTACCAGGGGAATCAAGAAAATTATCAGTTACGAGACAGCTGTCAGAAGAGCTAGGGCATACCTCTTCTTCCTCTCTGAGTCCACAGAGAGCTTTCTGGGTCATCTAACCGCAGCATAAAGCTGCTACAAATGCTCTTTAAATAGGTTAGGGGACCTGTCTAAGGGGGGTTCCTAGAAAAGGCTTTAAGGCCATTAAGAGGTACAGAGTAGAGATTCTAGTAACTTCTGATCTCTACAGGGATCATAGCTGCTATGACAAAGTAGTGATAAGAAAAAAAAGATGTTCTTGGAGAATAAAAATAAGACACCAAACTTAAAAGAAAAACTGCAGTAGGAAAATTGATTTATAGGGCCAGGCATGTTGGCTCCCATCTGTCAATCTCAGAACTTTGGAAGACCAAGGTAGCAGGACTGCTTGAGGCCATGAGTTTGAGAGCAGCCTGGGCAACATAGTAAGACTCCCATCTCAACAAAAAAAATTTTAAAATTAGCTGGGCATGGTGGCACATGCCTGTAATCCCAGCTACTCTCGAGGCCCAAGGTAGGAGGATTGTTTGAGCCCAGGAGTTTGAGGCTGATGTGAGCTATGATTGTGCCACTGCACTCCAGCCTGGGCAACAGAGTCTCAAAAAAAAAAAAAAAAAGAGAGAGAGAGAGAAAAAGTTGATTAAAGTATGAATGGGGGAAAAGTTAAAGACCAAATTATTAATAATAATCTAGAAGATAAAGCTAAAACTGTTCAGAAAATGGAGGAGAAAGATGAGAAACATAAGAGGAAAAGTAGAGAACCAAGGAATCTCAGGCTAAGATCCTTTCACAAGTGAATTCTTTTAAACTTTCAAGGCATCAGGAAGAGTTAATGCTAACTTTATTTAAAATTTCCTAGCATAGAAAAAGATAAAATACATTCCAGCTCATTCAATAAGCCTAACATAACTCTAATACTAAAACTGTGCAAGGAGACCATTAGGAAAAAAAAAAAGAAAGCTAAAGACAAATCTCAGTTAAGAATTTTGATGCAAAATTATTAAATAATGTTAATAAAGTGAATCCAGAAATATATTAAAAGAATATTATATTGATATGGAATAAAAACTTTCCCAAGAATTCAAGGATGATTAAGCATTAGGAAATGTACTACTGTAAATAACTTAAATAGATTAAAAGAGGACAACTAGATGACAATCTTAAAAACTATAGATACAGCAGTTTGTTGTAAATGCAATGACCTATTCAGTTAAGTGTGTGGTTGGGGAGATATCTTATTAAATAATCTAGGAATGGAAAGAGAATGCCTTAACTCAATAAAGTGATTACACCAGAAACCTTCTGCAAACATTATACTCTATGGTAAAATATGAGACAAATTCTCATTAATGTGTGTTATTACTGCTGTGAGTCAATGATGTTTTGTAGGACCTGGCCAACATGATGCAATAAATGGAGAGAGGAAGGAAGGGAAAGAGAAGGAGAGTAAATACACAAAACTTACTATCTGAAGATGAGATACTTGTGTACTTGAACAATGGAACTAGATATAAGAAAAATATACAAAATGCAACAGCTTTCCCGTATATCCATTATAGCTATTATTGAAAAGAACTCATCTGCAATAGAAACAATAAGAACAACAAATAAAAATCCAGAAATTAACCTAATGAGAAATATCCCAACCCTACGTAAGGAAAACTGTAAAAACTAAAAAGATGACCAGAATAAATGGAGAAATCTGCCATGCCCTCAGTGGGAAGATTTGATATAAATATCATGGACAAAAATATTCTCCAAACTAACATTTAAAGTCAATGAAATCCCAAATTAACTTCTAACAAGAGTTTTTAAAATAGAATTATCAAACTTAAAGTTCTACTAGAACAATAAATTCAAGGACCTAGATGAGAATATTTTGAAAAAAAAAAATGGAAGTAGACATACCCTGTCATACATCAAAATGGACAATAAAACTACACTCATGAAAATGGTACGCTATTCTGTTCACAATAGGAAACACATGGAACCAACCCAAATGCCCATCAATGATAGACTGGATAAAGGAAATGTGGTACATATACACCATGGAATACTATGCACCCATAAAAAGAAATGCGATAATGTCCTTTGCAGGGACACGCATGGAGCTGGAAGCCATTAGCCTTGGCAAACTAATGCAGGAACAGAAAACCAAACACAGCATGTTCTCTCTTATAAGTGGGAGCTGAATAATGAGAACATGTGGACATAGGGAGGGTAACAACACACACTAGGGCCTGTCATGGGGAGATCAAGGGGAGGGAAAGCATCAGGAAAAATAGCTAAAGCATGTTGGGCTTAATACCTAGGTGAGGGGTTGACAGGTGCAGCAAACCACCACGGCACACGTTAACCTATGTAACAAATCTTCACATCCTGCACATGTATCCCAGAACTTAAAATAAAAAGGAAATCAAATGTCATGCTATTAATATATGTTTAAGTTTGATAGAATACAATAGAGTCCAGAAATAGGCATACATATAAAGGAAGTCAGTATATAATGGGGGTAGTATTTCAAATCAATAAGGAAAGGTAGAAATATTCAGTAAAATGTGTTGGGACAATTGGCTGTTCATTTGGTGGAGAAAAAAGTAGTCTGATCATGATCTCATATAATTTACAAAAATAAATTGTAGGTAGATTATAAGTATATAACATGTACTTAAAATAATAAAAATGTCAGAAAATATACTTCTGATAAAAATTATCAGAAAAGTTAAAATATAGCATACTTCTATAATCTTGGGAGAGATCTCCTAAAAATGACACACGACATAAGGCAAGCATTGCCAGATGTAAACACGTGACATCTACCCTCTTGGCCTCCTACCCCATGGTCAGAGCCCAACACCCCCACTGGGCAGAGTCCTTTACCTGTCACCAGGGAGGTTTACTGGTGCCATGCTCCCCAATGCTCCTTTGCAATGTCCCTGTCTTGTGGCTCAGAGCCCAAGTTCTGTTCTAATAGAGACATTGCGGTGTGCATTTAGCTATGACTTTCTATAAACTGTGGGCTTCCTTGTCTCTCTGTGCATTGCACAGAATTGCATGCTGTCAGAGATGTAAGGTACTTATGGATTATCTTGTCATACATCTTCGTTTTACAGCTAAAGGAACGAAAGCCATGATTAATAAAGGGACTTGCCTTAAAACACACACCCAGTTGCTAACAGATCTGGCCAATACACAGAGCTGCTGATTTCTAAGGCATTGCTCTCTGCTCTGTCCACATTATAGCTTCCTGTGGTCTCATCTACAAGTGGATAATTTCGTGTAGGTAAGGAGGTTGGTTGGAGAGAAAACTGGGGCCCTACAAAGTCATTTTCCAAATCACAGTTGAAGGAGTGGGGACTTTACTATAATCAAAATATACATTTGATGTGTATTCCTTCAACCCAGCCTCTACCCAGACCTTTATGCTGTCATTTTAATGAAAGCATCTGAGAGACAACGTGAGGTCAAACATAGCACAGATGGGTCATATGCCTCTACGGTTCTTCTCTGAGCTTCCTGTGAGCATTTCACTGAGTCTGTGTGTGTTAGGGGGTGGGGATTAGAATGGAATTTAAGGGTTGGTAATATGTCGTGAAATCATAAAGTTGAGCTTTTTTATATTTTCCTAATGAGAGGAAAGTTATTGTAACTATAAACTAAATTTTACTGCTTCAATCATAGTAACCATGAAATAGTCCTCGCACACCTTTCAAGATAGTTGAGAATTACTATTCCAGATGATTTATGCTTATACTTTTCCAAGCACATTTTAAGAAAAAAATATACATACAAAATTTTCTGAAAGAAAAAAGTACACAGTTGAAAGAAAAAAAGTGCACAGTTAGATAAGCTAGAGTCCCCATGGGTTGCTGCATAAATATGAATTAGTGCCATATTTCTAAAAAGGTCTAAAATAAATGAACCCAGGAGACACCGTCAAAACTAAAACAAGACCAGTTGCACTAGTGACAAGGTTATGAAGAAACTCCTTGACCCATCTGGATAGATTTAGCAGCTCAGAAGAGAATTCTAGGAGAAGAAAATATGGCAAGATCAGATGCAACCAGAACAACAATAAGAAAAAAATGGAAAACAATCATATCACTCAATCTTGGTTGCAAATTAGCAAAGGCTGTGTGGATTCCAACAGCCAGCCACAATATTGCAACCATCCAGCTTCCTGCTAGGCTCAGGCATCACAGCAAAGACACTTGGCACCAAATAGCTTCTGGCTAGGAATTTTATGTTTAGAAATGTAAGCCCCAGTAACATTTAAGGAATTCTCTCCCTTGCCAGATAGCCATCCTCTTGCTCTGAAGCCATGTGACATACCACTTTGCCTTTTTGTGCATCTGTTGTCTACATCAGTGTAGAAACTGGGAGGAGAGACTCTGAATTTTGGCCCTTAGCAAAAGGGTACATTTTAGTATCATGACTGTCTTGGCAGAACAGGGCATTCTTACTTGAAATGTCTCTGCCATACTGGGAGATTTGTTCACCATCACCTGAGACTGGCTCAGCTGAAAGGACTATCAGTTCTTAATACACAGGCAACTATGTGAAAACTTAAGGAGCAAGCTGTTTCTTGGAAATATCACTTTATGAATGGTTGTCTCTGACCACCTTTCAGCATTTTAAAAGGTTTCATTTTCATTTGAGTTCTGTTTTTCCATTTTAATTTTGTATTACTAAAATATTCCTCTCTAAATCACATTGTAAAAAATGTTCTCTTTATTTAAATGAAAACTGATCAAAATTTTCATTTAAAACAAAAACAACACACACACAAAAAAATAAAATTGTGTGTATGTGTGTGTAATAGGACCAAAAAGTGAACACAGTGTGTAAAAGATGTACATCTTCATCACTGTGTCAAAGATACTCAAAAGTACTGAAGTCAGTGGGCAAGTGGCAGTTTTTACCCCTATCTGCAGTCCAGCAGTTCCGGAAGACATGAAAAAAGTGCTTAAGAGAATCATGGCCACTGCTAAGGTGCTGCCCAAAACCATGAGCCTGTGAAGTCTAAACTTCAACTTTGCTTTGTTTGGTTGTGTGACCTGAGCAAATGCTAAAAGTGAATTTCACCCTGTAGCACCTCCTACTGGGCTTGGAAAAACAGTTACTGACTCACTTTGGGGAAGACTCCAAACTGTTAAAATTAGAGTGGTGTTGCTGCTTCAAACTGAGACTAATCTATCTCCTCAAAACCACTTTCAAACTGGGTTGTCATCCCTCAAATTGTTTCTGGCCACTTCCTGGTAATAACTTCAATGTCTCCAGTGTTATGTACAAGGCAGAGGGGAGATGCCACCGATCGTCTTCAAAAGCGACCTTGTTTTTCCAACTATGTTCGATTTCTATTACTGCTACTACTACCTACACACACACACACACACACACACACACACACACACCCCGCAGAAACCTTTGGCCACCAGTATTAATGGTGTGGGATCTTCTGCAAACCATTTCTATTTCCCATAATAACCAAAGATGATCCGTAGGTACTGTATGGCTATTACAACCCACAATTTATAATATCAACTTGTGTAAAAACCTTTCCACTCTAGCTATTAAAAGAGAGAAACTTTTAGAAATGCACACACACATACTCCAAGTTCTCAAAAGTTCAACACTAATGATTTAAGTATTTTTTAAGTAAAAGTCATTTAAGTACCTGAAGCTGCCAAAAACCGTTAGACTTACTGTACAAAGGATCAGGATCACATCTCCAAGCAACAGAGAAACTCATAGCCAAAAGTGAACATTTTCAGGGACTTGTATAGAGGTTAAAGCAATTTCCTAACCTGAAAAATAAGGGATTGATCTGGAAGATCCTTTAAAAGCTGATTGCTGGATTTACAAAAATCCCTGTCTATTTACTTCTTTAGTACAATGAAACAGAGAAATTGGGTAACGGAAGCTGTCAAAGAGGAAAGAGAGAAAAAGTTCATTACGCAGCTGTTATTTAAACACACCACCCTTCATTTAAACTGAAAACTGAGAAAAATATTCAAATTTTGTGAAGGAAATTGGGCAAAGTGAACACATTTATTATTATATTTTTTCACTTCCTCAAAACTCACAATTATAAATGATATCATTTATAATGGAAAACAAGAAACCAGGCTTCCAAAATTAAAAGTACCAAAACTCTGGACTGGAAGAAAGCACATATTTACCCTGTGTAAAAATTCTGTTACATCAACAAGACAAATTTTAACACAGAAAAATACCTTCTTAATTTTAGAAACAAAGTAGGGAGGCAGAAAGGAAAAAACTAACTGCAACTAACAAAAAAAAAAAAGAAGGGAGAAAAGAAACCACTTCCATATTCATTAATTAGAATGTCTTGTTATTTTCATAGACAGTAAAAACTTCTTGAAATTCTTTTTAATCTTAGGCCACAGAAGCATCAATGGATCATATTTGGTCTCGTCAGTGTATAAAGCATTTACAAACCTAACTAAATATAGAATTAATGGGAGTTACGTGCTTATATTCCTTATACATAGGAGAAGAAAGAAAAGGACCCCTTTATGCCAGCTTTGAGTTTGGCTTGATTTTTTACGACTTATTTAGAAGCCCTAGGGAATGAGAAAGTCTCTTAATGGAAATACTGACACAGTCTTAAATATAGTGACATGAACAAGCACTTCTGTGAAGCTGCCCCGGGATGTGACTGACCACTGAAGCAAGTCTGAAATGCATTGAGTATCAGAAAGTCAATTATGATCAATTTGCTGATAAATATCAGTAGAACCATAATGCCAAAATACAGAGAATGCCTTTGTAAGATCAAAACTTAACGTTGGTAAACTTGTTCTTAACAGGAAAATATCAGAAATGTATGGGATCTTTGCTCTTGCACATGGAGGAGAGAGAAAGTATAAAATTTCTGTATGGACTTTCTCCTATTCTCATATGCAGCTAAAAATAGTCATTCTTAAAAAGTCACAACTTTGACTTAGGGTTCTTGTCAACCCTGACAGTAAAGGTGGCATGCCGCAGGGTTTAAATGAGTGGGTTTAGATCTGTGCTTTATTTCTTAAGTCTCACCTCCAAAGTAGTAGTATGCTACTAGGTAAACAATAAATCCCATTACTTAGTGAAGTCAAATTTGTAAAAGCTCCATTTGTTTTTATTTGTCTATCGGCTGTGCTTTTTATTCTTTGGTGGATTTTTTTTAAACTCTCTAAATTTTTCCATTTTTCATCCTTGCATTTCTCTGGAAGTCACTCCTTTACTTGAAAATCGATTTAGTTTCATTTTACTCTTTCTATGTTTTTCTTTTGACTCTCTTAAACATTTCATTGTTTTCAGCTTCATTGTTTAATTTTTTTTTTTTTACTTTACATTTTTCCTCTTTTTAAAACTTTTTTTAAACCAATTCAAACTTATTCAGGACCCTTCCTCTTGTTCTGTTCACAGACACAGATCAACATATACTTAAGTAAATTTAAATGTTTTTTATGATTTAAGGAGCAGACACACTAAATCATCAAAACACGAATTCATTCACTGAAGAAACATTTATAGAGTAAATACGTGAAAGACACGGTAATAAGCACTAGGGGAATTATAAAAATTAATACAGCACCATTTCAGGGCCTCCAGGAACTTTTAATATATATATACAAGGCAGTGAGAGCCAGTACCAAATGAAAGAGATAGGATGCGACTGCATTTCGGAAAACAATTTGCCCACATTCAGCCAAATATGAAATCAGTGTTGCTACATTTTTTAGGTACCACAACATAAAAGGACAAAAATGTCAGAAGCAAACACAACCCTAAAATATCTGTACAGTTTCTAGGCTAAACTGCCTCATACTTTCGATTTGTTTATAAGCTATATAGTATGATAGTGCGAGTCTCAGCATCTATCTACACGTAGGATTTTTCGGGCTCTCACGTGATACCAAATAACAGAGAAAAGTGAATGGAAAGCCACCCCTGAAGGAGCCAGCACACAGCTCATGTTGCCAATATTTCTTTTTTCTTTTCTTGTCTTCCATTAATCTCTCAGTTCTTCACAATGGGTGAAACCCTGGTACAATTGCATTTGAATTTTTGCAAGTGAAGCCAGAAAGAAATGTAATTTTCAAACATCAAATTAATTTGAACTTCAGAAAGAATCCATGTCAATGTGTTTTGCTACAATCATCACTCATAAATGTTTACTAAGAATCTATGGTATTCCGAATAGTGCTTAAGTTTTTATAATTCTATAGCAATCCCATGCATATTCAAAGGGTCAGCATTTGTATAAATCTCATTTTAAAAGATTCTGCTTAGAAATAAGTAATTAGAAAAGTTCTCTTTTAAAAAGGCTGTCAGGAAGACAAGGCTCTTTATTCAAAGGAGTGAGGGGCAAGTTTCCGATTGTGATTAACCCTGAGGTTACTGATTTGAAAGGGTGGAACAGTATATAAGAAATACAAGGAAGAGGACATTTAGAGAATAGAAAGATTATTAAAGTACCTCTCCAAAGCTGTGCTGAATAGTGTAAGTTTAGAAGAGAAGAAAATTCTCTATTTTTTAAATTGGTCCTTAGATTTCTGCTATCTGGAAACTGGACTTATGTGAAATACCTCATTCCCAGATGGCCTTTGTTAGGTAAGGTACAAGACAAGGAATTGGACAACCTTTCAAATATCCTTTAAATGTCACTCGCTGGACTGGTGATAGAGGCTTTTATTATTCTCTGCTGGAGTACATCAACAGTCATTTGCATGCCAGGAAAAGAATGTCTGGAATAATCCAAAAAAGGCAAAGCTTAATTCTTTCACTAAAACCAAGAAAGTGACAGCACAGAAAGGGAAATAAAATAAGAAAATAAGTATCCGAGGTAGACTTACTGGTCAACAAAAGCCCAAAAGAGAAACCGTGCGTGTGCACCGAGGCACTCACACAGGGCCCTTAACACAGATGGCTCTTGATGCCGCCGTAAGACTTTTTTAAGCTACCCCCCAAAACGAAAGCTGAAATGAAGGAAACAGATATTGTCAGGGGGAATATTCACTGCTCAAAAAGATCTGCCAAGGCATCTTTTTAAACCTTTCTTCTGGTTCGTTTAAATATGGTTTCATGGATAGAGTGACCAGCACCAAACACAGGGCTCCAGTGAGTCTAAGCCAGAGCTTTCATGGAGTGGCTCTTAATTGTCATTTTTGCATGTGGAATGAATGCACATAGGAGCAGCACCTCATATACCAATGGACTGTGTCCCAGAAGCTTGTTACATTGGTTGTTTAGAACAGAATACCTTTCTCCAAAGAAACTATGTCATAAATTAAGCTTGAAGCCCACGCAGATCCAATGGTTTATTGAACTCATGAGCATATCTAGATTTTACTACTGATACCAGCTTAAATTTTAAGGCACACAGTGTGCAGGAAGAGAGAGAAAAAGAAAAAAGAACATTTTCTCCCCTGAGGGTCATTATGAGCCAAGAAAAATGGTTTGGAGATGGCAGTTGGACTTGTTATCCTCCCAAACTTTCTACATCCTTGTTCCTCTTTCCCCAGTAACCAAAATGGCTTGTTCTCTCGTTTTGTTCCATGTCTCCAACCGCAGCAGGACATCCAAATGGATACTACCTCCCAGAGTGTCCCATGCACCAATAAACGACTTCTTTTTTCTCTCAATCAAAATCTTCATTTCTTCCCAGGGATATTCACCTCCATCAAGCAGATGGGAAGTTAGCCCGATTAATTCATACTAACATAGAAAACACTCCTATCTGCCTAGATGCTTTGCTTTATACCAGATGTGTCTAATTAAGAGGGATTTTAGAGAGTGTAACAAAATGAAGTTTAAACATTCAAACTCTTGGGAGCAGGATAAATTTATAAAGTATATGCTGACAGAGCCATGGGGCTCATAGAGCAACCATTCTAATGCACTAGGCCTTTTTTTTTTTTTTTTTTTGAGACAGAGTCTCATTCTATTGCCCAGACTGGAGTGCAGTGGCATGATCTCGTGATCTCGGCTCAGTGCAACCTCCACCACCTCCCAGGTTCAAGTGATCCCCCTGCCTCTCTCCCCGTAGTAGCTGGGATCACAGGCGCGCTCCACCATGCCTAGTTAATTTTTTTTTATTTTTGGTAGAGATGGGGTTTCACTGTATTGACTAGACTGGTCTCGAACTCCTGACCTCTGATGATCCACTGGCCTCGGCTTCCCAAAGTGCTGGGATTACAGGCATGAGCCACCGCTCCTGGCCTGCACTAGGCCTTTATAAACTGATCATCTGTGATCTGTGAAAGGGAAAAATGCAACAAGGGCTTGTCCTCAAGTCGAGCAAAACAAGAGGGGAACTCCACAGGTTTTATTTCAAGACTTGCCTGATTTACTCTTTCTTAGAATCCTCTTTCCTCCTTCAGTAGAGAAAGAAATTCCATAGGCTTGGTTCTGAGGGTAAAGTCAAAGTCTAATTCAAGTTAGAAAAGGTTCCAGTGAGAACCCACTCTGTAAGGCGGCAAAAACGGTTCCATCTGGAGAATCTGAGCCCTGGTTCAACAGGAATGGAGGTGGATATTACACCGGGGGTCCTTATCCTGGCACCACAGAGAGCAGAGAGAGCAGACCACCTGGGGGCTAGAGGCTTGGACATCAGTTTGTAAGGAAATTCACTCAGTCAAACATCTGAAAATTACCATTCGCTAAGCTCACATGATAAAAACAAATTATAATTTTAATTTAGATGACTTAATTCAACAGATGACACTGAGTGACTAAATTTCCTTTGAGTATTAATTACATTTAGATGCAATGACCTTAATAACTCTGATCAATTGCAATGGTAAAATTACTGCTGTCAAAAATGTTTCAACCCATTTGTAGTGAGAGCCTGCTATGACCCTGGCATGAAGCCAAAGACTGTGGATTACAGAGAAATAATGTCTATGTAAAATCAATAAAAATATGTTTGCATTTGCTTTGATGTTTCTAGTAATATCTTCAATTAGGATTACTACTTTATAATCTACAAGATTCTGCCCCCTAGAATTTAATAAAAATAAGTGAAGTAAAATTCAGTGATACATTATCCTTTCTCACACCAACTTTCAACTGGCTTTTTTTTTTTTTTTTGAGACACAATTTCACTCTGTCACCCAGGCTGGAGTGCAGTGGTACAATCTCGGCTCACTGCAACCTCTGCCTCCTGGGTTCAAGCGATTCTCGTACCTCAGCCTCCCGAGTAGCTGGGATTAGAGGCGCCTCCCACCACGCTCAGCTAATTTTTGTATTATTAGTGGAGACGGTGTTTCACCATATTGGCCAGGCTGGTCTCGAACTCCTAATTTCAGGTGATCTGCCTGCCTCGGCCTCCCAAAGTGCAGGGATTACAGGTGTGAGTCACCATGCCCGGCCTCAATTGGCTATTTGATTCCATATATTTAATAAAACTCATCACAAGACAGCTACTCTAACAAAAATGGATGAATAATTGGATAAAGTTCCTTGGCAGCCGGGCGCGGTGGCTCACGCCTGTAATCCCAGCACTTTGGGAGGCTGAGCCTGGCAGATCACTAGGTCAGGAGATCGAGACCATCCTGGCTAACACGGTGAAACCCCGTCTCTACTAAAAATACAAAAAATTAGCCCAATGTGGTGGCACGCACCTGTAATCCCAACTACTCAGGAGGCTGAGGCAGGAGAATTGCTTGAACTTGGGAGGTGGAGGTTGCAGTGAACCGAGATCGTGCCACTGCACTCCAGCCTGAGCGACAGAGCAAGACTCCATCTCAAAAAAAAAAAAAAAAAGGAAAAAAGAAAAGTTCCTCAGCAATAAATTGTAACAAAAACAAATAAATTGTAAAGTGTTCTTTTAAAAAATTTGAAAGTTCAAAATCTTTGTACTACTGTAGCACTGGGGGAGGGGGTGTTAATACAGACTTAGAAAATTTCTATTTAGGTGAGGAAAGAAAGATATAACCAGATGGAATTGAAAGAATTCAGAAGAAGGTTATATGCCAGAGAAAACCATAGCAGTTGCTCAGAAAGTATTTCTTGAAATCCCCTGTTTTACTATTTATACATGCCTGGTAACCCAGCTACGATTGCAGCAACACTGTCACTCAATTCCCACCAAAGACAGCCATTGATTGTTTTGACCTGAAACCTAGCAGATCAGTCTTAGGCCACCAGCCTTTCTTAATTCTCCAACCATAAAAACAAATCATTTAGTCTGCCCTTTTTAAGTTGGTGCACACGCATGTAAAACCAGAAGTTTACATGTCTAGGTTGCTTTCTCATTGCTTGCATAACTAAAAAAAAAAAATAGGCTTTTATTTAAAAATAGAATTTGGCAAATGAATAGTCCATACTATGGACCAAGTGCCTTTGGAATGCTTTAATAAAAACAAGCCACCGAGATATTTAACTTTGAAAAGAATCAACTCTACAGGCATGCTATTCACTCTGGCTTTATATTTTGTCACTTTTGAAAAGAACATGCATTTTCAGAAGACTCACCACACTGGGAAAATTGCGTAGGCATCTAATCTATGTTTTTACCAGGCAATGTTAAAAATTTTATAAGAAAAATATTTTAAAATAAAAGATTACCAATTACTCTGTCTCATTAAAATTAATGTATTTGTCATTTTTTTTTATTTGCCTATGCACATTTGTACTGTCATAACTGTATTATAGTGTTTCCACAATTTTGAATTGTTTTTCAATATTACATTATAAATATTTCTCAAGTATTTTCATAGTATCAGTATTATAAAGAAAGATCTTGACTTTTATGCAGTCTTAATCTGATTTGAGAGTAGGATAACGTTTACATTTTTTTTAAAATTGATACTTTTTATATGTTCCAGAAAAATGTATAAAACACGAGCATTAATTACTTCTTCAAAGTTTGAAAAGAAATGGATGTATTAAGTCATGTGTTTTGGGAATTGGATTGACTAAAAATCTTAATTTTTCCCTAGTTATTGGCCATTTAAAACTTTTCTTGTTTATGAACTTTTAATTTGTGTGGAGAATGCCAATTTATTTAAATACACATTTACATATAGTATATTGCCAAACAACTGTGCATAGTACTTCATCATAATTTTTTAAAACCTTTTTTGTTTAATAACTGTTTATTGATTGTTGTTTCTTTCCTTTGTAATTTCCAATTTTAATTTGCGTCGATTTTTGCTTGTTTAATTTATTATTGTTTTAAAAGAGTCAACTCTTATTTATTTTTCAGCTTCCCATTTGACCTTTTTTTATTTTATTTTATTTTTCAATTATCTGTTTGAACAATGTGATTTCTTTCCCTGTCTCTAAAAATAAACATTCATAAAACTCTGAATTACTTTCAAGCTCTTCTCTGGTCACAACAGTCAGATGTTAATATGTAGTGTCTTCATTTTCTTTTGCAACAGGGTCTCCCTCTGTTCCTCAGGCTGGTGTGCAGTGGCATGATCACGGCTCACTGCAGCCTTGATCTCCTGGGCTCAAGCGGTCCTCCCACCTCAGCCTCCCAAGTAGATGGGACTGCAGGTATGCACCACCATGCATGGGTAATTAAAAAAAAAATTTGTAGCAATGGGGGTCTCACCATATTGCCCAGGCTTGTCTCAAACTCCTGGGTTCAAGGAATCCTCTTGCCTCTGCCTCCCAAAGTGTTGGGATTACAGTTGTGAGCCACCTTGCCCAGCTTCATTTTCATTATTGGCCAAATTTTCTTTTATTTTTTCTTCTTCCTAGACCCAATTATTATTTACAAGACAATTTCTGTAATTTTGAGTGTTTGGAGTTTGTTTTTATTGTTGGAGTTGGTGATGCAAAGAGAAAATGAGGTTGATTTAAGTCTTTAGAAATGTATTGATATTTTCTCTGAATCTTTGTAGATCATTTGTCTCATATATATTTGTAAACGTTTGAAAATCAGATTGCTGGTGAAATGATCTAAAGGGTACATTAACAGAGCAACTTTAGATTTCTTAATAAAGCCCTACTGTTCATGGACCAAGCTTCTTGATATTATGAAGAAAAGATGTAGTAAAATGTGTATAGTTTATATCATAGGGCCTAGTATACCATAACTACTCTATACATGATTGGTAGTAGTAGGGATAATAATAGTGATTATAGTAGTGATGTTCTTCCTATCTCTTGTGCAGATTCAGAGATCTGGAGGAGAGTACCTACTATGTGTTCTTGGTCTGGGTTTTCTTATCTGTGATGTAATGTGCCTGGTCTAGATGTTTTCTGAGGTTATTTCCAGCTCTAATATTCTAAATCTCATTTGCTGACATTTTCAGGACCCAGACTCTGTCTACACCAGATGTTGGTCATGCATATTCCTTGTTCCAAAGTCACCTCATACACTTCTTAAGAGCAAACCTCTCTGGGAACTGAAGTCAAGATAGAAATTTTTACCAAACCTACTACTCCATCTGAAAGTTTTGGACAGGTAGGAATCGATCCTTTATTTCTGGAAGGAAAGTAAAATTTTAAAAGCTATTTTTCATCCCTGCTTATGCTTTTCAGGAATGAGAGTAAAATTTCCAGAGCAATGGAAGCCAGACCTATACCTTTCTTTCACAAAAGCTTGACACCCTATTAATTTGTTTTCATTTACCATCACTATTTAGCAATCAAAGCATTTAACAGAAAAGATAAAATACAAAGTATTTGCAGGACTGGCCACAATCCGGCACTATCCTCTATTATAAATTATTCATAAAAGCCAGTATACACCCCCCTAAACATTGTTATTCTGAAGATTAAAATTATTATAAAGAATGAAAATTCTTCCATCTTGAGTTAATTTTTGTATAAAAACAAAATGAAAATATTAAAAAATTAAAATTAAAAAATATAAAAAGAATAAAACTTCCTGTCTTTAATATGAAAACTGAAAATTTCTCAGTAAGACCATAATCTACTAACAAATGTATCCATTGGCAATTCTAAACAAAACGAAAGCTTTAAAACTGAATTATGGGCAATATGTGAATAATCTGATGTCTTTATACCTGTTAAAATAAATCCCTCTGATGCAGTTTTAATTGTGCTTTAAACAGGTATCGCAGGAATTACTACAGAAAGCACGGACTTACCTGTGCGATAGACAAAGTTGCCTTCAGTTTCTGATGACGATGGAGACACTAATTCTTCCTCAAATTCATTGGAGCTAAAAGATCCCGAGTGGTTTCTTTGCCTTGTTTTTCCCATCATGGTAGTGTTCGTGGCCATGACATGTCTCAAAGAGTCATTAAGGTAACGGTTCAACAAGCTGCTCTTGTATTTGGGGGGTGCCACGTAGTCCTCACTGGCCCGTGACTCTGGCCTCACTCCCGCTTTGATGACCGAATTCTCACTTTTAATCACAGGATGGTGAACTGGGGTATTATAGCCCCCTTCGTTCATGTGGGTTCTTGGAGGATTTTCTCCATCTAAAGTGGAACAGTATCACTAAGTAGGGTGGTATGCATACTTTCCCCCAGCCACCCAACTCTTATATTTAATCCTTAAAAATATATAAAGGAAATATATTTAAAGTATATAAAATTATCTTTGATAGTCAAGATCAATTTTTAGGCAATGAAAGCAAATATTTATGTCATCTCTCGCTTATGGTATTTTAATTTTAATGAATTTCACTGAATATGTTATTCTGACACATGGTATATCTATAAACAAGAGGAAATGGCCATCATTCCTTTGGTCATTTATAGTATTATAAAAATGAAGTTACTTCATGCAATAAAAAAGAACCGTTAAGGCACCATCATATTTTGTGAGAGCAACCTTAAAAATAGCAATTATGGTGAACTTGCTAATAGAGGCAAAACAAAGAAAGCAAAATAAAAATATTAACAAACCTTCAGAACATGAGTCATCACTGCTTACGCTAAGCCGTTCAGCATTGCCTTGAACATACTTGTTGTATAACTTTATTCTCAAAGCCCAGCTTAAATCTGGCTGTCGAACGGTATTCTTAAGCCGACGTCTTGCATTAGCAAACCAATTTGACACCTAAAACAGTATTATTTTTCAATTAACAAAACTTAAAAACATTATCCATGGTGCGATTATTTTCTCATAAAGGAGCTAAGCCTCTCTCAGCACCTCTGATCATTAAATATTCTCAGGACATAAGAATACCGGACATTCGCATCCATTCATTCATTTGACAAACATGTTGCTTACTACAGACACTGAGCATTTAGTGTATTTGTGGAATAAGGAAAAATGAAAAGGCCTTGACATCAAAAAATTTAATAAGAGAAAAGTCCAGTAAGAGAAGTAGGAGGGTATACAAATAACTAGTATAAGAAAGAATGTGATGAATGGCATACAAGACATTAAAATGATACGAGTCCAAAGGAAAGAGGGGTTACTTTCATATATGACTCCAGCCTTTTTGAGGAAGTTAAGTGAGCCTTTGAAGAAAGTCCAGAATAGGTCAGGTCAAGAGGGAAGGGAAGTGCATTCCCAATAAAGAGGACACAGGAACAAATAGAAGTGAAATTCCACAGAAATTGTAGGGGTTGAAGAAGAGGGAAGAGTTAAAGATGACCTTGAGTCATCAAACCTGTGGAACCAAGAGAAGGGTAGTGCATTTGGGGAAGGAGATGAAACTTTCTGAGGATAAAATGATGTGTTTGGCTTGGGCAATGTCTAGTTTGAGGTGCTAATACTGGTGACATGTCTGGTAAGAAAATAAAAGTGGTATCTGAGATTGAAGGGAGGGGATGAGCAAATTCAAGAGGAAAAGGCACAGAGGTAATAGTCAAAGTTGCAAGAGTAGAGAGAGTGAAAGCAGGGTCAAGGGCCAAGCTTTGGAAACCATTAGAGATGAAAAAAGTGGGATCTGTTCGCTTCCAAAAGAGGCGTTAGCAAAACAGAGGTAGAACCATGGGTGAAGAGGGGGAAAATAAACCAAAGAACTCCTCACTTTAAGCCAAAAGTCAAATGTTTCTTAGACAAATAGGTGAAGGCAAAGAAAGAAATATGTCAAGACAAAGAAAAGCTACTTCCATTCTTTTTTTTTTAAAGATGTTACTGGATTTGATACTTGAAATTTCTTCTAAAATACCAGGTTATCATCAGTGCATAGATTTTTAGAAACTCAAAAGGGCAATACTTGCCTTTAAAAGAATGAAACATGGGAAGAGAATTAAATCTTTCTGCCAGTTTGGTCCAGAACATGACCAAACTGAGGAATTTAAGCTAGGCTTTGAAGAAAGGCCAGATTACTATAATGGTTTGTGTGGCAATGTTTGCACTGGAAATTTCTACTTTTTTTTTTCTAGATTTATACTATAAATACACATTTTTTGTGCATTACTCAAGTCCTTATTATTCTACTTAAAAAAAAATCTCAAATTATACTTTTTCTCCCTGTCCTCATGGGTAAACACACGGTGGGTTTCCCATATGTATTTAATATTCAATATAGTTAATATTGTCTTCTTTGTACCTGAAGCAATGATAGTTATCCTTTCAAATTTATATGCAATGACATATTATCTCACTGTGGCATTTCAGAAGTCAGTCTTCACCAATGCTTCTTCCTGCTAAGCTATGTTACTATTACTAAGATTCAGTCTGACTTCAAATTCTCAGTCCTTCCCATTCTCTACAGACAGACAACAAAATTATTGAGTGACTATTGTACTTTAGCCATGGTGTTAAGTCCTAGGAATGAATAAGCTTTGTCTTCTGCACTCCCAGAAGGACTAGCGGAAAAGAACTACACATAATTAACTGGGATACACTGGTGAACATTAGCTGTGGAAGCACAAGGAGCCTGATCCCTTTCTTCATGAAATTTCTCAAACTCCCTTGGATTCTTCAACTCACTGCCAAAATCTTCATCCGACTACTTTATCCAGCCATACTACTAGCTGGGAATTTGAAAACATTTCTCTTTCTAACTTCCCTGTCTTCCATTCTGTTCTCTTAAATGGATCTTAGCAAGTATCATCAAATTCAAGAATTGATGCACCATTTTGATTTAGTCACTTCACTTCTTCAAATCCTCATAAATGTCCTGTTATCCCATAATCACCATACAGTGGAAGAGGGCCTGGCTTCCTGTTCTGAATTTGCCAAAAACATGCTGTGTGAATTTGGATAAATTATTCAACTTTTCTGAACTTTGAATCCTTCATCTCTAAAATGGATTTGATGGTTCCTAATATCCTTGCTAGCTCTAAAAATTAAGATGGGTGAATACATCCCAAGTTCCCCTACAGCAATGTTAATTTCCTTTATACTAGGTACTAACCTCCCTCTGTTGACCAGTACTGTCTCCAGCAAGAGTGTTTTTGTCCTTCTTTGCTCCTTTCACACACAGAGTACAGCCTGCAACTTCCCCTAGATCATTCATATTTACTAGAATCCAACTCCAAAACATTTTTGTAACTTTCTTTACTCAATGGGATATAATTCAGACTAACCTTAAATCTTAACTAACCTTAAATCTTCACACAGCAACCACACATAGTACAGTGTAAAATCCAATTCTTATGAAACTCTTCTTATAATGAAAATGCAATGGCCTTCTAATTTTTTAAAAAAGTAATACACTACCCTTCTAACAGATAAAAATGGGGGAACATTTAAATGATTTAAATGTCACAGGGGATTAACTAACTTTTCATGTATAGGAGTCATATCTCTTTTAAGTTTTATATACTCATAGTCTTTTTTTTAACCATATTATAATAGTTACACATTAGGTGATTTTCCAGAAAGGTTTGCTGATGTCTATTATAGACTGTTTCAAAACTGATTTCATAAATTGACCACCACCCAATCTGGTAATATATATATTCTGCTGGGGTTTTTTGTTCTTTTGTTTTTTCAGTACAACTTAACAGCTAGATACACTCCAAGGTCTTTAATGTGTATTTGCAGTAGGTCCTGCAAACAGCAAATAGTTAGTTAACAAATTTGCATATACTTGTTTTGCATTTCTTTCTGGATGAATTAATGCAAATTCCATCTGTTTCACTGAAGGTAAAAATATCGGTTCAAATTTTCCACTTTTAATCTACTATGGATTCCTTCGGGTTGTCGTTCATATTCTCTTCAAATTGTATTTTACATGAAACAGGTCTCCTTAACCAAGGATAGGTTCTGGAACAGAATTTTAATGTCAAACTGAATGCTATATGTGTATATACGTATAGATGTTTGGGCCTCTAAGCTTTCACTATAAAATATGGGAGATAGTTAGATATGACTAATTTATATAATTATGATTTATATCAGTATCTATCTATCTATCTCCCATATTTTATAGTGAAAGATTAGAAGGCCAAACATCTAGAAGCTGGGAGGGAAAACTAAATAATATTCATCCTACTTTAACAAAGGTGTTTACATTCATCATGTTGACAGAGCAATTGTTATAGTACACCCAAAGGGATAAACTGGCATCTGTCCATGTTTGAACACACTGAATTAACGAACTTCTGAGCTATTCAACTGAAATATTGAGCACTTCATTTCCACACCATGTAATATAACACTTGGAATAATGAATAAGGACTGATCTGAGATTTTGTTGAATATTTAACGTTACTATAAGCCTTGTAGCTGATAATGGCATATATATATCAGCAGGCACACTCAATACCAAGCAAAAACAGAGTTATGTCAACAGAGGAGACAGAATCTAGGAACATAGCAGTTTTAACAAATCGTATGTGGACATATCACAGGAATATGAGACTTTCATTATTAGAGGAGGAAGCATTAACATCTACTCATTACTCCTTGATAAGTTCCATATCCTGCAATAATACAAACCCCAATCACATACCATTTTATACTATTCCACAATAAAGCTGTTTATATTTTGAGAGTACAGAGTGTATTTCTATAGCATTTGAACAATGATCAGCCATAGGATCAGCCATAAGATCCGTTGGTAATTCTATACATTTTTATTTTTTCCATTTATCACTTTAAAGTTTCAGAAACTAGCTTCATTAATAATAAAATTTGAAATCATTATACAGTTGTCATTTATTATTATAAAAATTATCTTACCCCACTTAAAATTACATATTTCTGTGCATTTTTATTTTCTGAGCACTAGTGTAAGAGAAAAAAAGTGTTTTGAATGAAAATTTCATGTAAAGCATATTTTAAAAATGTAATAGCCTTACCAAGATCTAAATGTAAAAAGCATTTTTATTTGTATTTGAACTATCATTACAGGTGGCAAATAATTTAAAATTATAACTACTTGTATTGCAGCTCAACAAAAACCACTACATAAGAAAGTTTAAATGGCTCTCCTAATGACAAATGCTACTTCATAATTTAAAAATGTCCTAAAATATGTCATCAATGTTCTTTTGTTTTCTGTATGAAAGAATAGTCTCTATTAAATATGAAGCTCTATAATCAGCCAAAATAACCTAGTGTTTCATTGCTGACATCACTGTGAAATATTCAGATAACTCTATAAATTAGTGTATTTTAAAAATAAGTAGCATACTTATTTAAACTGAAATTTTAACATAGGTTATTTATTTTCATAAGTCAGGTTTTTCTGACTGGAATAATTTATTTCAAAACTACTTTGGTACATTGCTAAAAGATTCATAGTTTTATGTTAAACAGATATTAAGCCAAGAACACTAAATTAATTTTCCCCTCCACTGCTGCAGCAAATCACTATTAATACCATTGCCTGATAATATGAAAGAAAACAGATGTTTTTGTATATAATTATATTCTGAAAATAAGCAGAAATTACGTATTCTAGTATTGATAGCCTGACAATAAGTCAACTTTCATGCCTTGTCAAACTTTCCAGTAATTCCTAAAGGGAAATTTTAAATACTCTGGAAAGCAATCTTTATTTTATCCACTAGTTCCTTTTTCCTTTTTGGAGTTCCTGCTTACTGTAAATTTAGCGGAATGGCCAAATTTTCACAATCAGGTAATGCTACCGCAATGTGCAAAACTTTTCACCTGATGTAGCCCCTCCTCCTCTTCTTTCTGAATAAATTTGCCTATTTGCATGTAAAAAAGTTCAAGCCACCGTATTTATTTTAAAAAATTGTGACATGACGGGAAGAGCATTTGGTCTGGAATTATTTATTTCCAGGCCTGTCTTTTACTGACACAACTGCCCCAAGTCTTGATTATGTCAAGTGTAAAATTCTGATAGTAACTGCCTACAACATCGTGGTTTTGTGAACAGTAAGATTCAGTTTTGAAAAGCTAGTCAAATGTAAAGTAACGTTGTTCACCAGAGAACACACAAACTTTGCACCATTTCTCTACACTTGGCAAAGTAACCCAACCATCTGAAATCTGCCTCCTCTCCTTAAGCCCAGCAGAAAAGCATCAGGAGCAAAATGCTGTGGATTGCAGCTAATGTTTAGGATGCTTCCTATTAAAAAATAATAATAAATAAGTGTGTGTGGGGGGTTGTTGATCCAAACATCATTTCTTGTCTTTCTATCCCCTACTCCTAGCTGTCAGTAATGGTAATTTTGAAAGTTACTCTGTACCTGAGCTTTAATACTGGGCCTTAATATGGAGCGTCACACTGCGTGGTTCTCAAAGTGGGGTTCCTCCCTAGCCTCTGCTTCAGTAACACCTGGGGCCTTGTAAGAGATGCAAATGATGGTCTCACCCCAGACCTGCTGAATCCGAAACTCGGAGGTGGGGCCTAGCGATTCGTGTTTTAAGCTCTCCAGGCGATTCTGATGCTCACTAATGTTGAACCTTCTCGTAAGTCTGCAGTTTACTTTTCACTTCCCTACCTGACAGCGCATCCTGCATTCTTTCCTGCACGGAGCATCTGCACTGAACTGAGGGATGAGGGTGAGAGGTAATTCAGAAACTCCCACAGCTCGGCTCCATCCCTCTCCAGGTAGAAGCGCCACGTGGAGAGCCACACGAACTCTAAGCGTTCCCGCTCTTCAGCCCCTCGCGGGAAAACGGATCAGGGTGTTAATGGGTCCTGATTACCTGCACTAGCGTCATCTGCGAGCCGAGGGCCAAGAGTATCTTCTCGGTCTTGGTGGGGTACGGGTTGTCACGGTGCTTGTAAAGCCACTGCTTGAGGGGTCGCGCCATGTCTTGCAGGGCCTGCCGCTTGTGCCTCACCTTCCCGCCATTCTGCCGGGCGCTGGGACATGGGGAGAGGAGGCGGCCCTGGTGAGCGACGCGTTTGCCCGCCCGGACGCTCCACGCCCCGGCCAAGCCCGGGCCCCGCATCCAAACTGCGCATTCCTGCCTTGCGCCCCTGCTTTGCGCGCGCCCAGAGTGTTTGGGAGAGGCAGGAAGTGGGAGCCACACAGTTTCTGGATGGGGAGATCATTTCGATAGGTTTATCTTGAATAGGGGGATACCTTGAACCCAATACCCCAAGGTTAGAGGTTTAGAAGACGAAGGTCAAGTGATTTGAAGAATACTGCTATTCCAGTCGCGTATCTGGGCAGCGGGGCTAACTGCTACCCTTCCCTCACCCGCTGGCGCCGCACCCTCGAGTGGCCCTGGCCTGGCAGGCCTGGCAGGGTATGCGGCTGGCTCTCGAAACTTCCCTCGGGGATCTCTTGTCTGCTCCCAGAGGCTTTCCGTCGCTTGTGGTCAGGGGAAAGGTCGCCGACTGGACATAGGGAATAAAGCAAAGGAGCATTGCCGCCCCGGCTCTCTTTAAGCTATTTCCTTTGATCTTTTAGGAAAAGGGGGAAACTTTCTAAAGGAGTTGGTGGTTTGTGGAGGAAAGCTGCAGAACCCAAAAACACCGTCGGGCCGTTTCCCGACTAAGGGAGGGTTAAAAGTACGGCAAGCTCTGTCCCATCATGTAAGGTAAAAAGACCTCAGGAAAAGCACATTCAAAGGGGGAGGAGGCAGAGGCAGCCAGGAGCCTGGAGCGTGGCCTGGGGCGCTGCGCTCCCTCACGGGTCCGGGAGGTGTCGCGCGCGGCCGCCAGCGAGCCCAGCCGCTCCCCGAGGCTTGCGCGCCTGCGCCGGAGCCTCCTGGGTTTCTGCCTCTTTAAACACTTTGAAATGCAATTCCACCCGAAACGACTGGTAGTAACATTTTGACGAAACCGAATCTCTGTTTTACTAAGCAGCGACGCCGCAGAACAAGCAGCTGATGCAATCGTTCAGGTGGAGGCGGCTAGGACGGCCGCCCCTCCCCGGCGGGGCGCCCGGGGAGCCGCCGGATCGGGCCAGGCAGAGCCTGCCCTCCACTCACCGGCAGTCTGAGCAGCTGGCCCACCCGCAAGCTACCGCCCCCCCCAGCATACCCCTCACCCCGCTAAACTCAAACCCGGCCCCGCAGGCCCGGGGCCTCCCCCTCCGGGTTCGCCGCGGGCCCAGCCGAGCCGCGCTCACGCCCGGGACTCCCTGGCGGGAGGCGACCTTCCCGACTCCTTGGGCCAGGCGAGCCGCGGGGCTCTGGCGAGGGGCTCGAGTGACCGAAGAGAAGTCCGCGGAGCCTGAGCCTGGACTCCCCGACTGCTCGGCTTCGCCTGTTTCTCTGCACCGAGCTCAGTCCTTTTTCCTCGCCCTCAGCCGCGCACCGGCACCCACAGTCCGGAGAGGGGCAAATAACCCCCAACTCCGAGGTCCAGGCAGCGGAGGGCCGAGGGGCAGCTCCTGGCGCCCTTAGTCTCCACCAAGCTCTTTGGAGCTGCCCCGACGAATTGATCCCTCATGTTTTAAGATAGGAGCCCCTTAACATGAGAATGCGCGAGCCCTGGAGGGGCAGACCTGCACTCCCAGGGAACTCCGGGCCCTTTCCCGTCCACCCGCCCGCGTTGCCACGGGACCCCGTCACAGCTCACCACCCCCACCCCTCCGGGCCGCAGGCGGGCAGGGCCCCCAGGGGAGTGCGCATACCCGGTCCTCCGGTGTCTCAGGCCGAGGTTGTCCTTGAGGGGCGGGCCGTCGGGAATGCCCACCTCGGGGCGGGCGTGAGGACTGTCCAGGACACCGCTGTAGGGCCGGCCACCCCGCTCCCGCTCCGAGGCGCCTCCGTCCTCAAACAGCACCGCACCGCTGAGCTTGTTGAAGACGATGGTGTTCATGGTGTCGGTTGGTAGGGACGCGCGGCGCGGCCGCAGAGCCTCGGGGCTGGGCCGCCGGGAGCTCCGCAGCGGGGCTCGGCTTCTAGGAGAGGAAGGTGCATCTCGTTACTTACTGGCTGAGAGTGCTCAGACCCCTGCAGGTTCAGGGCCTTGAACTTGGCCGGGTCGCCGGGCTGCGGAGCCGAGGGGAGGAGCGGCGCCGCCGCAACTGGCAGGGACCCTGCGGCTCTCCCCAGTTGGCTACACGCCCCCGCCCCTGCAGGTTCCCCGGACAGGTACCTGCCCTCTTCCTTGCCTGGGCGATCGATCCCCCCAATCCCTTCACTCCCCAGAACTACAACCGGGAATCATTCACCCGCAGAGGCAAAGGAAACGAATTCCCAAACGAGCCTCTGGGTTTCAGTTTGAATCTGGGAGAGGCATACTCCGGACTGCGGAGCGCGACCGGCGTGAGGCCGCGCGTGGTTCTTCAATCACAGCAGAAGACTAAAGCCTCTAGGAACCCCAACTCGGGGCGTCAGGAGGGGTTGGATGGAAGGGAAGATTTGGGGTAATGTGCCAACCGTATCCACAAGACCCCCCAGCTCATGAGTCCCAGGCCATACCGGGATTTGGGGGATTTTCGTGTTTTCTAGATCGTGGATGGTTTGGTTGAAACCCCCGCATCTTCTGTCCGCCAAGGTCCCCCGGGGTGAGGTTGGGTTCAAGGACAGGAAAAAGTTAAGTGGCGTCAGGACGAAAGCACCACTTCTCCCCCTTCTCTCCCAGAATCTTCCTATCATCCCCCAACGCGCCCCGGGAAGTGCATGGTCCTAAGGTCCAAGGCGCCAGGACCCAGGTCCCCAGAGCCCTCAATCAGTGCCATTCTCTTCCGCAGCGCGGGTGTCAGCCGCGAGCTCGTAGCCCCTCGACACCCGCCTCTCTCTGGGGTCTCCGGGGACCCTTTCAGAGGCTGTAAAGGTGTCAGAAGCCCAAGGCAGGAGGCAGCTTGGTCGGCGCACCTCCCGGGCCACTGCTGCCACTGTCGGGGAGAGCCAGCAGCTCACCTCTGGGGTCGCGGAGGCCCTGAGCCTCTGCCTGCCGCGCACCGGCGTCAGGAGCAAGTCCGCGCGGCCGCGGAGCCGCAGAGTTACAGCCCCAAGGCGCGCGGCGGACTTCGCCCGCCCCATCTCCTCGCCTCGCGCCTCGGGACAGCTCCCGTTTCCTCCGAGCGGCCTCAGCTTCGCTGCCAGCGCCCCCTTTGCCCGTCCAGCCGCGGCATGGGCTGCTACTCCACTAACACACGCGCGCGCGCATACACACACACACACACACACACACACACACACACCCTTTGCCTCGCCAAGCGCCCACACTCGCCAACGCCCCCGCCCCGCCCTTCGGCCACCGCAGCAGAGGCCACGCGTGACATTTAGGACCACGCGTGACCACCGCGATCAAACGACGGCTACGGTCTGTGTTCGTAGGGAAGTGAAGTCAGACCTCTGCTGGATGTCGTGTGTCCCCTAGGACTGCGTCCTCCCGCGCAGACAGGTACGTGCCTGGGGTGTGCACATAGCCTCGGTGATAAGTGTCAAAGAGAATTTTCGTGCTTGCAGCCCCTGTTCTACAGTCAAGACTCGCGTTGGTGTTTTCTTTTAAAATCATGCCCTTAGGGATGTGTGTTCATGCTGCTTTATTTGTACAAGACACCCTTCCCCGGCCCGGCCTTCTCCGAGCCACCCCAGCGCGTCCTCCTAGATGCGACGACGTGTTTTTCCTAGCGAAGTCATCACGAGGTTAGCCACCTCGGACACTTCCCCGGCAGCCCCAAGCCCACGCAGAGATCGCAGACACAGACACCCGGCGCGCTGTAGGTCTGCAGGCAGCAGGCTCAGAGGCAAGCGATGGCAAAGGTCCGAGCGCTGTCCTGTCGCAAGGGGTCCGGGGGCGTGTGAACCACACTTGCTGACCCTCCCAGGACTCCCGCGCGCGGCCACCCGCGCCTCTTCTCAAATCACTTACCCCGATTCACTCCAGACTGTGGCCGGGGAGGTCACTCCCTGCAGAAGTGTCCCCCTCCCCCAACGCCGGCGAATAATTTTAAAGCAAAGGAGGCGCGGCCAGGTGGGCTCCCAAGCTCCGCGCAGACCCTTGGGCCAGCCTTGGCCGCTACCCGAGCGCCTCTCCACCAGACCTTGGAGGGAAGTTGGGGGAAGGGCGGGAGAGCACCGGCGCCCAGGGCGCAGGGGCCAGAGCGAGCCTGGCGTTCCGCCGCAGCCGGCTGAGACTCGGCGACGCGGGGGCTGTACCTGTGGCTGCGGGGCCGACGGCCGGCTGCAGGGCGGCTGGCTCTCCCGCCTCGAGACTAGGCGCACTCCCATCCCCGCCGCATGTTCTCCACGCGGGCTCCAGCGCGCTCACCACCGCCACCGCCGTCGTCTCGGCTTTATTTACCCAGCCCGGCGCGCGCCGCCCGGGAACAGGAATAGCGAGGCCTTCTCATGTTTCCTGACTGCCGGTCCCAGCCGGCGAACATCCTGCGGGCGCGGTATCCACGTTCCCGGGCGGGTGGAGAGGAAGCGTCCGCGCCCGCCCGGCCGCGGGGGCTGCTGTTAACCCCTAGCAGAGGAGCCGCTGCCGGGGAGCCCCGGGCCCGCCGAGTCCTCCGGAGCCGGGCGCGGCTCCCAGATCCGCCGGCCTTGCAGTCGTGGAGCAGACGGGGCTTTTCCCTTCGCACTTTAGGAGAGAAATTGGAGAAGCTGCCGGGAGCGCTCGGCTCCGGCTCCAGAAGCTGAGAGGCTGCGGTGCAAATCCCGTGTCTTAGCTGGCCCGATTGCCGGAAATTTCACTGCGCGTGGCTAGGCGGGAGAGGCCACTGTGACGCGCCCTGTATTTTCCTCTCGATTAGCTGGAGGGAAGTTAGAGCTCCGTTTTGCACCTACAGCCCTGGAGCGTATTGCGGGAAGTGCTAGTGCCCAGGAGCCTCTTTTCTGATGTCACTGGGCTTCTGGGGTCCTAGTTGTCTCAGTCAAAGCCAGGCACACATTCACCTCCGGGGCAAGGGCTGGTGAGGCTGCCCTCGCCGCTGGGTATAGGGATGGGGGAAAGCAAGGATGGGATGAGTTCAGCCCAGGTGGCCAACCCGCGGTGGCCCAAGTGCAGAAGAGGAAGCGCGCCCAAAGCCAAGGATCTGCACGCAGCAAAGGAGATGGAACTTAGAAGAATCACAAGCTGGGACACAGGGCAAAGAGAGAGAATGGCTACCAGATTCTCTGATTGATGATACTTTGCTTCCTAACATTACCGCAAATATAAGTAGCGAAAGCGGCGGTTTAGGTGCAACTGCAAGCTCAGAGCTTCTGGCAGCCCAGAAGATCCCCAAGGTGCCAACACGAAGCTGCCTGCGCTCTCGCCGAAGGCCCTGTGGTCCTAGCGAACTTTCGCCCTTTTTAAAGAACAAACTTAGATTTCCCCCCACCAAGCTTAAAGAAATAGCGCCATTTGTCCTTTTCCCCTCTAAATGCGGCTGGCCAGAGCCGGGGCAGTGGCCCACCTTAGCATCTTCTTCGTGTGTGTGTGTGTGTGTGCGCGTGTGTGTGTGTGTGTTTGTGTGTTGGGGGGGTCGCTAGAAGTGCTTAAAATATATACCAAAACTATTATTTTAAAGACTAATCACACCCTCAAATTTCATATGTGTCACCTCCCAAATTACGCGATAGCAAACCGTTGTGCAGGGGTACAATGTAAACCATAAAGGAAGGCCGGTTTACATTTTTGCGCACCAGGAAGATACAAAGTATCATTGGAGCACGTTCTGATGTCCTCGGTTCTCTTTTGTTATATAACTTGCTGTTGCAGCGCTTGCATCTTGTCTTTGGCGCTGCCCTTGTGGTGTGAGTTCAGTACAGGCTTCTGGTCTACAGACCTCGCTGTAGGAGCTTAAAGACAGGGGTAAATCCTAAGGTTTCAGCCATCAATTTTCAGCTAACAAATTTCACCACAGAAGCAGATCTAATTGATAATTCATAGGACAAAAGAGCCACCTTCTCTTTTATGGTCTCTATCAGTGGTGTTAGTCACCGGGAATTGTAATGAAATTAGCTCTAACATACCCCTGAAACATTTTTTGGTCAGCTGTCCCAGGTAAAGCAATAGGCATCATACAGTTACTTGCAATTTCCCAGTATTCTACTAACTTTTTGAGCTATATGCTATAGTACATGTTAGTATAGGACAAATGAATTTTGTTGTTTTAGTACTTAACTATATTTACTCAATTTAAAAATGCATTTAGAGCGCTTTTAAGATATACTTACATGTAATATTTGTTTTCTTAAAGTCTGAAATGAAATATACAGCAAAAATCTTAATGCAAAAATACTTTTCATTTGATATAGGAATAAAATACATTTGAGTAAGCCTCAACTCACTAAAAAATTAACATATGGTAATTCCCTTAGACTATGATTTAATAATTAAAATCCATTTAAAAATGAAAGAAGAGTGAAGGATCCATTCTAGAAGTGAAATGGTGTGAAATATCCCTCTGTAATATACCAATGGGCATTTATTTTATTTTTGCAAGTTTTATCCTCTATGCAAAAGGGAAGTGTTGTCTTCATTTTAATCCACACTTCAAATACATTCATTATTAAATTACACCTATTTCTAAAATAAATGTTACTCAGCCTCTTGTGCTATATCCAATGTCAGTATATGAAATGCTATATATAATCCTCAGAAGTAAAGCTTCCAGTTTCAGAAAGTTTTAGAAGATTTAAGAAAGCATATGTAGTTTGTGGAAGATGGCCTTATGCAGGGGGAAAAAAAACCCAAAACACCCAACAACTTAGACCAGAAGTCAGAAGACTTGAGCCCTAATCTTAATTCTGGTTAATTTGATGATGGTTTAGCCTGAATTTAGTAAAGTGTAAAATGACGGTAATAAGTTTTCCACAAACTGCCTTACACTATTATGAAGGGTTTCTTTTTTTTAATGTGAAAGTAAGATACTGCTTTGCTAAAGCTAGAAAGATGTTAAGTAAGAACATTTGAAAGAAATATTAATTCATTGTATTGGACTCTGCAGTTATAAATATATGTAATTATTACTTTCTGGTAAAGAAAAAAATAAGTCTTCAGTTTTAGCATTTTGATATTTTACCAAATTACCCTGACATTTCAGAATAAATATTAGTCAAAATGTTTGAAAATAATGAGTGTTTTAAAACTCCTTTTTCCAGTTATTACTTATGAGCAATAAAGCAAACTACAAAGCCAGAGAATGACTACAACTTCCTGCTCAAATGGTATAAAACAGTAAGTTAATGAACAAATAGCAGGTTCAGCTCACACGTGGACAGTTTGATGGCAGAGATACATACTGGAGTGTGTAAGG
Organism: Homo sapiens; assembly: GCF_000001405.40. NCBI lineage: Eukaryota > Metazoa > Chordata > Mammalia > Primates > Hominidae > Homo > Homo sapiens. The sequence continues at coordinate 27,748,796 of NC_000010.11, forward strand.
GGAACAACAGAACAAGTGGTGAGACATACCGCTGCAGAAACACTGTGAGCTAAGCAGTAGAATGAGTGGCCACGAAGGATCTCACAAGGTGTTTCTGCTTTGTTTATAAGTTAATTTTAGTTCCATAAATAACACAGAATGAATAACGCCTTCTTACAGGGAGGGTCTTTTGCATAAATCCACTCTCAAACAAAGAAGAATACAAGCGAAAGTCCCTCTCAGCCACTTCCACCCAATCACATTCTGCAGAGGAACCACCCAAAGCTGGCAATTGCAGGTTGGATATGCATCTGCTCAAGTTTTTTCTATGCATTTACATACATGAATAAAATTAATAAATTATAGTTTTGCTTTATGAATTTTTAAAATAAATGAGGCTGTATATAAATGTACATATACATACTGAGTATTAAACTAATTCTTGCTTTTTCATTCAGTGATGTCCTAAAGAACTTTTGTATTAGTAGGCATACATGTAACTCCTTCTTTTAAACTGTTACATAAGACTCCATAATCTCCTTAAACATTCTCCTATGAATATGTCTGTCTTTCCAATTTTCACTATATAAACATCAAACATCTTTGCATATGATTATTTCTGTATATGCATAACGTGTTTCTCTAGGAATAGTTACCCAGACGTAGAATTTCTAGGTTGAAGGAAACACGGTTTTTAAATTTTGATAGATACTTCCAAATTTTTCTCCAACCTACACCACTGCTGACACATGCATGCTCCAATTTCCTCACATGCTACATAGCATTGCATGTGTTCAGTCTTCATAATGTTTGCCTAAATGATGAGTAAAATAATGCCTCATTGTTTGAAAACATTTTCCTTTATAAGCCATTTGCATTTCTTAATTGAATTGCCTTTGCTTATATCCTTATGAGATGCCTTATTGATTTATAATGTTTATTTATAAATCATTTTTTCATGATATATATTTTTACATGTTGCAAATATGTTACCTGGTCTGTGACTTGACTTTTATCTATTTTGTCTTTGTCTTACAGAATGATTAAATGTAAATAGATCAGTATGTCAGTCTCCTTTTTTGAATTCTGGTTTTTGTGTCTTGCTTAAGAAGGCTTTTTTTCTTTTTGTATTTTCATCTAATACTTTAAAACATTTTTCCACTTGGCTTCTTAATAAGTTATGGTTCAGATTGAGATGGTTGATTCAATGGTGTTCTAGGATGAAGTCATTTATCAGCTTAGAAGCAGGAGATCAGTTTCCAGCAGCTGTATTTTCCACAGTACAGTGTGACTGCACATAGCTTTTCAAACACATCATGTAACAAAGAAGGGATACCCTATCACAAGCAATATAAGGTTATTTGTAAAAGTGATGAAAAAGCACCCATTGTTTGAAAAAGTAAAATGTATTTCTCTCCTTGCTCAACATTTCATGGAATGGGAATTAATTTTTTTTTCTTCACAAAGCAGCTAGTCAAGATAGGAACATTTGATAATGATTATATATGAGTCAAATTCATTCTGGCCAGAAATGCAAGTACTTTATCACCGCAATTTTAAAAACCATTAAGTATGTGCAAGTGCAGAAAATACACATAATAAGCAATCAATAGAACTGAGATCCAAGTGGGTTAACGTCTTGTTCTACTCCAGGTCTTGCTTGAGACAGGACCTGATGTGACACTGACCCCTAACAACCCATCTTTTCTCTTGATACCAAAGTATCTTCAGTGACCTCAAATTAGAGTCCCCTATATTACACACAAGAAAATATACTATACATTGGGGTCTTGAGGGGAACTGGCAGAATATTTCATCCTTAAAATACGCATTTACACTTACATACTAGAATTACTTTCAGAAGACTCTTCTAGCTTGAGAATCAATTTGCCTTTATGTCAAAAAGTGTCCTTTTAAATAAAAATAGTGAAGACTTTTGTCCCTAGGCCAGTAGGGCTCTATGTATGAAACCTAATGGACTTCAGGAAATCCGTAGATTTTAAATATTTAATCATGATATGTGCTCCAAAATGTGTCATGCTTTTGGTTGACCCTCCCCAAATCCATCTTCTCTGTTTTCATTTTCAATCTATGTGTAGGATAACTGAATAGATTCACCAAAGGACTGAATGTGAGCAGGAGTGATGTGTGCAACTTCTGCTCAACAAGCTTAGAAGGAAATTGCTGCCCTTCTCTCCCTTTAACTCTTCCTGTGTCCAACGGTTGGAGCATGGATGTGGCAGGGTATTAGTTCACTCCAGCTGCCATCACAGAATATCACAGACTGGGTGGCTTAAATGACAGAAATGTATTTTCTCACAGTTTTGGAGACTCAAAGTCCAAGATCAAGGTGCTGGCAGGGTTGGTTTCTGGTAAATTCTCTCCCCGACTTGCAGACAGCACCTTCTTACTGTGTCCTCACATGACCTTTTCTCTGTGCTCATGCTGGGGTGGGGTAGAGAGGAGGAGAAAGAGAAAGAGAGAGAGAGAGAGAGAGAGGTCTGCTACCTCTCCCTCTTTTTAAAAAGGACACCAGTTGTAGCAAATTAGGATCCCACTGTTGTAATTTCATTTAACTTTTTTTTTTTTTCTGAGACAGAGTCTAATTCTGTTACCCAGGCTGGAGTGCAGTGGAGCTATCTTGGCTCACTGCAACTTCTGCCTCCCAGGTTCAAGCAATTCTCCTGCCTCAGCCTCCTGAACAGCTGGGATTACAGGTGCCTGCCACCTCGCCCACCTAATTTTTGTATTTTTAGTAGAGATGGGGTTTTGCCATGTTGGCCAGGCTGGTCTCAAACTCCTGACCTCAAGTGATCCACACACCTTGGCCTCCCAAAGTGAGCCAACATGCCTGGCTGACCTCATTTAACTTTATTCACCTCATTAAAGGCCTTGTCTCCAAGTTCAGTTCCATTGGGGGTTAGGGTGTCACATATGAATTTTGAGGGGACACAGGTCAGTCCGTAACAGGCAGTGACCCATGTCAGCCGAGCAGCAAATAACCTAAGAAACAGCAGAATCGCAAGATAAAGGGAACCTGTGGCTTTGAATGAATCACTCCAGTGAGAGCTATCAGGCTAACCTAACCTGAGTCCAAAAACCTTTTTCTGTAAAGGGCCGGATAGCAAAAGCTTTCTGGGCCCCGTGATCTCCCCGATGATGATTGAACTCCATCACTGTGGTGCAGAAGCAACTGTAGACAAGACTTGACTATGAATGAGTTAAGGAATGAGTGTTGATGTGTTCCAATAAGACTTGATTGAATGACACTAAAGATTGAATTTGTGTCATTCTCATTCTCACTGATATGGCTTGGCTGTGTCCTCACCCAAATCTCATCTCGAATTGTAGCTCCCACAATTCCCACGTGTCATGGGAGGCACCTGGTGGGAGGTAATTGAATCATGGGGGCAGGTCTTTCCCGTGCTGTTCCTGTGATAGCAGTGATAGTGAATAAGTCTCATGAGATCTGATGGTTTTATAAAGGGGAGCTCCCCTGCACAAGCTTTCTTGGCTGCCACCATGTAAGACGTCCTTTTGCTCCTCATTCTCCTTCTGCCATGATTGTGAGGCCTCCCCATCCATGTGGAACTGTGAGTTCATTAAACCTCTTTCCTTTATAAATTACCCAGTCTCAGATATGTCTTTATTAGCAGCATGAGAAGAGACATACACATACAATAGTGTTGCTGCTTTTATTTTTTATTTCCAACCAGTTAAAGATGTAAAAGCTATTCTTACCTGAGAAATTGGAAAAGGCCATGAGCTGCATTTTGCCGGCGAGGGGTTGTGTTTGCTGACCTATGACTTGGACTACTCAGCTCTCATTGCAGGGGAGACAAATACCCCTTATTTAAGTCACTGTATTTGGGGGCTTCCTTGCTAAAGGAACTTAGTCTTTACCCTAAGTAATAGACACTTGTAAAAAAAATGATCCCAGTGGCCACAGGTGGGCTTAAGAAAAGCGCTTCCTAGATGCCTAGAGGCTGCCACACCAGGGCGATCTGGAAAGGAGATGGAAAGAAAAAGTGCTTCCTCCCCTTGCCTCCTGAGACAGTGTTGCATGTGTTTAGAGAATCAGCCTTATTATTTTCACATTTATTTGGCGCTATGGTCTTTTTAAAAATCTTAATTTTTCCTTTCCTTTCCCCTTTCCTTTCCTTTCCCCTTTCCTTTCCTTTCCCCTTTCCTTTCCTTTCCCTTCCCTTGCCCTTCTCTTCCCTTCCCTTCCCTTCCCTTCCCCCTCCCCTCCCTTGCCTTCCCTTCCCTTCCCTTTCCTTCATTTCCTTTCCTTTTTCATTTCCTTTCATTTCTCCTTTCCTTTCCTTTCCTTCTTTTCTTTACTCTCTCTCCCTTTCTCCTTCTCTCCCTCTTTTTCCTCCTTCCTTCCTCTCTCCCCCCTTCCTTCTTTCCTTCCTTCCTTTCTCCCTCTCTTTTCCCTCCCTTCCTTCCTTCCTTTCTTCCTCTCTCTCTTTTCCCTCCCTTCCTTCCTTCCTTCCTTTCTCCCTCTCTTTTCCCTCCCTTCCTTCCTTCCTTCCTTCCTCTCTCTCTTTTCCCTCCCTTCCTTCCTTCCTTCCTTCCTCTCTCTCTCCCTTCTTTCCATCTTTTCTTCCTCCCTCCCTCCCTCCCTTCCTTCATTTCTTTCTTCCTCTTTCCCTCCCTTCTTGCTTACATCCTTCCTCTCACCCGCTTCTTCCCTTCTTCCCTTCCTTTCTTTCTTCCTCTTCTTAGTTATTGATATGATACAATATGATATGATATGCCTTAGTTATTGATGTGATATGCCTTAGCGATTGATACGATATGCCTTAGTTATTGATATGATCTGCCTTTAGGCGCAGTATTGGTACTTGGGTTTTGATGCTTATGTTTTATGTAATCACGGAAAATGCTGATTAATTTTCAAGGCTTACTGTTTTCTGACTGACACCCCACCACCCCCCCTCCAAAAAACTCACAAAATTTGAGCTATTTTTTATTGTTTTCTTTTTAATAATCAACAATACGTATTTATGGAGCACCCGCATGCAAAGTTCTGTGCCAAGAACTGCATCGTATCTGATTTAAAAGACACGATCCTTGCCTAGCTTACAAACCTGTTAAGAAAGCACTGGAAAATAAATATACCTCATCTAAAAAGCCTTAGGGTATCTGATATAAAGATTGCTTGAATCCAGTAAATCTATAAGTCATCTGTAGCAATGCATGAGGGAGCTTAAAGATGACAGAATGATAATTTTATGTGTCTGCTAAAAATTTTGTAACCATATTACCAACATCCTTCCCGAAAACATGCAAAAAGAGAGCATTATTTCAGAAATTTGAGCCTGATTGAAAAACAGTATTTTCACCTCTTACATCAGGCTGTTTTGAATGTTATGCCAAAAACTTCTGGGTTTCAAGAAAGATTTTTAGGACTTCCGTTGAGAAAAAAAAATGTGGTAATGGCAGACACACAGAGGTTAGCTTTTGGCTTTTCTTCCCTGTGCATGCCTTTATCTAACCTACCTCCCTGCAACCCACTTTTATAAAACCCCTGTTTTGGAAAAGTGCTAAAGGGAGAGAGGGATTGGAACAGAGGTGTTCTGTGCATAAACTTGTTATGGGTGGCAGTGAAGTCATTCCTGGGGCTCCACTCATTCTCTGCACAAGAAAGATTAATTCTTGCCCAAGTATCTGGGCCAGGGAACCTCAGGCCAGGCAGCAGGTGTGAGCATCTTTTTGTTCTGCTTTTCACTGATCTTTGTTAAAAGTGCTTTGATGGAGTAGGCTACCATAAATCCTGCTGAGAAAGGAGTTTGGGCTAGTAGAAAGGGAAAAGGAAAAAGGCATTAGGCCAATTAATTATATACTATTTATTTATTAATGTAAATTGTTAGAGATAGGATCTTGCTCTGTTGCCCAGGCTGTAGTACAGTAACATGATCATAGCTCACTGTATCCTCGAACTCCTGAACTCAAGAGATCTTCTCATCTCAGCCTCCCGAGTAGCTGGGATTACAGATACATACCACCACACTCAGCTAATTTTTAATTTTTTTTTTTCTGTAGAGGTGGGATCTTGCTATGTTGTCCAGACTGGTCTCAAACTCCTGGCCTCGGCTTCCCAAGTTGCTGGGATTGCAAGCACGAACCACCATGCCAGGCCTAAATTGTATAATTTAAACAGCCTGAAGTCTAGGATAGGGGAAGTCTTGCAATATCCAAACGTCACAACTTTTTCTTAGACCTGCGGTAGCAGGCAGCCCAAGACATATGTCCTGATACTACTCTTCCAGACTCATAAATGGTGACATAATAAAGGATATTTTAAAAATACATAATACATACAAAGCACTTCCTATGAATCCACACACTATTGTAAGCAATTAACTCATGTAATTCTCACAGCCACACTTTAGTACCCATTTTGTAGAAGAGGACATCTAGGCATAGGATTACTGTAAGTCACAAAGTTGGTGACTAGTGGAGCTGGGATTTGAACCAAGTCAGGCAGACCTTAGAGCTCATGTGCTATATCACTTAACTCTGCCCCTTCTTTGAAGGTATATAGGAAGGGTAGAGAGAAAGAACTCTTAAACCCTTGTCTCCATAACTGTAGGCACAGCTAAACATGCAGCTACACACCTTCCGACTCCTCACTTCACAGGTAGAAACTCAACGCCAATACGTTCACTTTTCATTCTGTATGTGACATTTTTTCTAGGTGGGGAGCAGTGGAGGGTCAGTGTCACCTGTAATAGGATGATTTCAACAGCTTCAGCGTCATGGTAGAAAGGCTCCACTTCCTGTTCTTCTTCATGTGTGGGCTCACACCCAGAAGCCAATTACTGCTGAGTATTCTGAGGGTTCTCGAAATCTGGAGAACATCTTTTCCACCGGACAATGAAAAATAACAGGCTTTGGAATAGCCTCAGCGACCCTGAAGTGTTGTTTTCTTGTGGGAGTAGACATGATTATAAGTGGCTTATTCTAAGAGGGGTGAAAACCAGTAGCTTTGAAGAAGAAGGTGACAGTGGCCCTACAACTTCATGATCCTCTTTGGTTATTTTGTCTCTGTTTTGTTTTGTTTTGTCTTGTTTTCATTGTTACAGTCGTCAGGCTTACCCCTAACATTTGTGGAGCCTAAGGCAAGAGTACCAATGACACCCACGTACCATATGTCTAAATATTTAAACCCTATAAATCAAGCTAAAACACTTAAGTAACATATGCCCCGTCCTTCTACCTTGACGAACATACCATCTCTCTGGAAAATCAAAAACTATATAGAAAGTTAGGACTTTAGTTAGAAAAGTGTTAAAGACAATTAGATTTAATTGTTATTGTATATGTCTGGATATCTTGCTGTTAAGCTTGCAGTGTTTAGATAAGTAATAAAATATAAATATAAAATATATTTATTATATTAAATTTAATTTTCTTGTCTTTATTTCAGCAAAAATCAGTTATTATAATCAATATTTCTCATAATTTGTGTTCTGAAGTAATTGCAATTACTTCAATAATTGCAATAATTTGTGTTCTGAGTAAATGCAATTCTATTAAGTGTTTAAAACTTGAATTTGTTTTTATAAAGAATGTATATTAAAATAAATATGGCAGGTTTTTAAAATTAAACTCATTTTCATGTATCATTTATGAAATGCTTTTATTCTAAAATAATTACGTATAAAATTAAAAGAGAAAAACAATTAATGAATATAAAATTTCAAATAAATCTAAAATTTTATTTAATTTTTGGAAAATTAATTTAAAATATCTTTATACAAATTATTTGCATTGGTAGTGTTCAATACATGGCTGGTTTCAATGCAAAGTATTGATATCAGATTTCATGAGTTATTTGTCAAAATTTATACAATTACTGATTTAAGTGTGATATGAATTGTTTAATATTGCAAAACATTCTTTTGCTACCAGTTGCAACTATTGCAAAGCTTTGCTAAATATTGAATACCTTCACAACCAGTTGCTGGATGAGCAAAAAAAATGATACCAGGCACTACTGGGAAACAATACTGCATAAGGCAAAGATATATTGCATTCATGCTCTCTGAAAAGAAGGGTCTGTTGAGTTGATTAATTGGTCTTTTCTCCCAGCTCTCAGAAGCAGTGTTCACCTGCAGTGTTCACCTCCAGTGTTCTCAGCTGTGCAACCCAAACCTTTACAACATTTGGATGTGATCACCTTTTACTTTGAGGACATAAAGCAAACAATGTGTAGAAGAATTTCCGTGGGCCTGAATGATGTTGTCACAAGAGCAGACATTTAGGTTTAGAGTTGCACTATGCCCTGTTAAGCACGCAATCCCAAATGACAGTGTGTGTGTGTGTGTGTGTGTGTGTGTGTGTGTGTGTGTGATGCAGGCCTTTTAAAAGAAGGATTCAGGGCAGTAGCCCTTTGCCTGGGTTTAAGAGTGGTGTGGTCATTCGAAGTGTTTCTTTATCTACTCATTTTTTTAAAAATTATTAAACTTGGCCATCTCATTAATGAAAAAGAAATTGCACTAACTGAAGCCTTTCATGAGTTTATCCTCTGATGATCCCACAATGATTAACACATAATTCAGCCTCTGGAATAGCAATGGCAGGGCCACTGTCTTAGTTCTTTTGTGCTGTTATAACAAAATACCTGAGTCTGGATAATTTATAAAGAATAGAAATTTCTTTTTTACAGTTCTGGAGGCTGGAAAGTCCAAGATCAGGGTGCTAGCATCTGGTGTCTGGTGAGGGCCTTCTTGCTGCATCTCACATGGCAGAAGAATGGGAAGGGAATGAACCTACTCACTCAAGGCCTTAATTAGGAAATAAGCTCCACCCTCATGACTTAATCACCTCCTAAGTGCTCCACTTATCTTAATGTTATCACACTGGCAATTAAGTTTCAATATATGAATTTGAGAGGACTAATTTAGTTTATCGAATTGGAGAATAAGTTTCAATATATGAATTTGAGAGGACACATTCAACCCATAGCAGTCCCTATAAAGCCCCATGTGGGTAACATACATTTTTTACAGGGGCAATTATTGCAGAATCTTCCTTTAGGAAATAATTTCTTTGCTGAGGCTAAGAAGTTTATACACTTAAGGTTGGTCTTGCAAATTCAGTAAGACTAATAAGGAGACTGCTGACTATGGACACTGTATATAGCCTATGGCTGTCAGTAGAATGCCTTATTCCTAGGCACTCGTGGTCTCTATGGAATGCTTTTTATTTCCCTCAATGCTAGGCTTTTCAAGCTGTTGAATCACCTTAAGCATTGGGGTACTTGTTAGAAATGCAGGTTCCACATCCCAACTATAGATGCTCAAAGTCAGGTTTTCTGGGCTTCAGGCTCTATAATGGTACTGATACAGATATTTCTCAAACCGTACACTGCGGAAAATTGGTCTGGAGCAATGGCCTTCAAACTTTTTTGATTGTACACTCATCACTAAAAAATATTTAGGGCAGGCTTCTCTAATACATATATAGTCGTTTACTGGTAATGGTTGGTATAGATGTACAATTGGGCTAATATATTTTGTAAATTGTAAAACATGCAAAAATGGAAAGGTTTTTAAAGAGGCAACAATGAAATAAACAATATTTTTAAATAATTTTTTCTATTAATGACACAAATATGTTTTTGTTCCCACCAAAATGTTATGTCAATAAATAATTATTAATATTATCAACAAGGCTATTTTTAGTGAAAGCAATGTAATTTGAATTGCTTCATACTTAAAAAATAGTCACACTGTTTTCCACAATGGTTGAACTAATTTACACTCCCACCAACAGTGTAGAAGTGTTCCTTTTTCTCCACGACCTCACAAGCATCTGTTATTTTTTGACTTTTTAGTAATAGCCATTCTGACTGGTGTGAGATGGTATCTCATTGTGGTTTTGATTTGCATTTCTCTAATGATTAGTGATGTTGAGCTTTTTTCATATGCTTCTTGGCTGCATATATGTCTTCTTTTGAAAAGTGTTCATGCTTTTTGCCCACTTTTTAATAAGGTTATTTTTTTTCTTGTAAATTGGTTTAAGTTCCTTACAGATGCTGGATACTAGACCTTTGTCAGATGCATAGTTTGCCAAACTTTTCTCCCATTCTGTAGGTTGTCTGTTTACTCTTTTGATGGTTTCTTTTGCTGTGCAGAAGCTCTTTAGTTTAATAAGATCCCGTTTGTCAGTTTTTGGTTTTAAACAACTTTGATTTCATAAAAACTCTACACTTTTACTCTCCCCATTTTACATTTGTGGTGTCACAATTTACATATTTTTATGTTATGTATCCCTTCACAAATTGTTATAGCTATTGTTATTTTTAATAATTTTGTCTTTTAACCTGCATACTAAAGATATACATAATTTACATACCACCATCACAGTATTAGAGTATTCTGAATTTGACTATGTACTTAACATTTACCAGTAAGTTCTAAACTTTCATGTTGCTCATTAGCATCCTTTTTTTTTCATTTTTCATACTACTGCCATCCCTAAAATCCCAGATATCTCAGGACAAGACATAGATTCATACAGAAGAGGTGGATTTCTGACTATATTTACTGCCCCATCCACAAATTATACAAAGGGGCTTGCTTGAGATTATGCTTTTAAGCCTTCCTTGATATCAATCAGTTCTTCTTATAAATTAGTCAGAAAGTGTGGCACTTTTATTTTAAAAAAATGACTATCATATTCCCTGCAACTTTTAAAGAGATTTTAAAGTAGATTTGAAAATTCCTTTTCCAAGTTTTTAAGTAGAATCAGTTTTTCAATAGATAATACAAGTTATTTTCAGAAACAAAATCATACAATGACAGGTACATTTCTAAATCCTAAGTGTCTTTTGGAAGGCAGTTAGTTTCTCAATTACTGTTAAATGTCATCTTTACCTGAAGGGGGCAGATGAAGAGTGTTTTATATGTGTTTTGCTTTTATGTAACTATAAAGTAGATATCCTTGAGGATGATAGTCACATCCTCAAGAAGGTGAACAAATTATTGTGGCTTAAGGCTGAAGCTTAGGATGCATAACGGAAAGTGAAATGAGAAGACTGACAATAAATGGGCAAATGCTAGATGATGGAAGTCCTGTATCTTATGTCCATTATTTTGGTTTTCTTCCTATAAGAATGGAGCAGCCACAGATGCCACCGGGTCATTGTGGGAGGAGCAAGGTAGCCTCCAGGATGGCCTGCAGCCCTAAGTGACACAGGGGACAATGGAATCCTTCACTGTGAGAGAGAACAATCACAGGAACAAGAGCTGATATTGATGGAGCTCTCAGATGCTAGGCATTGTTCTAGGGCTCTCATGTGTGTCTTTTCATGTAATGCAACACCCTAAGCACACAGTCTCATTATTAATCCTTTCCAGATGAAAATCTGAGCTCGAGGTCATATAAAAGCCAAGAGTCCAGCAAATCTGGGCTATGTTGACAACTTCAGTTGTGGACACGAAGAGTTAAAGTGCTGACCTGGCTCTGGACCGGCTGATTATAACTCAGCTCTGGTCTCCTAATCCAAATTCTCTAGTTAAAGTCATCAAAAATGATTGCAGCGATCAGCGCTAGGTCTCAGAAAGGTCTAAAACCCTAATGTCATTGAACTGTGGCACTCCCACCCTCAGCACACAATTCTTTTAGTTTCTTAACCAATAAATACAACTTATTGTTACAAAAGCTATATCTGTGCAATAAGAAAGCTAGAAAATAAGATAAGCAAAATTAAGAAAACAAAAGCACCATATTCCTACCACCCAGGGATTATTTCTGCTAAAACTATTTGAATGATTCGTTTAGATAATTTACATATATTTATATTTTAATATAAACAAGATAATACTTTGCAACTTATTTTGTAACGTGATTTTCTATATTAATGAGCTTTAGCTTTAAAGTTAAATACATTTTTATGTTATAATCTACCCATATTTGAAATCTTCATTGTCTTCAAAGCACCCTTCAGAACCAGTCTGTCCAAACTAGAGTCAAATCTAGGCCCACATCTTGAATCTAGTTGTATTGCCTCCAAGTTTTTTCCTAATCAATCACCATCCCTAATGTTTTTTCATTACACACTGACTTGTTGGATGGGCTGGACCAATGACCCCACAGAATCCTCCACCTTCTTCGTTTGTCTGCGTGCTTTCTGGTACTGTTATTTGACTTTCCCTCATGCCCTCTGCTTTCCATAAACAGAAGTTAGATTTGAAAGTTTGCTGGATTCACATTGAGCATTTTCGTAGAATATGTCACAGGTGGTGGTTTGCATTTTATTGTGTGTCACAGCAGGAGACATGATATTTAATGGTTGCACCATAAGTGACGTTAAACTTGACCACTGGATTTCGGTGATGAAAACCTAGTCCCTCTATTGTACACTTACATTTCTCACCTGTGACTAGCAAGAAAGCTTTGGCACTACTTTGGTACTCTGCAAATGTCTGATTGCCCATTCATCTTTTTAAGTTGAATTCCAACTTAAAGTTGCTTCCAACACTAGTTGATAATTCTTGCCTGGGTCAATAATTTCATTAGGGATTGACAATGATTATCATAGCATTCAGTTTTTTATCTCTCTTCATAGATGATATTCTCTTATAAAACCCCACTAGATGAAATGGTGTTTTTTGGTTGTCCTGAAATATAGTCTTACTGGAAAAGCAGGATAAGTGTTAAAGTTTTCCCATTAGACATATATTTTTAGAATAAGGAGCTTAATTAATAACTGCCTCAAATGTGTATGTGGGGGGGGGGCTTTCTCCTTTTTGAATATCATTATTCAGTTATGGATTTTCATTGTTTCCATCTAAGAAAAATCACAGAGTTTATTGGCTTTGTAAAACCTGCCACTTCATCCTGACAACATTTTGGATCTAAGAAGTTATAAGTTGAACAACTCAGCATCAGTTGTTTTTACACTGAAGTGTTATTTAAAAGAAGCAGATACAGTCAACTTCACAATTTTATGAACACTTAAAAAAAATGAATTGACAAGAAGGTGAGAATGTCTTTTGTTACACATGATAAGCCACTCAGCCCAGAGAATGTCCTCGTCTAATGGCAGCATATAAGGCTCTGTCTATCGGCCTTGCATAATTAAAGATGAATTCACTCCTGAAATATGGGTTTATTAAGGCTGGAAAGGAAACACCATTTCAAAAACTGTTACCTATACCATCGTCAAGACAAGATGTCTCTATTTTGAGAATTTTTCTTTTTATTTAAAATGCAAATACTGAATTTTAGGTTTTACTTTTCTTAAAGATGAGTTGATAAATACCTAACTACTGGCTTACTTGCACACATAGCACATAGATTGGAAAAAGTATTATATTTGGTCATTATCCTCTAAAAGGACGTTAAACACATGGAAAAAAATAATATCAATAAATGTATCTGAACACACATGCTTATACACACATACACATCTACAGACATAAACACACACACACGCACACCATGCATCTCCACACACACACACACAGAAGCACACACACCCCATAACCACTCACTAACACACACGCAGATACACACACACTCTGAAAAATATATTGCTAAATTGTAGCGTGACCAACTGTCTCAATGTTAGCACTGAAAATCATGTGTCCCAGTAAACCCTCCAGTGTTTGGCAACGTGGGACGGATGGTCCCTACAATTGGTCCCTAAAATTGCCAGATACGAAACCATACAGGATTCAACCAACAGATCTCTAATGAATCTTCCTGCTCTTGACCTAGACATTTAAACAGGCCTTTAATTCAGATATGAGCTGATATGTCAAAATGGCAGGAAAATAACTTTTTAAATACATAGGATGTGAGTTCTAAGAGTTAGCAGGAATGTACTAAAATTCTTTAAAACTCCCAGCATAAAAGGGCCCAAGAATCTCACTACCTAGTTTTTCTTCCAAAGAAGTAATATAGTTGCCAATACTTCTGAATATTTCAGCCAAAGTTTAGAAAATAAAATGGTATAAGGTACAATGTGCTTGGGTTGATTTTCACTGTGAAATTTTATTTATAGCAAATGCTATTTGTACAGAGACTATTCATTGAAAAGAGACCTTGAGAAGCCAATAGAATCTATCTTTCCACATTTAGTCAAGGCCATAATTAAGCCATCATGGAATTCTACCCAATATATTTAAAAATATCCCCAAAAGGGGAATATCATTCTTTGACAAAAGGTTAGAAATTGTTTTTACTTTTCTTTTCAGTATTTTAATTCTAGAAGCTGTAAACTTTTCTTCAAAGTTTACATTTTAAACTTGTAGTTACATTTGCGGCTGTCCTCCAAATACCTGAAGCATAGATTTGGATGTATTAACCAAGCAGGACTGCAAGTAGAGATTTTCTCTGGAGGGAAAAATACAATTTCTACTTTGTAATACAAGTTTTTATATTCTTGAAATGATATGAAACTGACATATATGTAGTGGAAATAGTATTAAATAATAACCTATTATTGCAGACCTGTAATAAAATTGATATCTCAATAAATAAAACTATTAGTTTTATTTATCAGAATTTAACAGACTCTGTAGGATCCCTAAGAGATTCTACAGATATGGCATCTGATTGTTAGAATTTATCACTAGAATCTCTTTCTTCGTCTTCAGCTGAGGATCAGAGATGAGCCTAATCCTAGATGCTTCCTAGGAAAAAGAAGTGCTTTGAAATGAAAACATATTCTGTTTTCCCCCAACAGGAAAATAGGTGATGCTATGAGACCTATGTTTTAATTTTAGTCCTTTTTTTGTTTTGGTGCTTGGTGGGTAGTTTAGAAGTACAGAAACATTTTATTTAGGTGACTAGTATTTTTGAGATTGAAAGAGCTGAGAGAAGTTAAAGGGTATTTGTTGCTTGATGTCAGTACAGAAGAATTGAAAAGCAGTATTCTCAAATATTCTCAAACTTTAACTTGCGTGCAATTCGCCTTGGGATCTTATTAAAACCAGATTCTGATACTGTGTGGCCAGAGATTCTGCATTCCTAACAAGCTCCTAGGTAGGGCTGATGGCCCAAGGACCACACTTTGAATAGCAAGAGTGTACGGTGGTTTATATACAGAATGGAGTATTGTTCAGCCCTAAAAAAGAACCAGATCTTGCCATTTGCCACAACACGGATGGGCCTGGAGGATATTATGTTAAGTGAAATTCTCCAGGTACAGAAAGAAAAATATTGCATAATCTTACTTATATGTGGAATCTAAAAAAATTTCAAATTTACAGAGATGGAGCATACAACAATGGTTAGCAGGGGTCAGGGAGAGGAGAAGAAATGGGGACATGTGGGTCGGAGAATATAAAGTAGCAGATATGTAGCATAAACAAGTCTAGAGATCTAATGTACAAGATGAGGATTATAGGAAATACAATTCTACTGTATTTAAGATTTATGCTAAATGAGTAGATTTTAGCTGCTCCTGCCACAAAAACAAATAAAAAGGTGAATAACTATGTGAGTTGATAGACATGTTTGTTAATTTGTTTCACTATATTAACCTTTTTACTCTGTATATGTATCCCATAACATCATATTGTATACCTTAAATACACACAACATAATTTGTTTCTTTAGAAACCCTCAGCTATAGCTTAGTTTCGTCTTTCTCTTCTTAACTTAGAAAAACAAATAGAACCCAATGAGATACACTCATTATAGAGAGGGGTAAGGGCATGGACAGGGATTAGAAAAACTACCTCTATGGGATGATTTATTTGGTATAGAGAAATATTTGTATGACTAGTTAGGAAGCTATTTCTGTAGCACAGTGACTAGAACATGGATATAAATCTGAACACTATGTTGGTAGTTTAGCATACAATTGCTGAGTGTTTTAATTACAATTTTTTAATCCTTTATTTTTAGAGACAGAGTCTCACTCTCTCCCAGGCTGGAATGCAAGTGGTGCCATCATAGCTCACTGCAGCCTCGAACTCCTGGGCTCAAGGGATCCTCCTGCCTCAGCCTTCTGGGTGACTAGGAGTACAGGTGCACCCATCATCCCCAGCAAATTTTAAATTCTTTCTCTGTAGAGACAGGGTCTGTCTATGTTGCCCAGGCTGGTGTCCAAGTCCTGGCCTCAAGCAATCCTCTGGCCTTGGCAGGAATTACAGAAATGAGCCACTGTGCCAAGCCCCTGGTTATAAATTTTTAATCCACATTTTACAACTAGATTTAGACTTATTTTAATCCTCTTTAATAAGGTTTAGTTTTCTCTATTTTATATCATGAAAATACCAAATAACTGTCTACGAAGATACTTCATATGCTGAAATTTGGTATTGCAAATATATAAACCAAATACCTTTTTGCATTTTGTACTTCAGGTTGACATTTAGATCTTTGAGACAAGTCCCAATAGCCTTATTTCATGTAGTGCATACTTCAATTCACAGTCATTTATTAATCCAGCAAAAATTATGTACTTAGCAGTCCTCATTCATTTACTATGCTTTTTGAAGTTTTGCCTGATCTGTTAAGATTGTTTGGCCATAACAGAAAAACTCCAAATCAACATAGTTTAAACAACATGGTTGCTCACTTTCTTCTCACGTTCAAGAAATCCACCTGACATTCCTACATGTCAAGGATCTAGTCGCTTTCTATTTTGTTGCTTCCCCAACGCAAGGCTTTCTGTCTTGAGAGCATTATCTAGTCTAAAATGGCTGCCCGGGTTTCAGCCACTATGACCACATTCCAACCAGGAGAAAAGGAGAACGAACGGGAAATAGAAGTGCACGCTTCCTCGTTCCCACCACTTTTTAATGGCCTTTCCTAGGAGTTGCTCACACTACTTTTCCCATCTTATAGATCACAGTTAACCACTTGGCCACACCTAGCTGCAAGAAAGGCTGGGAAATGCAGTCTTTATTCCAGGTGGCCATGTTCCTATCTGCAAATAAAGGACACTATTACTATAGAAGAGCGATCAGCAAACTATGATCTGCAAGCCCAATCTGGCTCACTGCCTATTTTTGTAAATAAAGTTTTATTAGGATGACATAGCCAGACCTGTGTATAGAATATCTATGGCTGCTGTCATACTACAATTGTAGAGCTAAGTAGTCCCTAAAGAGATCACACAGCCCATGAAGCCTAAAATATTTTCTGTCTGGCCTTTTTACAGAAAGTGTTTGCTGATCTCCGCAATGGAAAAAAAGGAGGGAAAGTCTCTGTCACATTTCTTTTTTCTTTCTTTTTTTTTTTTTTTTGAGGCAGAGTTTTGCTTTTGTCACCGAGGCTGGAGTGCAATGGCACAATCTAGGCTCACTGCAACCTCTGCCTCCTGGGTTTAAGCGATTCTCCTGCCTCAGCCTCCTGAGTAGCCGGGACTACAGGCATACACCACCACATCCCGCTAATTTTTGTATTTTTAGTAGAGACGGGGTTTCGCCATGTTGGCCAAGCTGGTCTTGGATGCCTGACCTCAGGTGACCTACCCACCTCGGCCTCCCAAAGTGCTGGGATTACAGGTGAAAGCCACTATGCCCAGCCACCTCTGTCACATTTTTGGGGCCATTTTCTTCTCATCTTTCATCTTTGGCCAAGTTCAGCTAATTTATGAAATCCAGCAGCTTCTACAAAATGCTAAGAAGCAGGGCCTGCACAACAGTGGCATTTAGCCTGGTACAGGATGAAGGAGATCATTTAAGCAAGTTACCAAGATGTTCCCACATATTGCTACCATTTTCGTTTTCTTTTTATCAAGATACGATTTATAATTGTCCCACATGTGGGTCTTGTAACAGTTAGGGCTTAATTGGTGCAAACGGAATCCATTCTAGCTAGTTCAATGAGGAAAAGATTGATTACGGGACATTAAATGACATGGAAAATCATTAGGAGCATAAGAGCAGGAAGAAGGGAAGTGCTAAATTAGTAAACTCTGAGTAGATTTGGTATCAACCTGGTCCAGCTCCCTTCTGCCCAAACACACTAAATCAATCACTGTGACACATGTTTTGCAAAAGAGAGTTTATTCACAAGGCAGCCAAACGAGGAGGTGGGAGAGCAGGTCTCAAATCCACCTCCTTGAAGATGAGGCTTAGGGATATTTATGGGTTAGAAAAGCAACGTGGTCTAAAGCGTGGGAAAAGGTGATTGGTAGTAGGGAAAATTGAAGTAATCAGTGATCTGCACAAGCGTAGTCAGGGTGCCTGGCATTTCATGGGACATATGTTCAGAAAATGGCATTATTAGCATGATCTATAGGTAGAGTTTTGGGTCCTCTCATGTCAAAATGTCAGCTCTTGGGCATTTGCACGGGCCCAGTTGAAGGGTGCTCTCAACAAGTTTGAACTGGATAGGAGCTGTCCCAAGTTCCTGAAAAACAACTGAAGTGACCATTACCATGGTGACTTATAAGTGTTGTCGATAAGGTGGCCAGTGAAGGTGACATTGCAGCATTCAGCTCACGGCCTTCAGATTCATGGAAATAAAAGTGACCAAAAGCAAGAGGGTTGCTACATCTGGCAGACCTGATCAGGTTAACCCCTCAGTTCCAGGTTTTCAGAAATGACTTCCTAAGTACATTGCAGAGCAGAAGTACTGAAAGAGCTTCTGTCTCTTTCAGAGCTCCAGAGCACCACCCCACTGTGCCTCATTCAGGAAGTGCTGTGATCAAGAAACCACTACTGCTGCTGGTGCCAGGACTGTGATTCCCATCAACAGCACTGATGGCCTGCACCTCACCTCTGACACCCATGGGACTCTTGTATGTGGACACCAGAAAGTCTGCTAATTCTGGAACAAAAACCTGAAATGTCTCCATGAGATGGACTGCTGAAAGAAATAGAAAACCACAGAGGTGAGGCCTCCACCGTACTTCCAAATGCTGTATTGCACATGGAATGCATTTGATTTGTCAGATCAATCACTTTCAGAATCCAAGCTGCAAAGGAGTTTTGGAAACACAGACCAGAGTTTTCCAGCCTCTGTCAGACGAGAAGGCTAAAAAAGATTGGAATGGATGATGGGCATTCATATTCACATAAATTCGACTTCTATATATGTGATGATGTCTTCTTTCTTTTTTAAGATTTATTTTATTTTCTTGTAGAGACAAGATCTTGCTTTGTTGTCCAGGCTGTACCACAGTGGGGGGATCATGGCTCACTGTAGCCCCAAACACCTGGACCCAGGCAGTTTTCTCCTCTCAGCCTCCTGAGTAGCTAGAATTACAGGCACATACCACCATGTCCAGCCAATTTTTTTTTTTGGTGGAGATGGGGTCTTGCTATGTTGCCCAGGCTGGTCTTGAACTCCTGGGTTCAAGCAATCCTCCTGCCTCAGCCTCCCAAAGCACTAGGACTACAGGCATGAACCACCATGCCCAACCTCTTTTTTCTTGATTCTGACAAGTCAGTACATCACTCTGTTACCATCAATCTCCCTCAACTTGATCAAACCATGAAAGCACCAATTTTATATTCTCCGAAGTATACCTAAATTGTGCCATCTTAGATTTGAAATAGTCATTTTTATTATTAGATTGGTGCCTTAACACATGTTTTTCTTTTGAGCCAGGAAACTCTTCAAATAAAATCCCCCTTGGAAATATTACATACAAGTAAAGAAATACACAAATCACTGCTCTTGTTGGAGTGGGGGTCAGGTCTTGTGGCAGAAATCATTTGTACTTGCTGCGGATCCCAGGTGCTTCCTGAGGTTTCCTGGGATCCTTGGAAGTTAGACAGGGGCCATGTGATTGCATTCTGGCCAGTGGAGACTGCCACCTCCAAGCTGGCCCTAAAATCCTCCATGGACCCTCCATTTCTGCTTTCTTATTGCAGCAACAGCAGTCTTTAATATATAGTGGCGTCATACAATGGTGGCAGATGGGTTTACCAGATGAAAGAGAAGGCTTTTTGGTCTGCACTGGTGTTTGTGGAGCAAGAAATAGCATTTGTGGTGTGAAGCCACTGAGATCATATGTGATCCCCACATAGCCTATTTCTCTTGCTAATATGAGCCTAGAGGTCCTGCCCAGTCACCATCTCCCATATCACAAACTCCAGCCTCTCTCTGCTTTGATTTTTTTCCCCTACTTTCTACACACCTCCTAAGGCAACTCCGGACAACTATTTCTAGGGAAGAGTTTGTAAACCGTTGTGTTAGCCTTCTAAAATACCCTCTCTTCTGGTTTTGGAATATAGAAGACTGTATAAAAAATGAATATTCCAGTTACATGTAAATCCAGTGATATGGTTTGGCTCTGTGTTCCCACCCACATCTCATCTTGAATTGTAGCTCCCATAATTCCCACGTGTTGTGGGAGGGACCTGGTGGGAGATAATTGAATCATGGGGGTGGTTTCCTCCATACTGTTCTCATGGTTGTGGATAAGTCTTTCATTCTCTCTCTTGCCTGCCGCCACGTAAGATGTGCCTTTCGCCTTCCACCATGATTGTGAGGTCTCCCCAGCCATGTGGAACTGTGAGTCAATTCAACCTCTTTTTCTTTATAAATTATCCAGTCTCAGGTATGTCTTTATTTGCAGTGTGAGAACAGACTAATACATCCAGGAAGGACAGAAATTAATTCTGTCATTGGGATGGTGAAGGAATGTGCTGATCGTCCATCACACTTCATGGAGAACACTATTGAATTTATGTTTCACAGATAGAACCTCCACTGCTCAGAAACAGCATGAAAACCATTGTTTTCAGAATTTTAAATTATTATATATAAAATCCAGTCTAATTTTCTGGAAAGAGCAATGTTTGCTAAAGTGATATAATTTGATAGAATTTGAATCTGACTTTTCCAAAGAAAAAATGTTAATCTAGGGACTAAGGGTGTTGACTAAAAGTCCAACTTCTGAAATAAAAATGACTACAGACACTACACTTAATCAGCTAGGAATAGAATATGTGATTAGCATATCAAAATTTATTTTGATAAATTATTTATTTATTTATTTGATAAAATAAAGTCACATTATTCAAATAAATAGGAAGATGTATTAACTAGTCACAGAACATTTTATTTTATAAAAAACATGATCATCACACAGTGTAATAAACCCATCAGCCCATGAAAGGCAATCTCAACAAAGGTCACGAAGTTCAGAAGGACTTCTTTGAGAAAAGATTAACAGCCTTTTTTGGGGGGAAATTTTGGCCACAGACTTTTGACACAGGTCTCCCAAGATTTGATGACTTTTTTGGCTCATCCAACATGAACACTATAATAATTGTAGGTATCTGATATCAAGGGCTTGATCTTCCTGATACATTGAGTATTGGACAATGTTTCTGTCAACTTCTCTGGGGTCTGTGCTTGTTCATGCATGCCTCAAGGATCAGGAGCAAAAAGATGACAGGACTGAATGTATATTCTGTTTTTGCAAATTGAGCTTCTAATTCATTCAGGCCTTAGTGCAGAAGCCACCTTCTCAGGGAGATAGTCCCTGACCATCTTACCTAAAATAGCTGTGCCCCTCTTCCCCCATTGCTTTCCAGGCCTTCCTTCCTTCCTTCTTTCCTTCCATTTTCTCTTTCTCTCTTACTCTCTTCCCTCCTTCCCTCCCTCCCTTCTTCTCTCCCTCCTTCCTTTCTTTCTCTTTCTGTCTTTCCTTTCCTTCCCTCCCTCCTTCTCTCCTTCGTTTCCTCCTTCACTTCTCCCTTTCTCCTTCCTTCCCTCCTTCACTTCTCCCTTTCTCCTTCCTTCCCTCCCTCCCTCCTTCCCTCCCTTCTTCTTTCTTTCCTTCTTTCTTTTTTCTCTTTCTTTCTTCCTTCCTTCTTTCCTTCCTTCTTTTCCTTCCTTCCTTCCTTCCTCCCCGCCTTCCTTTTCTTCTTTCTTTCTTTTTCCTTCTTCTTTCTTTCTTTTTTCTTTCTTCTTTCTTTTCTCTTTCTTTCTTTCTTTCTCCCTCTTTCTCTCTCTTTCTTTCTCTCTCCCTTTTCCTTCCTTCCTTTTTTCCTTCCTTCCTTTGTTCCTTCCCTCCTTCCTTCCGTCCTTCTTTCCTTCTTTCCTTTTTCTTTCTTTCTACAGGACCTTGCTCTGTTGCCCAAGCTGGAATTCAGTGGTGTGATCATAGATCACTGCAGCTTCCAACACCTGGGCTCAAGCGATCCTACCACCTCAGCCCCCACTCCCAATAGCTAGGACTACAGACATGCACCACTATGCCCAAAATTTTTAATTTTTTTTTATAGAAATGGAGTCTCTCTATGCAGCCCAGGCTGGTTTTGAACTCCAGGCCTCAAGCAATCCTCCCACCTCAGCCTCCCAAAGCACTGGGATTACAGGCATGAACCACTGTGCCTGGCCAGGCCTTCCCTTCTCTTAGTCTCTGCATACCGCTTACCTCTAATTGAAATTATGTTGTTTATGGTCTTTTTTTCTCTACTACCACGTAAGCTCAATGAAAGGACAGCTTTTGTTTAACACCACTGTATCTTTGGCAGATAAGCTATTGGCTGGTATATAGTGGGCACTCAGTATTTTCCAGGTTTCCCTTAGAGACTTACACTTGAAATATCATCTGAGACTCTCACTTCTTTCAGTTGTATTCCCCTGTGTGATACTGGAGCCCAACTGGTGTGAAGATAAGGAGTCGAGAGGGGAGGCTTCCTCTAGTCCTGTGGGGGAGGTCTCAGTCTTGAAATGAGCCTGTGCCCCTGGGCTGCGACTTTCACAAGTGCTTCTCATGTCCCCCACCACCACCACGCCGTGGTTAGACAGGAAGGTTAGATGGGGCTGGAGTTGGAGATTTCCTTTCCTCTACATCATTTGGGGTTTAGAAAAACCTCAGTAGGTTAGGCTCTCACAAAGTAGTTTCTCTTTGGGGTTGTCTTTGCTGTGTGTTATTTCACAATGGCTACTTTCCTCACACCCTGCTGGAAGCAGGAGGAGTTTTTTCTGAGATGTTAACTGTGAGAAACTTGAGTGCTCTTAGAGGTAAAATTCCTGAAAGTGCTCCCCATTCCTTCTAAGACCAGGTCCCCAGGAGTTTTTAATTCTCAAACTTGTCCAGACTGAGCCTCCAGCAATTTGTCAATTATACTTAGGCTTTCCTACCCTGGTTCTGGTGCCCAGGGAGGTTTCTGCTTGAATTTCCTCCCTCGTGTGATGGAATTCTCTGTATCCACCTGTCTATCTCTCCAATTTTGAGGGCAGTGTTTTTGCCTTGTGATCTCAGTTCTATGATGGATCTAAGAAGAGTTGCTGGTTTTCAGTTTGTGGAGCTTATTTTCCCAAGAGAGATGACATCCGAGCTCTGAATATGCTGGACTAGAAGTTGAAATTTTTTCAGTGTTTTTTATAAGTAAGTGAATGACTGCTATAACATAGTGCATCTACCAGTTTGTTTGCTCTAGTTGCTCTAGCAACTCTTGTTTGCTCTAGTTTTGACCATCTCAACTTTAATCACAACATAACTGTACAGAAAGAGATTAATTTTCCTATCAGTGAATAGTAATTTCCAAACATGACCTCCAATGATTTTTTTACTGTAAAAGATTTTATTTTTGCACAATACAGAGAAGAGTATATATGTTATATTGTCCATTAGTCAATAACTCCTTAAATTGAAAGCAACATTTTCTTTTTTAAAAAAATTATTTTAGATTCGGGAGGCACACATGCAGGTTTGCTACCTGTGTATATTGAGTAATGGTGAAGTTTGAGCCCAGATCTCACTATTATTAGTGTCTATGGTTTCCATTTTTTATGTCCATGTGTACACATCATTGAGCTTCCACTTATAAGTGAAAACACGCATTATTTGATTTTCTGTTTCTGAGTTATTTCATTTAGGATAATGACCTCCTGCTTCATCCATGTTGTAGCAAAAGACATGATTTTATTCTCTTTTTATGGCTGTATACTATTCCATGGTGTATATATACATTTTCTTTATCTAGTCATCCATTGATGAGCACTTAGGTTGATTTCATGCCTTTGCTATTGTAAATGGTGTTGTAATAAGTATATGAGTGCAGAAGTCTTTTTAATATAATCGTCTCTTTTCCTTTGGGTAGATATACAGTAGTGGGATTGCAGGGTTGAGTGGTAGCTCTATTTTTAGTTCTTTGAGGAATCTCCATGCCATTTTATATAGAGGCTGTACTAGTTTACATTTCTCCTAATTGCAAATTGTGAATGCAATTTCTCTGCATCTACACCAACATCTGTTGTTTTTTGACTTTTTAATTATAGCCATTCTGACTGGTATTAGATAGTATCTCGTGGTTTTAATTTGCATTTCTCTGATGATTAGTGGATGTTGATCAAGTTTTCAATTGTTTGTTGGCTGCTTGCATATCTTCTTTTGAGAAATGTCTGTTGATGGTTTTTTGCCCCCTTTTTAATGGGGTTATTTGTTGTTGTTGAGTGGTTTGAGTGTCTTGTAGATTCTGGATATTAGTGTTTTTTTGCAGAGGCATAATTTGCAAATATTTTCTCCCATTCTACAGGTTTTCTGTTTACTCTGTGGATTATTTATGTGGCTTTGCAGAAGCATTTTTAGTTTAGTTAAGTCCCACTTGAGTATTTTTGGTTTTGTCGCATTGAAAGCAACATTTTCTAGGTGTATTGATTATGGTGTAGGCTAAACTGCAATAGCAGATACTTCTATACATCACTGGTTCAAACATAATAGAAGTGTACTTCTCTCTCACACAGTCTGGAAAGAAGTGGTTAACCAGCTTGGATGGGCAAAAGATTGAGTCAGGACCTGGCTTCCTTCTATGTTATTGCTCCTATGATATTGTTCTCATCCAGATGGTTGAAACTGGCTCAGGTTATCATCCATAATTTAGCCTACCAGAAAGGGATAATAAATGAATCTAGAGAGCAAGCAATTTTCTCTTAAGCACCTGCAGCAGAACTTGCACAGTCACTTCTGCTCACTTTCCACTGGCACAAACCTAGTCCAATGGCCAACGACCTGCAAGGGAGGCTGAGAATGCAGTCTCTAGCTATGTGGGCTAGAGGGAGGGGGACCTGGGGATAAATTAGCTATCTTCCACACTGTGTGACTCTGTGTGTGTGTATAAACTTGCCTAAAAGTTTCAAAATGCATTTTGAAGTCGGACAAACAGTGAAACACAAGTGATATAAATATTATTAACTTTCCATTCTTGGAAAGAATGTTTATATGAAAATCTTAAACTAAATACACAGAACACACTCCAGAAAATGAACCTGGTAATTTTGTCAAACTTTATATAGTAATAAATATGTAATCCTGATGCTGTTTAGTTAGGAAGGACTGTATATAATCCAAATACAAAGAGTATGTGTGTGTGGAGTGAGTGTGTGTGTGTGTGTGTGTGTGTGTAGAGGGATTGTTCATATGAATAGGTCTTAGTATATTGTCTCATCTGAGGAAATCTAGACTCCAGCAGCCAAAAGTAACTTGGTCAATTTTGTGCTGCTAAAGTCGAATAGCACAGACTGGGTAATTTATGGTGAACAGAAATTTATTGGCTCATGGTTTTAGAGCCTGGGAAGTCCAAGATGGAGTGGCATCTGGCAAGGGCTTTTTTGCTGTGTCATACAATGGCAGAAGGCATCATATGGGAGAAAGAGACACGCACAGAAAGAACTAAAGAGCATTAGAACCAGAAGAGGCAAATTCATCCTTTTATAAAAGCCCACTTCTAAGAAAATGCCATTAATCCATCCATTCATGAGGTCAGAGCCCTCATGGCCTAATCACCTCTTAAAGGTCTCAACCCTTTACTGTTACAATGGGAAATAAATTTTGACATGAGTTTGGGAGGGTGCAAACACTCAAACCATAGCAGTAACTTAGAAGGAATTTTAATATTTTATGTGTATTTCTCAGTTTTAAAGGGGATCTGTGTTATAACCCACAAAAATACTTTCGGAAATATCATCTCTCTTCCACAAGCTCCATATTTGTTGCAGACTCTCCCTAAACTTTCCAAATTCTCCCAACATCAATCTAGCATGGCTTTTCTGTCTTCTTCCTCCTGCCTCCACCTCAAAATCTTTCTTATTTATATCAATTTGGAATTAGGCTTCTTTTTATAGTTTCATCTCTGCTTTGCTCATTACCTGGATTCTGCACAATAGAGAACCCAGGGCCGACCCAGAAAGCAAAAATCCTTTCCCTTTTCTTCAGGCATCTCTGGCCCAGTTGCTCTCCCTGCCTCCTAATTTTGCATTACAAAAATACCAAGAACTAGACTGGCAAAGAAAGAATTCCTAAGACTGTGGGGGGAGGGGTAGAATCTGCACAGACAGGAATGAAGGAGGCTATGAATACTTACATATTAAAACGTCTTGTTTTCATCACACATATATCATTAAGAGCTCAAGTGAGGCTAATGTGGGCTGCTATAACTCCAAAACAGATGGGAAATCTCTCAGTTTAAAAATACTCACAAAGCTGGATTTATACAGATGTTCCACCTGAAGGCAGAGCTGGACAAATTAATGCTCACAGTGGACTATGAAACTCTAATCTATAAAGTGAAAAGGGAAGGGAAGGAAACTAAAAGTTATTGAGCACTTACTCAGGTATTGTGCTAAGCTCTTTAAACAATGTCATGTCATTTAAAACCCCCAATAACCTTACAGATCAATGTTCTCAGCTTAGGGATCTACAGACCATATTCTCAGTAGTACATGAGTGGTAAGATTGAAAAATGCTTGTGTTTCATGTCAGAAATAATATGAGCCTGGTTAATGTGAACATATTCTGAATCATCAGAAAGATTACTTTATAATCAACACTTATAATGAGAGTGTCACACAAAGTAGTCCATTGTGCTACTTTAACTGAAGTATGCTCATGAGAAAGGCACAAAGCCAGACTTAATATATAAATGACATGCATATACATTCATTTCATATAATATGAGGTATTTTGGTCAAGACAACCTCATTGTGTATGAAATCAATGATGGCTTTGCAGGAGTTCAAATACAGAATAGTGCTAAGATATTTTAGTTATTATCTGGCACATGTAGTAAAGTCATATCCCAAAGAACATGCATCATATTCATATTTTGAGCTATGATTTGATATAAGACAACAGTGTCACATTAAGTTAATACTGTTTCTTTGAGTTTCATTTTTTTGCTTTGATTTATATCAGTGTGGTAAATTATTCTCCTCCATTTTTTACTCCGTCTCCATTATAGGATTCTACAACCAAGCCCTTTGTCTAGACTTTGCAATACCTCACCTTAGAGAAAACAGAATGTTACAGGAGGCTGGAAAACAAGACAACCTGTACCATTGTTAGCAGTGGTGAATCGGTGCGGATCTTCAGCCACCTCAATTCTTGCCTCCTCAAAAGGGAGAATGCGACTGAGGGGCATAAGGCAGAGGGAGAGACCAAGACAGGTTTTAGAGCAGAAGTGAAAGTTTATTAAAAAGCTTTAGAATAGGAACAAAAGGAAGAAAAGTATACTTGGAAGAGGGCCAAGCAGGTGACGAGAGTTCAAGGACATGTTTGGACCTTTGACTTGGGATCTTATACATTGGCATACTTCTGGGGTCTTGCATCCCTTCTTTCCTGATTCTTCCTTTGGGGTGGGATGTCTACATGCACAGTGGCCTGCCAACACTTGGGAGGTGAGCGTGCAGTGTGTTTACTGGAGTTGTATGCATGCTCACTTGAGGCGTTCTTTCCTTACCAGCCAAGGGTTCCTAGAAGAAGGTCATTTACCTGGTAAACTCTGCCATTTTGCCTCTTAGTGTGCATGCTTGAGCCCGCTCACCCGACTCCCGAGATCTTATCAGGAAGCTGCTGATCATATTTCAGGTGTTTCTATCTATTGGGAGACTGCCTTTTCCTGGCACCATCTGCAGCCAATCATTCTTTTAGAGAGATGGTTAACAATGGCCTGACCATCACCTGATGGTCACTTGAGATTCCTGGTGGGGGGCCCTCTCCTGCCCTACATATGTCTGCCTGACGACCTACTGTAACACCATGGGGCAGTGAAATATTTGGGCAAAACTATCATTTTTGATGACCGAGAAGGCAAAAGGTGTTATCTAATGAACTTGTGGCACTGGCAAGGAGATTCTGAATCAGAATGTTGATAACGTGAACAGGCTGCAATTCTCAGCATTTGAAAAAGTGCCACAAGAGATAAGCTCAGAAAAGAATTGGCCAGTTTTCAAGCAAAATTGATAGGGAATGTAGCAAGCCTAGAAATTCCAGAAGCTGTCGAGTTGATGAATAAAGCTGTTTCTCATTTTCAATCAGTAAAATATAAAATTGAAAAATATCTTGCATTTGAAAGACTTATGAAAATAGCCTCAGAAAAATGACACAATCCAGGCGCAAACTCGTCACAACAAAACTAACAGTAGGTACTTTTCCCTGGACATAACAACTTTTAAGTGGACCAGTAAGTGGGATCACTGATGCCTGATGCACGCAAAGTACTTGTAATTAAAGTTTAGAGAGAAAGAGATGTGCCTCACAAAGAATTACAAGTGTGGTTTTTGGTACATGGAAATGTCTGAAATTAACTGCATCAAAACCTAACAGGTTTTTGAGAGAGCTGTATTTGCAAAAATGTTGCTAGATTAAGAGACTGACTTTGAGATGAAAAAAAGAGCTCTAGGCTCCCAGCTTTCTATAGGTAGGAAGTGGGTGAGAGAGCTGCTCTCACGTCCTCCAATACAGTTGGCCCTCTGTATCCACGGGTTCCGCATGGGTGGATTCAACCAATTATGGATCAAAATTATTTGAAAAAGAAAACAATAAAAATAATGCAGCAATAAAAAAATGAATAAAAAACCACAGTATTGTTTCCATAGCATCTACTATGTATGAGGTATTATACATAGTAACATCTATTACACAGCATTTACATTGTATTAGGTATTATACGTAACCTATGAGATGATTTAAAGTATGTAAGAGGATGTGTGCAGGTTATATGCAAATCCTAGGGCATTTCTATCAGGGACTTGAGCATCCACAGATTTTGGCATCCAAAGAGAGGGGGTCCTGGAACCAATCCCCTATGGATACCGAGGGATGATTGTACTCTTTTCAGATGTGGCCAGGAAAAATAATGGAAAAGGAAGGCTGTGCCAGAGACAGAGCTAGGACATGGAGAACAGTGGATTGGGGCATTGCTCCAAAGAACAATCCCTGCCCCAGTGGGGAAACTGGTCAATACTCTCATAGCAGGATTTCAGAATTCCTATGGCCCAGTAATCACTATCTATCTTCTCAGTCTTCCCCTTTTAAAAGAAGGGCATTTGCTGCTATTCCTCAACCCTGTTTCACCCTTGTATGTTGGGAATATAGGCTGACAGATACCTTGTCTTTTTAGTTTATGAATATCTCAATCAAGAAGAGCCACATCTCAGTGACGAGCACAAGATTCTGAACTTTGAGCCCCATGCCATGACTGGTTAAGGCTTGTGGTGTGTCTTGAGGGGCAGGGGAAGTACATCACATATAGGAGCAAAGTGAATAATTATAATCTTTTTTTTTTTTTTGAGGCAGAGTCACCCAGGCTGGAGTGCAGTGACCCGGTCTCGGCTCACTGCAACCTCCACCTCCCAGGTTCAACCGATTCTCCTGCCTCAGCCTCTTGAGCAGCTGGGATTACAGGCATACACTACCATGCCTGGCTAATTTTTGTATTTTTAGTAGAAACGGGGTTTTGCCATGTTGGCCAGTCTGGTCTCAAACTCCTGTCCTCGGGTGATCCACCTCCGCTTGGCCTCCCAAAGTGCTGGGATTACAGGCGTGAGCCACCATGCCCGGCCATGAATAATGATAATCTAAGAAAAATTGTGGATTGAACTATTGCTGCCAGTCCTTCCCTTTCTCCCTGTTACGGATTTATACCTCCATGATCTTTGCCATGGGTCTTTGCAGTACCTCTCCCAGGGTAAGCAGAGTATACTTCCCTGACCCATTAAGGCTGGACTTGGCTGGAATATCAGCAAATATGACACAGGAAGAGACTCTAAATGTGTATTCATAATTTGACGTGGCCTCTGCGGTCTTGGGATACATCATTAAAAACAAAACAAAACAACCATACCTCACGTAGCCTCTGATCCTGCAATGAAGACAGAGGAAGCAGAATTGAATCTACTTGCAACCTGGTGCTAATCCTCACCTGGCCCAGCTGAGATCAGCCAAACCCCACTGTGAATAGAAAACACAAATATTTGTATTTGTAATTTACCAAGATTTATGGGGTTGTCAGTTATGTAGCATTATTTCCATAGTAGCCAACTAATATAATTGGTATAAGAAGTTAAAATAAGCATAAAGAACTTATACCTAGATTTATGTTTATGCATAGCTCAGCAACATTAAATCAGAAAACACTTTGAATCAACACTCTAGGCATCTTTTTTTCCTTAAAGTTTCCATATATGAATAAAGTTTTAGAAATTCTGCTTTAAATAGTCCTGGTTAACCCCATTTTAGGAATGAGTAAACTGAGGCAACTCTGAGAGGTTGGTGGCTTCTTTAAGCCATCGGATCTCACTTGACTTGCCTGACTTCAACATGCAGATTTTTCTACTATATGCCTGGCTGTCTTTGAAAAAAAATTAATTTTCAAAGTAGCATCTCTTTTGCCTAGGTGATTATTAAATTAAAATTCTATATAAGCATGTAGAGATCAAAAGAGAAAAAAATTTAAAAAATAAAAAAAAGGAAAGATAGAAAGAAGATAAACTGCCAAATTCCGATGATGAAACCTGGCAGAGTAACTATAAGCAAAACTGTGAGTGTCCAAATCCAGTCAGATATTTTCCCCATCAAAGGATTGACATGCAAAGCTCATGTGTCTGTGCTATTAGCAGGAAACTGCTTTCAAAATACTTCAAAAACTTGTGACTGTCCACCAATAAGATTGATACTAACATCAAAGTATGCAGGACTTGAAGATCCCGCAGAATTAGACCTGGAATGAAAGGGCTTCTGGGAATAAAAGTGCAGATTACAAAACAAGTGGATTCTTTTAATGCTCAAGGGAACTTTTTCTTGTTTAAGTTTTCCTCATTGGAGCATAATTTGAGTAGTTTCAGATGTTAATCACATCACGGAGAGGAGGGAAAAACCCTCCGGAGTATTATTTTTTCATGTGGCTCAGTGTTAACAGGCCCTTTAAACCTGGAAGAAACTCGTAAGCTCCCTGGGATAGTTTTCACACACCGTCTATAAGGCCTGCCATTCGGAACCCCGTCATCCATCCGGGCAGGATGAGGGTTTTCCATTGCTTAAATCGTTGCCTCCTTTTGGTGATCAGAGACCTTAAATGTTGCAGAGCTTCGACCCTTTCTTGTCTGTCTAGATGGATCTGTCGTGACTACACAGTTTGCTTTCACAGAGGCCAGTAGGTAACCAGAATGTGTCTTTTATGAGCACGACTTCCTCAAGGAATGTTGCAGGAGAAGTATAGTGATAAAAAGAAGAGAAGGAAAAACTAGTAAGAAAAAGAAGTTAAATCCTCTCCCTTGGCACCGATACCAAATTTCCTTGCTTTGAAAAACTCCAGCTCGATTTCTGAAATATCTCAAAAGATGCCCACTTGTTAAATTGACTGACCCATTTTGTGGGTAAAAGTACTCCCCTCTTTTGTAGGACACACTTAAACACATTGCTCTGGAAGAAGTTTTGAGTCAGAAAAGGACAGTTACCCCACAGACATGGGTCTATTTAAAGAATAAAAGCAAGATGGTTCAGGCCACTGGGATGGCCCTTGTAGACTCAGTCTCAGTCGCCTGGGAGGGTCACTGTAGTTTTTGAGGTTCTCGCAATAGAGAGAGCCTGTGTCCAGGCTTCTCGGTCATTGATGGCCTTGGGTGCGGGGGCGTGCAAAGAGAGCAGCTATTTAGCAAGAGCATGTTTTGTTCTGGAACATTATGAGGAAAACAGCACTTAAAACCAATCAAATTAGCATCAATAAAAGTCACAGATTTTTCATCAAAATTGAGATGCATATGGATATTATTGCTATTGATTAACTGGTTACTCTTTTTACAACCATAGGTGAGGCCAATTCATTTTTGTCTTTTCCTAGTTTTACATTCCTCCTACTCCTTTTCTGGGAGTACTAATCTGATCCTCCACATCATGGGATAGAGACAGAGAAAAGGGAAATAGCCACAATTTTTGGAAGGAGTTGGGGTATCAGTCTTGGTGAAGTTCTTGCAGTAGACTTTCTTTAAAAGCCATGTTTAGTGTCTAAGATGTCTGAAACAAACTGACATGAACAGAATGGATATAAACACTTATTTTGCCAATGTTGTGAAATATCTGAGTTTATTAATTAAATAAAATGTCAAAATACTCTCAAAAGCTTCAAAGCACGTCTCACATCTTTTGCATTGAATTTGACATTTTGTTTTCTCTAAACTTAGATGTGAAGTGATTATAATAACTTATGTATATCTGACAAAATGTGACCTATTACTGATACATCCATCTGAAATTAACATGAAAATTAGATATAGGTATGTCTTATGTAGACCACTGCACATATCCTTATTGTTAGTCATTCATTTTGGGTAGATATATTAGAATCTTTCTATTTTAAAATCAGGAAAATTGTTCTTTATCCATCATTTTAACAAATTTATTTTATTATAAAGTAAAACTTTCTCTCTCAGAAATTTCAAACTACACAGAGGTAAATACAAAACCACCCAGTGTATGGGATTTTATGATGGCGGCATGAGGAGACAAATACAAGAGTTTTCTTTTTGAATCCCTGAGAATGCCTTCACCTGCAAGCTACAGAAAGCCCAGTTAAAAGGAGCTTAAACATTAAAGGCATTTTTAAAAACCTTTCTTGAGAATGTCAGAGTTTCACGGAATTCCAGAGCGAGGTAACTCAGTGCCTCGCAGATTCATCAAGGGCTTAGATGTCTTCATCTTTTCGCTCTCCAGTTCCATTTAGCTATTTCTGCCATTTGTCATGATTTTGAAATTGCTGTCACAGTTGCCAGTGTCTCGTTCAGACAACAGCTTTTTGAGGCAGAAATGAGAATATTCGTGACTTTTTCGAAGTGAGGAAATCTTTCCAACCCTCAGAAGCATATTTACACTAATGTTTCACTATCCAAAATTGTCTAAGCAATGAGATTGCCATAATTAACATGCTTCAGTGAGGATTTTCCCTTGGGTAGATAGGAAGAGTAAATTCAAGAGATCTATTATACAACATTACACCCTGTTTTCCAGACTGGAGTGCAGATGTGCAATCTTGGCTCACTGCAACCTCTGCCTTCCGGGTTCAAGCCATTCTTGTGCCTCAGCCTCCCGAGTAGCTGGGAATACAGGCGCATGACACCACACTCAGCTAATTTTTTTATTATTAGTAGAGATGGGGTTTCACCATGTTGGCCAGACTGGTCTTGAACTACTGCCTCAAGTGATCCACCCAGCTTGGCCTCCCAAAGTACTGGGACCAAAGTGCTGGTGACTATAGTTAATAACTATGTATTGTATTCTGGAAAATTGCTAAGAGAGTAGATTTTAAGTGCTCTCACCACAAAAAAGATAAGT
Organism: Homo sapiens; assembly: GCF_000001405.40. Classification (NCBI taxonomy): domain Eukaryota; kingdom Metazoa; phylum Chordata; class Mammalia; order Primates; family Hominidae; genus Homo; species Homo sapiens. Next base: position 27,782,268 of record NC_000010.11, read on the forward strand.
ATATGAGGTAACACATATGCTAATTAGCTCAATTTAACTGTTCCATAATGAATACATATTTTAAAACAACATGTTGGTCGGGTGCAGTGGCTCACACCTATAATCCCAGCACTTTGGGAGGCCAAGCTGGGTGGATCACTTGAGGCAGTAGTTCAAGACCAGTCTGGCCAACATGGGGAAACCCCATCTTTACTAATAATTTAAAAAATTAGCCAAGTGTGGTGGCATATGCCTGTATTCCCAGCTACTCAGGAGGCTGAGGCACAAGAATGGCTTGAACCTGGAAGGCAGAGGTTGCAGTGAGCAAAGATTGCACCACTGCACTTCAGTCTGGAAAACAGAGTGTAACTGTGTCCCCCAAAAATAAAATTAAAATAAAATAAAATAAAATGAAATAAAATAAAATAAAATAAAATACATGCTGTACCCAATACATCTGTACAATTTTTACTTGTCAACTTAAATAAATAATAGATTTATCCTCAGGGCTGAGAAGTCTAGCCTTTCCCAGAAGACTGTTTTAGTTATCTATTGTGACACAACAAATTACTCAGATATCTCCAAATTTAGTAGCTTAGAACGACAAACTTTTATTACTTCACTCAGTTTGTGACAGTTGGAATCTGGGAATTGATTATTTGCATAGTTGTTGTTCCGGATCTTTGATGAGGTTGCAGTAAAGGTGTCAGATGGGGTGGCTGTCATCTGAAGGCTTGACTGGGGCTGGAGGATCTGTTTCCAAAATGGTTCACCAACATGGCTGTTGGCCAGGGACCTCAGTTCCTTGCTGGCTGTTGGCTAAGGGGCTCAGTTCTTTGCTGCCTGTTGGTTGAGGGCCACAGTTCTTTGCTGCCTGTTGGCTGGGGGCCACAGTTCTTTGCTGCCTATTGGTTGGGTGTCTTAGTTCTTTGCTGCCTATTGGTTGGGGGCCACAGTTTCTTGCTACTTATTGGCTGGGGGATTCAGCTCTTTGCTGACCATTGGCTGGGGTCTTCAGTTCTTTGCTGTTGGCTGGGGTCTTCAATTCTTTGCTGGCTATTGGCTGGGGGCCTCAGTTCCTTGCTGTCTATTGGCTGGGGGCCTCAGTTCTTTGCTGCCTATTGGTTGGGTGCCTAAGTTCCTTGATAACTGTTGGCTGGGGTCTTCAGTTCTTTGCTACTTGTTGGGGGCCTCAGTTCCTTGCTGCCTATTGGCTGGGGGCCTCAGTTCTTTGCTGGCTGTTGGCTGGGGGCCTCAGTTCCTTGCTGCATATTGGCCGGGGGCCTCAGTTCTTTGCTGCCTGTTGGTTGGGAGGCCTCAGTTCTTTGCTGCCTGTTGGTTGGGGGGCCTCAGTTCTTTGCTGGCCGTTGGCTGGGGTCCTCAGTTCTTTGCTGACTATTGGTTGGGGGCCTCAGTTCCTTTCTGTCTATTGGCTGGGGCCTCAGTTCTTTGCTGGCTTTTGGCTGGGGGCCACAGTTCCTTGAGGACTGTTGGCTGGGGTCTTCAGTTCCTTGCCATGTGAGCCTCTCCAAAGGGCTGCTCATGACATAGCAACTAACTTCCCCTAAAGAAAGCACTACACAAGAGATCCAGGAGGGGGCTGCACTGCCCTTCATGACTGTCACTTCCACTTGATTCATCAGAATTGAGTCACTAGTTAGGCTCTGCTTCTTGAGAGCTTGTCTGGAGATTCTAGCAGGGGAGTGCAGCTACTCATACACCCTTGACCAAAGAAGGGACCTCCTCTATCAGGGAAGGTCGTCCTCTTTGACCAAGCATGCAATCCATCTCTTGAACAGAGGAGTGGTAAGGAATTTGTGGACATATTTCAGAACCACCACAATTGCCATCAGAGGACAGTGAATAAAGGTGAGGTTCTTTTAGGAAGAAGTGAAGCTGACTGATGAGGAGACACTCATTGTTTTTTCTACCTTCCATTCCTAATTTTCTAGGTTTGTTTATTATTAATTATGCACATTTGAATTTTCCCAAAAATTTTCTCAGTGATAGAAATGTGTTTTTCTACTTTAATATTTTAAGGTGTTTGACCACATAATTAGGTTTTTTTTCTAACATTGAAACACTTTATTATTAATGGGACATACTCTTTAATGTCATTCTGTATGAGTATTTTATACATTGCTGATTTGATTTTGCATCTATGTTCCAGGGTGGAACTAGTTTCTTCTTTAGTCTTCTATTGTACTTGTCCAGTTTTGGTTTCAAGGCTATATTAGCCTTGCAAGATATTTTGGGTAGCTTTTCGTCTTTTTCGGGCTATGCCTAACTGTCTCTCTTGCTCTATGTTTTTGTTATTTTTGCTCAGCTTTTTTTGGCTAGTGGGTATCTTTTTATCTGAAAAATTTGTCTTTCTTAAGTATGGAATTTTCTTCCACTACTTTTTTTCCCCCAATAACCATTTTTAGCCTTTGGCTCCACAAGGAACTCACAGTTTTCATCCCTCTGCTTTATTTAGAGAACTGTTTTTTAGGCTTTATCCTGGTGAAAAATGCCACCATTTCTGTATGATACTAGCCTAGTTCTTCTGCAACATTTTAATCAGGTATCCGTTCAATAGTGTGTGGCTCATGTTGGATCCATGGCCCTGCTGACTCTAGCCTACAGTTCTTGATGGGAAGATGGTAACTTGCTTCTCTGGTAGTCCTCTGCTATATGTGATTGGAGTTAGGAAGGCTGGGCTCTGGTTTCCCCATAAATCCAGTCGTGTTTGCTTTGTGTCCTACAGAAATTCTTCACAGTATTTGGCTTGTTGATGCTATTCTTTGTTGGTTTGCAGCACTGTTATGTATTCATTCCTTCTACTGTTTATCTGTTTTGGAATTTCAATGAGATTTGGGGAGAAAGGGTAATAAATCCACACGTAGTTTTATTCAGTCTGCCATTTAGACTGAAAATTGCTTGCTGCTACACACTGACCACATAAAACTTGACCTATGCACAAGCATGTCCCACAACAGTGGCACTTAGAAACCATTATTTTTAAAAATATATGTTTTATTATGGTTTTCACTACAAAAGTAATACATGCATTTTATAGAAAACTTGTAAAATGTACAAACATAAAAAGAAGGAAAAAAAGATGCATTGACTAATCACCTCAATACAATTTATTTTATTTTATTTTATTTTATTTTATTTTATTTTATTTTATTTTATAGATGAGGTCTTGTTATGTCACCCAGGCTGATCCCGAACTCCTGGGCTCAAGGAATGCCCCAACCTCAGCTTCCTGAGTAGCTGGGATTACAGATGAACTCCACTACACATGGCTAAAACAATTTTATCAGGCTCAGGAATTTTCTTATAATTCTATTAAATATATATCTGTAACCCTATAGTATATATGCCTGCATATCTCTCCAGTTAGCACTACACTAGGAGCCTTTTTTAGTGTTGTTGCATATTTTTCATGTACTGTCATTTTTGAAATCACAATTTCCATGGTTCTAAAATATTGGTATTTTTCCTGATTATGTCCTTTGCATGTTCTGTATAGCACATAGTCCTATTTTATACAGAGTTTTCTTCTGTATTGCTATTGTGTATTTTATGACCAAGGATTGCTCACATGTTATCTTTCTATAATCCTTTCTATTATTTTCTTTGCTGTCGGGTATTTCTATGGTTGCTATGTTATTTCTTCACCACAGGCAGATCTAATAAGGCTTTCTCTTTCATCTCAATGTTGGTGTGCCATCTTGGGTTGCTTCTTACTTACCTGAGACCTCAGAATGTGGAGGGCTGGGCCTGCCGTTCTGGCTCTATTTGGAAGCCCGAGGCTCTGGACAGCAAAAGAGTGCTCAGGAAGTACCAGGTTAGTCGGATTTGGTGAATGAGTTCTGATCTTTCTTCTATAATTTAATGTAAAGCCCTGTGATGGGGTTACTTCCAACTAAGCAGTGGCCTTTCTTATTCCCTTGGGTAGTTTCCTCAAGCTTCAGATCCTTTCCTCAATTCAGGATATAGCACATCAGCTAAGAGTCACTCTTGTCACTCGTGCCAGCAATCCCAGAAATCCTTCACATGCTTCTCCCTCTTCTTCTTTTTTAAATAATAGTTTTATTGAGATATAATTTACATATGACCGAGGTCATCTTTTTAAAGTGTATAATTCAGTGGGGTTTTTTCCCCTATATTCACAGTATTGTGCAAGCATTACCACTTCCTATTGTTATTATTATTATTATTTGAGATGGAGTCTCACTCTGTCTCCCAGGCTGGAGTATAGTGATGTGATCTTGGCTCACTGCAACCTCCACCTCCCGAGTTCAGGTGATTCTCGTGCCCCAGCCTAAGAGCTGGGATTACAGGTACCCATCACCACACTCAGCTAATTTTTGTATTTTTAATAGAGATGGGGTTTCACCATGTTGGCCAGGCTAGTCTCGAACTCCTGACCTCAAGTGATCACCTGCCTTGGCCTCCCAAAGTGCTGGGGTTACCAGCATGAGTCACTGCGCCCGGCCACCACCACCTAATTTTAGAACATTTTCATCACCCTCAAAAGAAACTCTCCCCGTTAGCAGTCCCTCCTATTGTCCTCTCTCCTCTAGGTCCCAAGAATCACTAATCTACTTTCTCTCTAAGGATTTGCCTGTTCAGGATATTTCATGTAAATGGAATCATATAAGATGTGACCTTTTGTGATGGGCTTTTTTTTTTCACTTAGCATGATGTTTTCAAGTTTCACCCATGTGTAGCATGTATCAGCATTTCACCTCTTTATTTCCAAATAATATTCCATTGTACGAATATACCACATTTTACTTATTCACCCACCAGTTAATGGGTATTTGGGTTGTTCATACACATTTTGGCTATTATGAATAATGCTGTAATATCTCAGGGTTTATTTATTTATTTTTTAGAGATAAGTTCTCACTCTGTTGTCCAGGCTGGAATGCAGTGGCATGTTCATAGCTCAATGCAGCCTCCAACTCCTAGGCTCAAGCAATCCTCCTGCCTCAGCCTCCTGAGTAGCTGGGACTACAGGAATATGCCATCATGCCAGGCTAAATTTAAAAAAAATTTTGTGTGTGGAGCGGTCTCAAATTCTTGACCTCGAGCCATCCTCCCTCCTCCACCTTCTGCCTGTTGGGATTACAGGCATGAGCCACTGCACCCAGCCTCAACTCAGGGGTTTAAAAGGGAAAAATTCCACAGGTTTTGGTCCAGGTGGTCTTTTATGGGAATGGAGTGGGGCGGGAGGGCAAGGAGTGGCAGAGATTTCTCTTGGCCCCACCGCTCTATCCTTCTACTCCTGCAAATGGTCTTGCCTTCTTTTTCTCTCTTCTTTGCTTTCTGTCCTGGCAAAGTCTTGTTTATGGCTGAGCTAGTTTTCTGTGCCTCACTATTGACTGCTCACAGTCCCCTCCATGTCTTCTCCTAGTCCAGAGTGGCGAGCCACGGCAATGCTCTCTCTTCACTAGTGAGCACCAACCCGAGTGCAAGAGACTTTCTTTCTGCAGGAGTTTGCTGCTTTTCTTTCTCCATCTCTCCTTCTCTATTCCAATTTGCCTCTCCCCAAACTGAGCAGGATTATCGAAACTGCTTAGGAGCCTGGGCAACATAGTGAGATTCTGTCTCTACAAAAATTAAAGAAAAAAAAAAGAAAAGAAAATTAGCTGGGCGCAGTAGACCGCAATTGTAGTCCCAGCTAGTCCTCCAGAGGCTGAAGCAGAAGGATGGTTTGAGCCTGGGAGATCAAGGCTGCAGTGAGCTATGATCATGCCACTGCACTCCAGCCTGAGCGACAGAGTGAGACTATCTCAAAACAACAAAAAACTGCTTAGGATTTCATCTGCTCACCTTTCTCCGTCTCATCTCCACTGCCTGGGGATGAAGAGTCAGGAGCTAATCCAAACGACTTTTTGGTTTTTCTCTCACCCTGATGCTTCTTTTCAAATACTATTAGAAGAAGTTGATCTTCTCTCTGGGTGCAGGGGTTTTGTTTCTTCTGTTTTACCTATTTTTGTTCATTTCTTTATTGTCAAGGGGAGGGATTTTTTTTATTATTATTATACTTTAAGTTCTAGGGTACATGTGCACAACGTGCATGTTTGTTACATATGTATACACGCTCCATGTTGGTGTGCTGCACCCATTAACTCATCATTTACATTAGGTATATCTCCTAATGCTATCCCTCCCCCTCCCCCCACCCCACAACAGGCCCCGGTGTGTGATGTTCCCCTTAAGGGGAGGGATATTTTACAATTTGGTTTCACTCTTTCTCGGAGCATCTTCCGTGATTCTCTAAAACCTATTACAAATTATTTATTTAATTGCTATAAACAGTCCATTAAGAGAATGTAACATGATTTATTTAAGAACTCTTCCCTACTTTTAGACATTAAATTTATTTCCATTTTTGGCTATTATAAATAATGCTGGGAGGAACAATTTTTGCAAAAGGCTTTTTTTTTTTTTGGCTTTGAGATCATTTTCTTAGGTTAAACTGCCAGATGTGTAATTACCCGACTGAAGAACAGGACTGAAGAAAAGGATGATTTTAAAGTCCTTGAAACATTTATGCCAAATTGTGTCCCCAGAAGATTCATTTGCATACCCAACAGCATGGAGTAAATGTCGCTCTCTGACTGAAACTTTCTTTTGTTAAATAAACTAACAAAACATACGACCATTAATAACTTCTTATTGTTAGAATTAATAGCACTGTGGTGATAATAAAATCACTGCAATTGCCTTACAAGGCACAGAGGTGTCACAATGCTATTCCCATTTTTAAGAGACTTTATGTAAATTTTGATTGCTAGGGTTTATTTCAATCACAAAAGCAGAAAGACACTTGTATTCGTGTGATCTTAGTAAGTTTGTGTATAATTAAGCAGATTTTTCAGAATCTTGACTTTAGCTGGGCCACTTTTTGTTTTCAACAGTTTTATTAAGGTACACGAACATATTGAAATATATAATATGCTGGATGATTTAAAGTGCACACTTTGATAAATTTTGACATATGTATAGTGTGTGTGATGTGAAAACATCACTACAATCAAAATAATGAACATTTTCATCAGTCCCGAGTTTCTTCTTGGTCCTTTGTAATCCTTGGGGACCCTTGCTGCCTTCCCACAACTCCATCTGCTTTTTATCACTAAAGATTAGTTTTCATTTTCTAGAATTTTAAGTAAATGAAGTCACAAATTATGTACTCTTCTTCATCTGGATTCTTTCAATCAGTGTAACCGTATTGAGAGTCATCTATATTGCTGCATTTCCAGGTTAGGGCCATTGCAAAAAAGTCGCTAGGAACATTTGTGTACAAGTCTTTGTATGAATATAGACTTCCTGTTCTCTTTGGTAAATCCCTAGGAATGACATGGCTGGGTCATATGGGGGGGTGTATGCTTGATATTTAAAGAAACAGCCAAACTGTTTTCCAAAGCGGCTATGCCATGTCCCACCCTACCAGTGGGGTACAAGAGCTCCATCTCCTCCACATCCTCACCAACACTTGGCAGGGTCAGTCTTTTTGAGTTTAGACATTCTGATTCTGATGGGTGCATAGTGGCATCTCATTGTAGTTTTAACACCAATTTCCAGCTGGGATACTTTGACATGGTAGAGGTAGAAGACACTGTTATGTGTCTTACAGCTTAGTGCCTGTGGATACGTTACTCAATATCTGTATACCTTGGTTTACTTATCTAAAAAATAGATAGTGAAGACTGTACTACATACTTGAACATAGTTGTTAAAATTAATGGACATTATGGATATAAAAATGCTTTGTAAACTACGTAAGTACTAGATATTATCATGATGGTGGGTGGTTGAATTGCTGCATGATTTTGGGAAAATCATTTCAACTTATTTGAGGATTCTTTTTCAGTTCTATAAATTGAGGGCTAAATAAGGTAACCTCTAAGTTTCCTTGAAGTACAAAAATGTTCTTGTCTAAAAAATATACTGATGTTCCAATACCACATATATATATACACACACATATGTGTGTATATATGTGCATATATATATAAACACATTTATGGAAAAGTACTCTTTAATGTGGAAAAAAATGAGAGCTAAACATTAAAAAAATGCACTTTGTAAGTTCTTATTATCTCAGCTACTCCAAATTTTAGACTTCTACTACAGATTTCTATTTTTCTGTGTCTTATATGCAGAAGTGGTTAGTAATAAATCTTTCACTTCTGTAATTAATCTGATCCAAAGAAAAAATAATTTTAATATTTACACAGAAACCCATCTTCTGTATTCCCAAACCTCAGAATAAGGCAGTCATTTCACTAAATATCCTGCAGCTGGTTCAAAGTATTTTTGCAAAGTTAAAAAACTACATCTTGTTACTCAGATCAAGAGCTGGGTCAAATTCGGGGATAAGAAAAGGCATAAGAATCACTTTTATTTGGATTTGCCTATAAATAAAATTGACTTCAAGGAACACCTAGCTGAAATTGAGAAGACCAAGGAAACGGTGGTACAGATTTACCAGGAAGATGCCAGGGTTCTTATTTTAATAATGTTGGCCCAAATATCTATTTTATTATGCAAAGTCAGGTAAACAAATAATATGAAATTGATAGAATAGTATCTTAAAGTTGTTTTCAAATCATTAAGAGATTTAAAGATATAGCTAACTGTACTTAATTAATGTATTTCTAAGTAGTTGACTCAAACACATATTTATCCCCTAAAAATCTCAGTGACATTGATGTATTATGATACAAAATGACTTGGTTTGAAATATACTCACATGTTTTTATTCCCATTTCTTTGAATAGCTTATAATTTGTCCACACTCCATAGACTTTAACAGTTACCTTTTAGGTAGAAGAGCAATAGTAAAAAGTCGGAGGCCAGTTCCTTCCCTCATATTCTCTGGCATCTAGCCAATTGAAAGTTGACAATGCCACACCATTGGTCTCGCATTTCCGTTTAAAAATTTTGTTTTTCCAGCTTTTTATTTCACCATATTATCATCTTTCTTTAGTCCTTCTACTCTATTTCAGGGTTTGATATTATAGTGTTTTCCCAACAGTTCTTGAATTTAAATGATGGCTCCAGTTCTTTCCCCGTCCCAGTGTTCACACCTTTTGCCCTCCCACTGCAAGTGGGTGGAGTGACTGCCCATCCACTAACACTGGGCTCAGCCAGGTGATTTGCTTTGGCTAAGGGGATTCTCGCTGACCTGTCATAAGCAAAGTCTTGAAAAGGGCTTATGCATGTGACTTGCTCTCTGGCACCTCTGCCATCACATGAGAACATCTCTGGGCTTGCCTGCTGGAGGATGTGAGAAACGTAGGCAGAGCCAAGTCCCCAGTCATGCCTAGTCCCGCCAGTCATTACATGGATCAGACAATGGCTAGCTGACTCCCAATGGAGCAAACTAGTCCAGCCAAGATTAGCAGAGCCACCAAGCCAATCCTCAACATACTCCAGACACATGAGCAATAAACACTGCCGGTGAGAGTTTGTGGTTTGTTACACAGCATTATTATGGCAATAGATAAGGATACATTAACTAAAGTCCCATTTCTAGACAACTTCCCTTCATGTACATAATTTTTTTAATTAAACAGAATATGAACATACAGCAGCTAGAACAAAAAGACATAGCCATCGTTTCATCAAGCTTTGCGATGATACCAGGAATCTGTTGCACCATTGATACTGAATGGGAAAATGTTTCACGCCCATGTTGTTTGACAAGGTGGACTTATTGATACTATCATACCTGGAAGGATAAAAACCAGAGGGAGAGTCTGATGCTTTTCTAGCTGAAAAACAAATCAGGTAGGTTTCTTATAGAAAAACGGGTTTCATTATTAGTTTGAAGTGCAGTTAGATTGTATAGTTCTTAAGCAGCGCTTCCCATCCCTAGTTGCATATTAGAAGCACTGGGGGATTTTTCTAAAAATATTCATGCCTACGCCCCATCACAGACCAACTGAATTACCACCTCTGGGAAGGAGGCCCAGACTTATATATTGTTTAACAGCTCTCCCAGGTGTTCTAATGCACAGTCTGGGCTGGCAGATGCTATTATAAGACAAACAATTCCATTCTATAGGAGATAGTTCTAAACATTTCAATCTGACCTCAAAAAGCAGGCTTGTTACCAAAAAAAATAGCACTGAGTCACTTCTGTGGTACGAGGCCTTTTCTTCCAACATGGGTAGAAACATAGTCAAGCTAAATATCTTGCGATCATTCTCAGTATTATCTTAATACAGTGCAGCACATAGTTTGACAATCTCTTAACCTTCCAAATCTTCTCTTGACAACTGCTCTTTAGAAATCCCAGCCTCTGCTTCCCCTAAGAATCTACCAACCAGAGCTGAAACAAAGAAGAGTACAATACCTCTAGAATTCAACAGTTGAAACCAAGACTGCTACTAGGATAAGAATTCTAGCTCCAAATTCAAATAGTCCTGGGTTCAAAATCTGGCTTTTGTTATAGGTTGGTGCAAAAGTAACTGCGGCTTTTGAAATTACTTTTACTATTTACTAATTTTAGTTTCATTATTTTTACATGGGTCTAATAATGCTCACTTATTCATGAGGCCATTGGCATATTAAATAACATAATGCAGAAAAGTACCCTACACAGTTCACGGCACATAGTAGCACTCAGTAAATGCTAGCTGTAATAAGGATAGTAGTTGCTTTAAGACAATTATAAGGTAATTCATTCCATTCTAGTTATGGGGCAGCGTTTTATTCTATTTAGACCATTTTGTATTTTCTCAGAACTTCCAATGTCACTACTTTTCTTTTTTTGGAGTAATATGGAATAAACTTAATCTCTCTTCTAAATGCAGAGGCTTCGACTATTCCTAGAGATGTATCATGTTTTTTATTTTGGACACATTTTCTCCTTTCTGCTTTCTTTTAGTAGATTACCTCTGCTTCATTGCATGTGGTCTTAAGCAAAAAGACAAGCCAAGCTTATTTGTTTGCTAGGTAAGCAAAGTACAATAGACTGGGTGGTTTAGCCAATCGGAATCTGTCTTCTCACAGTTCTGGAGTCTGGAAGTCTGAGATCAAGGTGTCAGCAAGGTTGGTTTCTTCTGTGGCCGCTCTCCTTGGCTTGCAGATGGCCATTTGAATTCACGTTCACCTGGCCTTCTCCTGCTGTGTGTGTCTGTGACCAAATTTTCTCTTCTCATAAGAATGCCAGTAGGATTAGTGACCACCTAAATGACCTCATTTTAGCTTAATTACTCCTTTAAAGACCCAATCTCTGCATATAGTCACATTCTGAGGTTCTGGTTATTAGGACATTAAAGGACAAATTTGGGAGGGCACAATTTAGCCCATGACATCAACCTTCAGAGTCTCCTCCTAGGAGGCTGAAGATCTTAGAGCACAGTGATGAGGACAGAACATGCCAAGGGCTGAGTCATAATGGCAGGGCTGTTCTAAGGGTCTTTTCCCAGGGCTACCTTGCCATGACTTCTGTCCTTCTGACACCTGCTCCTTTTGCTTATTTTTGTATGAGCAACCCCCATATCATTGTGATAAATTCCCTTCTTTTTCCCTTTGAGCTAGCCAGAGTCCATTTCTGTTGTTTGCAATAAACAAAAACTCTGATGCATAGCCTTAATTGTGTTCCCAAATGTGGGCTCTTAGACAACTGGTGCTGGAAGCCAGGAGCACACCTTGGATGTCCTTGGTACAAGAACTGCCAGGTTTCCATTTGGTTAGACCTAAAGAAAACTCTAATTGTATATGCATGCATGCTAGCAGATATTCTGCTTTACAATTGCATTAAATTATATGTTTACTATTAATCTGTTCAAGGAATATGTACCGTGAAAGTATTAGGAGAAAGTATTCCATCATTTTGATTTTTTTCTTGTTCTGTTTGTTACTGATAACATTTTGATATTGTTTGGCTGTGTCCCCACCCAAATCTCATCTTGAATTGTAGCTCCCATAATCCCCATGTGTTGTGGGAGAGACTCAGTGGGAGGTAATTAAATCACGGGAGTAGGTTTTTCCTGTGCTGTTCTAGTGATAGTGAATAAATCTCATGAGAGTTGATGGTTTTATAAAGGGCTGTTCCCTACACTTCTCCTTGCTGCCCCCATGTGGAGAAGGACATGTTTCCTTCCCCTTCCACCATGATTGTAAGTTTCCTGAGGCCTCCCCAGCCCCATGGAACTGTGAGTCAATTAAACTCCTTTCCTTTATAAATTCCTCAGTCTTGGCTATGTCTTTATAAACAGTGTGAGAATGGACTAATTTGCCCTTATTAGAGACAAAGGATTTTTTTGTTAACTATTGTGATCCATGATAAAGATCAGAAAAAAAGTTGAATTGGAAACAGTTGTGATGGAACACAAGCACTGTATATAAGACAGGTGCTACTTGGGAATAAAAGGTGACAACTGAAAGTCAAACCCATTATACTTAATTCACAGGAAATAGTTGCTGGCTCTGGCAGAGACTGCTGATTGCACTCAAGAGCCATTCTTCCTTTCTTTTATGGTATTAGACTATTTTAGCTGGGCGCATGGCCACTCAGAATAAAGGCGACATTTCCCAGCATCTCTTGTAGGTAAGTGTGGCCTATGAATGTGCCCTAATGGGTAGGAGATGTGTAAAACCCTCCCTTTCCGTTTTCTTCCTTGCCACATAATCACGGGTCTTGTGAGCTGTTGTGGAATATTGCAGACAAGCAACATGCTAGAATGGCACTAGACCAAAAGAGAAGGAGCATGGACACCTGACAATTTTACGGAACAGCTTGGAAGTTTATGAGATGGAGAGAAATAAGCTTCTCTCTTGTTCCAGGCTCTGTATTCTGGTTTGACCTGCAGCAGTACTTATGGCTTAATTGATATAGTAACCATTAACATACTTCCCGCTCTTGATTAAACTTGCGATCATGCTGGAAAATAGGAATATAATCAGGTAATATCCAGTGGTCCTAAGCTGTATTCTGTGTGCTCAGTGAACAAATGAACAATATGTATAATAATCAGCTCTATCACATGTTTAAAGTGAGAGAAAAGGCCTCAATTTAATGAGAAATGTTATATCATATATTTCAGTTTCGCTAAAAAAGTGCCAGCAAAGAACATCTCCAAGATTCCAAGTGACTTGCTAAAGTAGCATGTATTGGAAGTATATTTGGTTTTGTTACTTGCTTGATTCTAATGCATTAGAGCAAAAACAAAACAAAACAAAACAAAAAACAAACAAACAAAAAAATCCCTTGATTTCAACATTGGAGAGGACTTTTTAAGACAATCAAACTGTGTGGAAACAGCTCTGTCACTGTGTGTATGACTCTTTTTAACACCAAATCTCAAATTTCTTCCTTCTTTAGAGAAAAAATAATAATAACATCATATTGAGCATATTATAAAACCACATGCATATGGTGTTAACAGAAATTATAGAACGCTCTCTGGAGTCAAATGCAATCAAAGAACGGAAAACATTTACCCCACCTCCCAACTCAAAGCATACAAGAGTTCAGCTTTAGAGTGTATAGCAGTCTTCAATTGGAAATTTCTTCCTAGCTTCAATCCAAATACCCAGAACCATTTGTCAGAGCCATAAAACATTTTCTTCCAGCTCTGATGATTTATAACGTGAGTTAGAATTTTCTTATCTAGTAGAATAAAGAAGAAAAAATAAAAGCATTTGGATATGGAAACTGATCTAATGCTTTAGCTATCCATTTTTGAGATGCATGTAGATTTTTGGTAAAAAGATTGCAAAGGTCAAAATTCCTCTAAAAATTACGTGTTTTTTTCTTTAAAAATCTTCCTAGATCCTTTTTTATTCTCTTCCTCTTTATTCCTTTTCTTTCTTTCTTTCATTCTTTAAACTACAGAGATGGAGTCTCACTGTGTTGCCCAGGCTGATCTCGAACTCCTGGCCTCAAATGATCCTCCCACCTTGGCCTCCCAAAGTGCTGGGATTACAGGCATGAGCAACTGCAGCTGGCCTAATTCTCATAAATCCTTTTTTGAATAAAATGTACTTACAATGGATGGTCCCTGTGTACAGTGGAGTTTCAATAAAAGGATTTTATATTCCAAAAGTTAAAGAAAAAATACTCTTTAAGTTACCTTTTCTCCAGGGTTTGCAGGCTCAGAATCCTTAGGGTCAGGGTTCTCAACTGGGGTCCAGGAGTGAATTTATGGATCCATGAGTCAACTGAAATTATAGTCAAAATTTTGAGGGTTATATGCTTTGTTTTGTATTTTTGGATACAGATCCATACTTTTCATCAAATGCACATAAGGATCTATAACCCCAAAATAGGTTAAGCATCTATAAGGTACTGAATAATAGATACTAAATAAGAGTGTCTATTATTGGAAGTTAATATAGCATTGGAAGATTAAAGCAGCTTACTCCAATTGGAAAGGCAAAAGGAGAACATCTGTTGTAACAGTCCATGGTTTTCAAAACCTTGTTATTTTTTCCTCAGTTCTACAGTCTTGCCTCCCCTCTGTGACTGTGAGGCCAGAGTCTTGCAAAAGCTGCCCAATGGAGAGTATCATTCAAGACTGCAGTACGAGTTTGATGTTTACTGCATCAGTTTCCAAGTCCGGCTGTAAATATACTATAGTTGAGAGATGGAGCACTATAATCTGTTTGAGCTTGAAAAAACAGTGATGCATAGATAAATACTTTGAACTGTTTGCTTGTTTAAGGAGAAATCTATTTCAAGATTTGATTACCACGAAGTCAGACAACTTTTTCATCACTAAGTCCTTTCAATTCCATATCATGTGTTTCAAATTTTGTCTGCATAACTTATTTTTGTTCTACTTTTCTGTCAAAAACAATGTGGAAATCCCAGGTTATATAATTGAGGTCTTGGAGAGGCAATATACATCTAGCCAACCAAAATAAAATGAAAGCTATTATCATGAAACATGCTTAAGGAAGTCTATCCTTTGTTCGGTTAAGAGTGCCAACATTTGTGATCTTAGGATGAAGTCGAAAGGAACTAAAATGGGTTTTCCTTAATGCAACCATGTGCAAAATCGTTCTTTACCGTAACAGATGATCTGTAAAAATATTTGTGCATTTTAACTACTCATGACAAGAAATCAACTTGAAATAAAATAATAATGTATTATTTGTATAATAAACCTGGAAGCAGAAATCATTCTATTCATCTTTCTTATTTGGATTTACTATCATCCCTATTAGCCAAATCAAATGAAAAGCTCTCTACAAACTCTCTCTACACAGGGCAGGCAGTGAAATGTTCATTTCTTCCTCCCTCCTTTGAATCAAGTTGAGCATGCAATTCATTAGAGTAAATGGTAAAAGAGAAATTTTGCATAGCTTTCGATTTTGAAATTCACAAAAGCGGATGTTCTAGCAATAAGAGGTTACTAATACGCAGAGTTGTGAAGCTAGTGGCAGAGTCCACAAGGAGATGGCCAGGTTAGCAATACTTGGAGCAATTTAGATTCCTCTGTGGAGTGGCCAGAGAGGGCAATAAGAAACTCCTCTGAGAGCTACCTTACTAGCATAAGGAAAATGTTCCCCTGTGGAGTGGTAGTGTAGAAAGGCTGACCGTTACTGCTCTGGCTATTTGAATAAAATTGCCACAAAAATGCTTAATAAGGAGAAAATAAATGGCATATGGACTCTAACTGAGACTTCATGAAAACACTCAAGGAAAGAAAGAACAGAGGGCAGTCTTCCCAAAATACATGGAAGAAGTGTAATGTTTTCTTAAATTTTCTGTCAATGTCAAAGTTTTGGATGGAAATATGTTATTAGAAAAAAGACTAGCCCCAGTTGTCTCAGAAAGAATTTTCCCTGCAAATAATCCTGCATTCGTTTTTAATATGTAGGGTTTATATTGCCAATCAGTTCTGTTTTACAATTTTCAGTATGGTTTCTTTTTTGACCCATGAATTATTTAGAAGTGGGTTTTTAAATTTCTAAATGTATTCATTTCATGGCTATCTTTAGCTATTGATTTCATTTGTAGTTTTACTGCTGTGATTTTTTACTGAGTTGCGCTTTGTGGTCAAGTATGTGATCAACTTTTATAGATATTCAACATGTGCTTGAAAATATGTATTTAATATTTTTTGTTTGTAGCACTGTATACATACACAGTATATATATACACACACACGTATCAATTACATCAAGCTTAATAATTCTGCCGTTCATAATTTCTCAATTCTTATTAAGTTTTCTTCTGCTCAATGTCCTTGGAAAAAGTATGTTAAAAATCTTCCACTATGACCTAAAATTATATAAAATTATTTATATTGCCAGCTGGGTGCGGTGGCTCACGCCTGTAATTCCAGCACTTTGGGAAGCTGAGGTGGGCGGATCACCTGAGGTCAGGAGTTCAAGACCAGCCTGGCTAATATGGTGAAACCCCATTTCTACCAAAAATACAAAAATTAGCTAGGTGTGGTGGTGCACTACTTGGGAGTATGAGGCACGAGAATTGCTTGAACCCGGGAGAAGTTGCAGTGAGCCAAGATCGCACCAGAGCACAGTCTGGGTGACAGAAAGAGACTCTGTCTCAAAAAAAAAAAAAAAAAAAATATATATATATATATATATATAACCTTATATTTCTGCTTGCTTTTTGCTTCATGTATTTTGAAGCTATATTTTTAGATGAATACAGCATCAGAATAATTTGTCTTCCTGGTGAATCTATCATTAAGTAAAGCAGCCCTTGATCCTTACTTAATGCCTTTATGTCCTTAAGTCAGTTTAGTATACATCAGCTTTCCTTTTGTCAATATCGATCTGGTGTTGTGATCATCACCGCTTGCCTGGCTAGAATCCATTTATTCCCCTTCCTTCCTAAACCTCAGATTTGTTTCGGTAGCCACTTCTTTCCCAAATAGCTAAGTGTCTCAGGCGAAGATTTGATTGGTCAAAGGATGACTCCACTATGCTTTCCAGTTGAATGTTTATTGGGCATGAGGTCCAATCCTGGCCAAAAGGAAGTGTGCTGGTAGCTAGGTAGCCTCTGGGAAAGTTTCCTTTTTCTGAGCAAGAGCCAGGGTCTCTTATCTCCTCCTGAATATTGCTATTTCTGCTATGACACTCGAAATTGCTGCAGCTGTATTACTACAAGCCAAAAAAATGAAACCAACATAGAGGATGTCAGAGGAGAGAGAAGGAAAGAACTCAAGTCTTTCATGCAACCATTACCTAATTGATTTTTGCATAGCCTTTTTATTTTTATGTGTAGCTTTTCTTTTAGAGCCTTGCTTAAACTGAATAAAATTGAGTTGCTTTGGACCTAAATACAGAGGGTTGTTTTTTTGACCTCTTAAGAGGTGCATTCATTCATTTGCATTCATTTAATAATATATTTGCTCTTCCGTTCTCGTATTTTGCTATTTTCAACTTCCTTGCAGTTTCTTTTGCTTTCAACCTTTTGTTATACATATTTGATTTGCTTTTTTCTTATGATTTTTGAAAATTATAATCTTCATTCTGCAACAGTTGCCTTTAAAAATAAGATTTTTGATGTTCAATGACATTTTTGTAAAAATGAAAATTGATGCAATCTAAATATTGGCAAGAATTAAATTATTATGCATACAAATAATGAAATGTTTATAAGCAATTGAAGTGGTAATATTGATATTCACCTGGAAAAACTTTCAAGTCATGCTGCTAGATGATAAAAGCAGTTTGTAAAACTGTATTTACAGTTGACCCTTCATGACTTCCTTTAGTCTGTTTCCATTCCCGTTATATTTAGCAGAAATTTTGTTACGTTTCTGGTATGTAAATGCCACCTTTTACTATTTTCCACAGCTAGTTCAGGCTTTCTCTAATTTTTATATTCCTTTAGTCATATCATTGGCCTGAGTGGTGGCATGAGAATTAGAGTTTCTATCTTTCCTGTAAGCCTTTGTTTTTCTTTATAAATCAACGTTGTGATTCATTCCTTCCTTCCTTCAATAAATGTTAATGACTACCTACTAAGTGCCAAATATTTAAATCTAACTGTAAGGATAGATGTTTAAGCCTACACATTATGTAATCTGTAAACTAAAAATAACAAAAGGAAGAGACTGGAAGATAGGAGTATCTAGAAAATAAACACCCAGTAGGGTAGCTTTGACCATGAATGAATAGCAGAGATAGTCTCTCATGCATGCATTTGCTGAGTTTCCACTGAATCGGTTCAGTAACCAGAAGAAAGTTCAAGGAAAGCGTAAAAGATATTAGCAAGTCTGAAGTTATTTTTAATGTGAATCTTAGTAACTTATGAAGAAAAAGTTATACCACTTCAATACCTTGGAAACCCAATGCCTTATTTATCATCTGTTTGTGTCTCCTCTGTAAAATGTGGTAATAAATACTAACCTCCTAGGTCTAGCCTGAGCATTGAGTGAAAACTAGTAAAATGAGGTAATAATGATGTTGTTATATAATAATCTTGCATATTACATATATAATATTGATATATTAGATGTGTCAGACACTGTTGTTCTTACTTTTTATATGTTAACTTCTTTTATCCTCATGACACCCTATGAAGTAGGTGTAATTATACTTACTTTGCAGATGAGGTTTTGAGGTTCACTCTAGTCATTTCTTCTAAGAGATAAAAATGTTTTTCTAGAAATTTCAAAGACATCAATGGTAGTAATTATAGAGAAAAAAATGGAAATTATCCTTTATAGAGCAAAAACCTTTTTTGTTCATTTAAGAGCATAAAAATGTGTCTGGACATTTATTCTAACCAATTAAATTTCATTGAAATTAAAATTAAATTTATGCAGATGATAATTACACATGGAATAATTTAATTTACTTTGAAATGTTTTCAGCTTTATCATGAAGTGAGGTGTAAGCACAAGAATGTTTGACCTTTCAAAGATCCAACGTGAGAGAAGGGTATTCACATTCCTACAAATTTAGAGATTACAGTAAGTTAGAGAGAAGATGACTGCAGAGCGGCTATTCATGCTTTTAATACACAGAGCTGGTGCTTTTCTTTCGGGCAGATGTGGGATACAGCCAGGCTGACATTCATGCCCTGAGAATGTTGTCTAACCTGCCATGGTTTGCTACATGTTAACCTTGTTTCTGATTACTTGCCTATATAGTCACCCAAACCAGAAGAGAATGTAACAGTGAGTCCATTTCTGCTCAGACTACCTGAGGCATTTTACTGGCTTCCTGCACAGGCACCCCATTAAGTATCAGCCCTGTGGGTTGGATGACATGGATCCCACCATGTTCCAGTCTACACATGACCCAAGCAAGTCAGCATAAATCCATCTCCTTACTAGTGCCTGGTTCTCCAGGGATGAACACATCTAGGACTCAGCCAATCCACATGGTAATGACCTGAGTCAGTTCAATCCATGTGAAGCCCAGGCAGTTTGCTTTGTGGTTGGGGGAAAAGAAACTCCTCTGAACAGTGGGATGTGAGGATATGAGATTTGGAGTTGCTGCGCCATTTTGCAACCATGAGGGAAGCCAGCTGAGAATGAAGCCAAGGTACAGAAAAGGGCAAAGCCAAGATAATTTCAGACAAATAGAATTCAAACCTCGATCAAACTTTACCTAAAGATCACTCTATCTTTAGACTTTTTGTTTACATGAATCAACAAATTCCCATTATTTAAAAAGCCATTTTGGCTGGGCACGGTGGCTCACGCCTGTAATCCCAGCACTTTGGGAGGCCAAGGCCAGTGGATCACCTGAGGTCAGGAGTTCTAGACCAGCCTGGCCAATATGGTGAAACCCTGTCTCTACTAAAAATACCAAAATTAGCCAGGCGTGGTGGTGCATGCCCATAATCCCAGCTACTCAGGAGGCTGTGGCAGGAGAATCACTTGAAACTTGGGAGGCAGAGGTTGCAGTGAGCCGAGATCGTGCCACTGCACTCCAGCCTAGGCAACAGAGCAAGACTCTGTCTCAAAAAAAAAAAAAAAAAAAAAAGTAGCCATTTGAGTTAAGGTTTTGCTATTTGCAATCAAAAACATTTTAGTCGATGCTGATTATGGAGCCAGGCAACAGGCCAGCAGAGAAATACTGTATGTGAAATCCAGGGCTCGTTGTTTAGCCAAATGGTAACATGGTCAGGAATAACTTGGATTTTATTAATGCAGTTGATTAACAGCTTCCTGATGTCTTTTATGTCTACCCACACTGCAGTGTCTTTCTCACTTTTGATGTGGTCCCTGCACCTCCCGGTCCCTTCTTTTTGTTCTTCTTTGGTGATCTGGCTGGACATCATTTCACGGTTCTCTAATTTGCCTTTCAGAACTTTGCACAGTTCTGTCTTGCCAGTTTGGCACCCTGTTCCCTGTCCTGCACTTCCCATACAGTTTGTTCACCTGCCAGCATTGTTTGTTTAAAGAGTATCCATCTCTTCTGGATGGCTTTCTTCCCATTAGGTTTTCCAAAATATGTATTTATTTATTTTACCAGTGCCCTAAACTTATTGAAATTTGCTTTCCCCAAATTATTTTTTCCTCATCAGTTTCTTTCCTTTTCCTTAGGAAAGGAACGCTGTGCCTTTTTTTCCCCTTTATATATTACTTTCACGGAAGGTTCAATCCTCTTTTAGTTCTCTATTAATTCTGCCATTATTGAAAATGGAGTTAGAAAGGATCTTTGTCTTATGATGTATTTTGTAACAAGTAATTATCTCCAGTGTACTTAAAAATCAGTTTCACAGTTGGTGGCTGACCCATTTTCTTCAGCAAATTTCAGGGTAGCTAGAAACCTGTCTAAACATACCACATTGGGGTGTTAGGATACTTGTCCTCATGTAATTTTGGGTGGGATATACTAAAATAAAGCAGGAGTAAATATACATTTATATCATTTGCTTATCTTAAAGTCCCTATAATAAAAGTTTTGAAGATAAAAAATTATTACCCAGGAGCAAAACCCAGGAGCAAAAACAATTACTTTCGTTTCTTACAACTCTCCCTGTTCCCAAAACACACTCACATACTGATATTATTTTCTTGTGATCTTGGGAAGAAAAACCCTAGAAGTTTAAGAGGTGGCTGCAAAGTTCTTCCAAGAGGAAAGAAATGTATTTTAAGTAAAAACAACTTAAGGACTATTTTGATAGTGGAAACACAAGCCCTTGCATTTGTCCTATATATTTCCCCCACCCATCCCTCCCCCATATACACATCTCTTCACAAGATGACTTTGTAGCCCCCTATCAAGGGGAGACCTTGTAACTTGCTTTGACCAATGGAATGCAGCAGAAGAAATGATGTACCAATTGTCCCTAGGCTTCAAGGATCCTTACATGCTTTTGGGTGTTCTCTTGAAACTGAGTGCAACCTCCATAAGCCTGGGTTTGCCTCCTGGAAGACAAGAGACTGCGTAGAGCGCATTCAAGTCATCCCAGTTGTCCCAGCTGAGGCCCCAGACAAGTGAAAGCCCGGCTGAAACAGCAAAGTCAACCTACAGGTGACAGCAGATGCATGCAGGCGCCCACCTGAGCCCAGTCCAAATTGCTGACCAGTGGAATCACATGCTCAACAAATGGCTGTTGGCAATGGTTTGTTAAGCAGCAAAAGCGAATAGATACAGAAGTATTTAAATTTCTGAGGATAGCATCTGTGGGTGGGGTAGCAGTTCTGGAAATGGGGGGAAGTCAATGGAGAGGAAAATAGATGGTGAGAAAGAAGGAGCCCAAGGCCAGTGATGCCAGTGAGAGGTTCTCGGTTGTGAGAACAGCTGGGAGACAGAACCTAGGTGTGGGTTTAAAGAGTAAAGCTTTCTTCAGTCCCAGCCCTCATCCATGGATCATCACTCCACATCTCCTACTTCTATTTGCCTGAGGCCAGTGGTATTTTTCAGAAATCAAAGAAAAAGGGTTGTGTTACATGTCTGAGGTTACAAGGGCATGAAAGAAAGAAGGAAACGGGAATACTTGCAAGAGGTGAGACTAGAGAGACCTGAACATCTAGATGATCGGCCAATGATCAGGATCAGGAGGTAACATGGAAAAATAGGTCCCACTCAATAATTCCTGGAAATACTGGAAGAATGCTGAGTTTTTCCCCTCTCTGTGTTCAAGCTGATTTTATCGAAATCTGAGTGGATAAGATCACCCCCACCACGCAGAGAATGCTCGTTGACAAGGAGCTGACATCAGGTTATCCAGAACTTCTAACCTTCATACGTAATGTTTTGTCTTTTCGTCTGTTTCTCAGTGGATGCCAAAGAAAATGTGTGGCCCACTGGTTTGGCTCTGACATCAGTAACAAGCCATTTTCATTGCTAATTTTCCTTTTAATAAATCAGGAATGAAAGGAGAAATTATTCACAACAAGTAAGGCAAAAAGCCACGCAACAGACAAGCAAGTATGAAGTTAAAACTAAACCCCAGGACTTATTCGAAGTGACGGGATCAACGCAGACAAGATGTGGAACCAGGAGAGTCCAGCATATTCATGAAAGAGAAGCAGTTTAGTTTGGCTGTTTGAAATAGGCAATATTTTGAAATACCATATGATGTATTTTTTTTTCTCTTTAGTATTTCCAGGGTCAGGTTTTTTTTGTTTGTTAGTTCGGTTAGTTGGTTGTTTTTAAAGCTTTGCAGCCTTCCCTCTCTTTAAGCCAAGATGCTGAAGATAATTTTTTGCAGGGAAAGAGAGACAAAATGCCACCCAGGACAAAAAAGTCCTTGCTCAGCTTTGAGTTTCGAACTAGATTTTAAAAATAAAGTCTGCAAATAAATAATAATCTCCAAAATTAGGCTTTCAAGCAGGAGTCGGCAGTTTCTCAGACCTCTTAGAGCAGGTTTTATATAAAGAAAGGAGGATTGGAGGATTGGGATCAGAAAAAAATGGAGAATTCGATTCCAAAAAAGCTCCTGCTACACAGAGGAGAGTAAAACTCCCCTGTTTGGGGAGGACAGCTTGGAAGTGCAAGAAGAGAAGGGAAGGAGGTTGCTTGGAGAGCTTGGCTTACTTTGAAGGAAATAAAAGTTATTAAAGTCAGCCTGGAGGGGTTTAAGCCCCTCAGGGAAGGTCCAGTTTCTGCAAGGCACCATGTCTGGCCTGGCTAAGGGAGATTTCTAAGCCGGTGAGCTTAGGGCAGCTTTGAAAGAGCCCATGCATGATTTTGTGGTGCAGGGAAAGCAGCCAGCAGCTCCCAGCCTCCTGGGAGAGCCCAGCAGAGCTGAGACGATCCAGACACCAGACTGGGCCAGGGGTTCTAAAGAGAGGTGCCAGAGGTGGAGGCTTCTTGACTAGGATCCATGAGACACTCCATGCATCAGCACAGGTGCCAGCCTGCCCTGTGACCGGGACACTCAAAGCTACCCGCAGCAAGACAAGGAGGAGGCAGGCTAGGGATAAAGGAACGACAAGGGGCATGTAACTTTCCTGGAGATTCCTACACTTCTTCCCAGAACTCAGCTCACAGGCGCCCAGGAGGGCAGAAGGGAAGGAAGGGGAGAACACTTGAGAAGGGGGAACAACTTTGAAAGATGTAGCAGTGAACCAAGAGGAGCTATTTTTAATCAAAAGAGGCTAGACACTTCTAATTGGCAAAGTCAAGCTTTTCACCCATCAGTGGAAAGACATGTAAAAATTAAAGGAAGTTACGTAAATTTTTTCACATCTGAGTCAACATATGTGATTTTTTTTTTTGGACCAGACTACATGTAGAATATATTTGAAGGAGAATAGTGGGAGGTAAGAACGGGGAGGTAGATTGAAATTAGAATGAATTGAATTGAGGAAAGGGAAATCTAAGACATTCATATCAATTTCCTTTGATCGCCTCTGAATAGATTGGCCAGGACTACATCTGAAGAACTAAGAATAAATTGAAGGTTTTCTAGTGCTTATAAGGCATTCCTCATTCCTTCTCTGAAGCCTCAGTTCTCTGCTGAAAGGATATAAATAAAAATAATCTCCTTTCTGAGGAAATTATTAACGATATTATCCAAAAAGATGGAAAACTGAGAGGCCAAGGAGGGAGGATTGCTTGAGCCCAGGAGTTCGAGACCAGCCTGGGCAACATAGGGAGACCTCATCTCTACTAAAAATAAACAAATTTACCTGCGTGTGATGGTGCACACCTGTGATCCCAGCTACTCAAGAGGCTGAGGTGGGAGGATTACTTGAGCCTGGGAGGTCAGGGCTGCAGTGAGCCATGATCACACCACTACACTCCAGCCTTGGTGGGAAAAAAAAAAAAAAAAAAAGAAAGAAAGGGAAACCTCATATAGCCACAGTGCAAGAAAAGTCGGGCTCCTATAGGCCCATGAGCAGATTCTGCATTAGAACTCCAAGCGGACCAAACACACATCTTGGCTAGAGCACATCTGTCTCCAACATCTGTCTTGCACATTCATGACACTCATAGGCAGAAAAGCAAAGACACTCCTTTCCTTTACACCTTCAAGTTTGTTGTTTTAGCTCATAATTAGTTCAGTTTAAGAGAATATCTAAATAAATCAACCTCACAGATTAAAACGCATTAGCTTGTCTTCTGTTTTAAATCAGTATCAGCAGCTGTTTATTGCTTCAAGCAGGACAAAATAATCAAGGTGATCCCTTAATGTTTTACGCCTTGCAGTTGAAGATTAGGAATGACCATCAAAGCTTCAAAAAGCAACACATCTCCTCCAAAGCAAAACCTGGTGCTAACCATGAGATTCTCCCCATGTGTGCACAACATTTAAAGCAAGATGAGGTTCAGTTGGAGCCACAGTTGCTCTGCAAATGAAGGGAGGGGTTATAGACAGAGAGGGGGAGATGGTGCAGAAGCAGACAGCGGCATTTCCAAGCAGTCAAAGAACCAGTCTTGCCATCTTCACAGGCCTGTTTGTAGTATGAATTAAATCCACAATGCAAATTGAGCAGATTCTTATGGCAGCATCGCACCCAAGAAATCTTTCTCACAGCTCAAGCACAAACTTTTCAGAGGCCTTCTGCCTCTTTTTCTCTCTAAAAGGGCTTAATTGCACACAGGAGTTGCAGAAAACTGACATTTGCCTTTTAGCACAATCTAAACATCAGACAGTAGAGCTTAAGAGAGTGTCATTTTTTTAGGTCATCTTGGCACTCATAAGTGGCACAGTTACAACACCTTACTGGCGTTTTAATGCATGACTATACCTCCTCAAACGCCTGATTTGCCAGGTTCTTACACAGCAAAGAGATGACTGTCTGCAAGCCAGCAAAAGAGGCCTCCCCAGAAACCAACCTGCTGGGCCCATGATCTTGGACTTCCAGCCTCCAGAACTGTGAAAAAATACATTTCTATGGTTGAAGCCACCTGGTCTTTGGTTTACCTTTACGACAGCTCTAGCAGACAAATACAGCTGCCATATTTAAAACGTGGGAGATTGGCTATAAAAAATATGTATTTCTACTGAACAGCTGTAAGATCTGGCAATGGTTGTCCAGTAGTGAGTAGTAATTGTCTGTATTCTCCAGTTCACCATGGTCTCCACCCATCCCTTTTGTCTCCCAGATATGGAGGCTAAAAGTCAATTGGCAATTGTATCAGTTTTTTTAATCTAGCTATTTTCTCTCATTTAGATTACTTGCCTGGTACTTACGGACATTTAGGTTTGAAGTTGCTCGTGTAGCTAATCTAATGACAAACAACAACTTTTTTTTTCTCCCCAATAGCGAGAAAGGAGTTGCACCGCACTATCCATACTCCTTTGTCTGAACTTCCTTTTTGATATATGTATAGTCTTCCTCAATGGGAAAGCCAACCACTATAGATTCTTCAAGTCTATAAGAACCATGCTGATATGCACGAATGTATCTTTCAATCATGAAAATAAATTAGGACATAATTCTAAATTGTAACTACAAATCTTAACTCTGAACATCATGGGGCAATTATGTAATTTATAAAAGATGTCTTTTATCAACTAATAAATCAGGGTGGCATGAATTGGCAAAAGAAAAGCTTCCTTTTGTCTTGACAGATGCGAATAAAGAATAAGTCACTTTTACTTGAAAATTTGAAAATAATGGGTTGAGAGTATAAGGATTCCATCTGTTACATGATTTCAAGTCAGCCATGACAATTATACATCAGAAACATATTGAAATATCAACTTTACATCTTGCATTTATAGAAATTGAAGCATAAAATATTTTAAGAGCCAGAAAATGTAATAACCATTTGTCAGAGAAAATGGAAGTAGAAGCTGGAAACATGGAGATTAGAGTGGAGGGAAAAAAAGAAGGGAAACAAATGTTGGAATGAGGGGAAATTAATGTAACAATCAGAGCATAAAGAAATAACACAAAGGAGAAAAACATAATGCTTTAAGGGAGAACAGAAGTCGAGGAAACTGTCCTATATTTACTTATTGCTTGGCAGTTTGGTTGAGAGTGTACTTCTATTAGATTTATTCAGGCAAAATATATAAAGAGACTTAGTAAATCACAATATTATTCATCTTAGGCATCTACGATGGAGTAAACAAGTCAATGGGCCCAAATCATTCTTTCCTTCTCAAAACAACATTGTATGAAGCAATCTATTAATGATCTTTGGAACTGTTATTTCACTTGTGTGTTTTTTGTACTCCTGGGGTAGAATTCAGCTCCTTGTAATGGACAAAAACCAAATAAGGAAACAGTCAGAATTTACATATGGGCCACTTCAGCATGTTTCAATTATATGGCAGCATTATTATTTGTAGGTTAAGGCTATTGCAAATATGTATTTTGTAGATTAAGTATTTTTATGGTGTTTCAGATGTTGAAGCTACTTTTCTTATATTTCCAAAAAGCATGTTGTGTACTCCATTTGTAAACTGAGAACTTCTCTTTTAAAGTTAGTGCTAGAAAGTAGGAACAATGTCTGGCTTAGAAGTTTCCAAATGATAAAGAAGTAAAATTAATTGATAATGGTTTCCCTTAAAAAACAGAAATTCATGTTCACTGTGAAATAGATCAGAAAACACACAGATGAGCAAAAGAGGAAACAAAAATCATTCTTATTTCAGTATTCAGGAATATGTGTGGATAACTCAGCTCTTCCTTTCATTGTAACTATTTAGCTATGTATATAATTTTTTAAATGTGCTCACACTGTATATACTATGTCAGAACCTGATTTTCAACTTGATATATTCTGAAAAGTGTTTTATGTCATTAGCTATTTTATTATTCTATAATGTTTTCATTGTGTGATTGAACCATAATTGAAATAAAGCAATGGTGTGGTGAGCATCATTGTAGATAAATCTTTGGACATAGCACAAAGGCATACAAAATTATAACACTTTAGGTATGCATTGCCAAATTCACCTTGCAAAATGATTGTGCCCATTTAGGTAGGCCCTAGTCAGATATGAGAGTGTCTGTTTTATCAGTTCTCTTGTATTTTAAATGATATCATTAGTACAAAATACCTAACACAATGCTTGCATAGAGTAGCATCTTATAAAAGTTGGTTTCCTTTCTACTTCATTCTCATTTAGAGAGAGAGTTCCACTGTTTACGCTTAAGTTCATGGGGACCATTGGTTTTGGGGGGCTATTTAATGAATGTGAAGCAGTGAGGCTCTTAAATAAGTGGGTGTCCTTATTGTTTTCACTGAGTTACAGGAATGGACATAGACTATTCCATTCCCAAATCTTCATGGAATGAGATGAAATGCTTTAAATTATCTGGACTGGAGAAGTTTCTTTATTTTTGCTAATCCAGTCCCACTAGGTAAAGGAAGAAAGATGGATTTACTTACAGCTGCGGGTCTCATCTGTTTATCAACAACTGAGATTCTTATTCTCCTGAGTAGCAATAAATTTTCTAAATATTTTTAATTATAGTCTCTCAGTTCCATGCAAATGCTTTAGGGATGTATAATGGTAACATCAAACTCTATCAAAAATAAAAGGATTCTCAATGCCAGGCCCTATGAAAACTATCCTCGCATTCACTTTCAGAAGCTAGAAAAGTTTTTGTAAGAAACAAGTCATTTTCAGTACAAGTCATCTTGATATTAGCAAAAGAACATTGACTGCAAAAAGCAGAAGGATCAAAGCAAGGATTTCTAGGAGGAAACCTTACAAATTAAAGAGACTGGAACATCAAAGAATATCTGTTTAAAATTCTTTCCACCTTAAACCCCTCTCAAACTGTAACAGCCATCAGTTACTAAGAGAGCATACTGTATTCCCTCGACGTCCTGGGGGAGAATAAAGTCTAAAAAAGAACCTTGTCACTGAAAACTTACAAAGAATTAAGACTGTCAGCCATAAATAGCACAAAATAAATATAACCAAAAAATCCCTCATACAAAAACGAATGAAAAAGAAAAAGAGTACTCACACAGCACAGGGTAGCAAAACAATGGTGCGATCATCCATACCTGTGTTTTCTGAAAGCTGGGGGTTCGACTGGCTTTGACATTTTTCTTGCAAGACCAGAGTGTTCTGTGATGCCATTTCACAAAAATAAGCCAAAAATGGACATTTAATTTCAACTTCTCATTTGTTTACTCTGAAATTACTACATTTCTGGTGTTTAACAATTAAAAAAAAATCCTACTTAGAAATATACAAGACAATCTTCATGTTAATTTTCTCTGTTTCCAAGTACTTAGTCTCTTTTAAAATGGCACTGTTGCCTTTCTTTTATGCATTTATTAACCATAAAAACAGAAGCCCCAGGTTTTCCTCCTAGCAAGCACATGGTAAAGAAACGACCCATCCTTTCCAGCATTCATACGGTTCTTTTTGTTGTTTTTGTGTTGTTTTACCTGTTGCTTTTTTTCACTCCCGGGACCACTGTGATTCAAGAACATTTTAAAATCTGAGAACGATGGTAGAAGCTTCCTCTAATAATACTACAACAGCAATGTGTTTATTCATTTCCTGTCGCTGTCATAATCCATGGCTTCTAGATGTATTTTTAATGCCTAATGAAACAAAACTAAACGGTGACTTTAACATTAGAAATCTCTGCTGTTGAAAGTTAAGGGATTTCCTCTTATTTACATTTCAGTTTTTAGTTCGCATGAATACCATGTTCTTGTTCTTTGCATTATCCTCTTTTAGAACCTCCTTTGAAAAGTCATGACAATGAATTGGTGTTTTACGAAACCTTAAAATTCTCAGAAGGGACTTATCTTTTCATCGCAGTGTGTATCCCTCGTATGATTTTCATCCTGTACAGGCTTTTCATTTCATACAAATAATTTACATTTAATTCAATTAAGTTTATGATCTTGAAATGATGACACACATATCCATCGTCTAATATTTTTCAATAAAACCTCCTTGATCGCCTTTTTAAAGCATTAACTGAGATTGTCCGTTTATGGCGCTGATGAATACAAAGCAATTTTTCTGGCGAGTGTTACGATACTTGGGACAGTGAGTTCCCAAACATTTCAGCACACCGAGCTTACATGTGTGATTCTTCTAAGTGGGTTCTAATGTTTCTATAACCCGATAAAATGCTATTTGTTTTGTAGCCACTTTTTAAAAAGTACTTTGTGTGCTGAAAACAAGTTCAGAAATTCAAAGCAATTTATGTGAAGTCATATTATCCTTACATCAGTATCAATTAATTGCTTTCAAGAAAATGTTGGTAAATCTCTGTGAGAAATAAAACATACAATTGTTTATGCTCTGTAAGTCAAAGTGTAAAACAAAAAAACTCATTGCTTATGTTCTTGTGATTTGCATGATCTGGTACAGTGACAGTTATACGTTGTCCTTTCAGATGTTTGCTAGTATTTAGGAGAAATTTGGGATGACCTTGGGATGATCTCTCTAAGTCCAGCTGCTTAACTCTAAATTCTATTTAATAACAGTTTGTGAAATCAGCACATCTCCTTGGAACTCTCCCGTGGGTTGCAAGTGATCAAACAGACAAAGCCATAATGACAGGACAGTTAGATTGG
This sequence comes from Homo sapiens, assembly GCF_000001405.40. Lineage (NCBI taxonomy): Eukaryota > Metazoa > Chordata > Mammalia > Primates > Hominidae > Homo > Homo sapiens. The sequence continues at coordinate 27,812,115 of NC_000010.11, forward strand.
TTTAACAGAAAGGGAACTGTGGAGACGTTCATGAACAACTATGAAACTGTGCATTGGGAAGGCCATATCCTTTTTATTAAAATCGCCACAAATACAAAAGCATCACTGAACTAAAAATACATCATATACGTATATTCTCATATTCTTAGAAACTTATCACAGGTTTATTGGCTTTCCATCTTATCACATGTCATATCTCGAAAACATTAAATAGAAACAAAAGTCTCCATGCAATTTTCAGATGAAAAACATTCTGTGCATTTTCAATTTGTGTGTTTTCATTTAGATGGTTGAAAGGGTTTGCTAACAACTGTTTCCCAATTTAGGCTTTCTGGCCATGGGAGTGACATGTCCTGTGTCATGTAGAATTTGATAGCTTGTAATGTCCATTTAAATTTCAAGTGTATCTTGCCTTCTCTGTAGCAAGAGCCAGCCTGCGGATATTGGATATACAACCAGCTGCAGCTTCCTGGAGATCCTGGTCAGGGGACCCAACCATATCCAGTAGAAGCTGTCACACATAAGGAGGAGAAGAAGGGACACAAGAATAAAAACATTAATCTAAAGACATAAAGTTAGGCTAGGAAAATAATTTTCAATAGTAAATTTTTTTAAAACCACCAAAAAAGCATAAGAAATTCCATTTAAGCAAATACGAATATAAACAGTGTTTAATCTGATACAGGAATTCCTCATGCACTTCTTACCTTTCTGGAGCTGAATTAGACTCCTTCCTCCCCACTTTCTCTGGGTATCTAACTGCTATTTTTGGGTCTGCTTCTGAAATTTCTCTTGCATCTTTTCTGTCTTTTCCACCTCTCAGAACAAGCCAACAGCATACCATGCTTAGACTAGTAGGGCATCCACTTAGGTTTAATCTCTCTGAGTTCCAATCCACCTGATCATGTCACAACCTCATTATATCAGTCACTTAATAGGGACTCTCAGTGCCAACTAACTAGAGCTGATCTATTAACTAGTCCTTGAAGGGTTTGTGCACTCTGGCCTCAATGCATTTCCAGCTATTCATCTTTCTCCTCTTCTCCAAGATCATAACTTTCCCACTTCTCTTGGCTTTACTGATGCTATCCCCTATCTAAAATGCCTTCCCATCCCCTTCTCTGGCTTGGTCAATTTTATCCATCTTTCAAAACAGACCTAGCCAACTTTTCCACGAAGCCTCCAAGATTTCCATCAAACTAAAGGCCATTTATTCCTCATCAGGCTGTCAGTAGCAGTTTACTCAAATGTCTGTTGCTACACGTATTTTTCCCTTTTCAACAGATAATTGGCTTAATGCTTTCTGTCCTTCTTTAGATTCTAAATGCTTAAAGAAACGTACAGTATCTAATGCATAGAAGACAAACAAATGAATTAGAACATTTAAAATCTAGCAATTATGATTCTAATTAATAATCCTGGTAAAAGATTTTTTAAAAGTAAATTTGAATCACATATTTTTTTACCCAATAGCATTTGAGTGCAAATGTGGATGATGCCAAAAAACGAGGATGATTTGATAAGCAAAGAAATCTTACTAAGAAAAATATCGTGAGATGTCTTACATATGCCAGGCTTAGGGTGTGGCTTTTACTCTATAGGTAATAAAAAGAAGTTATTTAAGCACTTTACTCAGGGGAATGACATGATCATATTTGTATTTTAGAAAGGTAGCTCTTACAGCAAATTATATAGACTGTAGAGAAAAGAGGAGGAAGGGTACTGTATTACTTCATGTAGAGGTGACAGGATGGAATAAAAGGTAAGGATAGTGAGGAAGGAACAAATTCAAGCGATATTTGGGATGAAATAACTCTTCAATAAATGGCCCCAGAACAACTGCTTATCCAAATAGAAGAAAATAAAAATGGTAATCTCACATCATACATAAATAGCAATTCCAGATGGATTAATGATGTTGTAGGAGTCTCTTCTTGGTTCGACTAAAGACAGGGTCCTTGTCACAAGGCCATGAAAAATTAGGCTCACAGACAATTTGAAGGGGGAGAAAAATGGAATTTATTGGGCAAAATGGGGGAAAAAAGGGAAACAGGGACCCTCCGCAAAGCCAGAGTCCCTGTGGGTGCACTTCCTGACTCGCAGATTGAATCCCAGCTATCACCCAGGAAGAGGAGGGGTCAGGCTCCTGCCTGCTGCAAACAGCATGAACTTCTGTGGCTCCACCCCAGTGCACATTCCTCCCAGTGCGCAGGCCATTTGAAGTCTCTGGGGACCCCTTCCCACCCGGCTGTCTCAATGAGATTAAATAAGAAAGGAACAATGCAAAACATTTAGAAGGTTGTATATGAGAATATCTTGTTCAAATTGGGTCACTGAAGGATGTCTGCCCTCTCAGTTCCTTGGCCTGCCATTGTCACTGATCTTCACACTTCAGCCTTCCACCTTCAGAGTTACATCTGGGCCCTGATTTTTCATCACTTTCAACAGTCTGACCTCCAAACTCTCTGACCACAATGTCTCCTCCCACGATTTGGCTATGCAACCATCTTACTTGTTTGTTCTCATCATGATCTCTTGTCCATGGGCTCACATACTTTTCCTTTAACCATCTTCCGTCTTTGCTTCCTCCATAACCAGCTTAGATTGCATAGTCCGTCTTTTGAATCATTCTCTTATCAGTTTCTTAAACCTCCTTACAACATCCCTCCAGGAAAACCATAACTGTCCATAAATCCAACTCTGTTCTTCCCTGTGCCTTCACCAATAACTGAGTCCTGCGGGAGGCATATGTCAACAACAAGGCAAATCCATCCTCTATCAGTTCAACCTCAACTGGATTCTCATTCACTGCCCAGCAATCAAAATTTGTGTCCCTCTCATTAGGTTACTTTCCCTTTCCAATGCCTATTTTAAATCTTCCTTCTTCTTCAATCTTCAGTTCTTCTTTTTAGCCCCCATTTCCAGAAGATGACCAATAAGGTCTCCTTCATAAACTCGATCGAAGCCATTAGACAGCAACAACTCTACCTAAAACGGCAACCATGCCAGCGTCTTAGCAGATCTTTTTATCCTACCTTCCAGTTACAATGGCTCTCTCCTATCCAAGGCCCACCATCCACTTGTATTCTTCATTCATTCTTCTTCTTAGGACATTTTACTACCAAATACTCCCTGTTTCTCTTCTACTTTAGCTTTCACCTCTTCCTTTCTAATGATTCCATTATCATTTAAACACGTCTTACACATTAAAAATAAAACAAAACAAAAAGACACCACTTTGACCCCATTTTCTTCCCTTCATAGCCAAATTTCTTTAAAGAGTTGTCTGGAATTCCTATCTCCAGTCTTAAATTCCATCCCACTGACTCCAGGCTGCTGTCTGCCTTCAGCTCTCCTCTGAAATAACCCTCTCAGAGGATGTCAGTAACTTCCTTCCATGTGGCTAAGAGTAGTGGACACTTAGGAGTTTTCATCTTATTTGACCCCTTAACAGCATTTGATATAATTGGCCACTTCCTCCTTCTCTGCCACTGGCTTCTTCTACCGTACTCCCCTGCTTTTCCTCGTATCCATTCATTCTCATCTTCTCAATCTTCATCCATGGCTCTGTCTGCTTCCCCCAAACAAAAATTGTTAGAGTTCATCAGAACAAATTCCCCTTCTGTTTTCATTCTGTTCCCCCTCCCTAGATGACATCTTTCACTACCTGAATTCAAATGGCATTCATATGGAACCATCTTCTAAATTTCTATCTCCACCCCAGAAACCTCTTTGGAATGGAACACTTCATATCCAACACTTCTTAGCCATCTCCACTTGGAAGTCTCACAGCCACCTCAAGCTTAATAGATTCCAAATGAAATTTTTTATTTTTTCTATATAAACATGAATCTCTTTCCAAGTATTTTCCTGTATCCATAATAGATGTTATCACTTAGTTGTTCAAGACGGAAATCTGCGTGCCTCACACTCACTCCCACCCTCATCTCCCCTATGCTGCATCCAACTGATTATCATATTCTTGTGATTCAGCTGCCTACACATATTTCAAAGTCATTCACTTCTCTTTATTGCTATTGTCATTCACCCCAGTAAAGCCTACTTCCCACTGTCCCTGCACCCTGTCTTGTCCCTGTCTGATGAACTATTCATACTGTATCTAGAGTAATTGCCTAAATTGTGAAATTCACTAATAAGATACAATGTTTTTGAGAAACAGGAAGAAATAAGACAGGATCAATCTTCTGAGATTCAAGAGAAAGGAAGATTCTGTTCTGTATGAGGGAAACAGGGAAGTTTGGAGGGGCTCATGCCTTGGGAGTTTTGTATCATTCCTTTTCTCCAGCATCGTTCAATATCCTAGGCATAACACAGAGGAAATAGATTATAGGACTGTGATTCATTTGAACAGCCATATGGTCTGTGCTGGGCTGGAAGGGAAGTGAAAACAGGAGGCTACTGATCACTGGGAGAATTAGGAAGTGAGGCCTCAACAATGCAGGAAAACAGTTTAGGTGGGACCAAAGCATAGGAAAAGGGTGAAAATAAGACATTCTCATCTGAGAATGAGATATTTGGAGTTTAAGATTTTACAGATGAAGTTCCTTTGAGTATTGACAAGATCCATGGTATGACCATGGGAATGTAGGTCAGTATAAGATTGTTATGCAGTTTTTTGTTTGTTTGTTTGTTTAGACAAGTCTCGCTCTTTTGCCCAGGCTGGAGTGAAGTGGTGTCATCTTGGCTCACTGCAACCTCCGTCCCCTGGGGTTCAAGTGATTCTCCTGCCTCAGCCTCCTGAGTAGCTGGGATTACAGGCGTGTGGCACCACACCCAGCTAATTTTTGTATTTTTAGTAGAGACGGGGTTTTGCCATGTTGGCCAGGCTGATCTCTAATTCCTGACCTCAGGTGATCCACCCGTCTCGGCCTCCAAAAGTGCTTGGATTACAGGCATGAGCCACCGTGCCCGGCCTGTTATGCAGTTTTATACATACACACAGATGTATGCATGCATGCATACACACTTTTATATTCTCATTCTCCCTCTCTCACTGTAGGAAGAGGAAATAATGTAAAAAATAACGAGCAGGAAGAACAGAGTAGCCACTCTCTTTGGTTATCCTAACACATGGCTTACATGTCTTTGTATAGCTATTCACACTTAAATCCCTTTCCTAGCTCACAACTTTTAACTCATGATCTATGGTTCAGAATTTTTATTGATCTCTTTGTTTATACCTCACTTTACTGTATAGACAGTTAAAATTCTTTTCAAAAATTTTGGATATATTTCGAGGGTACAAGTGCAAATTTCTTACATGCATATATTGCACAGTGGTGAAGTCTGGGCTTTTAATGCACCCACCACCCATATAGTGAACACTGCACCCAATAGGTAATTTTTTAACCCTCATTCCCCCTCCCCATTTCCCATCTTTTGGGGTCTCCAATGTCTATTATTCCATGTGTACCCCTTGTTTAGCTCTCACTAATAAGTGAGAACATGCAGTTTTGACTTTCTGTTTCTGAGTGATTTCACTTAGGATAAGGGCCTCCAGTTCCATTTATGTTGCTGCAAAAGACATGATTCATTCTTTTTTATGACTGAGTAGGCATTCTATGGCATATATGTACCACATTTTAAAAATCCAATACTCTATGAATGGGCACTTAGGTTGATTCCATATCTTTGCTATTGTGAATAGTGCCGCAATACACATACAAGTGCAGGTATGTTTTTGACACCGTGATTTCTTTCCCTTTAGGTATATATCCAGTAGGGGGATTGCTGGATCAAATGGCTGTTTACAGACAGTCTTTAAAGCAGATACAACTTTATGAAATTTAGACGATTTCTTCTAGATACATACTTCGCACCATTCACCATTTTTCATACTCACATGGCTTTTACTGACCTCCTCGTAGCCCACATCCACCATGGTAACCTTTGTTATCCTGGAGTATGGAGTGCCAACTGTAAGCCTGGAGATTTCACTCTTCCACATCACTACCAAATAATTGAATGTGAGCGCTGCCAGCCTGGATGCCAATGGATCCTGATATTCATATGTCTCTATGCCCAATGGGCCTGTTTTTTCCTCACTTCTGCTTTCTGATCTTTAAATTATTTCTTATATCAAAACAAAACGTTCCAACTAATTTCTTGGTAAATTATATAATCAAGGGATTGACTTGATCCTTTGATTACATAATTGTATAACCCCTCGATTATAGGATTTTAAAGTTATTAATTTCCCTTTTACCTGAGTTATTTTCTCACTCCTTCTCCCAAGTAGATGATTCATAAGGGTTCATGAGTCCCTGTCTTGACTCCATTGTTATACAAAATATAGCAGAAAAACTCTCCCAACAGTCAATCACTTTAATAGACAATAATTATTACTTTATGAATTTTGTTATTACAGCCAGGTCATCACAATGAATAATGCCAGTTACCTGTAGGTGTTTCTGGGCCCTGGATTAGAGGACCTAATCCTATACTAAGAGCTTGATTTCCATACGCAAATGAGATTTAGAAAAAAATCTAGTCTCCAATTGCCCTATATTTGTTGTTTAGGTAATAGGAGGAGAATAGATTGCTAGCTACAGCAACTCCACCTAATATCTACCTCTCATGGCCACCCGCCTCGCTTCTGCTCCAGTCCTTGGCCTCCCCGCTCATAGTTCTGGTCATTGTTGCTTTTTAAATCTGGAAAGAAGTGAAATAAAGTCCTAGTCCATAGCTCAACTACCTGAGAAGGAATCTAGATGCCTTATACTGTTCACTCCTTCCTAGAAAAATCACTATCAAACCATAGTCAAGGGTATGGGTTTTGAGGTCACAGCATCTTGGATCTGTACTCTGACTCTCCCAGTCACTGGGCACATCACTGAACCTCTTAACCCAACCTTCTCATATGTGTAAAGGGATCACATACCTCTGGGGGTCACTGCAAAGATGAATTAAACATACATCTTTAATAGATGTTTGAACACCTGTATTCACAGTCTCTTCCTTTCTTTACGTCCTTTGATCTTTCCCCTTCCTATTTTGTCTGATGATTCCCCCAGCCTTCTGCAAACCCAAGTCTGCAGTGTGTGGGAGGGAAGAGTGGAGGAGCACAGGTCGGGGGAATTTACACTGGCAAGGGCAGAGGACTCCTTATGGGACAGAAAAGAGCAACAGAAATAGAAGGAATGAAAAAGGGGGAAAGAGAACTTCACCCTGTTTTGAAGAGTTTGAGGGGTTTGGAGTAGAAAGATTATTTTAAAGGCAACTCTGGGGTGAGAGAGATATACTATGAAAGATTAAGGACTTAAAGCTTAATAGTGCATGATTGTACTCTCTATCTTCGAGAGAGTAAAACTAGGATTCAAATTACTTTCAGGCCGGGTGGATGCCTGTAATCCCAGTGCATTGGGAGGCCAAGGCAGGAGGATGGCTTGAAGCCAGAAGTTCAAGACCATCTTGGGCAACATAGTGAGACCCTGTCTCTTAAAAAAAAAAAAAAAAAAAAAAAAAAAGTTAACCAGACATAGGTGTGGTCACGTGCGCCTGTAGTCTAGGTAGCTGGGTGGGTCTGAGAGGCTGAGACGGGAGGATGGCTTGAGCCCAGCTCTTCAAGGCTGCAGTGAGCTATGATTGCGCCATTGCTGTGACCTCAAAACCCATACCCTTGACTATGGTTTGATAGTGATTTTTCTAGGAAGGAGTGATCAGCACAATGCATCTAGATTTAAGAGACCTTATCTCTTTAAAAAAAAAAAAAAGGAAAGAAAAAAATACTTTCAAGTGCTATTGGGTTGCTAGGCTTTTGTTTCTCTGACTGCATTTTTAGATCAGGACTGGACCAAGAGGCAGCCTGGCTTCATATGGGTTATGCATTTGAATCGCATAGTCCAGTGCCCAATACAAAGCAAGCGTTCCATGAATGCTACTCACGCTCATGGTGATTCTTTTGCCAGTTCAGAAGTCTGGTTCTGGTGTTATTTCCTGGAGGCCTGGCCTGGTTAGTTTGGAAGGAAGAGGGAATTTTGGCCCAGAGGTCAGTCTAGCTTCTGTCAGCACCTGCTCCAGGCCCTGCCTTGTCGCTGGCTGACCTCCATGGACACCAATGGCCCAGGCTCCACATGCCACTGGCTGCTGCCACCCTGTACGGCTCTCTTGGAAAGGAAACCCTTGACCTGATGCCTGTCAAAATCTAGCCTGCGTTTCGCCCATCCTCCCTCAGACCTGGTCATTGTTCTGCAGTCTCTGCTTGGGCTTTCTAAGAGTCGGTTGTATTTATTCCCAAACTCTTGATCCAGTTACATAATTTCCCACTGCATAAACCAATGGACTGTGAGTGTCAAGCATATGAGTCATAATGTTTGGCATACAGAAAGCTGCTGTGTGTTGGCTATTCCCGGAGTCAACCAGATAAGGGTTGCTGGAAACAGCATCTCCTGTGTGTTCACAAGACTTACGTTAGAAGAAAACTTTTAATCTAAGCAGGTACCCTTTTTATGACTCTATTCTATAAATTAAATTTTTCTTTACCTGAGTAACTTCTAGTCCTGAGTGTACCAAGAGGATTACTCTTTGTTGGGGAATTTATTTTGCCTTAAGTTTCTCACATTAACCACAAGGCTTCATTCTATATCCCATATGCTGGTTGGTTAAATTTTAGCTTAACAATTAAACCAATGAAGCCCAGCAACTTTTTTTTTTTTTTTTTTTTTTTTGATGGAGTTTTCCTCCTGTTGCCCAGGCTAGAGTGTAATGGTGTGATCTCAGCTCACTGCAACCTCTGACTCCCGGATTCAAGCCATTCTCCTGCCTCAGCCTCTGAGTAGCTAAGATTACAGGCATGCGCCACCACACCGGCTAATTTTGCATTTTTAGTAGAGACAGGGTTTTACCATGTTGGTCAGGCTGGTTTCAAATTCCTGATCTTAAGTGATCTGCCCACCTCAGCCTCCCAAATTGCTGGGATTATAGGCGTGAGCCACCGTGCCCAGCCAGCATTCCACTATTTTGAAGAACTATGATTTATTCTTTACTGCTGAATTTAGCCTGCTCTGTCCATTTTACTTAGCTAAGTACAGTCTCAATCAAGGGTGTAGAATTGGAAGTCTAGAATTTTCTGTGTGCTCCGGGTATGAATATTTGAGAAGTACCCCCAAGACCCTCTTTGAGTTTTGCCGCTAACTAACTGTATTGTTTTTCCCGAGTTTTACTTTATTTTCAATAACTGTTACTCATTGCTTTGTTATACACCCAGAGGGGCTAGGCATCTAAAGGTGTTTTACAAATTGAATAAGGTTATGTTACTGTCCCAAACCACCATCTGAAAAATATGTAGCATATATGTGTCTTGGTTTTGAATTGGGCTCAGGAATATGTTTTCATTTTCCTACGAGCCTCACAAGCAAACTAAGGCACTAATTTCTTTAAACTAAGGCACTAGTTTCTTTAAAACTAGCAAATACTCGCACAACAGAAAGTTGGTACAAAATCCTGAATTTGATGTGGAGCTAATATAAATGAAAGTGCAGTTCGTGTTTTCAAATCACTAACACACGGAGCAAGGTGAGGGCAGTTTCTAATCTCTTTGTCATAATTACATAAAAGGAATAGTTTTCTCAGGAAAGTGAACTACAAATTTGGTACAAGTGATTATGAAATTGGTATACACTTTTTTGGTATCTATTTTTTTATCTATAGACTTTCTTTCCAACTATAAAGACATGTTTTAATATTCTAAGGGGCTTACCTTTTTGAAGTCCTTGTTCCTTTCAAACTTTTCTCTTTTTAATCCTCCGCCTCCCCTAAAACACACCTAAAGACTTTAAATTTATTGGGAGTTTCATATATACACTGAAGGAAAACTAGCCCCCACGCTTTTGAAAACTTAACTGCACAGAGCACTTTAAAACATCATTCAAACAAATAACTTTTTACAACACTGGAGTGAACAAGAACGTGGGGACAGGCACAAGGACTGGTTTGTAGATTGGGTTAACACCAATGCTTCCTCTGGTGTAAAAGGCTTTGATCTTAAGGTTCATGCCCTCGGCATGCAGCTGTGACCCACAGTTCACATCTCCTGGAAGGTGTGACAAAGGTAGCATGGGAATTGGGTCTGCATTCAATTTTTACATTTCCATTTAACAGTTTATGATTTTATATAATATTTCAGTTGTATGAAAAGTATGTACCAATTTGAGTGATAACAGATTTTCTTGTGGTTTGACTTGACATTGTTTGGGTGAACACAGCCTAGAATCAGGAGTTTTAATTAGAGCTGGATGAGCTCTGGAATGCCTACCAGGCTTAGGGGTTTTCCCAAAAGATCTTAAGTGCCCAGAGCTGATTTGAACTGGGAACCCTTCTGACATTCTCCTGTTTACAAGGCATTGCAGTGACGTTGTAGCACTCATGCACAACCCAGTAACAAGAAATGCCTTTGGACTGTGTCCGCCTATGGAATGGCTTCCCAACTATTTGAGTTGGCTGGGGTTCTGCTGCTCTTCCAACAGAGGCTCCACTGCAGTTTCTTGCACATCCAGACTCTGAGCCTCGGTAATTCATTTCACATGACAGCTCACCAAAGCCGGGGGCCTCAAAACATATTTAACATTTGCTGGCTGGAGCAAAACCTTTGGTTCTATTTGGTCAGTGAAGGGAGTCAAGGGGCTTGCCTTTATTGGTGTCTGTCCTCCTCAAGGTGATAGGTGTGTGTGTGATCTGAGGTCCATGTCTGCAAAACTTGGATCTGCTTATTGGATCCAGTGCTCTTTCTGTGTGGACATTCCTAAGTTTATCCTCTGGGTTTTCTTCCATGTTTCTTCACGAACTTTCCACTAGAGAGCTTTAATGCCCAAACAGACAGACAGGAGACTCGCACATTGGGTCTATAGTATTGGGAGTAGAAATGGGATATATAATAGAGAGAGCCCTATTGACTTTCTTCTAAAAATGCTAGAAATGGAGAATGACTTGATGACTGGCTGGGTCAGGGAATTGTGGGACATTGCTCAGCACCCTATATCAGAGGAAAAGGAAGTGATAAGTTTCTGCCTGCCCAGGGCAGAAGCTCATGGTGTCATTTGGAATGGCCTCAAGTTGCTCTTGGATTTTTATTCCTATTAAATATAAAGAATATTGGCACACATAGGGGCTTCCTACATAAGAATGCTAAAGAAATAATAGGATAAGGATGGATTAAAAAAATCTATGTGGATAAGATTGTTTAGAATTGCATTTTGCTATTGGTTAGATCAAAGTGTAGATGGCAATTCTCTGGAAAAAAATATTCCCATAGATTATGCAGTAAAGTGGCTATGAGTTTATGCTTTGAGTTCAGACAGTCTGAATTTGAATCCTGACTTCACATCTTCCTAACTGTATGTGACCTGAGGTAACTCTCTCTAAACCTTAGTTTTCTTATCAGTAAAATTAGGATTTTTAATAGTACTTTCCTAATAAGATAGATATGGGATTAAATGGGAAACGTAATGTAAAGTGCTCATGCTATGTGCCCCTAAATTATAGTTGTTATTATTATTACTCTTGTTATATTGACTTGGAGACTGTTGTTGACCAGAGGCATTAATATTTGCTGTTAGCTCATTTTCTCTGCTACAGTTCCTGTTGGACTGATCCAAATAAGCAATTTTAATCTAGTTACATTGAAAATTAATACATTAACATAAGGTTCATGGTGTCCCGTTAGATAGTCAAAAACAAAAGTCAAGGCATTAGAACTAACACATCTCTATGTTCATAAAAATAGTTCAGGCCGGGCGCGGTGGCTCACGCCTGTAATCCCAGCACTTTGGGAGGCCGAGGCGGGCGGATCACGAGGTCAGGAGATCGAGACCATCCTGGCTAACACGGTGAAACCCCGTCTCTACTAAAAATACAAAAAATTAGCCGGGCGAGGTGGCGGGCGCCTGTAGTCCCAGCTACTCGGGAGGCTGAGGCAGGAGAATGGCGTGAACCCCAGGGGGCGGAGCCTGCAGTGAGCCGAGATTGCGCCACTGCACTCCAGCCTGGGCGACAGCGAGACTCCGTCTCAAAAAAAAAAAAAAAAAAAAAAAAAAAAATAGTTCAATAAGTTCTTATTCAAATTACTGTTTTCTCTTGTATCAGTCTCTAGTCTAGGAGAACATCAAATCCTGCTATGGATTGAATTTTGTCCCCTTCTAAACTCATGCTGAAACTTAATTGACATTGTAACAGTATTAAGAAGTGGGGCCTTTAAGAAGTGAATAAGACCTGAGGGCTCTGCCCTTATGAACGGATTAATGCTGTTACAGGGGGGTTGGGCTCCTAATAAATGGGTAAGTTTGGCCCCCATCTGCTCTCTGTCTCATGTACTTGCTTCCACCTACTGCCCTTCTGCCATGGAATGACCCTTGACAGATGCTGGTGCCATGCTCTTGAACTTCCCAGCCTCTAGAACTGTGAGAAATAATTTTTTTTCCTCATAAATTACCCAGTCTATATTCTGTTATAGCAGCAGAAAATGGACTAAAACCCCACAGGTAAGCAAAGACATGAATTAAATTATCTAGAACGATCCATAGATCTCTTTATTTGAAACAATCCATAGGTTTCCTCCAGACTGTAAGAAAATTGCCCTCTTGATATAAACTCTGAATATAGTGCCTGCATTTAACTTGGGTTCTCTCCCATTGGCATGAGATTGAAAATCTGTTGGCTGTCTGTATTCTGTTGTTAGATCCATTTTCTGAGAGACTATTTGGAAATAGATTTCTTGGGGAAAGGTTGTATGTATAAAATAGTCAAACAGTGGAACAAGCTGGATTTTACTGAGATTTCCCCAGAATTTTAAGTCTCCAGCCCTGACCTGAACTCTAGACTATTCAGCTTCCTACTTGACATCTCCACTTGGATATAAAAATGACACCTCAAAAGGGACAGAGCTGAACTCCTAATCCTCCCCTTTCAAACCTTATTTCCCACAGCCTCCCCTACTCAGCTGATGCCAACTCATCTCTCTAGTTGCTTGGGCTGAAAATCTTGGTGTATCCTTGACTCCTCTCTTTCTCTCATAGCCCTTATCCAAGCCATGAACAAAATTTGTTGGCTTTACCTTCAAAATAAACCCAGAATCTGTCCTGACATCTTCCCATTACCATCACTGGTCTGAGCCACTACTATCTCTTGAACTGAATTTAATGATTAGGCCAAGTTCTCAATACGCAAAAAGATCTGGAGCTGACTTTAAAGGTGCAGCCTAGCGAAAACAAAAATGCTCAGATTCAGAATGTAATAAAACCTTTCTTTCTCTTCAAGGGGAGACAGCAGAGAAGAGAAAAGACAACTTAGTGATCTGGGAGGATGGTAGCCTCCTTTAGAAATGGCCATGAGTCTTTTTAAGAACTGACATGCCTAATACTGAACTCAGAAGTTGCTGGAATTGCTGCAATGTATATGTCCTTCCATCACTTCAAAACTTTGACTACTTCTGCTTTGTACACAATGACCTTATGAAAATGTTTTGGTTTGGTTGTTGTCTTCATGACTAAGCTATTAATGAGGAGGACAGGTAAAAAGGGTTGAGTTCCAAATCTAGGTCAGCTCCACATAGGATAGGGACAACAGGTACAGGAACAAGACAATCCATAGCCTGGATAAGGTTATCAGAAGCTGGAGATGTCTGTGGCAATATTTGGAATCCTTTACAAATTAGACTTTGCCTAGGGCATGGAAAGCAGAAAGAGACTTGAGCCAATGTTTCCTACACAATAAGTGGAACAGTAGCCCTTGTTAACACCTGAGCTACTGAATCTGTTTTTCTAATATATGAATAAAATCATAACTGAAAATGACACCTCATCCTCATAGAAAACAAACAAGACAAAAATATTTTCCTCCAAGCACCTCGCCTCTAACTTCAGACCTTGACCTCCTCAACTCCATTGATCTTCACTTCAATTCCACATTAATTAATCAACCATTATTATGGTCATACCCGGACCTTAGTAATACCAGTGACTGCTTCATCTCTGCCTCTCGTTGCTGTCTATCAGAAATTCCAGGTTCTGGAGGACGCAGAATGGGATCAAGAACATCAAGAGGCACTGATCTACCAGTGCAGTCTCCCTGCTCTGGTCCACCATGACACCTGCTTTTCTGTCACCAGGTTTGACTCTCTGTTCTCTATCATTCTTCTCCTATAGTGATATTACAAATTGAAATCCTGGCTCTCAACCAGGCTTCCGGATCATGTACATCCATTGCAGCAATGGCACACACATTATGATCTCTAATTTCCATCGGCTCTCCGTGTTGCCCGGTCATCCACCCAGGTGTCTCTCTCATCAACTTTCTCCACAGCAGCTATTTAAAACCGGCTCCACTCTCCTCAAATTACCTAACCCACCACTTCAGTTCCCTCACTCTCAAGCATATGTCTTTGCCTCCTACTTGGTGGGGAAAATAGAAATCACGAAAAGGGAAGTGGCCCAACTCACTGCCACCACACGCACAGATTCCCGCTGCAAGTGCACCCGTCCTTTCCTCCTCCCATCTGTCATGTGGAAGAGGTGTCTCCTCCTGCCCAGGCTCATCTCCTTGCCCTCATGCTCTGCATCCTCCTGCCTCCCTCTCCACATCCTCTGGAAGCTGACTGCGCCATTAACCCCCCTCTTTCCGGTATTTTCACTGCCTCTTTCACCCTCCTTCCTGCTCTTGCCAATTAACATTTAAACATATCTGCTATCTCAGAACAGAAACATAACAAACAATGGAAAACCACCAAGACCTCCTTTACCTCCCCTTCCAGCTAGCATCCTCACTCTCCAGCTACCACTTTCCAGCTAACATCCTCACTCTCCTTCTCAGCCAAACTTTTCCAAGGGTGACCTCCACTTGCTGCCCCTATTTCCTCACTTCTTATTCAAGGCCATTCGTAATCGCTTTGCTATGCATCCAGGGGACACTTTTGGTTCTTGTCTTACATTACTTTTCAATAACACTTGTCCCATTGGTCATGCTCTTGTGCTTAAAATATTCTCTTCTCTTGACTTTGTGAAAATAACACTTTCCTGATTGTTTGTTAGTATTTTCACCTCTTTAATATTTAATTGCTTCTTTCCAGGAATCCCTTTCTTAACCCATTATGATATGACTCAGGACATCATGGTATGTCCTTCAACCTCATTTTTTTGTCTATACACCCTCCAAAGGAAATGTCATTCACTCTCATTATTTCATGAACTACTGCTCTCAAATCTGTGTTTTTAAGGACATATATACATAGCAGACACACACATACACACACACACACTATATATATATATATATATATATATATATATATTCCATGTTTCTGCTTTAAGTTTTCCAAGATGTTCAAAGCCATTGTGTCCCAAATGAGCTCTCATTTCCCCCCACAAGCAGATTTCTTCTCTCCTCCTTAAATCCTGCTGTCCAAGTCAGACATTTAGACATCATCACTCTGCCCTCTTCCCCAGGCATCACATCCAAAATGTCACAAACTCCTCTTGTTTTTACTTGTCAATTATCTCTTGAATCCACCCATTTCTCTTCATCTCCAGGGATATCATTTTAGTTGCAACCACCATTCTCTCTCCCTGGACGACTGCCTAACTCATCTTCCAGCCCCGTTCCCATCCATTCTCAAACCAGAGTAACTTCTAAAGGGTCAATAGGACCCACTGATTCTCCAGCTCAAAATATTTTAATGGCTCCCCAATGTCAAATTTTAATTCCCCAGAAAGGTTCACAGGGTCTTCGGCAGGCTCCAGTGATATTGTCCCCTTCTGTTCATCTTTAGCTTCTCTTCTTTTTTCTGTGACTATATATTACTTGTGCTACTTTAAAAGTTCTAGCAAGCGGATTGGCCAGAAGGAGATGCAGAGGAGATAAGGAGTCATCAGAGAGGAAGGGGAGAACCAGGAGGCCATGAAATCATAGAAACCAGTGAAAGGCAACACTTTAAGGAAATGGGGATGTCAATATTATAGTATGCCTCGGGGAGGTTAAATTCCATGAAAGATGAAAACAGTCCCTTGGATTCTGACATTTGAAAATCCTAGGGATCATTGATAGGGACATCTCTGAAGTTTCTAAGGCAAAAGTCAGAAGACAGTGAGCTGAAGAGCTAGGAGCAGCTGGGGCAAGGAGGCTCTTGAGAGAATGCTACTTCCCTGATATGATGATTTCCCCAGTGGGTGTGATCAACTGATAGGGAGTTAGGAGATGAGCAAGTAGGGAAAGGAAGATTAAGGCTAAATATGCAGAAGTGAGAGGGAATAGTCAGTGTCAGAACTTCCAGCTTCTGGAGAAGTCAAAATGAGATCACCATTACGGAGGATGGGAAAGGCCGGGAGAAGGAATATTCAAAGACCAGAAGGAAGATGATTAGACTGAAGGTAACTACAGGTAAGTTTGTAGGTGTGGGACAGGAAGTTGAGGTATTTTCTGGCTTTTACTTCATTTTCTTAAATATCAAAGGCAAATCCATCTGAGTAATATCCCTACTTAATGCAGACATATGGTTATGTTCATAATTTAACAAGGAAATATTTTTAAAGCAATAAAAGATATGCACCATTTATTAGAAAACAATTACCTTGATTATATAAAGAAGCTTTCCATGAAATAATTTTGTTTTGGTTTATAACTTTACTCTAGGAAATGCTAAGAATTTGTGTAATCTGCTGCAAAACTGTCAAATCTTACCAAGTAAGAAAAATTCAAAATTGTTTAATATAAGAAAAAAGCCAAACTGAGAATTCTCTAAATTATACCCATATTAAAAATGAATAATTAGTTCCACAGTATTCCTTAACATTAGAAAAAGTATAAGTTCCTAATGTTATGTTTGCCTTTATATGTATCTGTCTTCCAAAATGGGCACATTATTAGAAGAAATTCGAAACCAAAGACAAGCCAATATTTAAAATACATGATGGGATATAGAATTCATCCCTCATGTGGATAAAATTAGAACAGATATTATCCAGAAGAGATGAAGCCAGAGAATTAAAAAGGAAAAAAAAAGAAACAAAATCCTTTTGTTAAGCTATTTTCCTAATTTTATTTTGATTTTGGTTCAGCGTTCAAAAGCAGATTAATATAGAAAAAATAAAGTACAGGGCTGGAAAGAAGAGCACAATTTTTCTTCTTCGATGTCAAATAAATAGCTTTCCCTGCTCCTACTAAATCGGAACTAAACTCATAAAGATGAAAATAAATGACTAATTTCTTGGGAAATAACCTTAAGTGAAAGATTCTTTTGGTCCAGTAATTGCTTTTTTCAAACTCCCGTTGACTTAACCTCATTCTCAAGGCCTCCTTGGCCTTTCCTTCCATTTACCCTGTTGATATCAAGTGTATCTTCAGAGTCTGTCTTGTCATTTGCTACCAATTTGAGGAATGTTTTCCTTGTCTCATATAATTTTTGGAAGGCATATGTCAAATGTGGTTGTTATTTCTTTTTTATAACTTATTTCTAACAGGACTTGTCTAAGACCTTTAAAAATGAAACCTAAAACATATTATCGTAAAATTTCACAAAGCAATGTTTCTACCCACTCTGAAAAAGCCCCCTAATAATCCCCTAACATTTTAATAAGCAACTAGATATTAATTTGTCTTTTTGCTAAAATGTTATAAAATGATGCTTTTCAATTTCATCTATATAAGAACTTCACATTTCAGTGAAAGAAACTGAATGAGTTTTAGAACAGAATAATACTTCTTCCTCTCTGGCAAAGACTGTGTTCATTTCAGAGCCCATCTTACATGATTTTTGCCAACTTAGGTTTTCAGAGCTTCAGGACTGGCCCTAAGCAAGGTATTCAGGCAGTAATTAAAAAAAAAAAAATGTAAGCAGTGGAACCCATTTCTTTTTTCCCCCAGACAAAACTTAATTCTTCTATGAAATCCACATATATGTGAACATACATATGTAGGATAAAATGGAACGTCTGAACAGAAAGTAGGGCACAGGATGGTGGAACTTAGCTGTTCCTTCTTGCTCCCCATAGAGATCCTTGAAGTACCTTCTCCAACTCCATGATACTCTAAAAACTGTTCATCTTCATAATAGGAGTGGAGCCTAATCCTTGGTCTCCTCACCTCCTGGTTTCCCGGAATGTCTTTCTCACCACATAACACCTCCCCTTGCTGCTCACTCCTACCTGGTGACAGTAGCCTCCTCATGTTCCATTCATTCCACACAAATCTGCTCAATCTGCACTTACTCTTCTAACAATTGCCCCAAACCACTGCACCATAGTCCCTGAAGCTCTCATTCTCTCATTCTGAGAGTCTCAACTCGATACTTGGAAGAACACAGTTTAAACACATGCCTACCGAGTTTTATGTGGCTGATAGATAGCCTTGCTTAATCTTCCCAGATTTAAAATGTGTGTTTACAAATTTTAGAGAAGAGAGTTTTTCAGCCAAATCTTTAACTTATGAAATTTCAAATTATGTGGCAATATCATACGTGCATTTCAGGCAGCCTAGTGAAACAGTTCTATTTAGGAAGGTCTCCATTGGGGGCCCCCTAAAATGATACATGAAGAGCATAATTTTTATGTTATACTGACTCGTCTGAATATTCTCCCTGGAGCACTGGAGTGGATTGTATCTCTAAGCCTTTTCCAGGACCAACCCAGAGTTCCTGATGGAGATTCAATAAAGTCATTCCTTCAATACTGATCTTACTTTAATATCAGTTTGGATCTGGGGCACTGAAATGGCTTATTCATGCCAATACTTATTTTGTGTTAATATGGCTGTCTTCAGTGCACATCTTATACTTCTGGCAAGATTCTTTAAATAATTGTTTTTCTCTAGTACATCTTTTGGATAAGTTTGGCAGGTGGACAGGTCCTTTTTCCTTTGTTCTATCAGGTAGAGATACTGCTGATCAGCTGAGATGTGATGTTAAAGGCACCATGAGAAAAACACAGTCCAGCCCTGGAGGAGTGGATGGGGGAGGGAAGAGGCATGAGGAGGGATCTGGAGGCCAACGGCCCAGGAGACAGTGCTCCCAGAAGTCCATCTGCCTTGTGCTTGGATGCATCCTTACCTCTGCAGATAATGCTACCTCGGCCTGCAACACTGATGGACTCTGATCTATCAGAACAATTCCTTGTTCTTTTTTGATACTAATTCAAATGCTCTATGAATTGGAGGCAACATTTATAAAATATTAAATCTGTACATTTTTTCATCATCACCGAAAACGACATTCCCCTGCCCAAATCCACCGTTATAGACCCAGGAAAGGCAGAGGGGCTAGAGAACCTTCAAGAAGGAAAAGGACAATAGGAACCATAGCTAACACTTCCACAGTGAGTGCTTACCATGTATCAGGCACTACTCAAAGTGCCTTATAAGATACTGATTCATTTGAAGTTCTCAGCAAACCTAGCTAAATTTTATTATTAACGTTCCAATGTAGAGATGAGGAAACCATGGCATAGAAAGATTAAGCAACTTGCCCAAAGTTGCAGATCTTGGCAAAGTCAGGATTTGAACCCAAGCCCTAGATTCCATGCTCTTATCTGCCATACAGATGGCCTCCCTTGGCGTACGTGCCCACACAGAGGCAGCTGGCCTGGCCTCATTCTTGGATGCCTGGGGTTGGCATTTTCTGAGGCATAGCTGGTCCTCTCTGGCCCTTTGGCCATCATGCTCATACTCTGTAGTCCCAGCTGTGTGTCTTTATGTTTGCAGTTGTTCTACTCAATGGAGCCTGTTTGTTTCTGCAAACCCTCCCTGTGGGTCCATGGGTATATGTGGCTCCCCTCTCCCCTGCATGCCATATGCAGTCTGTGAGGGCACCAGGACCTACCTGAGGGTCACCCTTCTAGGTGCCTGCCTTGACCCACAGTGCATCATTGCTCCTGCACAACATTGGACTCACAGTCAAGCATATTCGGGGCTTCCCCTGAAGGCTGGACCACATACTTTCATCTTTGTATCTTCAGGGGCTAACACAGAGGTAACTCAATAAACAGTATTTTGAAGTTCAGATGCTTGGCGTATTTCAGCTGCAGCAACGAATGAGGCTGAGAAGATTTAAAAACCACTCCTCGGAACCTTTCACTGATTTCAACTCAGAATCCTTAAAACATATCCTTGAATAATTCTCTGGTACACAATGAAACTTATTAATCACTCTTTTGCCTGGACACAATGTCTCTGGGTCTCTCTGGTTTGATGTTTCTCACACCTTACTTGTACACAGACTTGATTTTATCACGCATGCCCTCTTTCAAATACCTTTAGCTTCTTCAATAAGATTATTCCTAGTGCCAACCCTAGAAGCATACTGTCCAGGAATATGTCACATGCTGCTAGCTGACTACTTTCTCTCTTGTCCCTTGTATCGCAGCCAGGTTCTCTAATTATCCACAAGCTCAACTTTCCCCCCACCCATGTTGTTCACACACACACACAGACACACACACACACACATTTCTTTTCAATTACTTTGGTATAGAACTTTGTCAAAAACATCCTGGAAATCTACATAATGATCTGGCGGGCTCCTTTTGGTGTTACTGGTTAGCACATTTCATGAATTACCAGAGCACACGTGACCAGGAATGCTACTTTTCTCCTTAAACGTTATTGCTCAACACATATGGCAAAAGGACTTAATGTTGCATTTCAGCAGGATACACTCACAATGGGTATCCTATTTATCATGGTCCCATGCTATACTAAAGCTCTCGTGGGTTAGAACTAAACATCTCTTTTTCAGCATATCATTTTACTGTGACCTAAGCAGCTACTGAGAAAATTATCCGACTTATCATGAAAAGAATAAGTAATAGGAATAATTTTTTTCAAATTATTTTAGTAAAGTCGAAGGATATATGAGGAAAGCATCAGTGCAATATGGCTTTTCCAACTTGGCAGGGGCAGGTGGAATCTGTGATGAAATTGTTACCTTAAGAGATTGGCTTTCCCCCTTGCCTGGCCGTGCTTTTTGAAGTTTTTCATATACCACAAAATACATAATGAAGGGTAGTTCAATTTACTCTGAACCCCAGCTATATGGCCATGACATATTTAGAGGTGACTCTGGGATGCATTCTCAAATACAGTGCATGCTTTCTAAATTTACAGTCTGATTTATTGCTGCCAGTTATGACTGCCAAATGCTTCTGACAGTGTGGCCAGTTTGTGGTGTCCCTAAAAATCATCAGCAATTTGAAAACATTAGCACCCGGCAATAGTCGTACTTCGCAATGATTGCCTGTATTTATCACCTTACTTTTCCAGGGTACAAACTGAAAAAAAAAATCAAGGAGGAAAATTAAACTTCTCTAGCAGCACGGAAAATACAGCATTGGAAATAAAATGCATCGTAGGAACTCAGCCCCTCCCTGTATTCTTTAAAAATTAAAATAAACAATTTAAACTCTGTGGCTTATGTGGCTACGTAGAAGAAAAATATTGTAAGTATGTATCTCTCCTCAAATACTTTTTATTTTGTCTTCACATTTGAAGAGTATTTTGATATTAGGATATTATGGTTATGTGTGGGACAAAAAATTGGGGAAAATAGTTCATTGCTTCATTCAACAAATATCTGCTATGTTCTGCTCTGTGGCAGGCACTGAACTAGTTCCTGGAAATGCAGGAGTAGACAAGAAAGGCTTGACTTCCATAGGGGTCTTGCAGTTTACTGAGATGCACAATTATGTTGTTACAATTGGGAAGAAGAGACGTGCAAGTCCTGGGCGACTACAGACAGCAAGGTAAAGGTACACCTCCCTGAAGAACAAGAGCAAATCTGAAACCTGAAAGATGGTTATGAACAAAGCACTGTGTAACATGGGGATTGGGAGAACATTCCAAGCCGAGAAAGGACAGCGGTGAAGGTTCCACATGGCGCCACCTTACAGGGATTTGCAGTGTGTGCAGCACCAAGGTGCTGGCCAGAAGGTGAGTGACATCCAGGCCCTGCTCTGCTCTCCAGCTTGGACATCCCGGTGTGTCACTGACAACCCACCAAAGGACACAAAAGTAGCAGATGATTGCCAAGACAAGTCCTATGAATGCATTGATTTGAGTCCAGGATAAACTGTTTTAACCTAAAAACTCTAAAATGTAGTGATTGAAATAATCTAGGAGGTTGTTTTCCCTGGCGTAACATTATACGTGCATGTGGTCTAGGGCTGGTAGCATCGCTCTGCCACTTTCATTGTGTTGGCCAATCTCAATGAGTCCAAAGCTGCTCCAAAGGCGCTATCCCTTGGCCTTCTGGAATAGACATACAACCCGTGACACCACAGGCATCCCTTACATAGGGCAAGAAACACAAACAGCATGCATCATTTCTCACTTCCCATTGGTGATAACCTAATCATCACACGGCCACACCAAGACTCAAGGGAAGCTGAGAAGCATCTTCTCTGGCTGGCTGCCATGTGCTATCATCAAAGAGGGGAGGATGAAGGTTGGTGGACATCCAGGGGACTGTGCTACGAGGAAGGATGGTGGGGGCAAGGAGTGAGATAACGATGGAGAGGCAGGCAGGGGGCAGATCGTGAAAGGGCTTGTTTAAAGCAAAGGGAAGCCATGCTAGTGTTTTCAAAAGAGCAGTGACAGATTTATGGGTATCTGCTTGCAGAAAAGGCTATTACAGAGAAGGCTTGATTAGGGTAAATACAAGCTGAGGTTTCCTAGTGATTCTCTCTTTTAATTCTCAGATGTCCTTGTTTACCAACAGCCCAAATTCTGCATGCAGAACACACCTAAGTCATAGAGTCTCCAAAGAAATTGCCTGGAAGCTCCGATTTTAATGGAAAGTTTTTCTGTAGTTGTGGATGGAAACCTGAGCTATCCTATATTATGCAGCTCTACACTGTCAGTGACCTTGTGATGTGGCTCTGAGTTTTCACAAGGTCACCCAGGCCCGACAGAACACACAACCGAAGGCGCAGGGGTTGCGGCACAGCACATCCGTACTTGTAGACATCGCGTGGCCCTGCGTCCTGGCAGGGCAGGGCAGAGAACAAAACCACTCTCAAGGCCGGCACAGTCCCACCAGCAGGCCCTTGGAGGAGCGTCAAATCCTGCCACAGACACAGGACCCATCTACATGGCTTCTTGGCCCTGAGGAGATGGGCTGCTGAAGCCAGCACCTCCAATTCTGTCTATAGTGGAAAACAGAGAGGCTGAGGACTGAATACCTGCTGTCTGAGTTGGTTCAATGTACAGGAACGGGACTTTAATTCAGGGAGGTGAGATGTGAGAAAGAGCAACTTCGAAAGTCACCCATCTCACACCTGTAGCCTGAACTTGACAATTCTACTCCTATAACAACAACAACCGCTGCAGCAACATTCAGATACACCCACTGTGAGGCAGGTGTGTTCTCTCTCTCTCTGTACAGTTGATGTCTGAAAAATGTGAGTTAGGGCACCACGCCCTCATACAGTCAAAAACCCACATATAACTTTTGACTGCCCCCAATCTTAAGGACTGATAGCCTACTGTTGCTCAGAAGCCTTAACAATAACATAAACAGTCGATCAACACCTAGTTTGTATATCATGTATATTATATACTGTATTCTTAAAATAAGAGAAGTTTAACAGAGAATAAAATGTTATGCAGAAAGTCATAAGGAAGAAACAGCCTGTCCAACATGGCGAAACACTGTCTGTACTAAAAATACAAAAATTAGCTGGGCATGGTGGCAGGCACTGGTAACCCCAGCTACCTCGGGAGGCTGAGGCAGGAGAATCACTTGAACCCGGGAGGCAGGGGTGGCAGTGAGCCGAGATTGCACCACTGCACTCCAGCCTGGGTGACAAGAGTGAAAATCCCATCAAAAAAAAAAAAAGGAAAAGAAAATCATAAGGAAGAGAAAATACATTTACTATACATTAAGTGGAAGTGGATCATCATAAAGGTCTTCATCCTCGTCATCTTCCCGTTGAGTAGCCTGAAGAGGAGGAAGAGGAAGAGGGGTTGGTCTTGCTGTCTCAGGGGTGGCAGAGTCAGAAGGAAATCTGCATAAAATTGGATCCATGCACTTCAAACTCATGCTGTTCAAGGGTCAACTGTATATATATTCAGTACATATACACAGTTGAATACATATGCATGTATATGTGTGTGTATATAGAAAGGTATTTCATCTTTCCTATAACTCTTTGAGGAAAATATTATCATCCTCATAGAACTGATAAGGACACAGAGACCAGTGGTGCTGGGTGACTTGGCAGCAGAACTCAGGGCCAGAATCCAA
Source organism: Homo sapiens (assembly GCF_000001405.40). Classification (NCBI taxonomy): domain Eukaryota; kingdom Metazoa; phylum Chordata; class Mammalia; order Primates; family Hominidae; genus Homo; species Homo sapiens. The sequence continues at coordinate 27,836,347 of NC_000010.11, forward strand.
ACCCAGATCTGCTAACACCAAACACACACTCATTTCCCTGCATCCTGTCTTTTTTACGTCATTAAATAAAAAAGATTTATCAGTTTTCTAAACTTGATCAATGAGAGAGTTTGGGGACATCTTCCTAAATTATACTAATATGTAAACATATCTATACCATCTAAAATGATTTTTTGCAAAACTCATCTAAATTTGCAAACAAGTCACTGCTATATCCTATAAAAAGTACATTAGAAACCTCTGATGTTCCAACTCTTGAAAAATGGCCTGTGGCAGCTTTAGGGCCTATGAGCTTGCAGGGTTCTTACCTTTATGGTTGACTCTCAAATCATTAGTTTTATGGTAGGACATAATTTCTTTAGGATTTCAAGGAATACGAAAAATACACTTAAGCCATATTAGTGGTTTTGACTTAATTAATTATAATAATTACTATCAATTGATTGATTAATAATGTTGGTTAATCAATTGTTAATTTCATTGAATAATTATCAGAGCAAAAACTTGAAATGGTGTTGAAACACAGAGGACTTATTTCATAAACATCAAACCTAAAGAGTATAGCTCAGCAGTTCACGACTAAGCCTCAAAGATATAAATCAGGATTTTCCCTGGCTTTGCAGGGAATGTCGCTTAAGTCAGGCTCTTGAGTTGCCTTTCCAGATCCTAAACTGCCCACCGTGAGGATTTCTGGGACTCGTAGGAGTGTAACTGAAGACAAATTCTGATGCAAGAAAGGTCATATTCATCCTGAGGGAAAATTTGTTGTCCACACAATTCCACCGTTAAAAGACACCAGCATCTCGGCTGCCTCTCTGGGTCACAGCAAGGATGCTCCCACCCCTGTCTGTGCTGCCCTGTGACCACATGGTCCCGTACTGGTCACTCAGAGTGAGACCTATCGTGGGGGCCATCCTGGCCACACATCTTAGATGAGTGTTTCTACACTTCTTTGATAAAGACAGTTAATTCCCAAGGAGGTTTTTGTTTTTACTTCTCTGTATGCAAAATGGAATGAATGAAAATATCAGGTTGACGTTCTGGCAAGTCATTTCCTAGGCAAGTGATCATCTAAGAAAAAATACCTTAGAAACTTATTTTCACAGAAATTTGATCAGGTTTCCACAATCAGAAAATCATGGGTCTAGAGAAAATATCAGCGTTTTCAGTCATTAGTGTGTATATTTTATGTTCTTATAATAAGCAGAGGTATAAATACAGACTAAGGCATCAAACTGAATGATGGTTTTCACTGCTGTAAATGGAACATTAGGGTGCTTTTCTAATTCCCTCTCTCTGCCAGGATTAAAATTTAAACGTGGGTCATAAAGAACGACAAAATAAACTTTATAAATATTTCTCTTACTTTTGCTCATGGGTAAACAAAGACGTAGAGAATCAAGTGTTTATTCCCACAAGTGTATTGTAAATGAACACAGCATCCGCAAGCCCTGACTTGTCAACCATAAGGATAAGCCATTGTGGTCCATCACTCCTAAAGACAATAGTTGTTCTGACTGAAATCTGCATAAGGTGTAATAAATTTGATTTTTAATGTAACTTTTTTTTAGCTCCTGTACTTTTATTTCCGAAGACATTTCAGTAAGTGACATCTTACCCCACGGCGATGGATTGGGAAACACAGAGAACAAAGATCCTAAGAATCTAAGATTTTTGTATTTTTTTAAATAACAAAAATGGATTAATCCTGAAGAAACTGAAAAAAAAGGAGTCTTAGGAGGGAATATTAATGCGAGCATATTTTTGGCACATTAAAAACTCCAACGTACTAATTCAAGCACTGTTTACTTTTTGTATTTAACAGGATTGCTGTTTTCAAGGGAAAAAACAAGATATTTTCTGAGTGCCAAAAACTACTTACTCATGAAGTCTGAAATACCATTATTAGTAGTAGTAATTCTTACATTTAGCATCTGTGAATAACTTCTTATACGAGAACACTATTTTGGGTCAGCTGAAGGCTAAAAATAATGAGTTGGCTTTCTGCCTTTGTGTATTGAGTCAAATAGCTGCCAATTAATATAATGGATTTTTTTCCTGTGATAAATTTCAGAAAGTGAGAACAAATAGTTGTTGGTGTTTCATAATTTCCAATGGAAAGAATATATTTCTCACAAGTTTAAAGACTGACTGCACTCTAAGTAACCAAACAATTACAAGAAGCTGCCGGTGTATTTCTGTGGTTTAGCAAAAGGGCCAAGTCGGAAGGAAAAGACATTCCCAGCATTTTCTAAAGCTAGATAAATACAGAAACGAAATATAGATGAAAGATGGAACTGCTCTCTATAGCATCTGCCAGATTCCTCGACTTTTTGGCACACTGATTGAATTTGGCAAAGGTACCCAGTAGCAATCTTTTCCATTAAAAGGAGCAGCATATACTTTATTTTACCATACTGTTTGTGTATTTTTGACCCTCCAAAACTCTCTTTTTTAGAAGGCAATTATTTCTACAGAGTTGGCTGCAATTATTTGAAACGGATCTTTTATCAACAAAAAAAGCTGCGGGACATAGCTACTGTTGAACAGATCCAAGGACCTACAGGTCGTCAGGAAAGCGTCTTTCTTTGAAACCAAAAGATGCTTCAACATGTGCCAGCATCATCTTATGCCAATCTAACGCTTTTGATATCCAAACCTATTTAAATTTGGAGGAATCCTGGACTGTTCAATTTAGGCAAGATAAGCTACCCAGCTCTGTCGTTTTCTTCTATTTGTGATCAGAAAAACTGTAACGTAGTCCAACATTCCTAATTTTGGTAACATGATGATGTTAAGAAAAGGAATAACTCTCCCGTCCAAAATCAAATTTTTGTGGAATCCAATACTTCTTAACCCTGAATTTTTTTCTGAGCTGGCAGTGATTCTATAGTAAACTTCTGAAGATATATAAGTAACAATCTCTAAAAATATGACACGCGGCAGCAAGTATGAAGGCAATGGCTTCTGGCTTCACTCAACTCAGGAAAGAGAGGCTCACACCTGATAAGCTTTTTACGTAACTCAGAGGGAAATGACTTTTTGTTTTCAGATTTTATTAGTTTCTTCTAAACCAAACAAAAGCAAAAGATGAGGGGTGTTCACCTGTTGCTATGAAGTTTTTGAGTGCAACATTATGGTCAGATATTTGGTTTTTAAACAGCCCCAAATTGAGGCCTACCGTATAGCTGACAGTGACTTGGAAATATTATTGTTACTAATGTTATTTGCCATCTAGTGCACTTTCTTAATCATTAAGTAGCAGCTAATTTAAAGCAGTGGAAGAGTATTAGCTTCATGTGAGCGCCAGAAAAACGCTGTGGTTTAAACATAAAGTTGGGAGCCAACAGCGACAGATATAACATATAAAGATGTATAATTTGCCAAGTTTAAAATCCCCAAACCAACATGGGAATGCTTCACAGGTTTATATGTGCATAAAGTGAAGACTGTTTTGCACAGATTTAAAATGGTGAAGGAGCGTATCTTTTCTTAAACTCAGGTTGACAGTATAATAGTACACCTCCTATAATCACAAAGTATTTGACAAAAAAGAGTCAACTGTTATTCTGTTTAAATTTCAGGATGCTAAATCCATACCAGCAGTTGGCAGTAGCTGAGTCTGGAATATTTTCAAAAATATTATAAATAATTACCTTTCACATTAATAATTTACATCGATTTAACTCACAAAGCTTGCCTTATGAAAGAGTTCTTTAATAAAAATAAAACAATAATAATAAATAAAACCAGCCAAAGCTGTCAGCAAGAATTTGTCATTTTCACAACTGAGGTAAAATATTCTACAAGTTAAATATTGGGTAAAATGCCCTCTGTACATTTTTTTCTATTTTTATTGATCTATTTGTACATATTTACGTACATCTTTAAAACAACTGCAATAACAACCTCATAATAAAAGCATATATTTGACTCTAAAACAGCCTAAATAACAGTGTGACAAAAGATAGTGAATATCAACTGACCTAAGAATTTCTCATGTCAGTTGGTTCAGAAATTTAAATTCTGAGTTGTCACTTTCGTGCACATCTTTTGGAGTGCCTTCCCAGCACATCATGAACGCCCTTGACTGCCTTTGTGTTCCACCTCCAATGGCAAGTCTTGGAAGCCATCTTGTAAAGTATCACATGCTTCATTGTCCACCACTGATTGGACAAGGGGGTGGGTACTTTTCTTAAACTGGGCCAATCAGCTTCCCTTGTCTGAGATTTTTGAACTGAAAATGGGGGTGGAGAAAATATGTGGCCTCCTTGGGTGGCTGGATACCTAGATCCAGGAGAAGCAGTAAAGAAAACAGTGGCAAAAGAGAGGAAGCCAACTGGCATAGAAAGAATAAAAGGAAACAAATAAGAAAAGTGGAGAGATGGCAGTTGGAAAAAAGATGCTAAAGGCTTTGGAGCTCAGCGCCTTCTTAGGGCTCTGCTGCTTTCTTGCCCATGGGAATTCTCTTTGGTGCATAAGTTTGAGTTATGAAGTAATTTATTGATTTATAGCAGATCCTGCATTGCATCTGTAGGACTTTGGATGCATCAGACTGTCGAGCTAAAGCTTCCCAGTCTTTAAAATGGGAGAGTAATGCCTGCACCACAGGGGTACAGTGAAGATTAAATGAAATAAGGAATAAAGCACATAGGCCACGGGTGAATGCTCAGTAATTGATTGTTATTCTTTTTAAAATAGATCAACCTGAAATACACATTTTGTAACATATATATGAGCTATTTATATTGACTATTTGCTAGTGTAATTATTAAGCCTAATATTCTAATATTGGATAATTATTCACTTAATGGGTACTCCAAGTTATCTAATGAAATTTAAAATAAAAATGGGCTTGCTAGCAACTGTTATTACTATGATTATTTCCCTCTTTGTGGTAGAAAAAAGGTTTGTGAATGGATTCTTAATTCTTCCTGTTCCCTTAATCTCTCATCCAATCTGTAACTAAGCCACCATTTCTCATGCGCTTACAGCTCACCAGCCTCGTAGACAGATCAGCTTCCAGTTTTTCTTTTCTTTCCCTTCTTTTTTCTTATTTTTATTTTTTTTTCGGAGTCTTGCTCTGTCACCTAGGCTGGAGTGCAGTGGTGCGATCTCAGCTCACTGCAACCTCCACCTCCCAGGTTCAAGCAATTCTCCTGCTTCGGCCTCCTGAGTAGCTGGGATTACAGGTGCCCGCCACCATGCCCGGCTAATTTTTGTATTTTTAGTAAAGACGGGGTTTCACCATGTTGGCCAGGCTGGTCTTGAAATCCTGACCTCAGGTGATCTGCCTGCCTCGGCCTCCCAAACTGCTGGGATTACAGGTATGAGCCACCACCCCGGCAGATCTGCTTCCAGTCTTTCTGATCCTGTCCCTATACACCTCCAAGAGTGATCATCTTTTTTTGTTTGTTTTTTGTTTAGAGAAAGGATCTTGCTCTGTCATTCAGGCTGGAGTATGGTAGTGCATTCACAGCTCACTGCAGCCTCGACCTCCCAGGCTAAAGTGATCCTCCCACCTGAGCCTCCTGAGTAGCTGGGACTACAGGTATGCACCACCATGCCTGGCTTATTTATTTTTATTTTTTGTGGAGATAGGGTCTCCCTATGTTGCCCAGGCTAGTCCTCAGAAATTTTAGGCACATTCCTACCCTATGGCCGCTGAACAAACACTTTCCCTCTGGCTGCAAATTCTTCTCCTCACTTCATTCTCCTTAGTTAAGATGCATCTCTTCAAAGATGCCTTCTCTGACTTCCCTGTATAAAATGGGTTGTCCCTTCATTAGTCTTCATTTGACCCCCTTTGTTTCCTTTACAGCATTCAGCACACTTGGTAATTATTTTGTCCATTTACATGTTTTTGACCCGTCTCTTCTTAAATGGTTGAGAGGGTTATGCGAGCCTTGGGCTTGCTCTCTCTTCCTGAATTCTGGGGATGGTGAATAGAAGGACAGGTCCTGCCCATGTGGAGAATCTCTACACTGTATCTTTATTTCATTTCTTTGAAAAAAGGGTGCCCTTGTGAAGAATGTCATTTTCTGGATAGACACTAAGCATACATGATCATTCTTGACCAAACTTTTCAAGAGATTGTGCCTCCAATTAGCAATACATATTTTCCTCTGATTACAATAAATTAACAAGCAATATATGGGAATGGAGTGGATAACTATTTTTCACAAATAGTTATCAATCTTCTACCATTTGAAAGATTAATTTATTAAACAGAAAATTCAAAAACATATAAATGTCTTTAAGAACATTCTATAAAGCCATGGGCCATGTCCAGATCAACTAAAAGTAGAAGCCAAAAATAATTCCCCACAGTAAAATCTTTAAATTTAAATATGCTGAAAGAAAAAGTCAAGTCAGATGATTGATTAAAATTCTGAACAAACAAAATATTTATCCAGGTTTTATATCTGAACCCTCATCTGGCATGAAATCAATGGAGTAAAAATAATAATTTAATAATAATTACTAAAGCTAATTATACATATACCCTTTGATCCAGCAATTCTGCTCCTGGGCATATACTCAACATCAATCAGTGCTTATATGCACCAAAACACATGTCCAGAATGCTCATAGCAGCACTATTTTTAATAGACTCTTTTAATATATAGAGGATCCTAAAACAAAAGATTCATGTTCAAATTATCCTTCATAAATTTCTCAAGATGTTGGATAAGTGCTGTATGATTTGTAAAGAATGTCTGTGATTACATTTAAGGCCACATGTTATATATTCCCTAGAATAAACTGGAAACTTTTATCTAAAATAAATTAGAAAACCATATCTGGAACAAATTAGAAACTGGTGTCATAGTTTATTTTTTTAAAAAATAAGCTGAAGCTGTTTACTGTGGAGTACAAAGTCTTAAAATAAAAACAGCCTATCTGCAACAAATCTGTGCATGAAAATCTTGAAGGTTTAGAAAAGATCGAGCTGAATCAATAGTAATGTACAAACCATTCCAGTGATCTATAAAAATATACAAAGCTTGAATGCAATTGTAGCGGATGGTGTAGTGTACCACCCAGCATAACTGGGTAAAAAAGCAACTGGCTGATGCAGAGTGGCTCTACATATTCCTGATTACCTGAGAGGTAACTGTAAAACTTAGCACTGAGGGCCGGGCATGGTGGCTCACGCCTGTAATTCCAGCACTTTGGGAAGCCAAGGCAGGTGGATCATTTAAGGTCAGGAGTTTGAGACCAGGCTGACCAACATGATGAAACACCACCTATACTAAAAATAGAAAAAAATTAGCTGGGTGTGGTGGCATGTGCCTGTAATCCCAGCTACTTGGGAGGCTGAGGCAGAAGAATTGCTTGAACCTGGGAGGCACAGATGCAATGAGCCGAGATCACACCATTGCACTCCTGCCTGGGTGACAGAGCAATACTCTGTCTCAAAAAAAAACAAAACAAAAAACTTAGCACTGAAAATTAGGAATATTAATAGTCTGAAGATGCAATATACATAAAGATTTGTTTTTTCAAAAAATCACAAAGAATCTGGTTTAAACTTGATATACTATAACCACTACTAGCAACAATGTTTAATTCTGCCCAACATGCTCACACCTGTAATCCCAGCACTTTGGGAAGCTGAGGTCGGAGGATTGCTTGAGGCTGAGTTCAAGACTGACCTGGGCAACACAGCAAGTTCCCATCTCTACAAACAATAAAAAAATTAGCCAGGTATGCTGACATGCACCTGCAGTCCCAGCTACTGGGGAGGCCGAGGCAGACAGACCACTTGACAGGAGTTAGAGGCTTCAGTGAGCTATGATCGTGCCACTGTACTCCAACTTGGACAACAGAGCAAGACCCTGTCTCAAACCAAAAAAAAGAATAATTGGCATAAATTAAGAATATATACCAGCTGCAAGAGCAGCAAAGGAGGTTGGAAAATTGCTAAAACTGAAAAGAGAAATGGAGCCCTTGGGATGGATTTTCAAAAGAGGATGTGGGAGTTCTAACAGGAAGGGCAGACATCATTCCACCATGAAGCAAGCAAACTCTCTGCCAAGTCCCCTTCCTTTTTGTGCTCTAGCCTATAAAGCAGAGTTTCTCAACCAGGCTCAGTCCTTCAGAAAAAACTGCAAGCATAGGAGTCCACACATATATGTGCATCTGGCACTTGAGCAATACCTTCCAATGGTGGTTCAGAGAGGAGCCTCTAAACCCACGCTCCTTGAGTCCTTTTCTTATGACCTGGGTGATTTGGGGCAAGTTATTTAATCTTTATGAAACTCAATTTCTTTATCTGTAAAACTAAGATAATAAGTTTCCAACTCAATAGGTTATGGAGAAGATTGAATAAAAGACTCTGTGTAAATGTGCTTTTAGAATAAATGTCTGGCACACAGGAAGCTGAAAAAACAAAAACGATATGACTTCCATTATTATCTAGCTCTTTTACTATACTTAGCTTTTCTTTTTCATTTCTTCTCACTTGTAGCTCTAAGAAGGGGAGGAAAATTTATTTGGCTAGCGATGGGGTGGTGGCGAAGGAGTTGGATTTGACTTAGCAGAAGCAAGGTGGATCCATTATAGTGAAGCAGAGCTTGGATGAAGAAGACAAGCAGTCTATTAGCTCAGCCCCTTCTAGGCACATTCAATTTTTCCCAAGTGCTCCTGGATATTTTAGAAGTCAGCTGAATCAGCAAGGCAGGCCAACATTCAAATTCAGGAAATACAGAGAACACCACAAAGATACTCCTCGAAAAGAGCAACTCCAAGACACATAATTGTCAGATTCACCAAAGTTGAAATGAAGGAAAAAGGAAAAAATGTTAAGTGCAGCCAGAGAGAAACAGTGGGTTACACACAAAGGGAAGCCCATCAGACTAACAGAGGATCTCTTGGCAGAAACTATACAAGCCAGAAGAGAGTGGGGGCTGATATTCAACATTCTTAAAGAAAAGAATTTTCAACCCAGAATTTCATAGCCAGCCAAACTAAGCTTCATAAGTGAAGGAGAAATAAAATCCTTTACAGATAAGCAAATGCTGAGAGATTTTGTCACCACCAGGCCTGCCCTAAAAGAGCTCCTGAAGGAAGCACTAAACATGGAAAGGAACAGCTGGTACCAGCCACTGCAAAAACATGCCAAAATGTAAAGACCATCGATGCTAGGAAGAAACTGCATCAACTAACAAGCAAAAGAACCAGCTAACATCACAATGACAGGATCAAATTCACACATAGCAATATTAACTTTAAATGTAAATGGGCTAAATGCTCCAATTAAAAGACACAGACTGACAAATTGGATGAAGAGTCAGGACCCATTAGTGTGCTGTATTCGGGAGACCCATCTCATGTGCAGAGACACACATAGGATCAAAATAAAGGTATGGAGGAAGACCTACCAAGCAAATGGAAAACAAAAAAAGGCAGGAGTTGCAATCCTAGTCTCTGATAAAACAGACTTTTAAACCAACAAATATCAAAAGAGACAAAGAAGGCCATTACATGATGGTAAAGGGATCAATTCAACAAGAAGAGCTAACTATCCTAAATATATATGCACCCAATACAGGAGCACCCAGATTCATAAAGCAAGTCCTTAGAGACTTACAAAGAGACTTAGGCTCCCACACAATAATAATGGGAGACTTTAACACCCCACTGTCAACATTAGACAGACCAATGAGACAGAAAGTTAACAAAGATATCCAGGAATTGAACTCAGCTCTGCACCAAGTGGACCTAATAGACATCCACAGAACTCTCCACCCCAAATCAACAGAATATGCATTCTTCTCAGCACCACATCGTACTTATTCCAAAATTGACCACATAGTTGGAAGTAAAGCACTCCTCAGCAAATGTAAAAGAACAGAAATTATAACGAACTGTCTCTCAGACCACAGTGCAATCAAACTAGAACTCAGGATTAAGAAACTCACTCAAAACCGCTCAACTACATGGAAACTGAACAACCTGCTCCTGAATGACTACTGGGTACATAATGAAATGAAGGCAGAAATAAAGATGTTCTTTGAAAACAATGAGAACAAAGACACAACATACCAGAATCTCTGGGACACATTTAAAGCAGTGTGTAGAGGGAAATTTATAGCACTAAATGCCCACAAGAGAAAGCAGGAAAGATCTAAAATTGACACCCTAACATCACAATTGAAAGAACTAGAGAAGCAGGAGCAAACACATTCAAAAGCTAGCAGAAGGCAAGAAATAACTAAGATCAGAGCAGAACTGAAGGAGATAGAGACACAAAAAACCCTTCAAAAAATCAATGAATCCAGGAGTTGGTTTTTTGAAAAGATCAACAAAATTGATAGACCACTAGCGAGACTAATAAAGAAGAAAAGAGAGAAGAATCAAATAGACGCAATAAAAAATGACAAAGGGGATATCACCACCGATCCCACAGAAATACAAACTACCATCAGAGAATACTATAAACACCTCCACACAAATAAACTAGAAAATCTAGAAGAAATGGATAAATTCCTGGACACATACACCCTCCCAAGACTAAACCAGGAAGAAGTTGAATCCCTCAATAGATCAATTGTTGCTCTGAAATTGAGGCAACAATTAATAGCCTACCAACCAAAAAAATTCCAGGATCAGATGGATTCACAGCCAAATTCTACCAGAAGTACAAGGAGGAGCGGGGACCATTCCTTCTGAAACTATTCCAATCAATAGAAAAAGAGGGAATCCTCCCTAACTCATTTTATGAGGCCAGCATCATCCTGATACCAAAGCCTGGCAGAGACACAGAAAAAAAAGAGAATTTTAGACCAATATCCCTGATGAACATTGATGCAAAAATCCTCAATAAAATACTGGCAAACTGAATCCAGCAGCAACTCAAAAAGCTTATCCACTATGATCAAGTGGGCTTCATCACTGGGATGCAAGGCTTGTTCAACATACGCAAATCAATAAACGTAATCCAGCATATAAACAGAACCAAAGACAAAAACCACATGATTATCTCAATAGATGCAGAAAAGGCCTTTGACAAAATTCAACAGCACTTCATGCTAAAAACTCTCAATAAATTAGGTATCGATGGGACGTATCTCAAAATAATAAGAGCTATTTATGACATACCCACAGCCAATATCATCCTGAATGGGCAAAAATGAAGCATTCCCTTTGAAAACTGGCACAAGACAGGGATGCCCTCTCTCACCCCTGCTATTCAACATAGTGTTGGAAGTTCTGGCCAGGGCAATCAGGCAGGAGAAAGAAATAAAGGGTATTCAATTAGGAAAAGAGGAAGTCAAATTGTCCCTGTTTGCAGATGACATGATTGTGTATCTAGAAAGCCCCAGGTCTCAGCCCAAAATCTCCTTAAGCTGAGAAGCAACTTCAGCAAAGTCTCAGGATACAAAATCAATGTGCAGAAATCACAAGCATTCTTATACACCAATAACAGACAAACAGAGAGCCAAATCATGAGTGAACTCCCATTCACAATTGCTTCAAAGAGAATAAAATACCTAGGGATCCAACTTACAAGGGATGTGAAGGTACTCTTCAAGGAGAACTACAAACCACTGCTCAACAAAATAAAAGAGGATACAAACAAATGGAAGAACATCCCATGCTCTTGGATAGGAAGAATCAATATCGTGAAAATGGCCATATTGCCCAAGGTAATTTATAGATTCAATGCCATTCCCATCAAGCTACCAATGTCTTTCTTCACAGAACTGGAAAAAACTACTTTAAAGTTCATATGGAACCAAAAAAGAGCCCACATTGCCATGACAATCCTAAGCCAAAAGAACAAAGCCGGAGGCATCACACTACCTGACTTTAAACTATACTACAAGGCTACAGTAACCAAAACTGCATGGTACTGGTACCAAAACAGAGATATAGACAAATGAAAGAGAACAGAGCCCTCAGAAATAATACTACACATCTACAACCATCTGATCTTTGACAAACCTGACAAAAATAAGCAATGGGGGAAGGATTCCCTATTTAATAAATGGTGCTGGGAAAACTGGCTAGCCATATGTAGGAAGCTGAAACTGGATCCCTTCCTTACACCTTATACAAAAATTGATTCAAGATGGATTAAAGACCTAAAACCATACAAACCCTAGAGGAAAACCTAGGCAATACCATTCAGGACATAGGCATGGGCAAGGACTTCATGTCTAAAACACCAAAAACAATGGTAACAAAAGCCAAAATTGACAAATGGGATCTAATTAAACTAAAGAGCTCCTGCACAGCAAAAGAAACTACCATCAGAGCAAACAGGCAACCTACAGAATGGGAGAAAATTTTTGCAATCTACCCATCTGACGAAGGGCTAATATCCAGAATCTACAAAAAACTCAAACATATTTACAAGAAAAAACTCCATCAAAAAGTGGGCAAAGGATATGAACAGACACTTCTCAAAAGAAGACATTTATGAAGCCAATAGACACACGAGAAAATGCTCATCATCACTGGCCATCAGAGAAATGCAAATCAAAACCACAATGAGATACCATCTCACACCAGTTAGAATGGCGATCATTAAAAAGTCAGGAAACAACACGTGCTGGAGAGGATGTGGAGAAATAGGAACACTTTTACACTGTTAGTGGGACTGTAAACTAGTTCAACCATTGTGGAAGACAGTGTGGTGATTCCTCAAGGATCTAGAACTAGAAATACCATTTGACCCAGCCATCCCATTACTGGGTATATACCCAAAGGATTATAAAGCATGCTGCTATAAAGACACATGCACACGTATGTTTACTGCGTCACTGTTCACAATAGCAAAGACTTGGAACCAACCTAAATATTCATCAATGATAGACTGGATTAAGAAAATGTGGCACATATACACCATGGAGTACTATGCAGCCACGAAAAAGGATGAGTTCATGTCCTTTGTAGGGACATGGATGAAGCTGGAAACCATCATTCTCAGCAAACTAACACAGGAACAGAAAACCAAAGACTGCATGTTCTCACTCATAGGTGGGAATTGAAAAATGAGAACACTTGGACACAGGAAGGGGAACATCACATACCGGGGCCTGTCGTGGGGTGGGAGGAGGGGGAGGGATAGCATTAGGAGATACACCTAATGTAAATGACGAGTTAATGGGTGCAGCACACCAGCATGGCACATGTACACATAGGTAAAAAATCTGCACATTGTGCACATGTACCCTAGAACTTAAAATATAATAATAATAATAATAAAGAAGTCAGCTGAATCACCTCAGAGGCAAAAGCATTGCCTAGAGCTCCCCATGGAAAACTTAAAAAGAGAGGGAAAAAAGTGGCTTTAAAGAGTCATCCTCTAGTATAAAATTCAAGATGAGAATTCTTAATTCCTACTGAAGATAATCTGATTTTGCAAACTTCTCTATCATAGAGAAGCAAAGTGCTAAATAAATGTGAAAAAATAGTTCCTAATGGGTTTCATAAACAGAACTACTAAAGGGCAGCATGGCCAAGTGCAGTAATTTTCAATTCTTTTTAAAGTCGCAAAAGCTACTCTAAAATAGGAGCTTGTGCATGATTCTAATTTGTAAAACAGAAAAAGTAGCTGCTCTAATTGCAGTAGGTGAACCACCCAGCAAGAGCTCTGAGTACCAGTCCCTGATCTCTGTCAGGGGAACCCGAAGTTCCATGAGTCACGGTTTGAAATCTACTAATCAAATGGACACAGCACTAAAGTGAATATTACAATAATTTATGATGTCACATCATATATTGATGGTGTAGGTTTAGATACTTCACTAATTTGGGCCTTAGTTTCCTCGTCTGCGAACTGTGTGTTTAAAGTGAAAACATTTGCTGGGCGTGGCGGCTCACACCTGTAATCTCAACACTTTGGGAGGCCAAGACGGGTGAATCACTTGAGGTCAGGAGTTTGAGACCAGCCTGGCCAACATGGTGAAACCCCCTCTCTATCAAAAACAAAAAAATTAGACGGCCGTGGTGGCAGGCGCCTGTAGTCGCAGCTACTCTGGAGGCTGAGGCAGGAGAATGGCGTGAACCTGGGAGGCAGAGCTTGCAGTGAGCTGAGATCACACCACTGCACTCCAGCCTGGGCGACAGAGCGAGACTCCGTCTCAAAAAAAAAAAAAAAAAAAAAAGAATCACTTGAACGTGGGAGGCGGAGGTTGTAGTGAGCTGATATCGTACTACTACACTCTAGACTGGGTGACAGAGCGAGACTCTGTCCCAATAAATAAATAAACATCTACATAAATAAATAAATAAAATGAAAACCTTGGCTTTACCAGCCCTAACTTTCTATAAATTTATTCTCTAAGAGAAAATATCAAAAGAAAAGACTGCCTCATGTTAAGATGGAGTAACGGGGACTGGATTTACCTTCCTGTCTAAAATAATTTAAAAATGGAAAAAAACTGTGAAACAACAACTTTCAAAATATTGGAAATCAGACAACAAAAGACAGTGATTCTTGAGAGAAGGAAAACAAAAAAGGTAAGCCCTAAGATTGACCCAGACTAACTCCAGGGAGAATGTTTATAGGCTACAGCACAGGGAGGGAGAGCCCAGACAAAGCCTGACAGTCTGTCCGAGTTGAGGAGACAGAGCTGGAAGTCTGGGAGAACCACAGCCACTAGAGTCTTCAGGGCAGATAATGGAGATTGGGGAGTGGAACAGAGAAACCTGGGGTCTGCGGAAGGTGCCTCTTGAATATTCGGCTCAGTACTGCTTAGCACCTGTATGAGAAGAAACTGTTTGAGGGCAGGAAAAGAACCACCTGAAAAGATTAGAAGGAATAATCTTCTAAACTCCTGCAAGGGGAGGAACAGTGTCCGTCCACCACTCAGAGTGGAAGACTTCATAATGCACAGGGTATCAGGTAGAGTAGCCAGAGGTCTTGCCTCAGTAGTGGGAAAAAATTATCCCTACTCTAGTCTTGCTAACAAAGCATAAAAGTAAGAACTGAAAGGATCAAATTGTTTCAAAATAGCAATCTGATTCTTAGAACAAAGCTCGGGAATATTTATAGATATCCTGTTCCCCCAAAAAATAAAAACCCATCACTCAACATGTTAACATTCAAGGAATTGAAAGCAACCCAGAAATAATATTAGAATTGGATTACATATGAGATTAGAAAAAGACTCAACATGTCAAGTAGAGACACGAAAGATGTGAAAGGAGATCCAAATGAAACGTCGATAGTATTGCAGATGTAAAACACACTAGATGGCAATAAAGGCAAATTAAACATTGCAGAAAAAAAAGTGAGCTTGAAGACAAAGAAAAAAATCCTAATTTAAAACACAGAAAGAACAAAGTAAACAAAGTCTCAGGGAGCTGTGGGAAAACGTTTACCTATATTTTCACCAAATACAGGTGAAAGTGGCGTTTACAAGGACAGTAAAAAGAGAACAGGATGTAAACATATTTGAAGAAATAATGGCTGAAAAATTTCTAAATATGATGAAAACCACAAGCCCACAGATCTCAGAAGCTTAGCAAAGTCCAAGCACAAGAAACATGAAGGAAACTACACAAGGCCCATCATAATCAAATTTCTCCAAACCAGTGAAAATGATGAAATCTTAAAAACAGCCAACGCAAAAAGATACATGACATACAGAGGAACAAACATAAGCATGATAACAGATTTCCTCTCTAAAACAATGCAGGTGATAATAAAATGGAGCACCATGTTTAAAGTTGGGAAAGAAAAGAAGTCAACATAAAATTCTATACCCAGCAAAAATATTTTTCAAAAACAAAGACAAAATAAAAAGTCTTTTTTAGATATATAAGACCTGAACGAATTTATCATAAACAGAACTGTACTACCAGGAAAGTTAAAAGTCTTCTAGGCAGAAGGAAAATGATATCAGGAGAAAATCTGCATTTACAGAAAGGAATAAATAGCACTGGAAACAGTAACTATGAAGGTAAATAGAAAAGGCATTTTCCTGTGTATTTAAATCTCTGGGAAAGACAATTGTTTACAGTCAAAAACAAGAACAATACAGTTGAGCTTATAACACTTGTATGATAAAAATAGCATAAAAGTGGGGAGGGCAAAAATGGAAGCATATGGTTGTACAATTCTTAAATTATATGTTTATATGTATAACATTACTAGAACTTACATTATACTGAATTAAATACATATGCTATGAACTCTAAAGCAATCACTAAATGACAACACGGAATAATAACTAATAAGCCAAAAATGAGATAAAATGAAATGATAAAATATTCAAATAATCCAAGAGGAGATAGAAAAAGATGAGTAAAGAGAAAAAGCAGATGGGAAAAATAGAAAACAAATAACAAGATGGTACATTTAAAGCTAACCGTGGCCGGGCACAGTGGCTCACGCCCATAATCCCAGCACTTTGGGAGGCGGAGGCGGGTGGATCACCTGAGGTCAGGAGTTCGAGACCAGCCTGACCAACATGGCAAAACCCCGTCTCTGCTAAAAATACAAAAAGTAGTCAGGCATGGTGGCATGAGCCTGTAATCTCAGCTACTCAGGAGGCTGAGGCAGGAGAATCGCTTGAACCTGGGAGGTGGAAGTTGCAGTGAGCTGAGATCGCGCCGTTGCACTCCAGCCTGGGTGACAGAACGAGACACAGTCTCAAAAAAAAAAAAAAAAAAAAGAAAAGCTAACCGTGTCAATATCACATTAAATGTAAATAGTGTAACCACTTCCCCTCCCAATAAAGGCAGAGGTTGTATAAAAGACTGAATAAAAAAGTAAGCCCTGGCCGGGCGCAGTGGCTCACACCTGTAATCCCAGCACTTTGGGAGGCCGAGGCCGGCAGATCACGAGGTCAGGAGATTGAGACCATCCTGACCAACATGGTGAAACCCTGTCTCTACTAAAAATACAAAAATTAGCTGGGCATGCTGGCACATGCCTGTAATCCCAGCTACTCAGGAGGCTGAGGCAGGAGAATCGCTTGAATCCGGGAGGTGGAGGTTGCAGTGAGCCAAGATCGTTGTCACTGCACTCTAGCCTGGCGACATGGCGAGACTCTGTCTATAAATAAATAAATAAATAAATAAATAAAAGTAAGCCCTAACTATATGCTGCCTACTATTATCCACTTTAAGTGAAAAGACACAAATATGATTAAAGGATATTAAAAGCTATAAAACTTTAGTATGCTAATATTAGTACCCTCTCAAAAAAACCAAGGGTGTCTATATTAGTATCAGAAAATGATTTCAAAACAAAGAATATGACCAAGAATAAAGATGACCATTTTATAATAATACAGATTACAGGCATGAGCCACTCTGCCTGGTCCAGTTGTTTTTTAATTGCAAAAGAAATTCAGTGAGAAAAGAGCAAACAGTTTTTTCAATAAATAATGCTAATATGCCCTCCAAATGAACTTTGATTCATAATTAGTATCATAAAAAAGTTTACTCGAATGGGTCATAGACTAAAAGTGAAAAACCAAAAATTATAAAACTTCAGAAGAAAGCATGAAATCCTTGAGACCATGTGTTAGGCAAATATTTCTCAGATATGCAACCAAAAACACAATTCATTAAAAAAATAAATTGGACTTCACCAGCGTTAAAAACTTCTGCTCTTCAAAAGATACAGTTAAGAGAATGAAAGACTAGCTACAGACGGGGAGAAAATATTTGCAAATTACACATATGGTAAGCAACCAGAATGTATACAGAACTCTCAAAACCCAATGATAAGAAAACAACCTAATTAAAAAGTGGTCAAAAATGTGAACACTTTGCCCGAGGAGTTATACAGCTGATATACAAGCACATAGGATGTCCACATCATTAATCATTAGAAAAATTGAAATTGAAATCATAAGATACCATGACATACCTGTTAGAATGTCTAAAATCAAAAAGACTGGCCATACCAAGTGTTGGCAAGGATGCTTTCCTATACAGCTGGTGGGAATGCAAAAATGGCACACTTTGGAAAACGATCTGGCAATTTTTTAAAAAGTTAAAGGTACACATACCGTATGATCCAGCCATTCACTCCTAGGTATTTACCTAAGAGAAGAGGAAGCAAATGTCCACCCAATGACTTGTACATGAATGTTCGTAGCAGCTTTATTTGTAACAACCCAAACCGGAAATAAATATTCATTAACAAATGAAAGGAGGTTGGGCACAGTGGCTTACGCTTGTAATCCCAACACTTTGGGAGGATGAGGTGGGCAGATCATTTGAGGTCAAGAGTTTGAGACCACTCTGGCCAACATGGCAAAACCCAGTCTCTACCAAAAATACAAAAATTAGCCCGGTGTGGTGGTGCATGCCTGTAACCCCAGCTACTCGGGAGGCTGAGGCATGAGAATTGCTTGAGCCAAGGAGGTAGAGGTTGCAGTGAGCCCAGATCGCGCCACTGAACTCCACCCTGGGCCACAGAGACAGATTCTGTCACAAAACAAAACTAAACAAAACAAAAAAAGAAAGGATAACCAAATTATGATAATTTCATACAACGGACTACCACTCAGAGATAAAAGAGTTGATTGAGCCACATAAGAATGTGAATTAATACGAAAATAAGTAAGCTGAGTGAAGGAAGCCAAACAAAAAAACCAAGTACTTACTGTAGGAACCCATTTTTCTTAAGTTCTAGAAAATGAAAACTTATCTATATTGACAGAAAGCAGACCAGTGATTGGCCCAGGCAGAGTGGGGCAGGAGACAGGGATTATGTAAGGGTACCAGGAAACTGTGGGTGATCAACATTTTGGTTTGGTAATAGTTTCATGTGTATGTGTGGGTGTAGGCATATATATGTCAAAATCTATCAAAGTGTACACCTTAAAATGTGCATGTGTATGTCAATTATTCCTTAAAGCTGTCAAGATCTCTTAAAATTAAAAAAAAATTGAAATAAGAAAAGCATTTGATGTACATATGATATTAAAGTTAAACATGATGAACTAAACTCTGACTTACTGGACCCCTTCAGTAATCATGAACTTCTTTCTCACTTTACAGGAGAAATACAAATAAAAATTAAAAAGCCAATCAGAAACAAGTCTGTTTATTACTCTATATGTAGTATATATTCATCGATACCAATTGGTTCTATTAAATTATTTAATAGCATATCACCTAGTAAACTCTTCTCGGCACTCCAAGGAATGTCTGGAATGGGAGAAAAACACTCAAAACTACAGCGACATTAAGAGTTTTAATTAACAGGAAATATATTTAGATAAAACATTAAGTATATGGGCACTTAATGAGTGTTTCTAGGTGACCTTAGTATCTAAAATCCGTTTACTTGACTCACAAACATTAACAGTATTTTTTTGTCCCTGTGCTAGGCTTCAAAAACGATGGGTGTGTTTGCGTCTGGGATCATCTTTCTGGCTCTCTGGAACGCCAGTACATGTACTGAGCCTAGGAGGCAGCTAGCCTGTTGGCTGTACCAATTCAGCAGTTCCAATTGAACTGCTCTCCACTCACTCTGCCAATGCTGGACATACTTCTGATTGTATTTGTCTGCAATCTCTTCAATTTCCTGCCTTTCAGAAAGTTATAAGCCATGATGTAGCTTTCACTTGCCTGGTATAGACATTTGCAAAAACAAATCCAATGACACCATGGGGAAAGAAGCTTGATGCCTTTAATAGGTGCTCATCAGTCTTCTAGTTGATCACTTTTTCTGTCCTAGGAAAGGGCTTGCCTTGATGAATTTTTTTCCTGCAATTTATTCTTCCCCATTACTCTCCTTTGCTACAGTTTTGTTATAATTAGCAAATAACTTGGATATCTCTTAGACTTCTCATATTTTCCACATAGTTTCCAACAAATCTGCATCCATATTCACAAATTTGTAATGATACAAATCCCTGGGCTGATACATTTGAAAAGGAAGTCTGTGCAAAATCATAAAGAGAATAGGATTGAATATTCCTATCACACTGTATTGGAGGGGATTGATTAACACATTTAGAAGAGATTCTTACCTCTTCTAAAACACAAGCTGATTTTTCAACATAAGTGGATCAGGAAATCCTTGTTGACCTCTTACCAGTATTTAAACACAAACCCTTTTGAAACTTGCTCTTCCTTTGGCTTCTAGAACTCCTGGTTAACCTCTTAACTTCTCCAGTCTAGTCTGACAGCTCTTCCTAGTTTACATGCCCCAAAAGTGAAAATGTAGATATTTCCCAGGGCTCTCTAAACTCTCTGCCAAAAACATCTCATCCACCCTCATTAATGGCTTAATACCCCCTGCTGAATTTCTGAATCTCTCCACTCTCCACTCTCCACTCTGGAATTGCACAGTCTGGCAAGGAAACCGCTAGCCACTAGTGAGCACTTAAAATGTGGCTGGTGCAAACCGAGACATACTAGAAAACACACAAGAGATTTTGAAGACTTGGGTACAAAGGCCGAGGTGGGTGGATCACCTGAGGTCAGGAGTTCGAGACTAGCCTGGCCAACATGGTGAAACCCTGTCTCTACTAAGAAGACAAAAATTAGTCGGGCATCATGGCGGGTGCCTGTAATCCCAGCTACTCAGGAGGCTGAGGCAGGAGAATCGCTCGAACCCAGGAGGCGGGGGTTGCAGTGAGCCGAGATTGAGCTATTGCACTCCAGCCTGGACGACAAGACCGAAACTCCGTCCCAAAAATAAATAAATAATAATAATATAAAGTATCTTAAGTAATTTTTATATTGATTATATGTTGAAATAACAATATTTTGGATATACACCATGTACCCTTGAACAACAAAAGTTTAAACTGCACGAGTCCACTTATATGTGGATTTTCTTCAGCCTCTGCCACTCCTGAGACAGCGAGACCAACTCAACTTCTTCCTCCTCCTCTTCAGCCTACTCTACGTGAAGATGACAAGGATGAAGACCTTTATGATGATCCACTTCCATTTAATAAACAGTAAATATATTTTCTCTTCCTTATGATTCTCATAACACTTTTCTTCCTCTAGCTAATTTTATTGTACTAATACATAATACATATAACATACGAAATATGTATTAATCAACTGTTGATGTTTTTGGTCAACAGTAGGCTATTAGTAGTTAAGTTCTGGGGCAGTCAAAAGTTATATGTGGATTTTGACAGTGTAGTGGGTCATGACCCCTAACTCCTGCATTGTTCAAAGGTCAAGTGTATTGGGTTAAATATATTACTAAAATTAATTTCACTGTTTCCTTTTATCTTTTCTTAAAGTGTGACTGCTAGAAAATTTAATATTACATACATGGCTTATGTGACATTTCTGCTGGGCAGCGCTGCTTTACACCTAAAATTCAAACTGACTATTCAAACTGAACACATTAGAAACTGAACTCATTATATTTCAGACCCTGCTCCGTCACTGTCAGGATAGAATAAACCTTAGCCTTCAGGAGACAGATACACCGCATTACATCGGCCACTGCTGTTGAGGAAATTGTCTAACAAAGCAGCTAATCCTAGGATCAATTACTTATGAATAGGCGACACGGTGACTCTGGTCATTGTTAAAGAGCCTGTCAACATTCACTCATTGGCAGCTGCAGCAGGAATGTTTGTACAACTGGAAAATAACAAGCATTTGACGAGAAGTCGGCAGCAGGAATTAGGAACAAAGACAGCCAGGGTTTTGCCAAAATACTGGATAAAATTTACATGCATTCGAAGTCAGAAATGTTAGCAGTCACACATGTAGTTGTGACACATTCTCTGCAGGTAATTGAACCACCCTGATGTGCCAAAATTTTTTGCATTACCTGGCTCGTGAAATCTTCCTCTTCATCTAGGCTGAAATCTGGAATCATTTTTTTTACTATGCTTTCCTTTATTCCCATATCCAAGCAAATATCAAATTATGATTCTACCAACACCCAGTATGCCACACCCACATTTTTTTC
Source organism: Homo sapiens (assembly GCF_000001405.40). Classification (NCBI taxonomy): domain Eukaryota; kingdom Metazoa; phylum Chordata; class Mammalia; order Primates; family Hominidae; genus Homo; species Homo sapiens. The sequence continues at coordinate 27,858,221 of NC_000010.11, forward strand.
CTCCTTAAAGAAAACCAGAGAAAGGAAACACAGGTTGTTATGCTTCCCCCATGACCCCACAAGTTCTGGGGCTCAGAACAGAGTAGGAAGAAGAGGTCGAGAGAGACAATCTCCAGGTTGCATATTTCTGCTGGTAACACAGCATGGTAAGGTCTGCCTCTATGTTATTGCAGAGTAATTTACAAAAAAGTACCCTGTTCTTTACAGTTTTCCTCCAGTAGGAGTAACAGGTTGTTGGAAATGCAAACAGACTAAAGAGAAAGGCCCCCAAGAAACCCAAGGATAATCTGGGAAAGGCTCTAGAACACAACAGACACAATTTTCCTTCTTTGCTTTTTTCTTTTCTGTCCTTCACTCTAATCTTTCTTATTGCCTTTCTTTTTCTAATTCTAAAGTTTCTCTTTACAGAAACTTTCCTAACTGTGTGGGTGGGCCAAACACAGTTTGGTCACTTTACACGGTAGGATAATATTCATAAATGATTTTGGATTATCTATTGGCTTGCATCAGAAGAAATAATTGCGAGTTGCATATACACCAGGCATTTATGTCAACTGAACCATTACATGTACACCTTAGTACATTTTTTTTTTTTTTTTTTGAGACAGAGTCTCGCTCTATCACCCAGGCTGGAGTGCAGTGGTGTGATATCAGCTCACTGCAACCTCCACCTCCCAGGTTCAAGCGATTCTCCTGCCTCAGCCTCCCGAGTAGCTGGGACTACAGGTGCATGCCTATACATTTTTAAACTTTTTGAGCTTAAACTAACTGACAATTGTCTAAGCATATGCTATATGTCAGACATTTTTACCTGGCTACTTAAATTTTATAGTTTCTTTTTTTTTTAAGACTGCATACTTAGGTTGTGCAAGTCCCTGTTCAATAAAAGTATGCATAATTTTAAATTAGAAATATCTTCCTTTTTGAAATGGGAACGCAGTCATATTGAGACAATGGCCTTTTTAGCATTCCTGAACAACTTGAAGTTAATGGTCCAATATGTTTTTTATAGTTTACTTTTAAACATTGTTACTTAGTTTAAAAGATGCTTTGGCCAGATTTTTGCTTGAAGAAACTAATCTGGCCTAATTTACATGCCATAAAAACAGATTTATAATGGAAAGGTTGACACATTCAAACATATATTGAGTTTAATTTCAGAAAAATTAACATCATATTCTTCTACTGGAATAGATTTCAAGAATTAATTAAAATAATTGCCTCAAAAATTGCCAATTGGTATTTTAAGAGTACTATTCCTCCTAAGATGTTTCATATCTAGCATATCTAGATTTGACTAGATATGACTAACTGGGGTTTTTAACTCTTTGCTAAACCAACAAGTCCACTTTGGGCATCTGTTTTAAGATGTAAATGCATCTGGTTGTCATAGGCTCCAAATGAAGGTAATAAGCAGTAAAATTATATTGTACAAGGAAACAGGCTATAGAAAAGAACTAATATTTTAAATCAATTTTTCCTAATACATGTGAGCTGTTCATGTACTCTAAGTATTTTTATACTTATTGCCAGCAAAATATTCTAGTTGGTTTGCAATGTGTAGGTAAGTTAGAGTCTCTTTACAGAAACTTTCCTGTCTACTGATGCACAGATTTAAACAAACAAACAAACAAACAAACATGTCTTTGAATCTATCTATTGTTGTTATGGTTTAGACTAACAAGCTCCATCTAGTTATTGTTTCAGCCAGTTCCTTTGGTGTTTAGTTGGTGCCTATGGTTGCCTCTATCCTTTATTATTTATGTGTTAAGTAAACACTATAGCCAATAGAATTGTGAGTACTACTGCTTGTCCATATGCTGTACATTTTCTTTCATCAAAAATCAAATTATGGAATGATTATTTTACTAAGTACATTTCTATGCTTTAATTTAGAAAAATTCTATCTCCATACAACTTTTCTGCAGCATAAATCATCATAACACACTGGCTGGGCATTGTGACTCACTCCTGTAATCCCAACACTTTGGGAGGCCGAAGCAGGAGGATCACTTGAGGCCAGCAGTTCAAGACCAGCCAGGGCAGCATGGCAAGACCCTGTCTGTATACAAAATTAAAAGAATTAGCCAGGTATGGTGGCATGCACCTGTAGTCCTGGCTACTTGGGAGGGTGAGGCAGGAGGATCACTTGAGCCCAGGAGTTCAAGGCTGCAGTGAACTATGATTGCACCACTATACTCCAGCCTGGGCAACACAGCGAGACCTTGTTTAAAAAGAAAAAAAAAGTCATGATAACACATGGCTTGAATGCAGCCATGATGCAGCAGGCAGGCACTTTTGTGTCTCTGAATACCTCCTTTAGAGAAATCTTAGTGATGCCTAAGTTTCTTTCCAGGCTACATTTACCAAACTTGGACTAAACCACAAAGTCATTCAACTGTACCTTTACTGCACCATTCTCATGCATGGTGATGCAGTTATCGGCGTCTTCTGAGAGTTGGTACAAGGCCTGAGCTGTCGCCCGATGCACGTTGGTGTCATTTGATTTCAGATAACGCACTAGTGGAGCCACTGCTTTGTGCTCACCGAAGGCCACTCTATTCCTGCCCCACATACAGCAACGTGAAATAGCTTCTGCTAGATGATGTCTCAATTTATTGTTATTCTGTGCAAGGGAAAATGAAATGGGATCTGTGCATTGTAATGACCCTGCAAGATCATGTCTATAAGCACTTTATGTTTATTAACCATTAAGACACCAATGAGTCTAGAGAAAAGGGCTAGCTGGCTGACTACCTAGGTGATGTTTTGAAGGAACTAGTCTTTTTTAGATGGAGTCTCACTCTGTTGCCCAGGCTGAAGTGCAGTGGTGCCATCTCAGCTCACTGCAAGCTCGGCCTCCTGGATTCAAGTGATTCTCATGCCTCAGCCTCCCAAGTAGCTGAGATTACAGGTGCCCGCCACCACACCTGGCTAATTTTTGTATTTTTAGTAGAGAAGGGGTTTCACCATGTTGGCCAGGCTGGTCTTGAACTCCTGGCCTCAAGTGATCCACTCACTTTGGCCTCCAAAAGTGCTGAGATTACAGGCGTGAGCCACTGCACCCAGCTGAAGGAACTAGACTTTTGGTGGGTCACCAACAGACCAACGTTCAATCTTGAGTTTTCTTCTTATGAACTGAATGTAGTCAGTGCACTCAAAGGTGACCAAGCATCTGACATCAGTCATTAGCTCAAGGCTAGATTTTCTTTAGAGTGAGTCTACTACACAACGCAAAATTACAGATCAGCAAGTTATTTTGTAATCCAAATATTTATAGAATATTAGATATCCTTAAAGGGATACTGCACTTAACTGGGATAAGTGGATTGACTGGATTTCTCCACCCTAGGAATACATTGATATCAGTAATACACCTTGGTTGCCTTGGCTCCTGAGAGGGAGAAGAGAGTGCAGCAAATCCGAAGACACATTTTGGGTCTTCCATTTTCCTTTCTGTATTTTTTGATGCAGACGATATCCTTCTTTGTATACGTAATTGCCCTGTAATGGGCATACTATTACTGAATCGGATGGTTTTGTGTTTATTAAGAGTACTGCTCTCTTGATTCAGGCAACAACTTGGTGTCCTTAACTGAATCTGACAGATATTCTTAGGAACTCAAAGTCTTCTAGACCAAGCATCCTTCCAGGGTTTGAATTTCTGCTCTATGACTTTTCTGCCAAGTGGTAGTCCAAGCTATGCTCAAATACCTCTGGTCATGGTGAAGTCATTGTCTCTCAAGGCTGCTTATTCTGTCTGGCACAGCTCTGGATAAACAATGAAATGATTGCCAAAGTCTTCTAGCTCAAGAATGCCATCGACTGAAGCTTGCTAAACTGGGGAGGCACATTTGATTTCTAACGTTGGCATGAAGAACCATCGAGAATCATAACCATGATGGTGGCGGTGAAGATGATAGTTAACACTTACATAATAGCACTTGTATTTGCCAGTTTACTTGCCAGTGGCAAATAAAAAACAGCTTCTATTTTACAAGGATCTTGTAATACTAACATTTTATAGTTTAAAATACGCTTTCACATATATTAGTCTCAGAGAAACTAAATGAGTTGACCAAATCTCATACCTCATAAGCAATGGGTATTAAACTTGAATCCAGGTTTCTGGACTGCAAATGCATTGTTTTCATCACTACACCATGATATCTCAGGACAATATGCATGTAAAACAAAAAGATGTGTTACTTACTGTATTTGCCAGTTTGGACAATAAAGGAACAACTCCATGATCTGTGATAACAGCTAAATTTTCTTGATCTTTTGCTATGTTGGTAATGGCAGCACATACACTTGCCAGAACTTCTTTGTTATCTGATTTCAGTAAATTGACAATAAGTTCCAAACCACCAACAAAGGAACGAACCATTTCCCCAGCATCCTAGACAAAAATAAAAGTAAAGATGGTATCAAAACTAAACCTACATTTAGGCATTTTTTAAGAGGCAGAAAGTAACAATACAGCTGTGAGGTACATCTTTGGCATGAAAGACTACTTCAACTTAATTTATTTCTATATTATATATTATTTCTACATGTATATGTATAAAGTGTGTGTGTGTACATATGTATAAGTCTATATACATATGTAGCACATATAAAAATTCAGTTTCAAAAAATATTTATTGAATATTACAGGAGAGTCACTGTGTTAGCTACTGAGGATATCAAAGTTATTAAAGTACAGTTGATTCTTACTATTTGTGGTAGCTTTGTTCTATAAAGTAATTGCAAACACTGAATCAGCCAATACTAAACTTTTTCTCTTAGGAGAAACATAGGACTAGGTTCCTGCAAGCCTCTGGCTACAACATTTTCATCAGTTGATGGATACATAACCTTGTTTTATGTGTATTTCTGTTTGAAGACACCTGATTTCATATATATTGTTCATTCATTCATATTGAACTCATGGCCAACAGCATTATAGCTCATGCAATGGAGCTTATTTAACACAGATATTTTCTCTTTCAGGCACACCACAGCCTTCTTGCCCTTACAAACCATAGGCAGCACCTCAGCACCACATCTGGGGGCCACTGTGAACAGTGAAATAACCAACAAAAAGCACAAAAATCCAAAAATTATGGCACTAAATGGACTGCAAAATGGACACTTGCTTACAGTATGAGAAATGAAACAAGAAGGCAGAGAATCGCCTTCTTCAGCCTCAGCTGAGAACGTGTGCATTGGACGACTCAAATTTTTCACTTCTCTGTGCATGTCCAAGAATGACCATATTGAGTAGGGGGTTACAAGTAAATTTGAGCAAGTAGGCAAATTCCCAAGGAGAATTTGTGAATAATGTGGATCGACTTTATATATTCTTTTGCCATGATGTTGCCTACAACTGGTGGGGAAGATGGGCATTAAGAAATTACAAGTATAACAAATAGCACTGGAGGGAGGAGGAGATGAAGAGACTACAAATCCATACAATGAGGAAACCTCAACTAATATAAAGGTTCAAGGGCTGACTCCCCAAGGCCTAAGGGACAAAAAGTTATCCAGCGTGAAAGGGATTCTGGTTGGACAAATCATCATGTTGCACAGATCTGACAGCGAGAGAGAAGGTGATTTTTTTTTTTTCTAGTTCAGAATGACTGGAGCACAAAATAAGAAAGGCAGCATGGGAGAAAGTGAGACTTAAGAGGTGAGATCTTGAAGGGTCTCACCTTTAAGATCCTTCAGGGAGCATCTTGGTAAAGGGTTTGGAGTTCATTTTTAAGGGCATTGGAAAGCCCCTGAAGAGGCTGAAGTGTGGGGGAAGGATTTTTATCAATTTTTTATCTTAGAAGATTTCTCAGAATTACAGGGTGCAGGGTTGGAGTGGGTGCAAAGAATGGTATAGGGAACACAGGGGCTATTTCGCTAGACCACATGGGAAGTGGTGATGGTTTGGGGGAGGGTGGTGGTCTATGCCTGGAGAGAAGATTGTGGATTTGGGAAGCTTGCTTGGAGAAGATAGAGATGAGTGATTTGAGATGATTCCCACGTCTCTGGCTCAACTTAGTAGGGCTAATGTTGGAAGAGCTGGGTTTGGTTTGACTTGGTTTGGTTTTCTTGGGGTGGCATATGATATTAGAAGACCTAATTTGAATGAAGTACCCACAGACATTTAAGTGGAACTATCTAGGATGCAGATGAATGTATGGGCTTGGAGCTTAGAAAAAAAAAACAGGCTGGAAGTGGAGATTTGGAATTCATCAGAATAAAGACTGTAACTAAAGCCATGCAAATTAGAGAGTGAGGAGTGAAGTGAGAGTGGAGAGTGAGGTGAGAGCGGGGAGTGAGGTGAGAGCGGGGAGTGAGGTGAGAGCGGGGAGTGAGGTGAGAATGGGGAGTGAGGTGAGAGTGGGGAGTGAGGTGAGAGTGGGGAGTGAGGGGAGAGTGAGGAGTGGGGTGATAGTGGGCTCTTTCTGGTGTCCCAGGTGTGGGCCAAGGAAAAGAATTTGTCAGAAGATCTTGGAGTCAGATCTCCACCTTCTCTAAGGTTGTATGGGGGTGAGTGTAATGTCCACCAATTACTTGGCTCTATCACTTTCTCAAATAATAATAATTCACATCTTTTGCATCCCAACGGCGTATCAGGCATGGTACTACGCACTTCACATAAGTTATTTCAGTTAAACCTCACAGGAATCATGCAAAATGGGTATTATTTCCATTTTAGGTTTTTAAAAGTGAGGCTCAAAGAGGTTGAACCTTATAAAATAGATTGTATCCCTCATGAAGGTAGGCACCATGTGTTACTCAACTGAGTGATCATTAGAAACCGTAAATCTGATGATCCCATCTCCATACCCACCAAATTCTTCCACAGCAACCCCTGCCCTTAGGATAAAATTCAAACTCCACAACGTTGTTTGCAAACCTTTCAAGGTGCACCCCTGGTTTATCTCTCCAGCCTCAACTTCCCTGCCTTGACACCTCTTCTCCAACCTCCCCCACATATACCCTGAGCCAGTGGCTCTCTATGTGAGCTAATAATAAGAACCCTGGCACTCATTCCCTGAGAATGTGATTCATTAAGTCTGGGTGAGGTCCACTAAAATATTTGTATTTTTAAAAACTCTCCAGCCAGTAGAGGGAACACTACTTTATGAATTAGTCCTTCAGTTTTCATGTCCTCAAATGTGCATGTCTCCACAAGTCTGCACAAACCTTTTCTGTCTGTCTTCCTGTTAGCTTGGGAATTCCTACACATCTTCAGCTGCCAACTAAGGTATGCTCTTCTTCAGGAAACCTTTCCTGAACCTCAAGTCTGGGTTAAGTGGCATCTTCCATAATACCTGGTTCTCCTGTATGACAGCACCTATCACTGCACATAGTTGTGGTTTCTTTGTTTGTCTTTGACCCTGAACTGTAAGTCCCAGGAGGGTGAGGACTCTTGCTGTCTCATTCATTGTTGAATGCCTGGTACCTATGCCAGTTTCTAGCAGTTAGTAGATACTCAACTAACATTCATTGAATTTGATTGTTTGCAAACTCATAGCCTTAAAAGAAAGCTTTCACTGTGGTTACAACAAACCAAACTAAACTCCTACTAAATGGTGAAGGCAGGACACGAGTCAGGTTCTATGCAAGTGTGAGGGCGAAGCCACTTTCTCTCTGTAACACGTTGCCTTACCTGATTGCTGAGAGAAGTGACAGCAGCAATATTGGTGGGCTGGTTCTCAATAGTAAATCTAAATACAATTTCTGATAGTTAGGACATACTTCTAAATTCTGATGTATTCATAAGCTTATTTGGAAAAATAGTTAATTGCCATTCTTTGTAAAATTCTACAATAAAGATTTCTGTGTAATACAAAAGAAATGATTATATTTTCAATTGTCTTCTATACTGTCACTTTATTACACTTCTATGCATTAGGATGCTCTCAAATCAAAATACTATAAACATGAATGTATTAACCTTGAAATATCCAACACTGTTTAATCCTAATTACCCTTTGAGGCAGTTAGTGGTGGTAGATGGAGCTTTAGTATTTGCATGTCATAGATGAAGAAAACCCAGAGGAATAAATTAACATGTAAAAGGTAAAATGACAGAGTGGCAGAAGCAGGATTTGATTCCAGATCTGTCTGACCCCAGAGCCCCCTCACAATATTGTGATTTGTAAATCCTAACCATATACTTGGCTCAAATGAGGCCATGCACATGTAAATTCAAAAGCAAAAACAGGGGCTCTTAGAATTTCAGGGGACTTCAAAAGCATAGCCCCAAAGCTCAACTTTTCCAAGGATCATCTTGGTCCAATTGTGTTACTATGAAGGGATACTTTATAAATTACTGGGTAATTTATAAAGAAGATAAGTTTATTTGGCTTATGGTTCTGCAGGCTTTACAAGAAACATGGTGCCAGCATCTGCTTCTGGTGAGGGCCTCAGGAAGCTTCCACTCATGGTAGAAGGTGAAAGGAAGTAGGCATCACATGGTAAAAGAAAGGAAGCAAGAGAGGGGAGGGAGGTGCCAGACTTTTTAAAAGACTTTTAACAATCAGTTCTGGTGGGAACTAATAGACCAAGAAGAACTCACTCATTACAAAGCTGGCACCAAGGCATTCATAAGGGATCAGCCCCCATGACCCAAACTCCTCCCATTAGACCCCACTCCAACACTGGGGATCAAATTTCAACATGAGATTTGGAGGGGAAAATATCCGAACTATCTCAATGATGTTATAGATGTCAATAGTCTCATACATTTGTCAATGACAAAATCACAGAACTTCTTTTTTTTTTCTCAAGAAAACCGGGAGGAATTCTGGACAGATGATAGTGGCAAAGTGTTTGAATCTCATTCTCCCTATGAAAACAGTGCAGATAGTAGAGCAAAACAAAAAACACAATGGACAATATACACCATAGTAGGTGAACAAGATACCCACAACTGACCCCAAAGCACAAGCAGACTTGGAGGGACAAACTAGCAACCACAGTGGGAAGGCAGAGGCATTTGTGAAGGTCTTGAGAGCCAAGAAACCCCAAAGGGCCATGAAGTTCTCACTGGAAAGTTCCAGAACAGCAGCAGAAGCAGCTGCGAATGGACTTTTCAGGCTGTGATGAACGGATAAGACTACAATGCCACAAAGTCTGATGGTGCTGGGGTGTTCTGTTAGGCCTGAGTTCCATGAATTGGTAAAACTACAAACTGAAGCCTTTTCTGGGACAAAGCCATGCACAGAAGAGAAACTACACGGAATAGCATCATCCAAATTGAGCAACGCAGAGACACTGGGATGAAGGACTAAGAAAGTTCAGATAAAAAGGGAGGGTGGAAGCAGAGGGGCCAGAATGCACCCTGCATCACTGTGAAGATGACAATGGAATCCTGGGAATCAAGAAAGTAGCAGTGCCATCCTAGTCCACATCTCCCTTCTAAAAGACCAGGAAAACTCATTTCACTTACAAATAAGCAAGGGCTGGGTGCAGTGGCTCACGCCTGTAATCTCAGCACTTTGGAAGGCTGAGGCAGGCGGATCACTTGAGGTCAGGAGGTTGAGACCAGCCTGGCCAACAAAGTGAAATCCCATCTCTACTATAATACAAAAATTAGCTGGGCATGGTGGCGTGAACCTGTAATCCCAGCTATTTGGGAGGCTGAGGCATGAGAATCGCTTGAACCTGGGAGGCAGAGATTACAGTGAGCTGAGATCACTCCACTGCACTCCAGCCTGGGTGACAGAGCAAAACTCTGTCTCAAAAAGAAAAAAAAAAAGCAGTATAAAAAAGACTCCAGTCAATTTCCATATACAGTTATTATAAGAAATAAAAAACATGAACAAACACTTCTCAAAAGAAGACATTTATGCGGCCAACAAACATGAAAAAAAGCTAAATATCACTGACTGTTAGAGAAATGCTAATCAAAATCACAATGAGGTATCATCTCATGCCAGTGAGAATGACGATCATTAAAAAGTCAAGAAACAACATGCTTGTGAGTCTGTGGAGAAATAGGAATACTTGTACACTGTTGGTGGGAGTGTAAATTAGTTTAACCATTGTGGAAGACAGTGTGGTGATTCCTCAAGGATCTAGAACCAGAAATAAAATTTGACCTAGAAATCCCATTACTTGGGTATATACCCAAAGGAATATAAATCGTTCTATTATAAAGACACATGCACACATATGTTTATCGCAGCACTATTCACAATAGCAAAGCCATGGAATCAACCCAAATGCCCATCAATGATACACTGGATAAAGAAAATATGGTAGATATATACACCATGGAGTATTATGCAGCCATAAAAAGGAATGAGATCATGTTCTTTGCAGGGACATGGATGAAGCTGTAAGCCATCATCCTCAGCGAACTAACACACGAACAGAAAACCAAACAACACGTGTTCTCACTCATAAGTGGGAGCTGAACAATGAGAACACATAGATACAGGGAAGGGAATAACACACATTGGGGCCTGCTGGGGCACGGAGGGAGGGAGAGCATCAGGATAAATAACTAAGGCATGCAGGGCTTAATACCTAGGTGATGGGTTAATAGGTGCAGCAAACCACCATGGCACACATTTACCTATGTAACAAACCTGCACATTCTGCACATGTATCTTGGAACTTAGAATAAAATAAAATAAAATAAAAATAAATAATAAAATAAAATTTTCCTGTAAACATAAAAAAAGAGAATAAGGAGCAAAATCATGCTCTTACGATGAAAGCACATTAGAAAGACATGCCTACAAAACAGATGAAAACTGTAAGATAAAATTTCAATAGGAGCTAAAGGAAAATAATAAAAGCAATGAATGAAAAACCTAAATTAGAATTGCTGAAGTTGTAATTAGGTGATTAATTTAAAAAAGCAACTTTTTAAAAGACAGATGAAAGATATCTATAAAGAATTAGATATAAAATAAAAATGCATTTTTGAAATGAAGAGTGAACTAGAAGGAGCACAAGAACAAATAAAGATAATGGATAATCTTTGTCAATAGAAGATGTGAAAACTGAAGGGTAATGTAAAAATAGTTAACAAAAAATTCAAGGCAACAAATAGGCAGAGAAGATCTAACACATGTATGTAAGAGTCCCCAAGAAAGAAAACAAATCTCTACAATAGGGCACATTTTAAAATCTAGAATAAAAAAATCTTTCTCCTGAAATAAATAAAACCTGAGAGTATACTGAAAAGTTATATATTTGGAAAAATTGACCCAGAGTGGCGTAATATAAAGATATATTCTGGTACAACTTCTGGACTTAAAAAAAAAAATCTATAATCAGCAAGCAAAAAGACTAAGTCACTTTTTTTTCTTTTTTCTTTTTCTTTTTTTTTTTTGAGATGGAGTTTCACTCTTTTGCCCAGGCTGGAGTGAATTGGCACGATCTTGGCTCACTGCAACTTCCGCCCCCTAGGTTCAAATGATTCTCCTGGCTTAGCCTCCCAGGTAGCTGGGATTACAGGTGCATGCCACCATGTCCGGCTAATTTTTGTATTTTTAGTAGTGACAGGGTTTCACCATGTTGGCCAGGCTGGTCCCGAACTCTTGACCTTAAGTGATCCACCTGCCTCGGCCTCCCAAAGAGCTAGGATTACAGGCATGAGCCACCATGCCTGGCCGACCAAGTCACTTCTAAGGGAAAGAATAAGACATTATCATTAGACTTTCCAACAGTGATGTTTGATGATGTGGGGAAGGGAGTGACACCTCTAAGCTACTCAAGGAGAGCAAATGCAAATCAGTGTTCTAATATTGAGTCAAAATGACCTTCAAAGTAAAATATATATATATATAGTTGGAAGTATAAAATTTTATAAACATGGGAGATTTCCAGGAATGATGTTAACACAAGTTCTTCACTTGAGAATGAATGTCAGATCTCCAAAAAGTCTAGAAGGACATTAACAAAAGGGCTGTCAATGTCTTAAAATCCTCTATTGGCTTCATTTTTCTTCAGAATAATCATTAGCATGACATTCAGGCATTTCCCGATCTGGCCCAACCTCAATCTTTTCTCTCCCAATCTCAATCTTTTCTCTCCCAGTCTTCTCTTTGGCATAGTCTACACTCCAGCCTCCTGGAAACTGTTTCCTAAAGTGCCAGATTCCTGTACATCTTTGAATCTGTTATTTTCTTTTTTAATATTATTATTATCACACTTTAAGTTCTAGGGTACATGTGCTCAACATGCAGGTTTGTTACATATGCATACATGTGCCATGTTGGTGTGCTGCACCCATTAACTCGTCATTTACATTAGGTATATCTCCTAATGCTATCCCTCCCCCATCCCCCAACCCCATGACAGGCCCCAGTGTGTGATGGTCCCCTTCCTGTGTCCAAGTGTTCTCATTGTTCACTTCCCACCTATGAGTGAGAATATGCGGTGTTTGGTTTTTTGTCCTTGCGATAGTTTGCTGAGAATGATGGTTTCCAGCTTAATCCATGTCCCTACAAAGGACATGAACTCATCCTTTTTTATGGCTGCATAGTATTACATGATGTATATGTGCCACATTTTCTTAATCCACTCTATCATTGATGGACATTTGGGTTGGTTCCAAGTATTTGCTATTGTGAATAGTGCCACAATAAACATACGTGTGCATGTGTCTTTATAGCAACATGATTCATAATCCTTTGGGTATATACCCAGTAATGGGATGGCTGGGTCAAATGGTATTTCTAGTTCTAGATCCTTGAGGAATCGCCACACTGTCTTCCACAATGGTCGAACCAGTTTACAGTCCTACCAACAGTGTGAAAGTGTTCCTATTTCTCTACATCCTCTCCAGCATCTGTTGTTTCCTGACTTTTTAATGATCGACATTCTAACTGGTGTGAGATGGTATCTCATTGTGGTTTTGATTTGTACTTCTCTGATGGCCACTGATGATGAGCATTTTTTCGTGTGTCTATTGGCTACATAAATGTCTTCCTTTGAGAAGTGTCTGTTCATATCCTTTGTTCACTTTTTGATGGGGTTGTTTGTTTTTTTCTTCTAAATTTGTTTGAGTTCTTTGTAGATTCTGGATATTAACCCTTTGTCAGATGAGTAGATTGCAAAAATTGTCTCCCATTCTGTAGGTTGCCTGTTCACTCTGATGGTAGTTTCTTTTGCCGTGCAGAAGCTCTTTAGTTTAATTAGATCCCATTTGTCAATTTTCGCTTTTGTTGCCATTGCTTTTGGTGTTTTAGACATGAAGTCCTTGCCCATGCCTATGTCCTGAATGGTATTGCCTAGGTTTTCCTCTAGGGCTTGTATGGTTTTAGGTCTAACATTTAAGTCTTTAATCCATCTTGAATTAATTTTTGTATAAGGTGCAAGGAAGGGATCCAGTTTCACCTTTCTACATATGGCTAGCCAGTTTTCCCAGCACCATTTATTAAATAGGGAATCCTTTCCCCATTTCCTATTTTTGTCAGGTTTGTCAAAGATCAGATGGTTGTAGATGTGTGGTATTATTTCTGAGGGCTCTGTTCTGTTCCATTGGTCTATATCTCTGTTTTGGTACCAGTACCATGCAGTTTTGGTTACTGTAGCCTTGTAGTATAGTTTGAAGTCAGGTAGCGTGATGCCTGCAGCTGTGTTCTTTGGACTTAGGATTGTCTTGGCAATGCAGGGTCTTTTTTGGTTCCACATGAACTTTACAGTAGTTTTTTCCAGTTCTGTGAAGAAAGTCATTGGTAGTTTCATGGAGATGGTATTAAATCTATAAATTACCTTGGGCAGTATGGCCATTTTCACGATATTGATTCTTCCTATCCAAGAGCATGGAATGTTCTTCCATTTGTTTGTGTCCTCTTTTATTTCGCTGAGCAGTGGTTTGCAGTTCTCCTTGAAGAGTACCTTCACATCCCTTGTAAGTTGGATCCCTAGGTATTTTATTCTCTTTGAAGCAATTGTGAATGGGAGTTCACTCATGATTTGGCTCTCTGTTTGTCTGTTATTGGTGTATAAGAATGCTTGTGATTTCTGCACATTGATTTTGTATCCTGAGACTTTGCTGAAGTTGCTTCTCAGCTTAAGGAGATTTTGGGCTGAGACCTGGGGCTTTCTAGATACACAATCATGTCATCTGCAAACAGGGACAATTTGACTTCCTCTTTTCCTAATTAAATACCCTTTATTTCTTTCTCCTGCCTGATTGCCCTGGCCAGAACTTCCAACACTATGTTGAATAGCAGGGGTGAGAGAGGGCATCCCTGTCTTGTGCCAGTTTTCAAAGGGAATGCTTCCAGTTTTTGCCCATTCAGGATGATATTGGCTGTGGGTTTGTCATAAATAGCTCTTATTATTTTGAGATACGTCCCATCAATACCTAATTTATTGAGAGTTTTTAGCATGAAGTGCTGTTGAATTTTGTCAAAGGCCTTTCCTGCATCCATTGAGATAATCATGTGGTTTTTGTCTTTGGTTCTGTTTATATGCTGGATTACGTTTATTGATTTGCATATGTTGAATCAGCCTTGCATTCCAGGGATGAAGCCCACTTGATCATAGTGGATAAGCTTTTTGATGTGCTGCTGGATTCAGTTTGCCAGTATTTTATTGAAGATTTTTGCAACGATGTTCATCAGGGATATTGGTCTAAAATTCTCTTTTTTTTCTGTGTCTCTGCCAGGCTTTGGTATCAGGATGATGCTGGCCTCATAAAATGAGTTAGAGAGGATTCCCTCTTTTTCTATTGATTGGAATAGTTTCAGAAGGAATGGTCCCCGCTCCTCCTTGTACTTCTGGTAGCATTCGGCTATGAATCCCTCTGATCCTGGACTTATTTTGGTTGGTAGGCTATTAATTGTTGCCTCAATTTCAGAGCAACAATTGGTCTATTGAGGGATTCAACTTCTTCCTGGTTTAGTCTTGGGAGGGTGTATGTGTCCAGGAATTTATCCATTTCTTCTAGATTTTCTAGTTTATTTGTGTGGAGGTGTTTATAGTATTCTCTGATGGTAGTTTGTATTTCTGTGGGATCGGTGGTGATATCCCCTTTGTCATTTTTTATTGCGTCTATTTGATTCTTCTCTCTTTTCTTCTTTATTAGTCTCGCTAGTGGTCTATCAATTTTGTTGATCTTTTCAAAAAACCAACTCCTGGATTCATTGATTTTTTGAAGGGTTTTTTGTGTCTCTATCTCCTTCAGTTCTGCTCTGATCTTAGTTATTTCTTGCCTTCTGCTAGCTTTTGAATGTGTTTGCTCCTGCTTCTCTAGTTCTTTCAATTGTGATGTTAGGGTGTCAATTTTAGATCTTTCCTGCTTTCTCTTGTGGGCATTTAGTGCTATAAATTTCCCTCTACACACTGCTTTAAATGTGTCCCAGAGATTCTGGTGTGTTGTGTCTTTGTTCTCATTGTTTTCAAAGAACATCTTTATTTCTGCCTTCATTTCATTATGTACCCAGTAGTCATTCAGGAGCAGGTTGTTCAGTTTCCATGTAGTTGAGTGGTTTTGAGTGAGCTTCTTAATCCTGAGTTCTAGTTTGATTGCACTGTGGTCTGAGAGACAGTTTGTTATAATTTCTGTTCTTTTACATTTGCTGAGGAGTGCTTTACTTCCAACTATGTGGTCAATTTTGGAATAAGTGTGATGTGGTGCTGAGAAGAATGCATATTCTGTTGATTTGGGGTGGAGAGTTCTGTAGGTGTCTATTAGGTCCACTTGGTGCAGAGCTGAGTTCAATTCCTGGATATCCTTGTTAACTTTCTGTCTCGTTGATCCGTCTAATGTTGACAGTGGGGTGTTAAAGTCTCCCATTATTATTGTGTGGGAGCCTAAGTCTCTTTGTAGGTCTCTAAGGACTTGCTTTATGAATCTGGGTGCTTCTGTATTGGGTGCATATATATTTAGGATAGTTAGTTCTCCTTGTTGAATTGATACCTTTACCATTATGTAATGGCCTTCTTTGTCTCTTTTGATCTTTGTTGGTTTAAAGTCTGTTTTATCAGAGACTAGGATTGCAACCCCTGCCTTTTTTGTTTTCCATTTGCTTGGTAGATCTTCCTCCATACCTTTATTTTGAGCCTATGTGTGTCTCTGCACATGAGATGGGTCTCCTGAATACAGCACACTGATGGGTCTTGACTCTTTACCCACTTTGCCAGTCTGTGTCTTTTAATTGGAGCATTTAGTCTATTTACATTTAAGGTTAATATTGTTATGTGTGATTTGATCCTGTCATTGTGATGTTAGCTGGTTCTTTTGCTTGTTAGTTGATGCAGTTTCTTCCTAGCATCGATGGTCTTTACATTTTGGCATGTTTTTGCAGTGGCTGGTACCAGCTGTTCCTTTCCATGTTTAGTGCTTCCTTCAGGAGCTTTTGTAGGGCAGGCCTGGTGGTGACAAAATCTCTCAGCATTTGCTTATCTGTAAAGGATTTTATTTCTCCTTCACTTATGAAGCTTAGTTTGGCTGGCTATGAAATTCTGGGTTGAAAATTCTTTTCTTTAAGAATGTTGAATATTGGCCTCCACTCCCTTTTGTCTTGTAGGGTTTCTGCCGAGAGATCCACTGTTAGTCTGATGGGCTTCCCTTTGTGTGTAACCCGAACTTTCTCTCTGGCTGCCCTTAACATTTTTTCCTTCATTTCAACTTTGGTGAATCTGACAATTATGTGTCTTGGAGTTGCTCTTTTCGAGGAGTATCTTTGTGGTGTTCTCTGTATTTCCTGAATTTGAATGTTGGCCTGCCTTGCTAGGTTGGGGAAGTTCTCCTGGATAATATCCTGCAGAGTGTTTTCCAACTTGGTTCCATTCTCCCCATCACTTCCAGGTACACCAATCAGATGTAGATTTGGTCTTTTCACATAGTCCCATATTTCTTGGAGGCTTTGTTTGTTTCTTTTTATTCTTTTTTCTCTAAACTTCTCTTCTCGCTTCATTTCATTCATTTGATCTTCAATCACTGATACCCTTTCTTCCAGTTGATTGAATCGGCTACTAAAGCTTGTGCATTCGTCACGTAGTTCTTGTGCCATGGTTTTCAGCTCCATCACATCATTTAAGGACTTCTCTACACTGGTTATTCTAGTTAGCCCTTCATCTAATCTTTTTTTGAAGGTTTTTAGCTGCTTTGTGATGGTTTAAACTTCCTCCTTTAGCTTGGAGAAGTTTGATCTTCTGAAGCCTTCTTCTCTCAACTCATCAAAGTCATTCTCTGTCCAGCTTTGTTCCGTTGCTGGAGAGGAGCTGCGTTCCTTTGGAGGGGGAGAGGCACTCTGATTTTTAGAATTTTCAGCTTTTCTGCTCTGTTTTTCCCCATCTTTGTGGTTTTATCTACCTTTGGTCTTTCATGATGGTGATGTACAGATGGGGTTTTGGTGTGGATGTCCTTTCTGTTTGTTAGTTTTGGTGGTTCCAAGATGGCCGAATAGGAACAGCTCCAGTCTACAGCTCCCAGCATGAGTGATGCAGAAGACAGGTGATTTCTGCATTTCCAACTGAGGTACCAGGTTCATCTCACTGAGTCTTGTTGGACAGTGGCTGCAGGACAGTGGGTGCAGCCCACCGAGCATGAGCCAAAGCAGGGCAAGGCATTGCCTCACCCAGGAAGCACAAGGGGTCAGGGAATTCCCTTTCCTAGCCAAGGGAAGCTGTGAGAGATGGCACCTGGAAAATCGGGTCACTCCCACCCTAATACTGCACTTTTCCAACAGTCTTAGTAAACAGCACACCAGGAGATTATATCGCACGCCTGGCTCGGAGGGTCCCATGCCCACAGAGCCTCGCTCATTGCTAGCACAGCAATCTGAGATTGAATTGCAACATGGCAGCGAGCCTGGGGGAGGGGCACCCGCCATTGCTGAGGCTTGAGTAGGTAAACAAAGAGGCCAGGAAGCTCGAACTGCGTGGAGCCCACTGCAGCTCAAGGATGCCTGCCTGTCACTGTAGACTCCACATCTGGGGGCAGGGCATAGCCAAACAAAAGGCAGCAGAAACCTCTGCAGACTTAAATGTCCCTGTCTGACAGCTTTGAAGAGAGTAGTGGTTCTCCCAGCACAGAGTTTGAGATCTGAGAACGGACAGACTGCCTCCTCAAGTGGGTCCCTGACTCCCGAGTAGCCTAACTGGGAGGCACCCCCCAGTAGGGGCAGACTGACACCCCACACTGCCGGGTACCCCTCTGAGACAAAGCCTCCAGATGAACGATCAGGCAGCAACATTTGCTGTTCAGCAATATTCACTGTTCTGCAGCCTCCACTGCTGATACCCAGGCAAACAGCGTCTGGAGTGGACCTCCAGCAAACTCCAGCAGACCTGCAGCTGAGGGTCCTGACTGTTAGAAGGAAAACTAATGAATCTGTTATTTTCTTTACTGGGATTCCCTTTCAAACTCCCACAAACTCCCACTTAGCCCTGCAAACTCTAACTCAACTTTTAATAGCAGCCAATTATTTGCTTAGGGCCCAATTATGGGCAATGAGGTCTGAGATAACGTCTCTGAGGAATCCTCTGGGAGTCCTCCTACTTATAGGCAGGAGTCATCACAGGTCACACCAAGGAATGGCAAAATAGAAAGGAAAATATCCGGGGTCAGCTACACTTTGGTTTGTCCAAGCACACTTTCCAGTACACTTACTGTGTTACAACTTATCTCTATATGCATGTTCCCTGATGAACTTCTTGAGCTGCAGAATTGACTAATCCTAAAATCTGATGTGGTCATTCACAGCTAAAGGCATCTGTAGCCTTTTGTTCTTCATATTGTAATAATTTTCTTACAGATACTTCCCCCATTAATTCTTGAGCTCTTCCAGGACAAAGAGACTCAGTCTTCTTGTTCTTTGATTCTCCCTTGGGATATAGGCTCATGTCTATCACTCAGTGAACATTCAAAAATATTTGTTGAATTGTGAAAAAAAAAAGGCAGTTTTAACTTTAAGATACTTAGCCATAGTTACAAACACTTAAAAGGAACAGAGTATTAGCTGTGTCTGATGGAATATAAATTGATGAGATCAGTTCAACAAGCCAAATTTCAAATCAGTTTTGCTCCTCTGGAGTTGACCTCACAGCGACTAATGACTTCCCAATTCTCCAGTTGCTTCATCAGTAGAGACAATCAGCCACAGCACTGGGGCCATACTGGGAAAAATGACAAAAGTGATCACATCTGCCTCTGATCCAAGAACTTCCTAAGGTGCATGGTATGAGATACCAGGAGCCAAAGTCCCCGTGAGATCATGGGCACAGTTCAACAGGGTCCCATAAGCTTCCTAATGACTCCTAATCTGTGGGACAGGGAAACATTAGGCTCAAAACCCTGCAGGTCCCTCTGAAGTTTATTTGTTTTGAAGGTGAGATTTCTTTCTTTTCTTTTTTCCTTTTTAGATTTAAAGATTTTAAACATATGACGTCTTGCCTCGCATAGTTTCTATGGAAAGGGAGGCAGTATATCTGAGGATGGAAAAAGTAATTATTCTGCCAAAACTGTCTTTCACCAATGCTGAACGACTGGGCAAATTCACCACATTTTCCACCTTCTCACATGTCTTAAAAACCTAGTCGTTGCCAGTTTCACCACTGGTACAATATTGGTTATGCACAATTCAAATGTTCATCTGTAATGGCAAAACCCTTAATAATAACAATGATAGTAAAAATAACAGGCTAAATTTTGCAATTTATAAAGGACTTCCACATGCATTATCTCATATGATCTTCACAACGTTGTCTTAAGGGGGCATGAAATTTTTGTTCTATAGACACAAAGGCTTGAGGTTCATGTATAGTTAGTGACAAAACAAAAAACTTAGCTTTTCTGAAATCTTGTTTAACATTTTTTCACTATACACTGTGCACTTAAGACTTGAAAGCACCAACAATTATTTATTAAATTAAATCTAGCTCATACAGAATCAAAAGAACCTTCACTACTTAGGAGATTAGTAATTTTAAAAAAAGATGAAGTTATTTTACCAAGATCATTCCCTAAGACAAACAAAAACAGTCATTGAGAAAGAGAATATGAAATGCCTTTATAATGGCACTAAAGTAAAGGTTGGATGCTTAAATAAGTAGGAAAAGGTATGAAGTTCAAAGTAAACAAAATCAAACAGATTGCACAAATAAGATGAAAAATATAAAACAGCAAATACATTTGGTTAAAATTCAACTAATGGGAAAAATATTGAGACATTATTTACAGATTAATGTATAAAACAGAAAACTGGGTGTTTTGGCGTAAAGCAATTAAATTAATGGGTATGAAATTCCTTCTCTTGCCTCCAGCGAAAAGCACTGGCAGTTTTCTGATGAGGTGAGATATACATAATGCAACTTTAAAGCACATACAAGGCGAGCGTAACATGACTCAAGACAAAAATTTTTAACCAGAAGAGCTATAAAAACACCACTCTGGGCCATATAGAGACCACAGGATGCATAATATAGTATTTGAAAAAGATTTTAAAATAGCACATCACATACAAACTTTTTTTAATCCTACACTAACATTAGAATAGCATGTCAGAGAAGTGAAAACTGAACGGGCAAATCTTGTCGTCAAAAGTATACTTAATGAATTAAATCCTTTAAAAATTCTCAATACAGCCTATATATCCTCAAGCACAGAGAGTTTGTTTGTGTTCCTCTATCACAATAAGATCCTTGTTCTGTTCCCAGTTGTTAACAAATCCAACAACTTTAAAAAAAATTATTGCTGTTTTAGACTTACCTTACCCTACCAAATGTAGTACTTCAAAAATCAAAATTAGAATATCAATTATTACCCTTGTCCTTGTGAACCAAAGGAAAGGAAAATTAGCTTGGGTAAAAGAAATGATACAATCGTTATAGTCTAGACTTACATAACAAAAAAATGCATTACGTGTTGAGGGTAGCTTTAACGAATTGAATCACAAGAAAAGCAAAAAAATAAATGGAATGGTTGATTTGTTTCTGCTTCTCTAGCCTGATTTGACATAATTTTCTTAAATATCACAGATAAGTGTGATTTTTCCATTTTACCATGCCCTGGGTTGATTCTGCTTTAGATGCAGTATTCCATTTATGAGGAGGTCTAAATTGTGAGGTACCATTGTGTAACCAGAGGCTTACAGAGTTAATTACATGACATTCTTAACCAATGATGTATTTGGAAGAACTTTATAACAAGTATAAGGTGCTATACAAATGTAAGTAATATATTATCATAAAATAGCTATTATTTATAAAGCTATGTGTGTATATCTATGCATATGTCTTTTATATAGGAATATATGTATATATTAAATAATTTAAAATGTATATATATTTAAATGTCTTTCCTGCTTATACTCAGTAACCCACAGATTAAGAAGAGAAAAGTAATTCCCTGTTCAGGTTCAGACAGATGCTTCTAAACAGTGAGTTGTACGGATTAGGCTAAGAACAACACTTGAAACCATAATTACAAGAAAAAAATCTAACTATATGATGTATTATACTCCAAAAACAGGGAGTCTTCAATTTATGAAGAGATTGTTTTCCAAAAGTTTACTTGTTGGATCTGTTACATACATTTTTCTGAAGCTATGTGGTTATCTTCCCAACTTGGTAGATAAGAGTCTACTAACTCATAATGAATGTAAAATATAACATTATATTAACTGTAACTAATCTTAATCTTTATGAATGCTCTCCTAATATTCCAAGCCAGCTGTCTGGTCTCCCTCATCCTTTCTGCTGTGTACCTTTAGCCAATTTTCATATTAAATAGTTTGCAGAGGCCTACTCTCTCATTTATCGAAGTTCCTCTGAAAATAAACACAGAGTTTAATGCAGAATTCCAGATGTGGTCCGACAAGAGCAGAGTGTAGCGGAATTCTTATCTTCTATGATCTAGACATGGTAGTTCTGCTGGTGTGGCAAACTCCATGAGCTATTTCAGCTTCATGTTACTCTATTTGTTCACATTAAGCTTTAAAGTTAGCTGAAATCCCTGTATCTTTAACAAGTGAATTATACAGGCCAGGACTCCCCTGTCCTGCCCTTACAGGATTTCTAGCTACCCTTTATTGCATTAATCAAGTTGAACAATTTTCCTACAAAAGAGAATCTTTTAGATATAAATTTCACCTTGTGAAACTTTTCTAAATCTATGTAATACTTAGAGAAACCAGTTGAGCTATCTGGATGTCTTCTTGAAGTAAATAATTTATCTGAGCATTCTTATGTCTAAAAAAATTCCTTTGGGAGGCAGAAAATGTAGTTTTCAAGACAGTGGTTCTCAAATTTTACTTTATATTGGAATTACCTGGAGAGTTTTTAAAACTTCCTAAGTTCAAATGCTATGGTTTGAATGTTTATGTCCCCTCAAAATTCATGTGTTGAAACTTAATTGCCTATGTAGTAATATTAAGATGTGGGACCTTTAGGAGCTGATTAAGTCATGAGGATGGAGCTCTAGTGAGTGGAATTAATGCCTTTATAAAAGAGGCTACACATAGCAAGAGGCCCTATTGCCCTTCCCCATTCTGCCATGTGAGGACACAGCAACCAAGTGCCATCTTGGAAGCAGAGAGCAGCCCTCACCAGACACCAATGCCAGTGCCTTGATCTTGGACTTCCCAGCCTCCAGAATTGTAAGACATAAATTTCTGTTCTTTATAAATTATCCAGTCTGTAGTATTTTGTTATAGGAGCACAAATAGATCAAGTCACCCAAGTTGCACCAATACCAATTGATTCAGAATGTATTCATTGGTGGGTGGGAATGGAAGGCAGCATCATAAAGATTTCTACGTGAACCCAATGTTTGGAAACTACCAGCTTAAGAGTAAGTCCCATAGTGAAAAAATTGGGGAGCACATCCTAGCATCCATCACTATCAGCAATGTGGCTTTCAGCAAACTACTTAACTTCTCTAAGCTTCAATTTCCTCATCTGTAAAATGGAGCTAATAAGATTTTACTCTTCAGGATTGTTAAAAGGATACATATTAAGCATACAGCAAGATGTCTGGTATATGATAATACTGTTTTTTATTATTATTTTTAGAAAGTATGTGTTACCAATAGTTTACATAACTAAAATAATCAATCTAATGAATAACCACTTGAAATTTATTTGATTCCACATGTCATTAACCCTTATGAATGTGTTCAAAATATATAACTCAGGTAACAACAAACATTGTACTGTATATTCAATGCCACTTTAAAACCCAAAGAAGGCCAGGAGTGGTGGCTTATGCCTACAATCCCAGCACATTGGGAGGCCAAGGTGGGAGAATTGAGACCAGCCTGGGCAACATAGCAAGACTTCTGCTTCTACAAAAAAAAAAAAATTAAAAATTAACTGGGCATAGTGGCACGCACCTGTAGTCCCACTTACTTGGGAGGCTGAGGTGAGAGGATCACTTGAGCCCAGGAGTTTGAGGCTGCAGTGAGCTATAATCACACCATTGCACTCCAACCTGGGCAACAGAGCAAAATCCCGTCTCAAAAAAACACTGAAAAGAATGAGCCGGCAAAAATACATCCTTGACTATTATTAGATAATAATTCTATGTTTATATAACTAAAACCACTTTTATTCATTAATTCATTTGGTAAATTAGGAGCCTCAGAAATATAAGGTACTATGTGTTGTACATTGTGAGATTCAAAGATAAATAAAACCTTGATTAGTGATTCTCAGCCCTGGTTTCACATTATAATTACTTGGGGTGATTTCTTAGAAATATGAATGCTCAAACTGGGCATGGTGGCTCACACCTGTAATCCTTTCGGGAGGTTGAAGTGGGCAGATTGCTTGAGCCCAGAAGTTCGAGACCAGACTCGACAACATGGTGAAACCCTTTCTCTCCTGAAAGTACAAAAAACACTAGCTGGGCATGGTGGCATGTGCCTGCAGTCCCAGCTACTCAGGAGGCTGAGGTGGGAGGATCACTTGAGCCCAGGAGACAGAGGTTGCATTGAGCCACAATTCCCCATAGCACTCCAGCCTGGGTGACAGAGTGAGACCTTGTCATAAAAAAAAAGAAAGAAAGAAAGAAAGAAAGAAAGAAAGAAAGAAAGAAAGAAAGAAAGAAAGAAAGAAATATGAACTCTCTGATCTCATTCTCAATAAGATTTACTGAACAGGGATAGGATTCTGGAATAAAATTTTTTTTTAAGCTCTGAAGTTTATTTTAATGTGTAGCCAGGGTAGAGGATTACCTATCTGGATAATTTCTAAAATGTGTTGCTGTTACCTCCAAAATTATAGCATAGTGTCAACAAGTGCATATGTTTAAGTTTAAGAATAAACAGAGGGGAAGCATGTCTGAAATGGTGGAATAGTGACCTCCAAAAATCTTATCCTCCATAACAAAAAGAACACAGGCAAAAAGTGGTAAAATCAACATTTTCTAGAACTCTCAAATTTAATAAAAGGCTTGCAACAAACAGCATCTATTCAAGAAAAATGCCTGAATCTCAGTAAGAAAAGTGAGCTTTGTGGTATTTTAACTTTCTCTATTCCAATCTCCCTCTCTCCAGCTCCACAGTAGCCTTGAAGATCAGCAACCTTGCAACCGCGGAATCTGGGGAAATCTGCAGCCTACAAACCATAGGAGGGACAGAATAGGTTTGGAGCCCCACAAAAGCTCCATTCTAAAAACTGCCTGTATGGCAATTCCTAGGAAAAGCACCAATCACAAGCCTTGTCTTTACTTGACCTAAGACTTCACACAGTAAGTAAAGTCTTATCCCTAGAGTGTTTGTTATACAAAATCAGTGGCAATTATTTAACAAAAAAAAAAGCTGCTTGAGATAAGCATACCAGTTGCAGTAAATAAGAGGCTGGTCAAAAAAATTAAAAGAAAAATCTTAGAAGTGAGAAGTGTGTACAGAGATTTGAAAAACAACACATTCCTGGGAATCTAAAAGGCTACATACATGTGTCAGGTTCTGTGCATGCTCAGAAAAGATCTCAGAAGGCCTTAGTTTCTCACCGCTGGCTGACCTTGAGGTTCTATACAAGCAGAAGTGAAGTCTGAGAGTTGTAAACTGTAGTAATATTAATGCACACAGAACCCTTATCACAGGGTGGCAGACTTAAGAGTGCAAGGCATTTAAGGAAATATCTGTCAACTCATTTGTTGACCAATAAGCTGAGTAGAAACCTCTGGAGTCATGCATGACAAAAAATGCATATTTTACAGAATTAGCCCAAGATAGTTAATAACAAAATAAACAATAGCAAAAGCAACAACAAACAGCAACAAATACAGGCCACGGGAAGGGGAGAGTCTGACTTCTAGGATTTTCATATTTAATTATTTAAAATATTGCTTTTAACAAAAAATGTGATACATACAACAAAGGAGAAAAGTATGCCTCAAAGTATGCACCAGAGGAAAAAGCATTCAAGAGATTCTGACCCTCAAGAAGCTTGTATAATGTTGGCCTTATTAGAAAAACTTGAAAATCAGTTATTATAAACATATTTGCGAAACTAAAGGAAACTATGCCCCAAAAAAGTTTGAGAAAAACTTTTCAGGAAGTAGTGTGCATCAATAAAGAGAATTAAATTGTGTTAAAAATTAAATAGAAATTCTGGAGTTGAATTTCTTCAGTTTAGTTGAAAGTACAATAACTGAAATGAAAAATTCATTAGATGGGCTTAACAGCAGATTTGAGCAGGCAGAAGAGACACTCAGTGAGCATGATAGATGGGTCAATTCAGATTATCCAATGTGAACAGGCAGAAGAAATAAATGAAGTAACATAAGCATAGCTTCAGAGACCTGGGGGACATCATCAAGTATGCCAACATACACATATGAGCATTCTAGAAAAAAGGAGAAAGAGAAGAGAAAGAGGCAGAAAGGATATTTGAAAAAATAATGGCCAAAAGTTCTCCAAATTTGATGAGAAACTTTACATATGCAAGTATCTTAATGAATTTTATGTAGAATATACTCAAAGAGATCCCCAGTTAGGCACATCACAGTGAAACTATTGAAAGACAAAGAATCTTGAAAGTTGCAAGAGAAAATGACTCAAACAAGGGAACCTCATTAAGCTCAACAGCTGACTTTTCATCAGAAAGTGTAGAGATGTTACCAAGATGGTGAACTTGGAAGCTCCAAACCCTCATTCTCCTATGGAAACATTAAATAAACAACTACAGACTGACTCAATTTTATAAAAGCTTTGAAAATCAGCTCAGATATCTAAAGAAAATGCCAAACCACAAAAAACCCACACTTGAAACATAAAATTTCCTGGCACTTTTATTTGCACTTTCTCCACCCCTTCTCTGGCACAGCATGGGGCAGTCAGGAGGCATTACTTTAAGTCTTATTTCCTTCCTTCAGCCGGAAGGACCAAAGTGGAAGTTGCTTGCCATGTTTTGGCCTATCTGTGGGCTACTTGAGGGACTGGTTTCTGTTTTATCTGACTCAGAGCTCAGACAGAACACCATGGCAGAGTCTAGATTTCAGCTAGCAGAAGCTATGAAAAGCAAGGGTAGATACTGTGGCCTAGGAAAACTTCAGGGAGACTGCAGACTCACAGACACCTGGGGGCAAGAGATTACAGGCACAGAAGTACAACTGAATGCCTAAGATCCCAAGAAGAAGCTGGGGTGAGCCTCTTTGGAAAATTAAGGCATTTAAGAACAGCCATGTATATGGGGGAAAAAAATTAAAAGCATACATACAGGCTCAGGTAGGATGAATGCTCAGAAAAGACCCAAGAAGACCTTCTGCTTTTACTCTGGGATGATCCCAGGCTCAGAAACTTGTTAATTAGTGAAGGTCTTCCGAGCTGGTCTGCAAAAACTGAGAGAAGTGGCTGTTTCTTTAAATGCCCAGTTTTCAACAGAAGATCTGAAGACATACGAAGAAACAGGAAAGCATGGCTTATGTAAGGGAACAAATCTCCCAAAACTGAAAAAAGAAAATACATCAGACTTACTAGACAAAGATGTTAAAACAACTGTCTTAAGTATATTGAAGGAACTAAAGAAAAACACAAATAATTAAAATAAATAAGGAAAATTATATATAAACAAAATGAGAATATAAACAAGGAGACAGAAAAAATAGGCCTGGCATGGTGGCTCACACCTGTAATCCCAGCACTTTGGGAGGTCGAGGTGGGCAGATCACGAGATCAAGAGATCGAAACCATCCTGGCCAACGTGGTGAAACCCTGTCTCTACTAAAAATACAATAATTAGCCAGGCATGGTGGCATGTGCCTGTAATCCCAGCTACGTGGGAGGCTGAGGCAGGAGAACGGCTTGAACCTGGGAGGTGGAGGTTGCAGTGAGCCAAGATCTCACCACTGCACTTCAGGCTGGGTGACAGAGTGAGACTCCATCTCAAAAAAAAAAAAAAAAAAAAAAAAATATATATATATATAAATATATAAATATAAATATATATATATATAAATATATAAATATAAATATATATATAAAATATATATAAATATAAATATATAAAATATATATTATATATATTATATATAATATATTATATATAAAATATATATAATATATAATATATAATATATATAAAATATATATTATATATTATATATAAAATATATTATGTTATATATAATATATATTTTATATATATTATATAAAATATATATTATATATAATATATATAAAATATATATTATATATAATATATAAATATATATATTTGTTTGGATATATATATTTATATATAAAAATATATATTTGTTTGGATATATATATTTATATATAAAAATATATATATATTTTTATATATATCCAAACAAATTCTGGAACTGAAAAATACAATAACTAAATTGAAAAATTCACTATAGGATATAACAGCAGAAGAAGAAGTCAGTGAACATGAACACAGGTCATTTGAAATTATCAAGTCTGGAAAGCAAAAACCAAAACAACAAACAAAAAGAATGTGAGAAAAGGACAGGAAAATTATTTAAAGTAATAATGACCAAAAATGTCCCAAATTTAAGGAAAGAGATAGATATACAAATCCAATAATTCAAACAATTCGAAGTAGGACAAACAAAAAGATAATCACACCAAGACACCACATCCCCTAGTTGTTGAAAGACAAAGACAGGTTCTTGAAAGTGAAAAAAAAAAGCAACATGTCATGTACAAGGGATCTCAACAATATACATATCAGTAGATTTCTCCAGAGAAGCTTTGCAGGCCAAAAGACAGTGAGATTACATATTTAAAATGATAATAAAACTATAAACTGAACATTCGATATTGATCAAAACTGTCTTTCAAGAATGAAGAAAAAATTAGACTAACCTAGAGAAACAAGTTGAAGGATTTATTACTAGACTTGTCACACAAGAGATGCAAAAGAGAGTCCTACAAGTTGAAATAAAAGGATTCTACACAGTAACTTGAAGCCATACAAAAATATAAAGTTCTTTGGTAAAAATAAATAGATGAACAAATAAAAATAACAGTATTACAGTAATTTTGTAACTCCACTTTTTATTTTCTACAGGATTTAAAAGACAAATGCATAAAAATTATGCATGTCAATGAGTATGCAATATATAAAGATGTTATTTGTGGCATTCATAACGTAGTGTGTGGGTGGAGAGAAAAGTGGAGTTGTATACAATTGAAATGAAGTTACTATCAATTTAAGAGAGATTGTTATAACTTTAGAATGGTAGATGTAAGCTCCATGTTAGTAACCACAAAGAAAATAACCATAAAATATACACAAAAGGATATCAAAATGTGTCACTATAAAAAGATCAACTAAGCACAAAGAAAAGCAGTAATGAAGAAAATGAGGAATAAAAGGCTATAAAACATACAGAAAACAAAGCACAAAACAGCAAAAATAAGTGCTTTCCTATACTTTAAATGTAAATGGAATAAAGTCCCTAATCAAAATACATTGGCAAAATGGATTTTAAAAAAACAATTCTACAATATATTATTTACAAGAGCATCATTTTAGATTTAAGGATACACATAGGTTGAAAGTCAAACGTTGAAATAGGACATTCCATGCAAATAGTAATTAAAAGAGAGCAAGATTGTCCATACCAATAACAGACAAAATAGCCTTAAATCAAAAATTGTTGCAAGACACAAGGAAGGATATATAAAGGTCAATTCAAGAGGATGTAATAATTACAAACATACATGCACCAAACATGAAAGTTCTGAAATAAATGAAGCAAACATTGACAGAGTTGAAGGGAAAAATAGGCAACTTCAATATCCCATTTCCCATCATGCATTGAACAACTAGAGAGAACATAAATAAGGAAATAGAAGACTTCAAAACACTATAGACCAACTGTACCTAATGGACACATACAAAACACCCCACCTAACAACAGCAGAATACTCATTTTTCTCAAGTGTACAATAAACGTTCTCCAGGATAGACCATATATGAAGCCGCAAAACAAGTCTTTAAAAATAAAAAATATTGAAGTCATATAAAGTATCTCTTCTGAACACAATGGAATAAAAATAGAAATTTGCAGCAGAAGGAAAAGTGGAAAATTCACAAATATGTGGAAATTAAACAACACACTTGTAAGCAACCAGTGTGTCAAAGAAGAAATCACACAAAACTAGAAAAACAACACATAAAATCAATGAAAGCAAGAGTTGGTTACTCAAAAAGATAAAAAAATTCAGACTTTAAATTAGATTTTAAAAAAGTGGGAAGACCCAAATAACTAAAATTAGAAATAGAAAAGATTGTAAGAGAATAGTATGAACAGTTGTACACCAACAAGTTGGATAACCTAGATGAAATAGACAAATTTCTAGAAACAAACAACCTACCAAGACTGAATCATGAAGAAACAGAAAATCTGAACAGATCAGTAATGAGTAAGGAGACTTAAACAATAATAAAAAGCCTCCCAACGAAGAAAAGGACACTTAAGGTGATTCTGTATCTTTGCTATTGTGAAATAGTGCTGTGATAAACATACAAGTACATGTATCTTTTTGATATGGCAATTTCTTCCCTTTGGGTAGATACCCAGTAGTGGTATTGCCAGATCAAATGGTAGTTCTATTTTTAGTTCTTTGAGAAATCTCCATACAGTTTTCTATAGAAGTTACACTAATTTACATTCCCACCAACAGTGTATAAGTGTTCCCTTTTCTCCTCACCCTTGCCAACATACATTGTTTTTGTTTGTTTTACTTTTTAATAATAGCCATCCTGAATGGAGTAAGATGATATCTCACTGTGGTTTTTATTTGCATTTCTCTGATGATTGGTGATATTGAGCAGTTTTTCATATTCCTGTTGGCTATTTGTACGTCTTCTTTTGAAAAATGTCTATTCATGTTCTTTGCCCTCTTTTTAATGGGATTATTTTGTTGTTGAGTTGTTTGAGTTCCTTGTAGAATCTAGATATTAGTCCCTTGTCGGATATGTACTTTGCAAATATTTTCTCTCATTCTGTAGGTTTGTCTATTTATTCCGTTAATTATTACTTTGGCTGTGTAAAAGCTTTTTAATTTAATTAATTCTCATTTGTCTATTTTTGAGTTTGTGCCCACAATATATCCACATAACAAAACTGTACAGTACCCCTTAAATTTATACAAATAAAAAATTTTTAAAAAGACTTTCAACAAGGGTGTCAAAACTATTCAATGGGGAAAGTCTTTTCAAAAATGTTGTTGGGAAAACAAATGGTGTTGGATGTTCACATGCAAAAGATTACATTTGAATTCCTACCTTACACCATATGCAAAAATGTAACTCAAAATGGATTAAAGACCTAACCATAAGACCTGAAACTATAAAACTTTTAGAAGAAAACATCCAAAGCACAATGTAGCTGAAGTTCTAAGCATGTTGAGTTTAGGTCCAGAAACAGACAAAGCAGCATTTAGTTTAGATTTTACAGGACAATAAAACAAAAGTGTTTCAGGCAAGGGTGCCAAATCTAGTTCACTTCTTGAAAACAGTTATACAAAGGGGCTTCCACATGAAAGGAGATAGAAAAACATTACTACTAAAGGTTGCCTGTGGCTGCTTCTTATATGAAGCTGTGTGCCTAGAGAGATCAAGTTGGACCCAACCTTCTGACCAGAAACTGAGCAAGGGATAAGGAAGATTTCACACTCGGGGTAGTTGCTAAAGCAGGGGCTTGTTGGGTAGAAAAGCGGGCATGCTGGAAAAGGACAGTCTGCCTGAAAGAAGATGAAAGAAGAGAAAACAGCCACACTTTGATGGACACAGCATATCAAATTTGACATCAGAATAATTCCTAAGCACAGATATAATCATCGTAAGTGATTCTCTCACACAGGAATTTTGCTCAGTAAGAAAGCTGGGTGGCCAGGCTGGAAAATGGAGAGGGATTTCTGAATTCCACTGTCTCTTAGTCTTATGATCTCATGGGTCTCTACTGGTGGTGTTGAAGCTCCACAACCTCAAAGTCTCTGCAGTCCCACATTTTGGTGTGCTGTCCCTCAGTCCCACTGTCCCACATTCTGATCTCACAGTTTCACACATGGACACTCCCATGGACTTCAAGTCTCCCAGCCCTGTGTACTCAATGATGTTGCAGCTCTGCAATTATGCATTCTCACAGTAGAACAGTCTCACGGTTAAGCAGCCCCGTGACCTCAGTTTTGTTGGCCAATTTGAGATTGGTGATCTCATGTTGATAATAATGGTAACTGGCCCAATTACATGAGTTTCTCCTGCAACATTCACCAGCCAGACTACAGTCATGGACAAGATGGATAAATGCTCTTTCCAGGGTTGGGAGTTCATTAGGCAGGTACCATGGAAAGAAAGAGAGTATATGGACTTGAGGGTATTTGAAATGCAGTGAGTGCTATGCAATATATCCATGGAACAAAACTGCACTTGTACCCAATTTATACAAATAAAAAATGCATAATCAAAAAAATGGAGCAAGTACAATGATAGATCATGGAACAAATGTGTGCAATGAGGGAACCGAAGATAGCAAAAGGCTGGTGGATGGAAAAAACAGTGAGGTCAATGGGCAGGGAGCCTGATGGGGTCACAGTGCAATGGGAGTGCTTAAGCAAGTGAACTGGAAGAAGAGGCCATCTGGGGTCCCAGTCAGGTGTCTGAGTCAATGAATTTTGACATGGCACAGTTTCTGATCTGATCACGACAGCATGCATTGTTTGATGCTGGGCACTCTTGGCTGAGGTGAATATAATGACATAATTTAATAGATGAAGTTATTAATTTAATAAGTAACTGAAAACTGATAACCAACTGTGCTTTCAAAATTAAGTGGTTAAGTGGTTTCATGAATAGCTAGTGGCTGGTACACAATTCTATATATCCCTGTTTAGAATAGGCAATGCTTTTCGTTGTAAGTTACCATTTTGTACACTGTGTTACTCTTCTGTCAATTTCATCCCTTTGTAGACTAGCAGCCTCTATTGCAGCCCTCTGTGGAGTAGGGAATGGGAGGGCAGTAGTGGAGAGATAGGGAGGAGAAAGGAAAGTGATAGATTTGAGCTATGGCCAGTGATTCTTTCGGCTGTGCTCTGAAGACAGGCTTTTTAAGGCCCTCACTTTTGTTTGGACCCCTTATGTCCCCACTTGAAAATCTGGTATATATATATTTAAAAAAAAAAAAAACTTGTATTATCATTCGTTACTCTAATCTTTTAGGATTTTAGGATCTGGGGGCCAGATGGGTGCATACTTAGAACTATTTGGTGACTGAAAATGACAACTGACCCCAAACAGGGAGGCAGAACCCAAATGCAGATTACATTTTAAAGACGTTTTGGATTTAGAAAAAAAAGTTGATTATTTGGCACCATGTCATACAGCGATATATTCGACAGCCCAAACATGGCTAAATCAGAGCTTGTGTTTATAGCAATATTCCTAGCATGAAACTAAACCCCTCCACAAGCCTTCTTCTCAAAGTTCTCATTGGCTCCCTGATTGGGCATGGACCGTTGGGCAGCTGAAGT
Source organism: Homo sapiens (assembly GCF_000001405.40). Taxonomy (NCBI): domain Eukaryota; kingdom Metazoa; phylum Chordata; class Mammalia; order Primates; family Hominidae; genus Homo; species Homo sapiens. Next base: position 27,891,130 of record NC_000010.11, read on the forward strand.
TAAACAGAGGGTGATGTCAAATTCCTGTCCTGTTTGATCAGCTGTGTTCTGTCACACCTGTGGTCAGGAAACTGGCCTCATCCATACTCAGTCCTCAACATTCCTGGCTAAATTACCCAAGCATGTATCCCAACCTCACAGAAATTAACTTCTCTTCTCTTTTGGGGAATCATTCTCAAATTCCTGACTGGCTTCTCAGTTTGGAGCAGAACTTTAGGTCACTGGTTTTCAAATTACTAGAGTTTTTTGTTTTTTTTTTTTCCTTCAAGATCAAAACCAGACATTGTCTAAACAAGTAGCAAAATTAAGTTTAGGAAGGTTACAAGGCCAAATGATCTCATGGATATATATTACTGATTTGGAAGACATATTGAGTTTTCTTCCTAACCCAACAACTGACTTATTATACATTCAGAGTATTTATTCTAAGATAAGAATACCTGTTTTCTATCTAATTCATAAGGAAATGGTGATGATACATTAATATGAATTATACTATTACTTCTTATGAAAATGCAAATATAGTTGAACATCTTTTTTTTCTTAATAAAAACTTTTAAAAACTCATTAATGAAAGGAAGCAGAATTAAGGAAATTAAGCACTATCTTGCGATATTCACAAAACAAATAATATTAAAAATGCACTGATATTTAAGAAAAAATGTTTCTTACAAATGTTGGCAAAAGGCATGAAAATAATCGTGTGATACGACACAATTAAATTTTTATATAAATTTTCATATTTTCAGTATCTTAATGTTCACGGAGCACAAATTTGAGTAGACTTTCTGCAGCAGACAGTTTTGCTTCTTAAGAACAAAGAATTTAATATATGGACTTTTACCAGATTCAGTTGCATTCTTTACATCACAACTTCATAATACTGAACACCTGTTCAACTACCCTTTTTCTCCAAAAATGTGTTTGATCGTTCAGCTTGAAAGAAACAGTTTTACACTTCTATTTACAAATCTCTCACATTTTTCACAAAGCAGTTATTAGTTGAATCAGACTTACAGCTCTTGAAATTTACACATAACATCACTACAGAGGTCGAATCTTAGGATCTCTGTCCTTTTTAGCAATCTTAATAGGAAAAAAGAACTTTTCTTAGACATAACACAGAAAAGATCTTAAATGGTAAATGTTCAAATAAAACTTCTTTAAAAATATGCAGATTATTTTTTATGACTAGTTCACTTTAGTTTGACCTTCTGTTCTTGGGTTCTTGATAGACTAAAAAAGACCGTGCGGCTTTCTAAGTGAAGATGCTTATTTCCTGTCTTAAATTATTTCGAGGTTTACAAAGTGATCTTTGTAAAACAGACTCTCATTTCACACTCCGATTTTCCTATCAGATAATGAATGGACCGATAATTTTTAAGCTGGAAAAACATATCTGTTTCACCTAGTACATTTTATTTATCACCAATAAGCTATCAATAACTATTACATACTTGCTTTCTCCAAAATGAAGTTTTAAACTTAACTGAAACACTAGTCTACCAACAAAAAGGTCAATACTTCTTATTACAAAAATCCCACATTCCATTTGTTTTATGCATTTAATAACAAAATAATTATAACACAAAAGCAATGTCAACTTACACTGTGAATCTTTATTTCTCTCAATTATCCTGTAATTCATTACTGAAGTCTTTGATTCTGCTACTTCGTTGCCTGGCTCAATCACTGATAGGTAGCTTTAAATGTTTCCAACAAGAAAAGATGTACTACGGCCGGGTGTGGTAACTCACGCCTGTAATCCCAGCACTTTGGGAGGCCGAGGCGAGCAGATCACTTGTGGTCAGGAGTTTGAGACCAGCCTGACCAACATGGCAAAACCCTGTCTCTACTAAAAGTACAAAAATTAGCCAGGCATGGGGCTGCATGCTTGTCCATTCCTGTAATCCCAGCTACTCGGGAGGCTGAGGCAGGAGAATCGCTTGAACCCAGGAGGCAGAGGTTGCAGTGAGCCAAGATCACACTACTGCCCTCCAACCTGGGCGACAGAGCCAGACTCCTTCTCAAAAAAAAAGAAGAAGAAAAGAAAGAAAGAAAAGTAAAAGAAAAGAGAAAAGAAATAAAGAAAAGATGTTCTACATTCACTAGAAGCAATATTCACATCTTATTTTCTTAACACATACATCTGAAAATGTGTTCTAATGTGTATAACAATATAAAAAAACGGATAACATCTGGTTTGAACAGTTGACATTTCACCATGTCCACACCACAGGGACACACATATACATGGTGAACTTAGGTTTCATGACGCCTGACAGACGTGGTAGGGGCCCTGAAGTAGCAACAGCTTGTCTAAAGGCGTAGCTGGTGCTTTCTTCCCTTTCATGTGGCTCTCAGCTATAATTAACAATGGCTGGTTTTTGCAGCATTACTGTCAGTGCCATTAATCCAAACAAAGACGTTATTTCAAAGTGATGCCAAATCCTATGACTCATAAGTTAATAAGTCTAAAGTTACTTGCAAAAGCATTGTAGTTGAAAACAATGTAGAAATGCTTCCGTACAAAATAAAAGGCAATTCTTTCCTAGAAAGCTGAGCCATTAACTTACCTAAATAGGACAGGGGCAGTGACGGGGAGAAAGAAAGGGCTATACTATTTGGTATGATCTCTTCTTCTAGTTCCACTGTTTTATTGCAAGCTGGATGCCCCAGCATATTCAAAAAACATTTCCCATCCCTACTGTCCCTCAGAATTTATAACCTTATTAGAAGGCCAGGTGTGGTGACTCAGGCCTGTAATCCCAGTGCTTTGGGAGGCCGAGGTGGGTGGATCACCTGGAGCCTGGAGTTTGAGATCATCCTGGGCAACAGAGCAAGACCCTATCTTGATCTGAAAAAGTTAGCCAGGCATGGTGGCTCAGGCCTGGAGTCCTAACTACTCTGGAGGCTGAGGCAGCAGGATTGCTTGAGCCCAGGAGATTGACATTGCAGTGTGCAAATGTGCCACTGTGATCCAGCCTGGGCCAAGAGTGAGACACCATCTCTAAAAAATAAATATTTAAATAAATAAGTAAATAAATACATAAATAATCTTATTAGAAAACAAGTTTAATCCATCTAAAAATCATAGAACTTACAAAATATTCATTGAAAATGCTAAATTCAATATAACCAAGTGGGGAAAGTTTTGGATAGTGATATAAATACAACATGAGACCTCAAAAAAATTCCAAGTACACATAACCTCCACGGATATACATTTACATGTATCTTTGGTCATATTATTTCCCACTAATCCAAAAGGCAGTTGATCGTAAAATAAACTATTATTTTATGTACCACCAAGAAAATCACCACTGATTAACCTATGATATAAAGTTACTGATAAAACAAATATATGGGGAGCTATGCTAAAATTTTTACCAAAGGGTCAGCAGTAACTATTTTCTCTCCCTGTGTGAAAGAACATTCTAGAAAGGCTTAAAAGAAATTTTTTTTGAGACAGGGTCTTGCTTTGTTGCCCAGGCTTGAGTGCAGTGGCGCAATCACGCCTCACTGAAGCCTCAACCTCCCAGGCTCAAGCAATCCTCCCACCTCAGTCTCCAGAGTAGCTGGGACTACAGGCATGTGCATTAAAAAAAAAAAAAATTGTTGTAGAGGAGTCTCCCTATGCTCCCCCAGCTGACCTCAAAATCCTGAGTTGAAGCAATCCTCCCCACTTGGCCTCTCAAGTTCTGGGGTCACAGGTGTGAGCCACTTTGCCCGGCTTCAAATGAAATTTTTGTTTCACTCAACCTCACTGTTCCTTAACACTGGAAACTTAATTATGTAAATGAATTATGATATATCCATACAATATAATACTATATAGCCAAAGAAAATTAGACAGGCATATGGAAAGACATACAGAGAGAATTAGAGAGAGACTCACTAGTCATCGGTACGAAAAAAAAAAAAAACTGTTAGCTCTTAATATCAGTTATCCCCAAGTGCTAAAATTACAGGTGATTTTTTTAATTTGCTTTTCTTTAGTTTCTAAAACTTATATAATGAACATGTAAGCACACACAAACTCATTTAATTCTTGAGGTTTACAACTTTTCATAGCAGATGGCTTACAAAAACAACTCTGTCTTACTTGCATATCTCAGACCTGGGCACCAAAACGATAGCCGCTAACTACATGTAACTATTTATACTTTTATATTTTTATTTCCTATTTGAGATGGAGTCTAGCTCTGTCACCCAGTGCACTGGAGCAATCTTTGCTCACTACAACTGCAGCCTCCTGGGTTCAAATGATTCTTGTGCCTCCCAAGTAGCTGGGATTACAGGCATGCGCCACCAAGCCTAGCTAATTTTTGTATTTTTAGTAGAGATGGGGTTTTGCCATGTTGGCCAGGCTGGGTCTTGAACCCCTGGCTTCCAGCTATTCACCCGCCTCGGCCTCCCAAAGTGCTGGGATTATAGACATGAGCCACCACACCTGACCTAAACTTTAATTAAAACTGCATATAACTCAAAATTCAGTTATTTGGCCCTACTAGTCACATTCCAAGCACTGAATAGCCACATGTGGCTAGTAGTTGCCGTATCTGAACAATACCTTTTCATCATCACGCAAAGTGCTATTAATAGAGTTGCCCTAACCATGGTTTGATTCAGATCTGTGTAAATAATGAGATGCTATTATTAAACAGTATAAATGTGCTTTCTTTCCTCTTGCCTTTCTGAGCACATGACCTCTGTCATATTCTACTCCTGAAGTACCCTTCTGCCTTGGAAGAATGTGATTTGTTGTAGAAGGACGCAAGGTGGGAGACAAATATAATATTCAGCTTCTGACCCTGAAAAATAGGACCTTTTAAGAAGAAACAGCCTTGCAAATCAGGCCACTTTCTTAAGGAAAGATGCTTTAAATTTCCCTCTCTCTCATTTCAAGCGTTCACTAGACAAGTGTCTTCAACATTTTGCTCACATATCCCAATGCACTTTTGAAAAGCTGTGTATCTTCTTCATCTCTTTTGAATTGACATCTAAAAATGTTCATCATGAATTTAGCCACAAAGATTTACTTTCTGATATTATACACGTCAATGAAATTTTGTCCCTGCATATTTAGTTAATTCAATAAATGGAAATATCTTCCTTATTACCTAATCATAAAAGCCAGTGCTCATTGTTGAAATAATCAGCCAAATTAGTAATCTGCTAGGAAAAGTCTGACTTTGATTTTTTAAATTCATATCAAGGTATTAATTAGGATCCCTTTGATAACTTTCTCACTTCTGGATTGAAATTCAAAGATATCAATGGGTAGGCAATATTCAAATTCAAGTACATAGATTGATAGGTAATAGATGGATGATTGATTGAAAGATAGAGAGATAGATAAGCAGGCCATGCGTTTGTTGCCTGGATAAAATAAGGAGGTGCCTCTTTCAGTATTCCTTTCTATTCTTGCTCTTCTGGTTTTGTTCTTCCTGGACTTGCCCTCAGGAATTAGGCATTCTAGAACCATCCTTTTGCTTGGTGCTCTAGAAATCTTTTACAGTACTCAGAGCAATGTGTTTATAGGATTAAGGAACAGTGAGAGCCAGGCCTGTCTTTTTTTCTCCATCTGTGCTTGTGTATGTGTACTCTTTCTAGATACGTAGATATATGTATATAGATATAGATATATAGATACATGCACAAAATCACACACACATGCCTCTTCCATGTTTATCACTTCTTAAACCTGAGCTATCTTCTGGATTTCATACTAGCCTCCTTCTCTTAATAGCTGAGCTTCTAGAAAAAACTATGAATCCTTTTTTCCTCTATTTCCTCCCCTCAATTCATTTCTCGCTCCAGTGCCATCCAACTTAAACTCTCGCCTCTCAGTGGAAATGGCTACAACCACGACCGCCTAATTCCTGTACTTAATGTACTCTTTTCACTTTTCAAGGGAAATTGTCTTCTTAGGGGTAAATAATACTGTTGAACATTCTCCCTCCCTCTTGATTTCTCTCCTTTCTTGGCTTTTTTGTAATCAAGTTCTCCTGGTTTTCCCATCCCCTTCCCACCCGCCTGCCTTCTTTCTTTACTTCACTCTGTCATTGGTGGTCTCCTCTCACTCCAGTCCTTCTCCCTTCCACCTACACTCAGACCTCCACTACCTCCTAAAGGCTAATGAGCCCTACTCATATATCTCCATCCAGAATTCTCTCCTGACATCCAGATTCGTGTATTCAAATGACTGGACATCTCTACCTGGAGGAAGGCAACTCCATCATCTTTTCCTCAGACGATGTTATTCCCATGTTTGGTAAAAATTCTATCATGTTCCTAGCTGTCAACATTAAAGAAAAAAAATCCAAAATTCAAACATCCAATCACTCACCAATTCCTGATTCTACTTTTCAATTCTTTCTTATATTGTCTCTTCTCTCCATCCACACTGCCATGGTGTTAGGTCAAATTTTAATCATTTTCATCTGAACTACTGTAATAGCCCAATTTGTCACCCATTCTTACATGGTTTATTTTCTAATTAGCCATGTGGCTCATGTCACTTTCTTGTTGACGATTCTTCAAATGTTCGTGTTGCCGCAATGATAAATGCATACAAGAGAGGGCAGTTCCTGGTGAGAGATGTGATCAAGCAGAGATCTTTTTCAGGAGGCTGTCTTTCCTTTAAGACAAGAAGAGGGCTGGAGGCAGGGAGTATTCAGAGGGTAGGTGAAGTTCAAGAGAAATGGAACAGGAAGAAGCTCTTTCAGTAGCCTAGGATCTAGTTTAGACCTTGGGGCCAAGAGCAAAGAGAGAGGTGGGCTGGGTCATGTTTTAGGCTGCTTGCATACGAGACCAGCCAGATATTCAGGAAAGAAAGCCCATGTGAGAATAATGAATATGAAAATACTGAAAAATCTTTTAAGCCCAATAATAGATAATTAGATTTGGAGTTGAAATTCATAAGAAGACAGAACACACTTTACATATAATAATAGCACTAAGCAGAAATAATATCTATCAAAATGGCAACTCACCAATGATAATATTAAATTTGACATTTAAATATAGATTTTCAATGACCATTGACAGTTAATCAGTATCTATAACATCCTTTTTTAGGAAAGGGAAAGGACTTTAGTTATTATTATATTAGTTATGATTATTTAGCCATATTCATCTTAGTATTCATCCTCTCTACTAAATTTGTGGTTTTGCCAAATATATCTTCAATTTCCAAAAAAAACAGTTTTAAGCCTATGAATTTTTAATAACAGTTTATGTGAACCCTTAGGTGTTTCTGAGAATATTAATTTTAAAATTATTTCATTCCTTACATTATCTCTGTTTCTTCTGAAGTCAGTTCTGCTAGTTCATGTGGGTGTGTGTCTTTAACATGGTTAGTATTCCTTAAATATATAGTGATCTTTGTTTAAATTTATGAATGAAGGACTGGACTGATTAGTTAAAGTGACTGATTAAGATTATCCTTCAAGGATTTGTATCAATCTTTCCCCAGTTGGCTTATTTCTTTCCCTGTAAACAATATTATTTAAATTTGGCACTTTAAAAAATATATTTGAACTTTAATAGGAATTATATTATATATCTATTTCTGCAAGTTTTTATTTTGTTCAACATATTTGTGATATGTATTGATATTGACGAATACATTGCCAAAATACATTGATTTTTCACTGCTGCAATGTATAACATAGTGTGATTCCAGTAAGGATTTGAGATCTTTTTAATTTTTTGGCTGTGATAACAAATGATTCCATTAATGGGTTTATAATAGGTCTCCTCTATTCCAAACACACATTACAATTCGCTTTTTAAAAAATATTATATTTAGGATGACATTTAGAGTCAAGTTAAATTTATTGTAGAACTATCCTTTATATAAAAATATTCAACAAGACCTAGGCAAGATGGCCAAATAGGAACAGCTCTGGTCTGCAGCTCCCAGTGAGATCGACACAGAAAGTGGGTGATTTCTGCATTTCCAATTGAGGTACCCATCTCATCTCATTGGGACTTGTTAGACAGTGGGTACAGCCCACGGAGGGCAAGCAGAAGCAGACTGGGGCGTCACCTCACTTGGGAAGCACAAGGGATCAGTGAAATCCCTCCCCTAGCCAAGGGAAGGGGGAGTGTGGGACTGTGCCATGAGGAACAGTATACTCTGGCCCAGATACTACACTTTTCCCACGGTCTTTGCAACCCGCAGACCAGGAGATTCCCTCAGGCGCCCACACCACCAAAGCCATGGGTTTCAAGCACAAAACTGGGGGGCCATTTCAGCAGACACCCAGCTAGCTGCAGGAGTGTTTTTTTCATACCCCAGTGGTGCCCGGAATGCCAGCGAGACAGAACTGTTCACACTCCTGGAAAGGAGGCTGAAGCCAGGGAGCCAAGTGGTCTAGCTCAGCAGATCCCACTCCCACGGAGCCCAGCAAGCTAAGATCCACTGGCTTGAAATTCTCGCTGTGAGCATAGCAGTCCAAAGTCGACCTGGCATGCTCAAGCTTGGTGGGGGAGGGGAGTCTGCCATTACTGAGGCTTGAGTAGGTGGTTTTCCCCTCACAGTGTAAACAAAGCCTCCAGGAAGTTCGAACTGGGCGGAGCCCACCACAGCTCCGCAAAGCCACTGTAGACAGACTGCCTCTCTAGATTCCTCCTCTCTGGGCAGGGCATCTCTGAAAGAAAGGAAGCAGCTCCAGTCAGGAGCTTATACATAAAACTCCCATCTCCCTGGGACAGAACACCTGGGGGAAGGGGTGGCAGTGGGCACAGCTTCATCTAACTTAAACATTCCTGTCTGCTGGCTCTGAAGAGAGCAGTGGATCTCTCAGCACAGCACTCAAGCTCTGCTAAGGGACAGACTGCCTCCTCAAGTCGGTCTCTGACCCCAGTGCCTCCTGACTGGGAGACACCTCCCAGCAGGGGTGGACAGACACCTTATATAGGAGAGCTCTGGCTGGCATTTGGCAGGTGCCCCTCTAGGACAAAGCTTCCAGAGGAAGGAACAGGCAGCAATCTTTGCTGTTCTGCAGCCTCCGCTCATGATACCCAGGCAAACAGGATCTGGAGTGGGACTCCAGCAAACTCCAGCAGACCTGCAGCAGAGAGTCCTGACTGTTAGAAGGAAAACTAACAAACAGAAAGGAATAGCATCAACATCAACAAAAAGGACGTCCACAAAAAATCCCCATCTGAAGGTCACCAACCTCAAAGACCAAAGGTAGATAAATCCACAAAGATGGGGAAAAACCAGCACAAAAAGGCTGAAAATTCCAAAAACCAGAACATCTCTTCTCCAAAGGATCATAACTCCTCACCAGCAAAGGAACAAAACTGGAAGAATGAGTTTGACGAATTGACAGAAGTAGGCTTCAGAAGGTGAGTAATAACAAACTCGTCTGAGCTAAAGGAGCATGTTCTAACCCAAGGCAAGGAAGCAAAGAACCTTGAAAAACAGGTTAGAGAAATTGCTAACTAGAATAATCACTTTAGAGAAGAACAGAAATGACCTGATGGAGCTGAAAAACACGGCAAAAGAACTTCGTGAAGCATACACAAGTACCAATAGCTGAATCGATCAGGCGGAAGAAAGGTTATCAGATATTGAAGGTCATCTTAGTGAAATAAAGCATGAAGACAAGATTAGAGAAAAAAGAATGAAAAGGAACGAATGAAGCCTCCAAGAAATATGGGACTATGTGAAAAGACCAAACCTACTTTTGATTGGTGTACCTGAAAGTGACAGGGAGAATGGAACCAACTTGGAAAACACTCTGCAGGATATTATCCAGCAGAACTTCCCCAACCTAGCAAGACAGGCCAACATTCAAATTCAGGAAATACAGAGAACACCACAAAGATACTCCTCGAGAAGAACAACCCCAAGACACATAATCATCAGATTCAGCAAGATTGAAATGGAGGAAAAAATCTTAAGGCAGCCAGAGAGAAATGTTGGGTTACCCACAAAGGGAAGCCCATCAGACTAACAGTGGATCTCTCTGCAAAAACTCTACAAGCCAAAAGAGAGTGGGGGCCAATATTCAACATTCTTAAAGAAAAGAATTTTCAACCCAGAGTTTCATATCCAGCCAAACTAAGCTTCATAAGCGAAGGAGAAATAAAATCCTTTACAGACAATCAAATGCTGTGAGATTTTGTCACCACTAGGACTGCCTTATGAGAGCTCCTGAAGGAAGCACTAAATTTGGAAAGGAAAAACCGGGACCAGCCACTGCAAAAACATACCAAATTGTAAAGACCATCAACACTATGAAGAAACTATATCAACTAATGGGCAAAATAACCAGCTAGCATCAAAATCACAGGATCAAATTCACACATAATAATATTAACCTTAAATGTAAATGGGCTAAATGCCCCAATTAAAAGACATAGATTGGCAAATTGGATAAAGATCAAGACCCACCGGTGTGCTGTATTCAGGAGACCCATCTTACGTGCAAAGACAGACATAGGCTCAAAATAAAGGAATAGAGGAATCTTTACCAAGCAAATGGAAAGCAAAAAAAGCAGGGGTTGCAATCCTAGTCTCTGATAAAACAGACTTTAAACCAACAAAGATCAAAAAAGACAAAAAAGGGCATTGCATAATGGTAAAGGGATCAATGCAACAAGAAGAGCTAACTGACCTAAATATATATGCACCCAGTACAGGAGCACCCAGATTCATAAAACAATTCTTGGAGACCTACAAAGAGACTTATACTCCAACATAATAATACTGGGAGACTTTAACACCCACTGTCAGTATTAGATCAACGAGACAGAAAATTAACAAGGATATTCGGGACTTGAACTCAGCTCTGGAACAAGCGAACCTAATAGACATCTACATAACTCTCCACCCCAGATCAACAGAATATACATTCTTCTCAGCACCACATCACACTTATTCTAAAATTGACCACAGAATTGGAAGTAAAACACTCCCTAGCAAATGCAAAAGAACAGAAATGATAACAAACAGTCTCTCGGACCACAGTGCAATCAAATTGGAACTCAGGATTAAGAAACTCTCTCAAAACCACACAACTAAATGGAAACTGAACAACCTGCTCCTGAATGACTACTGGGTAAATAACGAAATTAAGGCAGAAATAAATAAGTTCTTTGAAATCGATGAGAACAATGACACAGCGTACCAGAATCTATGGGAAATAGCTAAAGCAGTGTTTAGAGGGAAATTTATAGCACTAAATGCCCACAAGAAAAGATCTAAAATCGACACCCTAACATCACAATTATAAGAACTAGATAAGCAAGAGCAAATAAACTCAAAAGCTAGCAGAAGACAAGAAATAACTAAGATCAGAGCAGAACTGAAGGTGATAGAGACAGGAAAAACTCTTCAAAAAATCAATGAATCCAGGAGCTGGTTTTTTGAAAACATTAACAAAATAAATAGACTGCTAGCAAGACTAATAAAAAAGAAAAGAGAGAAGAATCAAATAGACACAATAAAAAATGATACAGGGGAGATCACCACTGATCCCACAGAAATACAAACTACCATCAGAGAATGCTATAAAAACCTTTACACAAATAAACTAGAAAATCGAGAAGAAATGGATAAATTCCTGGACACATACACCCTCCCAAGTCTAAACCAGGAAGAAATCAAATCACTGAATAGACCAATAACAAGTTCTGAAATTGAGGCAGTAATTAATAGCCCACCAACCAAAAAAAGCCCAGGATCAGATGGACTCACAGCAGAATTCTACCAGAGGTACAAAGAGGAGCTGGGACCATTCCTTCTGAAACCATTCCAAGCAACAGAAAAAGAGGGACTCCTCCCTTACTCATTTTATGAGACCAGCATCATCCCCATACCAAAACCTGGCAGAGACACAACAAAAAAAAGAAAATGTCAAGCCAATGTCCCTGATGAACATCGATGCGAAAATCCTCAATAAAATACTGGCAAACCGAATCCAGCAGCACATCAAAAAGCTTACCCAACACGATCAAGTCAGCTTCATCCCTGGGATGCAAGGCTGGTTCAACATATGCAAATCAATAAACGTAATCCATCACATAAACAGAACCAGTGACAAAAACCACATGATTATCTCAATAGATGCAGAAAAGGCCTTCCATAAAATTCAACACTCATTCATGCTAAAAACTCTCAATAAACTAATTATTGATGGAATGTATCTCAAAATAATAAGAACTGTTTATGACAAACCCACAGCCAATATCATACTGAATGGGCAAAAGCTGTAAGCATTCCCTTTGAAAACCAGCACAAGACAAGGATGCCCTCTCTCACCACTGCTATTCAATATAGTATTGGAAGTTCTGGCCGGGGCAATCAGGCAAGAGAAAGCAATAAAGAGTATTCAAATAGGAAGAGAGGAAGTCAAATTGTCTTTGTTTGCAGATGGCATGATTGTATATTTAGAAAACCCATCGTCTCAGCCGAAAATCTCCTTAAGCTGATAACCAACTTCAGCAAAGTCTCAGGATACAAAATCAATGTGCAAAAGTCATAAGCATTCCTATACACCAATAATAGACAAAGAGAGAGCCAAATCATGAGTGAACTCTCATTCACAATTGCTACAAAGAGAATAAAATACCTAGGAATAGGGCCATCTGAGGCCTCCAGTGCGGTACCTCCTATTAGATACAGCTGAGGCCCCACCAATACATGCAAGAAACCCTTCTCCTCTGAAAAGCTGGTGTCACAGGCTGCCTGTCATTTCCATGAGTTCTATGGTCACACCAAGACAAGGGTGTCCACCAACCAGGGAGACCACTGTCCCAACCAGAAAGACTTCCTGTATCTCCTCTTCCTCCCCTCTGGGGTTCCCTTTAGACCTTCTCAAGATAATACAATCTATGTTTTCTCCAAATAAGGACTACCTGTTGCCAAAAAGGGTATATGCAGACAACAATCTGAGGTTTGGAGTTTTAAAAAACTCTTCTGACCACTATGTTGACTACTCCCCAAACTGTTCCCTCATACAGAATGACCCACACCTTAGTTTAGCTCCTATCAGCTCTGTAAGCATAAATGACTTAGAAATTAACAATAGCTTTCCACGTGATAGGGCTCCTGCAATGTGGTGCACATTCCTAAAGCCTTCCAGACTTTCTGTAAGAAGTGTGGCAAGCACCAACCCCACAAAGTGGCACAGGACAAGAAAGGCAAGGATGCTGTGTATGCGCGGGGAACATGGCGTCATGGCAGGAAGCAGAGCGGGAATCTTGGGCTGAGTACTCAGGAGGCTGAGGCATGAGAATTGCTTAAGCCCAGCAGGTGGAGGTTACAGTGAGCTGAGATCACGCCACTGCACTCCAACCTGGGCGACAGAGCGAGACTCCATCTCAATAAATAAAAAATATAAATAAATAAATATAAAAAGTCCATCACTGCCTCTGAGATTTGACTTGCCACTTTTATCATATACTAAATTCCCATTTGTACTTAGGTCTATTCTGTACTTTCTATCCTATTCCATTGGTCTGTCTGCCTGTTCACATGGCCAATGCCACACTGTTCTAAATACAGAGGCTTTATGGTTTGTTTTAATAGCCCATAGGGCTAGCCCATTTTGTGCCAGTTTTTCCCTGGCTATTCCGACATGTTTATTTTCCATAGAAGCTTTAGTATCAACTTACCAACTCCATGAAACAAAGCTTGTTGGCATTTTTATGGGAATGGCATTCAATTTATAAATCAACTTGGAGGGAATGGGCATCTTGATGATGAGCTGTGATAGCCAAAAACAAGGGATGTCTTCCCACTCAAAACACAAAAGGGATGCTTCTTTGTTGCTATTATACATGGGTTTTTCTTAAGTCCTTTAACATAAATATTGTTTGTGTTTATCAAGGCCATTGATTTCTGTAAGTAAGCCAATTTTCCAATAAAAAGGCTAAAACTACAAAGGAGATGGTGCTGAGGCTTGAGCGCTGAGCCCAGCTGCAGATCTAAGACGATGCTGGATATGAGGACATGCAAGCATTTTGAACTAGGAGGAGATAAGAAGAGAAAGGGCCAAGTGATTCAGTTCTAAATTTCATCTTTTGTTTTATTATGAAGACAATAAAATCTCGAGGTTATTTTCAGTTCAAAAAAAAGAAATGTATGATAAATTTTACACTGTAAATAAATCCTTTTTTGTGGGTGAAAAAAAATACCTAGGAATACAACTTACAAGGGATGTGAAGGACCTCTTCAAGGAGAACTACAAACCACTGCTCAAGGAAATAAGAGAGGACACAAACAAATGGAAAAATATTCCATGCCCATGGATAGGAAGAAACAATATCATGAAAATGGCCATACTGCCCAAAGTAATTTATAGATTAAATGCTATCCCTATCAAGCTACCACTGGCATTCTTCACAGAATTACAAAAAACTACTTTAAATTTCATATGGAACCAAAAAAGAGCCTGTATAGCCAAGACAATCTTAAGCAAAAAGAACAAGGCTGGAGGCATCACACTACCTGACTTCAAACTATACTACAAGGCTACAGTAACTAAAACAGCATGGTACTGGTACCAAAACAGATATATAGACCAATGGAACAGAACAGAGGCCTCAGAAATAATGCCACACATCTACAACCATCTGATCTTTGACAAACCTGACAAAAACAAGCAATGGGGAAAGGATTCCCTATTTAATAAGTGGTGTTGGGAAAACTGGCTAGCTATATGCAGAAAACTGAAACTGGACCTCTTCCTTACACCTTATACAAAAATTAACTCAAGATGGATTAAAGACTTAAATGTAAGACCTAAAACCATAAAAACCCTGGAAGAAAACGTAGGCAATACCATTCAGGACATAGGAATGGGCTAAGATTTCATGACTAAAACACCAAAAGCAATGGCAACAAAAGCCAGAATTGACAAATGGGATTGAATTAAACTAAAAAGCTCTGCACAGCAAAAGAAACTATCATCAGAGTGAACAGGCAACCTACAGAATGGGAAAAATTTTTGCAATCTATCAATCTGACAAAGGGCTGATATCCAGAATCTACAAGGGACTTAAACAAATTTATAAGAAAAAACAACTCCATCAAAAAGTGGGCAAAAGATATGAAAAGACACTTCTCAAAAGAAGACATTTATGCGACCAACAAACGTATGAAAAAAAGCTCATCATCACTGGTCATTAGAGACATGCAAATCAAAACCACAATGAGACACCATCTCACACCAGTTAGAATGGCAATCACTAAAAAGTCAGGAAACAACAGATGCTGGAGAGGATGTGGAGAAATAGGAATGCTTTTACACTGTTGGTGGGAGTGTAAATTAGTTCTACCATTGTGGAAGACAGTGTGGCGGTTCCTCAAGGATCTAGAACCACGAATACCATTTTACCTGCCAATCCCATTATTGGGTATATACCCAAAGGATTATAAATCATTCTACTATAAAGACACATGCACACGTATATGTTTATTGCAGCACTATTCACAATAGCAAAGACTTGGAACCAACCAAAACACCCATCAATGATAGACTGGATAAAGAAAAGGTGGCATTTATACACCATGGAATACTATGCAGCCATAAAAACGAATGAGTTCATGTCCTTTGCAGGGACATGGATGAAGCTGGAAACCATCATTCTCAGCAAACTAATACAGGAACAAAAAACCAAACACCGCATGTTCTCATTCATAAGCGGGAGTTGAACAATGAGAACACATGGACACAGGGAGGGGAACATCACACATCGGGGCCTGTCAGGGGGTGCGGGACTAGGGGAGGAATAGCATTAGGAGAAATACCTAATGTAGATGACGGGTTGATGGGTGGAGCAAGCCACCATGGCATGTGTATACCTATGTAACAAACCTGCACGTTCTGCACATGTATCCCAGAACTTAGAGTATAATTTAAAAAAAAATTCAACAGGCAGAAATAACTTCAGCAACAAGGATCTTAAAGGGCAATCTCTAAACCTATAGAAAAAATGTTAAGAGAAATAGGCTCAAAAGTGATCTTCAAAGAAAATAACAAAATTTACAAATCAAGGGCTAAAATCGATTTCAGAAACTTCTGGTCTCCTGTTTTTAGTGACAGATAAGAAAAGTGAGAGTCATTGAAATCATGTGACCTTTTCAAAGCAACACAGAACGTAGTGCTCTCTCACTGCAGGCTGTAAGGACAATAGAAGCAGTCATGTCTCCCCCATGGCTGCACTCTCTCTGGATAGCAGGTAAATGCAGACAAATTTCTTATCCCTCAAGAGACAAGAACAGTCAACTTGTCCTCACTCTGATTTACCTGGGATGCTTGCTTCCATTGCACCAATCAGCTAGAATTTGGCAAGCACTGACATCTTTGGCTAGTTTTGCTTTGCATTTTAAAACTGACCAGAAAAAAAGCAATGCTCCGAAATTATTTTGGCATAAACATTGTGCAACCCTCTCCCACCAGATAAATCTGACTTACAATAAGTCAAAAGCAATTAGTAACCTGTGGTGGCATTTTTCAGTATAGTATTAGAGATTCTAGAAGAGACTGACTTGCAGTCCGTTCTTACCTTTGCATTTTTGATGCATGGACAGAGTGCCCATGCTGCGCTGGCCTTCACGTCTGGGTGAGGATTTTTCAGCAGGGACCACAACAAACGAACTCCATCTAAGCGATCAATTATCCTATCGTGGAACCCAAAATCATGATATAAACTGTCATTAGTATGTGAAGACAAACATTTTAATGACCCACTTATTTAATTATTTTTTCTCCTTTTGATATTTTGCTTAGAATTTTTTTTTTTTTTGCAAAACTTCATCAACAGTAGGGAGATAACATGCTGTTGAATTGTCAGCCCTCTGATTTCAGTTTTAAATCCATGACACAGAAAACAAGCTGCTTGATGATTACGATTCACATAAACTGAAAATCAAGCCATGTAATTTTTTAATTAGCTGTACACAGACCTGTTACCTAAATGTAAAAATACGGGTTTCTTTCATATAGTAACATTTAAATACTTTCCAAAACAAATATTTATGCCTCAAAACTGTGCAGTTACCTTTTTTATTTGGTCTATGTTTAATTGACTTACCTTACCGTATGACATATTTTAAATGCTTTCAGTCCTAATCTAGCATTAGGAATTAAAATCATTACACCACAGTGCATCCTTTGTTGGGCATGAATAACAGGTAACTTGTTTTCCATGTGCACCCTTCCCAGCAAGACTAACATTGCAGACTGTGTTATAATTACTTAAAGACACTGTAATCAAAATAGCTTCATGACTAGCTGAAAAATGAATTATCATCAGAGCCATCTCTCCACCATCTGTCTTCTGTTTATATATCAATCAGTCCAGGAGCATAACCTCGCAGTAAGGTCCATTGGGTACTCACAGCGGAGAAGAAGGCCAAACAAAACTTAATAACCTTTACAAACATGGCTTTGTTTCGGAAAGGTATATTAAACTCAAAGCAGATGAAAAAAGATAAAGGGCATCAAAATTCCTTTGATTTTTAATCTCAAGTTGAATTAAACACATGTAGTATTGAGCCACAGATAGAATAAATACTAGCTTAAAATGCCATTCAAATTCTTCCTTGAAAATTGACGTAAAAACATCTAGATGTCTTGATTATCTTAGATGAGTTTACCAGGGGGGAAAAATGTATTATTCCAAAGTTTTCAAGTAGGAGATCAGTTTTGCATAACTTTATAAAATTGGTGACGCTGAAAAAGAGCATTGAAAAAAACTGGTGATGTAAATAGCCGATAGTAAGATAAAAACTGTCTTAAAAAGGACTTCTAATAAGAAAAAATACACGTAAAAATTATTTTAAAGCAAAGCTTAAGTAAGTAGGTTTTCAAACCTAAAACTTTCATACCATGCTGAGAGAAAACAGTTTTATTTCTCAATTAATGGAAACTCTAAAGAAACATACTAGCACTTCACAATGAAGGATTTGCTTTTCAAATTTAAATTGAAAAGTCATACTGCCTTCCATATGCTACTTAAAATATAACTAACGCCAATCTCTGAGCCTCTATTTTTTTCACATAAAATTTCACAATGAACAACAGTGAATAATGGCCTGCCCTATCTTCTTGAAAATTTCGCAGCAAATTTGGCATTAGTGATATTTAACTGTATATTGCTGGACAGAAATAACTTGTCATTGCAGTGGAAGTCATTTGGATGGCACAAATTTGCAATTTAAAAAAAGGAACATTCAATCCTGGACAAAATTTCACAATTAACTTTAAAACAAGTTATAGACAAAATTTCACAATTAACTATAAAAATTCACTATAATTGTAAAATTAGATCTATCATTTACCATTTTCACCCCAAACCTTAGGCAATTCATCAGCTACTTAGCTATAATGAGTGAGGATTTTGATCTCATTACTGGTGTCTTAAAAGAAGACTCAGGGGCGGGGCCCAGTGACTCACACCTGTAATCCCAACACTTTGAGAGGCGAAGGCAGGCAGATCACTTGAGGTCAGGAGTTCAAGACCAGCCTGGCCAATGTGGCTAAATCCTGTCTCTACTAAATATACAAAAATTAGTCAGGCTTGGTGGCACGCGCCTGTAGTCCCAGCTACTCAGGAGGCTGAGGCAGGAGAGTCGCTTGAACCCAGGAGGTGGAGGTTGCAGTGAGTCGAGATTGCACCACTGCACTCCAGCTTGGGCGACAAAGTGAGTCTTCATTTGAAAAAAAAAAAAAAAAAAAAAAAAAGACTCAGAACACTACGGAATGATAACTTCCTATGACAAGAACATGATTGAAAAACATTTGCAACCATAGGAACTAACAAAGTCAGGAGTAGTAAGTTAGAATTTAACTTTATCCTTTCCATCTCCCTCATCCTCTGCATGAAGTCATTTATTGCTAAATTTTACTTCACAATGACTCAAGTATCTGCCCATTTCCCTGTTTTCTATTTTAGCACCCAAATCCCAGTCTTTACCATTTCATATCAGGATCGTTGTGTGAGGGAATAACTTGGTTTTCTGTCCTCAGTTTTTCTCAATTTCAATCCATCTTATAAATCCCAGCAAAATTAATTTTCCTAAAGACACTTTTAGAATTTCTGCAATAGCTCCTTGAGATCAGGATGCCAGGGATATTCATTCTGTTCATGACACTAGCTAGCACATTTGATCAGCGCTTGTTAAACGATTCTCAACCCAAAGATCACTCCTAGGGAAAAAAGTCTCCAATGGCTTCCCGTTGCCTTCATGGTATTAAACCTGCAATTCCAGAGCTCGGTATTTAAATTTTTTAGGGGGCTGGAATTTCTCATAATACTCCTTGGCTATCTACTAAACACTAAGTACTAGGCATACAGAAATAACAGATACACTTGGGTCAGGCACGGTGGCTCACGCCTGTAATCCTAACACTTTGGGAGGCCAAGGTGGGTGGATCGCATGAGCTCAAGAGTTCAAGACTAGCCCAGGCAACAAAGGATCCTGTCTCTACAAAAAATACAAAAAAAAATTAGCCAGGCATGGTGGTGCACGACTCTAATCTCAGCTACTTGGGAGGCTGAGGTAGGAGGATGACTTGAGCCCAGGAAGTGGAAGTTGCAGTGAGCCCAGATTGCGCCACTGCACTCTAGCCTGGATGACAGAGCCAGACCCTGTCTCAAAAAAACAAAAAACAAACAAACAAACAAAAAAACAGATACAGTCAATTCTCATCAGGGGAAGTTATGTTCTATCAAGTCAGTGCAAACCTTTGATGAACAAATAGTGAACTACCCTTCCTAGGGTATATATAAAGTGGGTTCCCGTGAGCCTCTAGTCAGAATGTTTTCATCAACCAATCAATATATAACGTTGTTTCACGTGTATTTCTCTTTAAAGACACCTTATTAAATATAGATTGTTGAATCATGAATATTGGACTTATGGCCAGTAGCTCTGTAACTTGTGCCTGAATGGCGTTTAGGGAATACACAGATTTTTTTCCAAAAGGAACATCGCCGCCGTCCTGCACTTAGGAACACTGGGCGGCACTTCAGCACTATGTTTAGGGACCATATTAAAACAGCAAAATCACCATCCCAGAGCACAGACTGTGAAAAACGTGGCACTAAACAGATTGCCAAATGGACAAGCTGTTCACAGTGTGAGAGCTGGAACGAAAAGTCAGAATGTCACCTTTTTGGACCTCAGCAGAAAACATATGCACCAGGTGACTCAAAATGTGTCCCTGCTCTGCACGTGTCCAGGAATGACAGCGCAAGTGATGTGACTACTGATTTGGGGGTTATAAATAAAGTTTAGAGACTGTATGAATTCATCAATTCAGAATTTGCAAATAATGAGGACTGACTGTATTTTAATGGACCATTGGGAAACTACAGTCTTGTGAGGGTGATAAACAGACCATTATAATCTGTAATAAATGCTGCAATAGATGTGAGCGTGGAGTTTCACATGAACACAGACAGAAGACACCAGTTTACTCACAGGCCACAGAGCTTCTCCCCGTTATGCACTTTCAACTATTGCTGTTTCCCAGCCATCTCCGTATTTTACATAGTAATCCATCACTTAAGGTCTACAACAAAACCTCTTTCGCAAATTCTCTGGCATCTTCCTCCTTTAAGCTTCTTTTTAATTTTGCACTCCCTTTTCCTGCCCCTCATACCACATTACTTTGCCTTGTAGTCTTGTGTTGTGTGCTTCTTATCTCCCCAATTACCATGTAATCTCCATGACAGCAGGAATTCTGTATTTCCCACCACACTCCCAGCAGGCTACCACACCAGTGAATACTGATGAAATGGATCTGAAACAAGACAGCCTTTGCTTACTCTTTTTCATTGCATCAAAAATCTCTCCCAACACAAGTACACTCCTCCTTAAACCTCATACTTGCAAAATACACGTTCAAATTCTAAATCGGAGCAGTAAAGTTTTCATTTGAAGTTGTCTCTAAGTGGAAAGTGTATTTTCTCAGAATTTCTTGACAACTTCATTGCTTTCTGCATACACACTGATGGGCTTATAGGTGGTGTTAATTTATACCACTCTCCATTTTCAACAGGTCTACCCCTTATATAGTTCTTTAATTTGATTAGCATCTTGCTCTGAATTCATTTCCAGCAGTATGGTAGCTCTTCTCATTTTGCATAGCAATAGAATCCTAAATTAATTTCTTGACATTATAAAAACAAAACTGAATTACATGCTTTCAAGATCTTCAGTTTT
This sequence comes from Homo sapiens, assembly GCF_000001405.40. Taxonomy (NCBI): domain Eukaryota; kingdom Metazoa; phylum Chordata; class Mammalia; order Primates; family Hominidae; genus Homo; species Homo sapiens. Next base: position 27,912,329 of record NC_000010.11, read on the forward strand.
ATCTCAGAAATCAAACTGCCTGGCTGGCAAAATAACAGCTCTAGAAAGATGAATACATGTACGTGCTTTTGGTTATTTAAAAAAAAATAAACAAACCAAAAAGATGCAGCTGTTTGCTACGTTTCTCAGGCTCTTGTTATGTTAACATTTTCCAGGACTGCTATGAAGTTTTGCTGGCTCGCCTGCCCATTGAGGCCATATATATGAACAAATGTGAACAGTTTGTGCCCATACTGTGGGCACAGGCAAGGTTGTAGGGTTTCTTTCTGGCAATATCAACATATCTATTTTGAAATCATAATTTTGCATGTTTTCTAAAAACTTCACAGTATTTGGTGAAAATTACACTGATAAATACCATTGTATGACAGTGGCTCAAACTAAGTGTGGTTTGCTTAAAAGAACATGACGTTCTTAAACCACAACATTAAAGGATGCGACTGTCATCTACAAGTTTTGAAACCAAGTTGGCAATTCAGTAAAATGGGAAACATAAATGTATGTCAGAATTAAAATGATCATCCCTGGGAAAAACAGATTAGAAGAGAATTTTACCTTTAAAAAAATCCTTAAGGTTTTTACGTTTCTACCTCTATGTGTTATTCCAAAGAGGCTATGGGACAACAAATTTGGAGAAAAGATGTGAATGTGGCAGTCTTGGGATAAGTATGTCAGAAATTCTTTAGCCTTTGGAAAGCAGGAGGATAGCCTATGCTTTCATAGTTGGTATAAACAATATGATTAGAAAGACTCTAGAAATCTTTTTTGTCAGAAAAATTATCATATAGTAAATATGTTTCTCCTTTTTTCAACTTTTTAGTTTTGGGGGTACATGTGCAGGTTTGTTAAATAGGTAAATTACGTGTCGCGGGGGTTTGGTGTACAGATTATTTTGTTACCCAGATAATAAGCATGGTACCTGATAGGTAGTTTTTCGATCCTCACCCTCCTCCCACCCTCCATCTTCAAGTAGGCCCTGGAGTCTATTGTTTCCCTCTTTGTGTCCATGTGTACTCAGTGTTTGCTTCCCACTGATAAGTGAGAACATGCGGTATTTGGTTTTCTATCCCTGCATTAATTTGCTTAGGATAATGTTCTCCAGCTCTATGCATGTTGTTGCAAAAACAATTACAACAGAATAAAAATGGACAAATTAGACTTAATTGAACTGAAGAGAGCTTCTGCACAGCAAAAGAAACTATCCACACAGTAAACAGATAAACCCACAGAATGGGAGAAAATATATGCAAACTATGCATCTGACAAAAGTCTAATATCCACAATCTATAAGAAACTTAAATTAACAAGCAAAAGCTGAATAACCCCATTGAAAAGTGGTCAAAGCACATGAACAGATACTTCTCAAAAGAAGACATACACGTGGCCAGCAAGCATATTAAAAAATGTTCAACATCACTGATCATTAGAGAACTGCAAATCAAAACCACAAGAAGATACTATCTCACATGAGTCGGAATGGCTATTATGAAAAAGTCAAAAAATAACAGATGCTGGCAAGGTTGTGGAGAAAAGGGAAAGCTTGTACACTGCTGGTAGGAATGCAAATTAGTTCAGCCACTGTGAAAAGCAGTTCGGAGATTTCTCAAAGAACTTAAAACAACTAACATTTAACCCAGCAATCCCATTATTAGGTATAAACCCAAAGGAATATAAATCATTCTACCATAAACATACATGCAGGTATATGTTTACTGCAGCAAAATTCACAGTAGCAAAGACATAAAATCAACCTAAATGCCCATCAATGGTAGACTGGATAAAGAAAATGTACATACAAACCATGGAGTACTACACAGCCATAAAAAAGAATGAGATCAAACAATAAATATTAAGTGAGAGCCAATTATATCCCATGCATTGAAACACATCGAGAGGCACAAAATATCTAGTTGTCCAACTTTCAGCAATGCTGAGTTTGGTCCTTTAATTACGCTGGTGACCACCAGACCTTTCCATTTTAAAGATGCCATTTTTTCTTTTCATTGTATAACAATCTGTGGGGTCATATTATGTCTCCCTGAGAAAGTTCTGTTCCAACAATCATTCCCTATTTTAAGTTTTAGCATTCATTAATTATCCTTGCCTAAAATAATTATTTTATTGGGAATTGTAAAATAGTGATTTTTCTAATTCTGTTCATTTTCTCAATTTGTTACTTGACATTATTCTATGAAAAAGAGCTTTTCTTTCATTAACTAGAGCTCAATTACAGTTTCTCCATAAAGGCAGAATATATGTTTAATCTGTTCCCTTTAATGACCAATTTGTGGTTATCTCCTCTGTAGGCAAAGGAGAAATATAGCATTTCCATTATTTATAAATATGTATGTATGTGTGTGTATATATATATGTGTGTGTATATAAATATGCATGTATACACATACTTTATATATGTATATAAAATGGAAATGCTATATTTGAAAACTACAGTATTAGAAATGAAGAATTCATTAGATGGGCTTAACAGCAAACTAGACACAGAAGAGAAAGGGATCTGTAAATTCAAGGCAGTAAAATATATCCAAACAGAAAAACAAAGAGAAAAGCCTGACCTTTTCTCTTTGAAGAAGAAGTGACAGAGTTCAATGTCTGTGAAATATTATTAAATGAAACAACATATGCATGATTGGAATACCAAGAAGAAGACAGAGAGAGAATGGGACCAAAGAATATTTGTGAAGGCGATAATCACAATCTTCCCCCAAATTGATGGCAGACATTAATCCATAGGTCCAAGAAGCTCAGCGAACCCTAAATAAAAGTAAAAGCCACAATATAAATGAAAGTAAAAACCACACCTACACACATCATAATCAAATGGCTGAAACCCAAAGGTAAAAAGCCAATCTTAAAAGCAACCAAAGAAAAAAAATGCATACGTCTTAGTCCCTTCAGGCTGCAATAACAGAATGCCATATGCTGGGTGGCTTGTAAACAACACACATTTATTTCTCACAGTTCTGGAGGCTGGGAAGTCAAAGATAAAGGCAGGCAGATTCAGTGTCTAGTGAGAGCCTGTTTACTGGTTCTCAGACAGCCATATTTTCACCTTAACTTCACATGGTAGAAGGGGCAAAGGAGCTCTCCGGGGACTCTTTTAAAAGGGCATTAATTTCATTTATGAGGCCTCTACCCTCACGTCCTAATCACTTCCCAAAAGTCTCAGCTCTAAATTTTCTCACAATGGGGATTAAGTTTCAACATCTAAATGTGAGGGAACAGTATATATAGCACAGTAGGTATGGGGAATTATGATACGATTAAATTCTGACTTCTCATAAGAAACAGTGAGGGCAAGAAGACAATAGAATGGCATTTATAAAATGCTAGAAGGAAAAGAACTGTCAACCTAGACTTCTGTATCCAGTGAAAACATCCTTCAAAAGGGATAGTAAATCCTCTTCCCCTTGCCTTAGCCCTAAAGCCAGTAAGTGGAGCACACAAAACCATTGTGTGTGGCAGAACAAAGTAGTCATCCATGATATTGCCAGAAAGAAACTCTATGATCTTAACCATGCCTACAATATGGACACAAACTGTTCACATTTGTTCATATATATGGCCTCAATTAGCAGGTGAGCCAACAAGGTTGTTTTAATGGTCCACCATGGAGTGTTAGAGCACAAGAAGGATGAAGAGAGAATCTCTCTAAGTGTAGGGGGAAACAGTCACAAGATATTAGAACCTAAATAGAGTGATTGAAGCAATCTTTAGTGGTGCAACCCAACGCGGGAAGTCAGAACCCTAGCAGAATAAGGGGAATATCCCCACTGAGAATTAGCCTGGTATGTGGGGACAGAGACTGAAAAGTGTGAAAGAAAGTGCCAATATAGTAGAGCAGCATGACAGGAGATCAAAAGCTGAGCAGGGTGAGGAGGGCAGACATACTAGGGGAAGGTGGCCTAACATGGGGAACTAGAGCCTGAATGGGGTGAAGAGAACATTTTGGAGGCTGGGTAATCCAGCATGGTAAATCAGAACAAGCACAGGGTGAAGAGAGCATCTGCAAAGGGGAGGAGATGGGGATGATTATGAAAGCTTGGTTACATACAGGGAAATTGATCAAATAAGTAAGGACGGAGGTCAGTTTCTCACTGTCAATGAAGAGAATTATAAATACAGTTGACCCTTGAATAACATGGGTTTGAGCTGTGTGGGACCACTTAACATGTGGGTTTCCTTCCATCTCTGCCACCCCTGAGACAGCAAGGCCAACGCCTCTTCTTCCTCCTCCTCCTCAGCCTGTTCAACGTGAAGATGACCAAGATGAAGATCTTTATGAAGATTCACTTCCACTTAATGAATAGTAATTATATTTTCTCTTCCTTAGAATTTTCTTAATAACATTTTCTTTTCTCTAGCTTACATTATTGTAAGAAATCAGTATATAACAACAAAATATGTGCTAATTGTTTATGCTATTGGTAAGGCTTCTGGTCAACAGTAGGCTATTAGTAGCTAAGTTTTGGGGAAGCCAAAAGTTATACACAGATTTTCGACTGCATGGAGGGTTAGCGTCTCTAACCCCTGTGTTGTTCAAGGGACAGCTCTAGGAAGAAAAAACTACAAATAAACAAATCTACAATCATGATTGAAAATTTTCACACCCCTTTCTCAGGAGTTGATAAAATAAAATTTAAAAAATGATAAAGATAGAAAAGACTGAAAAAACACACTTAACCAATTTCACTTAATCAACATTTTAAAAGCATTGCATAAAACTACTGCAGAATACACAGTTTTCTCTCAGTGCAAATGGAATATTGACAAATACAGACCAGACAGCTGAGTCATAAAGCCTAATATGAAAGAACTGAAATCACATATAATATCATCCCTGACCTTGTGGTTTTAAACTAGAAATCAATAACAACATGGGATCTGGAAAATAACCAGTTTTAGAAATTAAGCAGCACTTGTAAATAATCCCTGGGTCCAAGGTAAATCACACAAAAAATAGAAACTATTTTGAATTAAATAAAAATGAAATCACAACTTATGTTTGTGGGATGAGGCTAAAACTGTGCTTAAAGAAAAATGTATACCTTTAAAAAATTATATAAGACAAGAATTGGCCTATAATACCAATGAACACAGCTTTTACCTTAAGAAGCTAGAAAAAGAAGCAAAAGTTAAACACAAATAAGTACAATAAATAAAGTAATTAAAAATAAAGGCAGATATTAATGAAACAGGGAATAGACAAAAATAGAGAAAATAAAGTCAAAAGTAGGTTCTTTTAAAAGGTGAATAAAAATGGTAAACCACTAAAGAAAGGTTGACAAACTTTTTCAGTAAAGGTCCAGATAGTAAATATTGTAGGCTTTGTAGGTAACATATAAGCTCTATTGAATAGTCTTTGCTTTGTTTTTGTTTTTGTTTGAAAAACCAATTGAAAATATAAAGATAATTAGCTCACAGATTATTTTTTTAATGGACCATGGTCCTCCCAAAAAAGAGACTGATGGAGAGAGAGAAAAATGAGAACTACTATCATTATAGAATCTACAAAGATTAAAAGAATAATAAAATGAATAATACAAGGATATTGCAATAATTTTAGGCTAAGAAATAAAATAAAATGAACATATTTCCAAATTACCAAAACTGACCCAAGAAGGAATTGAAAATCTACATAGTGCCATATCTTTAAATAAATTGAATTTGTAATTTTAAAAACCAATTAAAAAGGAATCCTTTTCATAAAAAAAACTCCAACTTAGATAATTCTGCTAAGTGAATTATATCAATATTTAAGAAAAAATAATCCTACACGAAATCTATCAGAAAACAAAGAGAAAAAATAATTTCTCAACTTGTCCTATAGGGCCTGCATAAACCTGATACTAACACTTGACAAAGACATTACAAGGAAAGAAAACTACAAATCAACATATCTCATGAACATAAACACAAAATATAAAATATCAGCAACATGAACGCAAGAATGCATGAAAAAGGTAATGCAATATGATCAGAGTGATTTTATCCAAGGAATAGAAGTTTGGCTCATCCTTCCAAAACAAATCATGGTGAGTCACTTTATTAATAGAACAAAAGAAAAATCACCTTATTTATTTATAGAACAAAAGAAAAATCATCTGATCATCTCAATAGATAAAAAGCATCGTATAAAATTCAAAAATCTATTTTTATTAAAATATAACTCTCACAGCAAACTAGGAATAGAAGGAAACTTTTTCAATCTGATAAAACATCTACAAAAACCTACCACTAACATCACACTTAATGGTGAAAAATTGAATGCTTTCTCCCCAAGATTAGGTACAGAACATATATGTTTGCACTCATTTGATTGTAACAGAGGTCTTGGCCTGCCTAATAAAGCACACACAAAAAAGAAATAACAGACATAAGGATTGTGGGGGGAAGTGAACTGTCATTATTTGCAGATTATGTATTTCTACATGTAGAAAACCCTATGGTATCTACAAAAAAAATTGGAAAAAATAAAGTTAGCAAGTTTGCCAGCATACATAAAGGTATATTTGAATATACAAAGGTATATTCAAAAATTAATTATGTATCCATTACTTGTAAAAAAAAAAACTGGAAAAAAATTAAAAATAATTATCAATCACAAAACCACAAATAAGTAGATAACTAGAAAAAGTATAATGGAAAATGTGCAATGCTCTACATTGCAACTACAAGGTATTGCTGAGAGAAATGAAAGACCCAAATAAATGGCAATATATACCTCATTAATGGATTGGCAGTCTCAATATCATTAAGATTTCCATTTTCCTTAAATTAGTTCAGAAATAGACCCATTCATTTACAATCAGTTGAATTTCAACTGAGATACCAAGTTAATCAAATGAAAAATAGTGTTTTCAATAAATGGTACTGGGACAAATGGATACTGTATGAAACAATTAATTTTGACCCCCTTTCATGCCATACTTAAAAACTAGTTTGATCACAGACAGTACAGAATCCCATGAACCTTAAAGGACAACCGAAAAATTGACCTTCCTCATATTAAAGGTTTCTGCTCAAAAGGAAGTCTTAATGCTTACTGGGGAAAAATTACTCCACAGTACATATATCTAATAATGCATATGTGTTCAAAATATGTAATAGACTTCAACAAAAGAGAAACAATCCAATTAAAAATGGGCAAAAGACTTTAACAGGCCACAAAACAATATATACAAATTGGTAATAAAGATATGGAAAGTTACTCAATACCATTAGTTATCAGAAAAATGAAAATGAAATCTACAATGACATACCATTTCACCCTATTAGAATGACTAAATTTTTTAAAGAAGACTGACAACACTAAGTATTGGCACTGGTAGGAGTGTAAAATCGTACAATCACTTTTGTGTACTATTTGGAAGTTTCTAGTAAAGTTAAACACATACTCTGTGATGACTCAGAAATTCCAATGCAAGGATATGCAATACTAATCTATAGTAATGGAAATAAAATTGGTTGAAACATAACATGAGTAAACTTTCCTGGATGAAGGACATGTTTTATAATTACTTTTGCCTGCTGGTTATATGGCTGTATACAATTATGAAAACTCACTAAACTAAACAATTAAGTGTAAAAATAACCCGTAATTTAGAACAAAATGTCAGATAAAACACTCTATGCTTTCATTCAGATACACTCCAAACAGAAACAAAACTAAGCTATAGTTTATAGGGATGAATTCTCAAGTATAAAATTATGAAAAAGAAGCAAGGTCCTAATTACCATAAAAGGCAAAAAAAAAAGAGATATCCCCAGAGTAGAGAGAGGTGGCACTGAGTGGGCTGTGAGGACGGGCAGCCGGGAGGTTTATAATAATGACCATATTCTATTTCTTGACTTGGATGGCAGTTACATAAGTGTTTCCCTTCCAATAATTTACTAATGTGTTAATTTTCATTATTCACTTTCCCTTATGTATAGTTTACAAATTAAAAAAATTTTAAAGGCTTTTTATTTTATTGTGAACACACATATACACGTATGCGCTCTCACAGTAAATAGTACTGAGAAGCCCACTCACAGTAAATAGTACTGAGAAGCCCATTCTTTCATCTATTAATATGCGTGCATATCACAACTGGCTGGATGAGATACAGAATGTGGAAAAATAAAACCCACATAATCTTCAAATTTAAAAATCCCTAGAGCCTGTTTTAAAATGAGAAAACCAAGATTCGGAAGATTAAATGATTCACATAATTACTCTCCATTTGACACTTTTGCATCTCAGTTAAATCTACGTGCTTTAAAAGTATGCAGATGAAAAACAAAAATGAAAATGTGAGAGGAAAGAAAAATGTTCTTGTTGATACAAACATGTAAAACACATATTCTATTTTATGTTTTGCATAAACCCTGAAAGGTCACGAAGACTTGTTCTGTGGCAAAAGACATATCTGGGCAGCCACAGAGAGATTAAATCTCTTCTGTATACAAACAAGCATAGCTTTACTTTTTTTCTCCTTTTTACAAAGAACAAATAAACCCAATGTAAAAACTGAAAAAAAAAAACTATGTAAATGCAACATAATTATGTTTAAACCACAGAAGAGAGGAAATTTAGAGTTACAGATTCCATGGTAAGTTTTAATTCTATCCTTGTGTATGTGAAAGAGTCTTTCATTACACGATCACATAACACTGGGCCATGTAACAATCAGTCCAACAAATGTTTACTTTACAACGTGTGGAAGGAAAATATTTTGTAAGAGAAATTGTAGGAAATTAGTATATTATTTATGTAAATTGTTAGGTAACATTTCTTAGAATCCTGGGCACTTACAAAATATTAATAGAAATACCTGTTCCTTAATTTCCTTGATCTAAAGAACACGAAATTTGGAGGATCGCTTGAGCCCAGGAGTTTAAGGCTGCAGTGACCCCTCATCATGCCACTGTACTTTAGCCTGGATGACAGAGTGAGACCCCACCTCCAACGAAAAAAAAAAAGAAAAAAAAAAGAACATGAAATTTAACTCTTTTATAGGCAGGCACTTACTCATGTTGAAAGCTAACCTTTAAATTTTAAGGATATTTTGAAGTAATGGAAAATTTAGAGCATTAGACTTTTAGTATGTTTTGAATCATGTATGCCAGGTAGTTTGTATAAAAGAACAGTAGAGACTAAATAACTCATGAAGATCCATGAATTCCAGTAATTAAAAAAAAAAATCCTTATCAGTCTTGGAGTTTGCTGGGATTCCTGACAACTCATATATCTATATGCATATATAAATGGATTTTTTTTTAAAAAAAGGAGGAATAAATCATTTATCCTTATTTGTATAAATTATATTTCAGGTTGACAAACAGCAATCAATTCTGAGACAAACCTAGCAAAATTATTAGATTACAAAGATAAAAATCCCCAGTCCAAAAAAAAAAAAATCAAGTAATTTACAAAGGCAAAATAATTAGACAAGCATCAGACTTTTCAAAAAAATGTTATGAAGCAAGGCAATAGAGCAGTATTTTATTTTTTTTTTTGTAATTTAATGAAAGAACTTGGGAATCAAGAACTTTAGGCCGGGCGCCTTGGCTCATGCCTGTAATCCCAGTACTTTGGGAGGCCAAGGAGGGTGGATAGCTTCAGCTCAGGGGTTCGAGACCCACGTGGGCAACATGGTGAAACCCTGTCTCTACAAAAACTACAAAAATTAGCCGGGCATGGTGGGATGTGCCTGTAGTCCCAGGCACTTGGTAGGCTGAGGTGGAAGGATATCTTGAGCCCAGAAGGTCAAGGCTGCAGTGCCACTGCATTCCAACCTGGGTGACAGAGTGAAACTCTGCCTCAAAAAAAAAAAAAAAGAAAGAAAACAAAAGAAAAAAGAAAAAAAGAAAAGAAAACAACAACAATAAAAGAACTTTATATCTAGCAAGGCTGTCCACTGAGTATTTTTAGCAAGTTTTAACATATAAGAATTTAGGGAATTCTGCACCCCTGAGCCCTTTTTGAAGATTCTCCTAGAGGGATGAGCTCCAAACTAAGACTATAGAACTTAAGCTAATTGAATCACATATGCATAGATTATATAAGTAAATATATATGTAACTGTTGATCTAAGTTTAAAACAAAGGCAGGGTCAATGGTGGAATAATAATGTTTGAATGTTATATATAACAAAACAGAAATAATGCACTTTAAAAATGGGAGGAAAAGGAAGGGAGAAAAAGAAAAATAGAATGATCCTATTGATTACCATACAGGCAATAGATGAGAATTAAAAGAAACCAATAAAAACTGAGAAACTAAATACTGAATGGGCTGGGCACAGTGGCTCACACCTGTAATCCCAGCACTTTGGAAGGCCGAGGTGGGTGGATCATTTGAGGTCAGGAGTTCAAGACCAGCCTGGTCAAAATGTTGAAACCCTGTCTCTACTAAAAATACAAAAATTAGCTAGGCATAGTGGTGCATGCCTGTAATCCCAGCTACTATGGTGGCTGAGGCAGGAGAATCATTTGAACCCAGGAAGCAGAGGTTGCAGTGAGCCAACATCGCACCACTGCACTCCAACCTGGGCAACAAAGTGAGACTCTGTCTCAAAAAACAAAAACAAAATAAAACAAAAACAAACAAACAAAAAACAAAAAAAACTAAATAGTGAATGATTAAATAAGAAGGAGGATGAGGACACTGGAAAAATTTATAGGTACAAAGATAACCACTAGAACAAAAATGCAAACCTTTCTAAAGAACAACAAATTAAAGAGCAAGCAATAACAAAGAACAAAGACTGCAAATCTTATAGCAAAATATAATTATAAAAAATTACGACATTGTTGAAACTAAACATTATTCATATCCATGAATGTGAATGCGTTTAACTCATTAAAACAAAAACTATGTTTAATTGACTCACAAAACAAGACCCCATTTATATACTGCATGCAAGGGCACATCTAAAACAATGTGATTCAGAAAGACTAAAAAAGTGTAGATCAAGATATATCAAGCAAATGGAAACAGTAAGAAAGCAGGGATAAATATTCTGTTACCAAACAAAGTAGAAATCAAGCCAAAACACATTAAACCTGACAAAGAACAGCACTTGAAATATCAAAAGTCATAATTCATAACCATTAGAAACATTTATGCACCAAATAATACAGCACCTACTATAGAAGATGTAAGAAGATTTAGATAAAAGTACATTAATAATAAGAGAATTTCATACAGCAGTTACAGCATAAGACAGATCAAGTTCACACAAAATAATAAGATAGAAGACATAAGTAATATAAAGTAGATCTAGAGAATACACATCAAACTCTACACTCTGTTGATAAAGAATCCCAAGCACTGACAGGGTACAGTGGCTCACACCTGTAATCTCAGTGCTTTGAGAAGCCAATGGGGGATAATCACTTGAGGACAGGAGTTCAAGACCAGCCTGGACAACAGAGCAAGACCACATCTCTACAAAAAATTTTTGAAATTAGCTGGATGTGGAGGCACATACCTGTAGTCCTAGCTACTTGGGAGGCTGAGGTGGTAGGATTGCTTGAGTCCAGGAGTCCAAGGCTGCAGTAAGCTATGATTACACCACTGCATTCCAGGTGATAGAGAGAGACCCTGTCTAATGAAAGAAAGAAAGAAAGAAAGAAAGAAAGAAAGAAAGAAAGAAAGAAAGAAAGAAAGAAAGAAAGAAAGAAAGAAAGAAGGAAAGAGAAAGAAAGAAGGAAAGAGAAAGAAAGAAAGAAAGAAAGAAAGAGAATCCCAGTACCCATAAAACACTCATAATAATTCATCTTCTATTGTCATTAAAAAAGCATCCATAAGCTTCATTAACAGTTGAAATAAAAAAGTCAACACACTCTGATCAAAATGTAGTATGAGAAATATCTAACAAATCAAAAAGTAAAATTCTCTGTGTAGTTAAAAAAAATTTTAAAGAAAAATTTCTCATTAATTCTATTAAGCAACTGGGCTAACAGGGGAATACAAAGTGAAATTAAGACACTTCTAAAAATGATGATAATGAAAGTACTATACATCAAAATTACAGGGTACATTTAAAGCAATGTCAAAGGAAAATTCATAACATAAGCAACTTTTATTATTTTTTAAAAAATTAAAATAATTAGAAAAATAGCTACAATATAAACCAAAAGAGACCAAAATGAATAAAGATAAAACCAGAAATTTATGTGGTAGAAAATAAAAGAACAGTACATCCAGTTAATAAAATAAAAAATTTTCAGAAAAAAAATTCAAAATAGAGAAACCATACTAGCTAAATTGATTAGGAGGAAAAAAAAAAAAAAAAAAAAAAAAAACAGAAGAAAGCCCACATTATACAAAAATTTAAAATGACAAGGAAAAAATAACCATTGAACCAGGAAAATTTAAACACCATTAAGAGATTAGTTTGCAGGCCACTATTCAAATAAATTTGAAAGTTGAAAGGAAATTGAACATTTCCTAATAAAATGCAGATTTCCAAAATTGAGCTCAGTAGAATAAAAAACATAAATAGACCACTTTACATAGAAGAACTAGAGAAAGCTATTAAATAATTTTTTAAAAAACTGTAGGTCCATATAATTGCATAGGAGACTTCTACCAAACCTTCAAAGCCCAGGTAGTCCCATTGCTCAATAAACTGTTCCAGAGTATTTAAAATGAAAAAAAAAAAAAAATCCCGATTCCTTTTGTGAAGCAAGTATAACATTGATAACTAGATTTTATAAAAAGCCAGAAAAAGAAAACAGAAAAAAGAAAAACTACAGACCAATATCACTCATGAATATTATTACAAAAATGCTAAATATTAGCTAACAGAGTCCTACCTCACATTAAGAAAAACAGTACACTATGACTAAGTGAGACTTATTCCAGGAATGCAAGGTTAGTTCAATGTTTGAAAATGCATTAATAATTCCCTATATTAATAGGAATAAGAAAAAAATCATGATGAAACATATAGAGCACAGTCCCCACAAATGCTCAGAAAGCCTTTGACAAAATTCAATTACCAATCCTAATAAAAACACTTTTTAAAAAATGTTTTTGAGGCAAGGCCTCACTCTGTCACCCAGGCTGGAGTACAGTGATGCAATCATGGCTTACTACAGCCTCAAATTCCTGATCTCAAATAATCCTCCCACCTCAACCTCCTGAAAGGCTGGAATTACAGGTGCACACTACCATGCTCAACTAATTTTTAAAGTTTTTGTAGAGACAGGGCCTCATTACGTTTTCCAGGCTGGTCTCAAACTCCTGGCCTCAAGTGATCCTCCTGCCTTGGCCTTCCAAAGTGCTGGGATTACAGGCATGAGCCACCACAATGGCAAAAAACACTTTAAACATAGAAATTGAGAGATAATTTTAATATGATAAAATACATACACTTTAAACCTAAGGTTATTCTTTTACTTCATAGAGAGACACTAGAGGCATCCCCACTAAAATTATGAACAAGACAAAGAGGATCCCTATCTCCACTACTATTCAAGAAGGTACTAGGGAATTAGCTAATGAAATTAGAGGAGATAAATCAATTTAAAGAATAAGAATTTTAAAGGAGTAACATTTGGGAGGCTGAGACAGGAGAATTGCTTGAGCCCGGGATGCAAGGGTTGCAGTGAGCCAAGATGGTGCCACTGCACTCCAACCTGGGTGACAGAGTGAGACTCCAGCTAAAAAAAAAAAAAAAAAAAAGTAACACTTTCTCTAATGTTAGAGCAGAGGTGAGCAAATTTTTCTGTAAAGAGCTAGATATTATTTTAGTCTTTAGTCTTTGTGGGCCATCCATTCTCTGCCACAGCTGCTCAACTTTGCAGTTGTAGCACAAATGCAGCCAAAGGCAATATATAAATTAATGATGGTAACTACATTCTAATAAAACTTTATTTATAAAAGTAAGATTTGGCCCATAAACCATAGTTTATCAAACATTGTCCTAGAGAATTAACAATAAAAGGAACTCAACCAATAAGAGAATTCTGTAAAGTAGCGGGATATAGAATTATCATACAGAATTCAACGGAGCTCATTAAAAACAGCCAATCAGTCTGAGGACATGATGGCAGAGGCGGAAAAAAAAAAAACTTTTCCACAATCCACAAAGAGGACAAAATACTTACAAATTAACCGGACAAAAATAAACAAAATTCATATGAAGAAACCTTTAAAACACTCTTCAAAGTCAAAAATCTGGACTTGAATAATGGAAGGTTTCTGAAATGTACTATGACTATGTAAGATGTTAAGGTTAAGGGAAGCTGAGTAAAGGGCATGGGAATTCTGTGTTTTGTGTTGTCTCTCTGCTTTTGCAACTTTTCCATAAGTCCAATGCTATTTCAAAGTAAAATTTAGCAGAAAATTTTTTACAAAGAAAGTAAAGATCCTGAGGTATGGAAAAATAAATCATAGATATTTCTGAAGTTTTTAACTTAAATTTTTTTAGTTGTTTGACATTTTATAATATTTTATCAGAAAATTATGGTCCCCAAAACATAAATGTTAATGGTTTTTTGCAATGTTGGTGTGATTTTATATACTTGAAGGCCAGATTACCTCCAGATAAATTTTATAAGTATCAAATAGACATTACTTGATACTTACAAAACAAGAAACGAAAATTCAGCACACGTAAATCTACTGTTTCATAAACTTAATGTATCAGGATACCTATTGTCCCATTTTAGATCTGGTGGTGGGGCATAAGGCATAATTAGTATGAAATAATTTATATTGAGTTTTTAAAAGAAGTAGTCTGGAGTACTGAAAAAAGTCAATAGAGTTTTACAAAATCATTGGTTTCACAAAAATCACTTTTACTTCAGTAGCCAAACTATTAATATTAAGATGACATTTCTTATTCCTACTGAGAAACATATAAAGGAAGAGAGGTGCTATGAATTCTACTCCACAAAGTTAATAAAACTGTGCTAAGGGTTTATATGTTTATCCTGATATGTGACCCAAGTTTTTACCATAGCCACAGCCAAATCACTAAAACATAAAACTGCTAGTCATTAAAACAAGTTCCTAACCCATGAATTATGGAAGATTTACATAGGAGAGAGGGATTTGTCATTTCCTTACCATGTAAGACTTAAAGCTCAAAGATGCAGTAGGTCCTATAAATCTAGCAATAATAGCCATGCCTGAAACATAATGCAAAGAGTAATGCTGTCTTGATTCTTATCAAAGTTAAAATACTGTTTTCTGAAACTTAGTGTATTTATAAAAACACACGTGGGACGCCTATGTTCACAGGTACAAAAGGATTCACTAACCTCCTTGTTGCACAAAAAAGGGAAGTTTAGTCCTTATCTTACCAGGCCTTGCTATAGAATTTAACATGTTTGACCTCTTTGTCTCCTTTAAACACTCTATTGCCTGTTTTTTCTATAACTCACTCTTCTAGTTCCCCGCTCAACTCTCTGGCTGATGCCTGTTTCTTTACAGAGACTTTTTCTTCATTCTCCTTAATGATTGAGTTCATTCTCCTTAAATGATTGAGTTCAATAAGCTTCTGTTTTTGTCTTTCTTTCTTCACTCTGTTTCTCTTCCTCACAACCTCTTACATATATCCATGACATAAGTTACCAAATATTCATAATATTATACACCCAACCCATCCCTCTAATCTAACTAAGCTTTAGACATGAATACCCAATTGACTAGTTGACATCACCACTTGGGTGTCCCATAGGAACCTCAATGTCTCTACACAACCATAACTGAACTCACCATTCATTTATTATACAATAAGCATTTGTCAGGTGCCTACCCTGATCATGGTCCTGGGTTGGGCATTGGAGGTATAATAATGAACATATTGACTTTGTCTCTCCTCTCATGAAGTTCACTCTTTCTTCAACCATCTTCTACCAGTAAGTGGTACCAATATCCATATAGTTACCCAAGCCAGCAAACCGAACATCATCTACGACTCCTCCCTATTCTTTGTAACTCATGTTCAGTCATTCACTTGGTCCCATCCATTCTCTTCCATCATAGGTCTTTATTTAACCTATCGATTTCTCTATTTTTATTACATTATATTTTATAGGGTTAGTTTAAGCCACCTTCACCTCTCACCTATGATGATCCCCTAACAAGGTTTCCTGTCTCTATTAATGCTAAAAACCTTCAATGATCCTCGACTGACCTCAAAACAAAATCCAAATTAGCATGACACACAAAGACCTGAATTATCTATTGCCTGTTCACTTATCTATGACATGCCCTCAAACCTCCTTTACTGCAGGTGAGAGTTTAATGCGAATTATTTGCCATTTAAGGCCCCTTGTTTCAATTTATGGCAAATTAAATAACATGTCTTGATATAAGAGAAACACAATCAAGAGGCAAAATCATCTTATACAGATGAATATACATACTATGCAATCTGACTTTCATTTTCTAGTTATGTATTATCTTTTAAAATTTCTATTAATTGAACCTATTTCTACCGCAACAATACTAGCCTACATTTACACACAGCACTTATTATATGTCAGTCACTTTACTTACATAAATTCACTTAATCATCTCAACAACCCAATGACATAGGTACCATACTATCCCCATTTTATGTATATGGTGACCAAGACACTGAGTCATTTACAATTTGCCAAAGGAAAAATAGTTGGTGAATGATGAGACTGGTATTGCAGGCAATGGTTCCAGAATCCATATGTTTAGCCATTATACACTATACGTATGAACAAAATGGGATTGTACAAGGTGTTAAACAAGAAATTCGATTGTGTAAAGGTGACATATATTAATCATGTAGACTGTACAGAAAAATACAAAGCATTAACAAATGACCCCAAAATCCTACCATACTGAAATAACAATCATTAGCTGCTTAGGTAAATTATTCTGGATATCTCTGTATGTCTTTAGGTAGATAGAAGGATTGATGGATAGATAAGGCAGATAGATAAAACAGATGAATAGATGAGAGACGATTGATAGATAAAATAATGTTTTGTACCATGTCTATTGACTTTTTATGTGAAAGATGATAAAATTTGCATACTTACACATCTGCCCTGAGATGACTTTGTTTTGATTTTTGTCAGTTGTATTATTAAATTATAATTATCCATTTCTATAAAATATAGATGACTCTCCCTAATGATGATTCTTTCATTGTTTTGTCTTAGCTTAATATTTAAATGAATTCAAAGGTTTCCACTGGTATCTTTTAGCCATAGTTTTACTATTTTAAAGTACTTTGAGTAATTTCTTGGTTGACTGGGATTTTGTCATCAAGTAGTTTTTTCAGGGAGAGCTAGAGAGTACTACATTCACCAATCCTGTATGCTTACGAATATGATATTGCCTTCACATTTGAAGGATAACTTGGCTAATGTGAAATTCTCAGGCAATATTTTTTCTCTCTCAGGATGTTTTAATCAATGGCTTGTGTCATTAAAAGAAGATGCAGAGAAGTTTACAGCCAATGGTTTGCTTCTTTTGCCTGGATGTACTTATTTTTTCCCTTCTGAAATGCAAGTAATTTTATCAGGATATGTGTTGCTGTTGGTCTTTTTTATGTCAATATTACTAAGATCTTTTGGGGTCTTTTTGAGATAAAGACTCACAGCAAAGTTTTCTTCTGTTATATCTTTACTTAAGATCATATTCCATTGGTTCCAACCTCTTCTTGAGGAATACCAATTACGTTTATGTTGGCTCTCCTTGGGTTCCATATTTATACATTTTTCTATTAACATTTTATATATTTTTATTTTTTATTTCCTATACATCACATTCCTGACTGTGTTTTTAGTTGTGTTTATTATATTTCTTTTACTCCTATCCAGGCTTTTTGTTCAATGATTTTCCTATTTCTTTTCTGAGCTCTGACTACTTGCTTTTAAAACTACTTAGGTTGCCTTATAAAATCTTTTGCAAAACTTTCTATGATTTTGACCAGGCATGGTGGCTCACACCTATAATCCTAAGCACTTTGGAAGTTTGAGGCGGGAGGACTGCTTGAGGGCAGGAGCTTAAGAACCTGTCTTTACAAAAAAATTTTTTGAAAACAATTAGCACACCTGTAGTCCTAGCTACTTGGGAGGATGAGGGAGGAGGATTGCTTGAGCCCAAGCATTCAAGGCTGCAGTGAACAATGATGGCACCACTGCACTCCAGCCTGGGTGATAGAGTGAGACCTTGTCTCTGAAAAACAAAAACAGGCTGAGAGAATGGCGTGAACCCGGGAGGCGGAGTTTGCAGTGAGCCGAGATCATGCCACTGCACTCCAGCCTAGGCGACAGAGCCAGACTCTGTCTCAAAAAAAAAAAAAAGAAAAAGAAAAAGGCAAACAAAAACTTTATATAATTTTTTGATTCTCTTATTAAGAAACAATATACTGTTTTAACAGCCTTGTGACTTTAAGGAAGTTACTTGAATTTATCTGTTTGCTTTTGTGATGGAATCACCTCAAATACAATCACACAACAACCTGCAATCCCTTTCACACTGAGAACACGTTGTCATTTAGTTTTGAGCATTCAAACAGTCAATCTGGTTTACTCTAAATCTCTAAAAGTTTATAGTTTCTTTTTGTGTTACAATCTGGCAATCATTGTCTCTAATACCCTTTTCACTCCGAAATGTCTACGAAATGGCTGGAAGGCCGCTATAGACAAAACAAAATGACATGTCCGTATGACTTTTCCCAAGGCTCTACTTCTGATGCCTCATAATGCAAAACTGGGTCTCTGATGGCAAAGTCTTCACTTCTTCCAAGACCCATTCAATTCCCCTAATCTCTGCTCTCTTAAAAAAAAAGAAAGAAAGAAAGAAAGAAAGGTTGACTATGCTTCGAATGACCATGACACTTATTTGGGGGGAAATCTTGAGATCTGAAGAGGCATGTGTTAAAAGTCAGCATATTACATATGGGTCAATAATTCATAGCATTTTGCAGGTGCGTTTTACATTTTAAAATTTGGAGTTGTGGCCATTCCCCTGTTTGGGTGAATATAATTTTTTCTCTACTTTTGCTCTCTTTTTGTAGGTTTCATGCCATTAACCAGAAGTCAAGCCACTCATAAAACTCCACAAACTAGTTTTGTGCATTACTAATAAATGTTTACTGCCTTCTCATCATCTACTTTACTATTTTAAAATTATCACTTCACTTGTCTGTCTACCCAGCTCAATCAGGTCCTTCAGGCTTGTTGTTTATCAGTGATTTTTTTTTCATTTCCATTTTATTGTTTCAAAACTTGATAGGTTCTTTACAATTCAGAATATGAAAAGAATATAGCTGTTTTCTCTGGCTTTTCTTCAGTGGATACAACTGAAAAGTCAATAAATCTAATACTTGCTTAAAACAGTTATATTAATGAGAATTTAAAGACTCATTTCAAAAAGTAATGCAATGATAACATTTAGAAGGAATTTCAAGGTGGCAACTAGATAACCTGGCAATGACTTACATAGAAATCATTAAAGCTGAGATACAGAATAGAAGTAGAGGCTTCGCAAGAGTAAGTTCTAATCTATAATAAATACAATTCAGTGCAGACACTCTTCAACTCACAATGGGGTTATGTCCCGATAAACCCATCATAAGTTGAAAATATAAATCAAAAGTGCATTTAATATACCTAACCTACTGAACATCATAGCTTAGACTAGCCCACCTTAAATACACTCAGAACATTACTGCAGCCTCAAACTCATGGGCTCAAGCAATTCTCCTGACTTAGCTTCCTGAGTAGCTAGGACTACAGGCGCACACCCTCACATCCTTTAATTCTTTACATTTTTTATAGAGACGGGGGTCTTGCTATGTTGCTCAGGCTAGTTTTGAACTCCTGGCCTCCAGCAATCCTTCTGCCTCTGCCTCCCAAAGTACTGGGATTACAGATGTAAGCCACCACGTCATTAGCCTATAGTTGGGCAAAATCATCTAACACAAAGCCTATCTTATACTAAAGTGTTGAAATCTCATGAAAGTTATTGAATACTGTACTGAAATTGAAGAAAAGAATGGTTGTAGAGGTACTTGAAGTATAGTTTCTACTGACTGCGTATTTTTGCACCATCAAATATTAAAAATTTCTAAGTTGAACGATCATAAGTTGGGACCATCTGTATATTTATTAAGAAATTAATAGTCACAGAAAGATTAAAAGATGATTTGTGATATAGTCTATCGAGTGATACAAAAATATTATTACTAACAAGGGAGACAATGATAAATTCTATATGGAAAATATTTGAAAATTTTAAGGTGGTTTCTCAGGCGAAGCCCAGTTCCATCTCAGGTTCTCCATGTTGGCTACTCCTGTCTGATATGTTCATGCAAGCTGCCTCCTTCTCAGTTTTTAGGTCTTGCTTTAAATATTATCCTCCCCGAGTCTACATTCCTGACTGCTTGAGCTAAAGTAACCAACTCCCACCCAGTCACTCTTTCAATCACACTGTTTTCTTGTCTTCATAGCTTTTAACACAATGGAAATCATTTTATTTGCTAACTGATTGAATGTATAGTCAATGTTCCACAC
This sequence comes from Homo sapiens, assembly GCF_000001405.40. Classification (NCBI taxonomy): domain Eukaryota; kingdom Metazoa; phylum Chordata; class Mammalia; order Primates; family Hominidae; genus Homo; species Homo sapiens. Next base: position 27,932,855 of record NC_000010.11, read on the forward strand.
ATATAATAGAATGTAATCCCCACGACAGCAGGAGCTTTGTTTGGTTACCATTATAAATCCAGTGGCTAGCACAAAAGATGCTCAATAAATATGTGTTTAATGTAAAGGAATAAATAAGGAGCTGGGTGTGGTGGCTCACACCTGTAATCTCAGTACTTTGGGAGGCTGAGGCAGAAGGTTTGCTTGAGACAAGGAGTTCAAGACTAACTTGGGCAACATGGCAAGACCCCCAACTCCACAAAAAAATTTAAAGAATTAGAGGGCATGGTGATATAGTCCCAGCTACTAAGGAAGCTAAGATGGGAGGATTGCTTGAGCCCATGAGTTTGAAGTTGCAGCAAGCTATGATTGCATCACTGTATTTCAGCCTGGGTGACAGCCTGAGTCCCTGTCTCTAAAAAACAAACTAAACAAAACAAATAAGAATGTAACTCCAGACAATTGATATTTGCAAGTAAAAGATGAAAGCAAAGAAGTTAAATGGGGCCATAAGACAAAATGCTTTGAATAGCAAGTTAAGCACCTTAGTATTAAAATGGATTTTAGCATTGAGAAGTCACTGAAGGTTTTGTGGGCCAAGAAAACAACATTATCAGATATGCAGTTTAGGAAAGTAAATTTCAATGTTTTCAGGAACAAACTGAAAAGGGAGGCGGAGACTAGAGGTGATGCCAAATAGGACCCATTTCAATAGTCCAGGTAAAAGATGACAGAGCCCAACTGAGAGCAGAGAGGAGGAAATGCATTCAAAGAACATCAGAGGTAGTTGGTGGCCAAGTAGATTTGGGTAGACAAAAAATAAAGAGGAACCAAAGATCAAAAGAAATACATGCAGCCATTTCTGGCAAGTGTTTATAAGATTCTAATGAATAGCAAAGTGCGTTTCAAAAACATAAATACATTAGAAAATGGTTTTACAAGTCCAGCCAGTATGCTTCCCTTAAAGTAATCATGTATGCAACTTGTATTCCTTAGTGTCTGAAACACTGGAGACTAAGATTCCAATAACCAAATGCAAAAGGAGGTGTTAGTACTTGTGTATAAGATACGTGGTTAGACGAAGCCCCCTGATAGGATTTTGCTGTGTCCCCACCCAAATCTTATCCTGAATTCCCACGTGTTGTGGGAGAGACCCGGTGGGAGTTAATTGAATCATGGGGGCAGGTCTTTCCCATGCTGTTCTCATGATAGTGAGTAAGTCTCATGAGATCTGATAGTTTTAAAAAGAAGTTTCCCTGCACAAGCTCTCTTCTCTATTCCCTGCCACCATGTAAGATGTGACTTGCTCCTCCTTGCCTTCCACTATAATTATGAGGCCTCCCAGCCATGTGGAACTGTGAGTGAATTAAACCTCTTTCCTTTATAATTACCCAGTTTCGGGTATGTCTTTATCAGCAGCATGAAAATGGACTAATACGCTTACCTCCCCACACTTCCTGTTGGTTCTGTTTCTCTGGAAAGCCCTAATACAACAGCTTTAAGTCACCCAGGTTCCTCCTTTGTTGGAGTAAAGATATATATCTTTATAAAATATAAAGATATATGTCTTTATACATATATGTATATGTATCTTTTAATATATGAATATATATCTTTATATAGATATATTTATTTATATATGGATATATCTCTCTATATGTATATTGTATCTTTTTGTTCTATTGTTCTTAAATTGTCTTTTCTTCCTAATTAGACAATAAGGAGCAACACCATTACTTAAAATTCTTGTCTCTTCCCCTCATCAGTTCACAGTTCTTGCCAGGTGCTCAAAATACATTTGCTGAATAGGTGAGAAACAAGAAGGCTACTATGAGAATGTACCTGACACTCTCTAGGAGCCTAGTTAGATAGATGTATAATACTTCCCTAGGAGACAGAGAAAAGTTTTGTTGACTGAATAAAGGTTTCCACATGGGAAATTGATTACCGTGTATTGTAAATCCTCCCAATATGACCAACTTAGCCCTCCATCTCATATGAGGTAATGTTTTGGCTCTGTAACTCATGATTTGGTAAACTTGTGATTATTTATATGACACACTGTATTTTTTCATCATTCGTGCACATCAATTCTAAGTGATGACACTATTCTGTGACCTCCCAAGTGTTCTCCCTAACACTTATATAAAATCTTTCCATCTCCAGGGCCACTTACATCATACTTTCAGGTTCTACTGCACAAGCACCAACTGCTTTTGTAACATTCACAAGAAGAGCTTGGTTTATTCCAACAAGGAGGTTCACAAGTGGTTGAATGCCACCACATTTCCGGACAATGACTCGGTTTTCACGTTCTTGGCAGCATTCTCCCAAGGCCCCAACCACATTCACAAGTACTTCTTCAGGCTGATCTGTTAGAAGTCCCACCAAGGTTTCAATGGCTTTGTATTCCCGAAACCTAAGTTCATCATAAGAAAGAGGAGAATTGGTTTTTGTATAAGGTTTGCTAAAAATTACTAAATGTTCATTCAATCCTTACAACAACCCAATGATACAGATATTATTAAATCCCCATTACTGGATGGTTAATCTGAAGCTTGGTAAATAGTAGAGCTGACGTCTAACCCAGCCATCTGCTCCAGACCTGCACCCTTAATCACCATGCAGTACAGCCTCTAAGAAAACCACAGCTTGTTCTAAACCTGAGGATCTAAGATTCCACTCTACTAGGGTTTTTTCCCCCTATCTTCCAGAGACTACTTTACCTGAATGAAGTCTTCTAAATGTTTAATAAAAATAAATTATATGTTATATATTTTTGTTTTCAAATGCATCAAACATGGCTCTATTGTACCTATTTGGGTTTAATAGGTCTCTTGAAATGAGTAGTAGCTTGTGCTACTTGGATAAAAAAAAAAAAGTCACTCTCAGGTATCTTCTATATTAACCACTAATACATTTTACCATCTCTCTTGTCATAAAATTGCACTCTGATATATATGTATATATGTATGTGTGCATACATATATACACACACATATGTATGCATATATATATATACACACACAAATACACACACATACACACACACACCAAAAGGAAGCATGCTACATAAAGGTAAATATTTGAAAATTCCTAGTTTCTATACAGAACATTTTCCCTTCCTAATAAATTTCAGCTGTATTTAAGTACCATGATGCAGCTGAGTTTTTAATTAAGATAAAAGTTCCATTAGCCGAGGTTACTTTTAATCTAGCCATGACTTCACTACGCCTTATTAAGTAAACTTATTTTGTGTTAAATGGTCGGGACGTGAATCTCTTGTTAAAGGAAATAATCAGATGGAGTCAAGGAGAAGCTGCCTCAGAATACCCATCATTGAGATTGTAATCTCTCAAAAATAGGAAGAGATAGATTTGAAAATTAAAATAAATCAAATGGTCATAAAGGTTACAAATACTTTAAAATCGAATCTGATGAAATCATGTTTGAAAATGACCACTCTTTAAAGAGTAACTGGTTAGTTGACATTTAGTTGATTCATCTTGTTTATCTTTAGAAAAGGAAAAAGAACAAAATCACTTCCATCTCTAAAGATTCCATGGGAAATCCGCCCACTCACCTTGATAGGTCCCCACAGAAAATATCAAAGATATTTCTAATTCAAATGGCTGCCCATATGCAAAATAGAGAAATCATGTCAGCAAGCCTCTTAGTGCCACTGAGGCACAGAAAAAGTCATTGCCAGGTGGTGGGCAATTTCTATTCTTTTCTTTTCTATTCTAAGAATCCCTTCATTGGGCTAACTTCATCCAGAATGTACATCTACAACTAACATTAGAATTGACTCCTTACTAGAATGGCATTAAATGACAAGAAGGTGTTTCAGAAGCCGTATCTTCATTTCAGAATATTGAGAGCCTTCTCTTACTTGGTAACATTCTCTTTGCTGATGGAACATTTCCATATAGCCCCTGTGACAGCAGCTAACCGCTCTTTATTGTCAGTGTTATTGAGTAGACTGGCCAAGGGCTTAAGTCCTCCGTGCAGCCTAACGAGGTCCCGGGTTTCCTTATCTTCAGCACACTGCACGAAAAGTCAGACAGAGGCTGTCAGTCATCAAGGAATATCAAGCTTTCAATGATGCTAAAAAGGCTGCCATTCTAGTAGCTAGGAAACTTCTTTCTAGAGAGATCATTTTCGAAAGATGCCTCCAAGTAAAATATAATTCATCTTTCTACTAGTAGCTTTCTGACAGCATGTCTCTCTCCTTATGTGGCTTTGGGAATGGATAGCAGTTTCTAAGTACTCAGCAATTCTCCCAAGCCAGTTTTGAGATAGCCTAGGCATCTCCTGAGGCGAAGGTCAGTGGAAAACCTACAACTCCACTAGCAAGGAATGGAGGATTTCTGCAGTGATGCAACTCAGAGTCTTGGGAAAACATAGTAGAGAAGACAGATGAGTGATAGGGATTTGGTCAGCTCTTCAATGGCCCCTGAAATCTAGAGACAAATATATTTTCTTTTTTTCTTTCTTTCTTTTTTCTTTTTTTTTTTTTTTTGAGAGAGACTCTTGCTCTGTCGCCCAAGGTGGAGTGCAGTGGCATGATCTCGACTCACTGCAACCTCCACCTCCTGGGTTCAGGTGATTAGAGACAAACAATTTCTCCAATCAAGTTTCTATGCCCAGAGCAGTGAGTGATATCAATAGTACCTGACATTTTATTCAAATATGCTTATCCATGTTTGTGTCATCCTTTGAAATAAATATTTACTGCACAGATGGTCTCAACTGATCATTCTTCCCGGGCTCTAGAGCCAACAGATGATACAGTTAGCAGAGACTTGGCAATTACTCCAAGCACACAGATGTTTTCTGATGCCATGTGATCCAGATATGTGTCATGTGTCACCCATGGAGGCCACTAGAAGAAATCCTCATCACAGTGCACCATACAGGCACCTGCCATGTTTATCTTCTGCACGTGATTTTCAATTCTGGATTACAGGCACCTTCTAAAAATTAATCCCTATTTCTAATCAACTCAGTGGTTACTCTGATGAGGCATATATACAAATATATACAAGTCAGGGCTATATACGATTGTTATGGGCCAAATTGTGTCCCCTCAAAATTCATATATAGAGGTTTTTTGTTTTTTGTTTTTTAGATCGAGTTGCTCTCTGTTGCCCAGGCTGGAGTACAGTGGCACAATCTCAGATCACTGCAACCTCTACCTCGTGGGTTCAAGCAATTCTCGTGCCTCCACCTCCAGAGTAACTGGGATTACACCACCACACCTGGCTAATTGTTTTTGTATTTTTAGTAGAGATGGGGTTTCACCACGTTGGCCAGGCTGGTCTCGAACTCCTGACCTCAGGTTATCCACACACCTCGGCCTCCCAAAATGCTGGGATTATAGGCTTGAGCCACCCAGTACCTCAGAATGTGACTGTATTTGGAGACAGAGTTTTTAAAGAGGTCATTAAGGCTAAATGGCCTCTTCAAAATTACTTGAGTAGGCCCTGCTCCAATAGGACTGCTGTCCAAGGGGAGAAAATGACACTGGCATACACTAAGGAAAGACGGTGGGAGGACACAGGGAAAAGGCAGCCGTCTACAAGCTGAGGAGAGAGGCCTCAGAAGAAACTAACTTTGGTCTGAAACGTCTAGCCTCTGGGGCTGCAAGGAAATAAATTTCGGCTGTTCAAGCCACCCAGTCTGTGGTATTTTGTTATGGCAGCCCTCCCTCACAACCTAATACAATCCTCTACTGAAATGACTCCCTTGTATCTGTCTCTTCTTTTTTCTTTTTTTTTTCTCTTCTGAGACAGAGTCTCACTGTCTCAGGCTGAAGTCCAGTGGCGCGATCTTGGCTCACTGCAACCTCCACCTCCCAGGTTCAAGTGATTCTCCTGCCTCAGCCTCCTGAGCAACTGGGATTACAGGCACATGCAACCACACCCAGCTATTTTTTGTATTTTTAGTAGAGACGGGGTTGCACCATGTTGGCCAGGCTGGTCTTGAACCCCTGACCTGAAGTGATTCGCCCATCTCAGCCTCCCAAAGTGCTGGGAATACGGGGACTGCAGGGCCGGGTACAGCCCCTTGTATCTTTTTGGCATACTCTCTTGATGCTGCACATCTTAAGTGCATTCCTCTAGCAAACCTACTCTGATTAGGTAGAAGCAGACGTGCACAGTAACCAGCCATCCACTACTTTGTCAAGGCCATTTTTCTCCCTTTACCATTCTGATCTGTTTTCTGGTATACTATGAAATGTATCATACACAAAAAGTTAGTGTAGATTACAATAAGTAAACCAGTAAAAAGATAAAACAGGAACACACACACACACACACGCATTCCTCTGGCTAGTCTTGGTAGGAGATAAATGCCCCAAGATTATTTGAACAGGACATATTAAAAGCAATATAGAAGCACCATGTACTTATTTATCTATTTTACGCTAAGTACATTATTTTAGGAGACAAAGATGCATAAGTGTCTTCTAGAAACAAATAGTCCCAGATGTCAAAGCAGGTTTCTCTGACTTATACAAGTTATCTGCCATTACCACAGGACAATGGTTCTTAGACCTGTCTATGAAAATCCAATGGAGTTCTTGTTAAAAATGCAGGCCGGGCACGGTGGCTTATGCCTGTAATCCCAGCACTTTGGGAGGCTGAGGAGGGAGAATCACTTGAAGCCAGGGGTTTGAGACCAGCCTGGGCAACAGAAAAAATAAAAATAACTCCATCTCTACCAAAAATACAAAAACAATTAGCCCTACATTAGCCAGGCATGGTGGTAAACACCTGAAGTGCCGGCTACTTGGGAGGCAGAGATGGGAGGATCACTTCAGCCCAGGAGATTGAAGTGACAGTGAGCTATGATTGTGCCATTGCCCTCCAGCCTGGGCAACAGAGCAAGACCCTATCTCTAAAAAAATAAAAATAAATTAAAACTTAAAAAAATCAAATAAATAAATAAAATGCAGATTCCTGAGTCCCATTCTCACAGAAGGAAACCACATGGTTAGAAAACTACCTTAAACTATGTGAGAAAGAACGCCAACAACCGCTGGGAGAGTTCACTGCACCTGGTAAATGGCCATGGCGCAGTGCTCCTGCAGCTGCTCATTCTCACTATTTAGGTTCTTGACAAGGTTTTCAATGATCCTTTCTGCTTTGATTGCAGCCCGGTAGTTTTCCTAGGAATAAAAACCTACATATTTATGTGTTCAAGACGTGAATATAAGTAACTGTTTACATTTATTAATAAACATGCTGAACAAACTTTCTTAGGAAATAATCACCATAGTCCAAGCTTAACATATCCCTACATCAATAAGAGAATCAACTGAATTAATATACACATATGTGTGTTTGTGTGTGTGTATATATATATAGTGTATAGATATATATGTCAGCATATATGTGTGATATATATATAAATGTCAGTATATGTGATATATATATAAATGCCAGTATATATGTGTGATATATATATAAATGTCAGCATATACGTGTGAGATTTATATAAATGTCAGTATATATGTGTGAGATATATATATATACATATATGTGTATATATATCACAGGTACTGATTTAATTAACGTCCTATCAGTTGGATCTTCTCTTTCTCATAGAATGCTGACTTCTAGAAAAAGAATGTCCTTGAGCCATCATGATAACCTTAGAAACAACTTTTGGACTAAAGAAAGTCAAGTTGAGAAGGCAAGGGAAGCAGAACTGGCATGAGTACCTCTGATGCACACTCTTGCAATGTCCCCACCACTGGAATTAGCATGTTTTCATGAGAAGTCTTCAGCAGCCGAGCCAACAGAGGAATGCCCCCAGCTTTGCGGATGGCTTCTTTATTCGTATGACTCTTACTGCAGCTCCACAGGGCCAGTGCCCCACAGCGAGCCACTTCCACGTCTCTGGCCTCATACAGACTCGATTGGGCAGGTTTTGTGGAATCATGTGCACAGTCTAGTAGAGCAACCTATAATAATAGATAAATCCAATGTTCATGGAAATCTTAAAAAGAACATTTAAGGCATTCTTCAATAGCTACAGTGTTCCTTACCAAGCTCACCTCCGTCAAAAACAAGAATGCTTTAAAAAATCACTTTTCGTACTCCATAGCAGCCACGGAAAGCAAAGAAACAAAACCCTACAAAAAACCTTCCTCCAGATTTGGGAGCTTATACATTTCCTTCCCACAAGAAATGTAAGCCCACCAAGATAGTATTTTCTTAACATGGCTCTAATATTTACATCAATCATATTTGTAAACCACATCCTCAGCCCAAACATCTCAGAAAACTAGCTTCCCTAAAACCATTAGCACTTTCTAAGGAGAACTGAATGGACTATACACCTTAAAGCCACAAGACCTGTCCAGGAACACTGGCTCACGCCTGTAATCACAACACTTTAGGAGCTCGAGGTGGGAGGATCACTTGAGGCCAGGAATTAGAGACCAGCCTGAACAACATAGCAAGATCCTGTTTCCACTGGAAAAAAAAAAAAAAAGCTGGATGTGGTGGTGCATGTGTGTAGTCCCAGCTACTCAGGAGGCTGAGGTGGGAGGATTGTTTGGGCCCAGGAGTTCAAGTCTGCAGTGAGTTATGATCACACCACTGCACTCCAGCCTGGGCAACAAAGCAAGATCCTGCCCCCCGAACCAAAAAAAAGAAAAAAAAAAAACCATGAGATCTCTTTGGAGGACATAGCCTGCCTCATGTGCTACTGAAACCAACCAAACCAAACAGCACAACTGCCAGCATCCAGTTTTTTTTTTTTTTTTTTTTGCAATAACTAAAGTCACTGAAGATCTTAAGGGAAAGGCAATTTACTATAAGGATTAAGCAGTATGTCAGGTTGCCCCATGGAGGAAGGGAAGTCAGACCTCCCTAGAGCTGCAATTGGCTGTCAGCCTTCCTTGCAGGCTCACTGTCTCTATCTGGGGCTTGGGAGCCATCATCTATGCACGTCTACTCCATTCTTCTGTCCCTGAAGGTCAACTTCCACAGATACTGCCCGTAACCACCAATCTCAAATTTATAAGGGAATAATAGCCTAGGCTAGGTAGAGTCTTTCAATCCCAATTCCAAGTTCCTGGGAGAGAGATCCAGTGGGACTGGCTTGAGACAGGTGGACACTCCTGGTCTAATTAGTTATGGCCCCAGGAAAGACGGGGATGGGGTATGGAGGCTTCCAGGTACTGACTGCAGGTGGGATAGGAACGTGGGAAAAATTCTAAGACCGTGGGATTGAACACAGATGCACAACAATAAATGATGCAGTATGGAAGTGCTCAGAAAGCCCGTAGCATTTGTGACTGTTTTGGAATTGCATGGTGGTTAGCAGGTGCTCCTCACAATCTTTGCCTTGCAAAAATTTATTCCTTGATTTAACCCACTGCCACTATGACCAGCACTACTGGTTGATTCACCAAAAATTGGTTAAATAATTGTCTTAGTTGTTTTGATGAATCTTTCTTAAATGTACGTATAGGTCACAGTCATTTCAATTTTTAATGTTGGAAGTGTTGGGGTCTTCATTTAGAAGTCTGGTGATATTTTTGTGACCAGAAAAATGCCATAGGAACTTAATTCTTGTTTATATCAGTTAGTCTATAGGAAAACTGGTTTTGTTACATGTTGTTTTGCTTAAAGTCACAATTTTTGAGAATCTGTTGATGATATTGAATGAAGACTTACTGTACTAGGTTCCTGAATGTGATGCATAAAACATATTTTATGTTACATTATCCATTCTTATAATTTAATGGGAGTAGTGTCAGTAGACAGTCACATCAACCTACCAAATTGTTTCATTATTTAAGCAGAATAATGATAATCATAGTAATAATTAAATTTTCTGTAACATTTTAATGAAAATTTTCGAACAGAAAAGCTTTAAGAATTGTACAATGATTGCACACAAACCTCCCTACATCCACCACCTGGAGTCTCTAATTAACATTCTGCCACATTCGTTTTATTACATATTTCACCATCTATTCATCCATCTATCCAGCCATAAGTCTATCTCATTTTTGAAACAAATACATTTATAGTGCTTTACAGATGACAAGTGAAAACACAGAATGTCTTTTGGAAAATTTCTGAACACATTTTTCAGTGTACCTATTTACATTAAAATCCATATTTATCCAACAGGTATTTATTAACCGTTCATACGGGTAAGGTACTGGGCTAAGTGCTGTGAAAGACACTAGGATGAATAAGGCCTGTCACTTAAAGTGCAGAAGTGGAAACAATACAGTAAGATAACAGCTCTGGGTGAGACACAAGATCTATTGATCCTTACTAAGAAAGTGAAAACATGTTGACTTTTTAAAGATCTTTCCTAATGATGGCAAAGGTGGTAAGCAGGATTCTGGTATTTTTCTTTTGATGCCAGCTATTGAGAAAATTATTTTTTCTGATTACAAAAGCAAGACTTAGACAAAGAAGACAAATTGGCAAATGTAGAAATGCAGGCAGAAAAATCAGTCAATTCAGAGAAAACTCCTGAGAGCAATTTGTGTGTTTATTTCTAGTGGTTTTTTTTAAAGATGGTAGGTACATCTTTAAAAACTGGGATCATAGATAACAGTTTTTAATCCTGTCATGATTTTATACAATATTAAATATTATACATTTTATTCCTTGCTATTAAATATACTTTTCAGGCTGGGTGCGTTGGCTCACACCTGTAATCCCAGCACTTTCGGAGGCCAAGGTGGGCGGATTACCTGAGCTCAGGAGTTCAAGACCAGCCTGACCAATATAGTGAAACTCTGTCTCTACTAAAAATATAAAAATTGGCCGGGCTTGATGGCGGGCACCTGTAGTCTCAGCTACTTGGGAGGCTGAGACAGGAAAATTGCTTGAACGCTTGAACCCCGTAGGCGGAGGTTGCAGTGAGCCAAGATCGCGCCACTGCACTCCAGCCTGAGCCACAGAAGTGAGGCTCTGTCTCAAAAAAAAAAAAAAAAAAAAAAAAAAAAAAAAAAGGCATCATAGATGTCAACAGCTTTTAAGTTGTAAAGCTTTTGACGTTTTAAAGTTTTCAGCATTCCACCGAGCAGCAGGTCTCACTATCTCTTACCTCCCATGCATGTATACTTGGATGCATTCCTAACAACGTACAATAGGTGGTGACAGTTACATCTGCTTTAAAACTGTCCTATTTCTTCAAAAAATGAGTTTGAAGATGTTTTTGTTTTGGACACTCACTAATATAAATATGCAAAAATAATTCTTAAGGGCAAGCGATACAGACAGAAGGCTCCTGGAACACGCTCTCATGGCTATGGAATTTCCAGCGTGGCCAGAAAGGACAGCAAGGAGCTGTGTGCAGTGGCGGCTGGCACTAGATGACGATGACAACATCACGGCTACTCACCAGTTTGGTGATACCCCCGTGCTGCCTCACCACCCGCCGTGCTCTTTTAAACTTGGCAACATTCGCGATAGTCTCGGCTGCCAAACATTTTAGACTCTTGTGTGGAGAATCAAGTATATTCACCATAATTGGTAAGCCCCCAAGGTCAACAATATTCTGTCTGATTTGAGGATTATGACTGATTTCCTTCAGTATTTTTAATGAACCAATCTGTGTGAGAAAAAAAAAGATGAGTGGCGAATATGTAACCCGTGCTATGTTTTTAAAAATTCCGAGTATACCTAAAATCCTTCCCCAGTTAAGTTTTTTAAGAAATCATTTCCATTCCCAGAGGTTACACACATCTGGCATATTCTCTTTCATTTAAGTAAACAATCCTCATTCAGGAAGCATGAGAGATGAATGGAGAAGAGCAAAAAAAGAAGAAAAGTAGAAAAAAGAGAAAGCTCAGTGAACAGAATCAGCAGGTCATCAGCAATAATAGCAGATAAAGACAAGAACCAGGCAACGAGGCATGGCAGAAACCTAGAGCTAAGAAGAGAGCCCAGGAAGGTGGGAACAAGACTCCGCATCCAAGGTGACAGAGCCACTCACCTTACATTTGACTTCATCGGTTTCAAGCAAATTTATCAGCACTTCCAGGCCTCCAACATCTCTGATGGCCAACTGGCAGGTTTCTTGAGCTAAGCTGAAATCCCTCATTGAACACAACGCAATCACTGTAGCTGTTTGATTTCCTCCCTACAAAGATGCAATGCCAGAGAAAGGTTAAGGAACACCGCATTCCCATAGAAATGCACTAAGTAGTTACGAATCCATGAACTGGAAAACATGTCTCTGAGTGGGCTAGAATTTGTTAAATGAATCAGGTAGAGCCGAAGCATGGAAAAGCTGTACAGAGCATCATAAAACATTGTTCCAATTAAGATTCAACATTTAAAGGCAGGCTGTCTCCTTTAAACAGCTTTAACATCAGGTGGTATTCATCTATTAAAGAGTCATGGGGACAGCCTTGAGAGGCTGACTGAGGAATGCAAGATGTACACAGAGCTAAGAGATGGTTCCCCCAGTTCTTGAACAGGGTATTGCATAATGCAAAGCACGTCTGAAAATTATTCCTACAGATGTGCATAGAACAGTCCGGAATAGGGAGAACTCAGAGAAAAGGAAAACGTGCAGGAAGCAGCACCGCAATCCATACTGGAACCTAGAGTAGGTGGTTTGAGGGCCGTGGGATTGGGAAAAGAGAGGCAATTCCAGCAGGACCTGCAAATGAATGGGATGGGCAGGACGAAGAAGAAAGCAAGCTTCACTGTGGTGAGCAAAATCCTGGCTGAACGCAGAGTCTTGCAAACCAATGTCTTCTTGGTGAATCGCTACATGTAAAGAGTAGTAGTGAGATGCTCCTTCAGGATTAAAAAACAAAACCCAAAAGATTAAAAATAAAAAAGAATGATCAGTAAACCAGACCTGCCAGGAGATTAAAATCAGAATTCACTGCAGGAACTCTTAGACAATGTCCACTGGTCATTTCTGCTTTGAAAATCTTCTAAGGAGTAGTGCATATTACCACTACTGCTATTCAGCTGGCTGATAAGAGTTCTGGCATCAGCACTAAAGTAGCGCATCACACACAAAAGCAAGAAGGCTGTTCATTTTTGTAAAAGGTGCTGGTAATAGACAAGCCTTTGATCCCTGCTTCAAACATAGTACCAATGTTTTAAGGGAAGACACCTTAAATTATGTTTATTTCCATTTATTAAGCATTATATTTCCATTATCTATTGTGTATATATATATAATTATGTATACAAATAGATTATATATATAATAGATAAGGTAAACATTGTCTATTTTATAAATTTATTCATTATCTACTGCCCATTATCTATTGTATAATTTTAAAATGTATTTTTAAATATATAAAATATTCTACATTATGTTTATATATAAATTTAAAAGTTTAAATATATTACATATAATATATAAATATAAAAAATACCAATATAAAAATGTATATTTCTATATATAAATAGATAACATATAATAGGCTTAGCACAGCTCGTGGAAATTCCATACCAGCTGCCAAACTCCCTCCTCCATAGCACGAGCTTGTGCATTTGCAAATCTTCTTGTGAATTCAACACAATAGGTCAAGTTTTTAATTTTTAAAAATTTATATATAATAGTTGTACATATTTTGGGGGTACATGTGATATTCTGATGCATGTATAAAATGTGTAGTGATCAAATCAGGATAATTGAGATATTTATCACCTTAAACACATCTTTTTTTGTGGTGGGAACTTTACAATTCCTCCCTTCTAGCTGTTTTGAAATACATAATAAATTATTCTTAACTATAATTTCTTGACTGTACTACAATAGGGAACTTGAACTTAGTTGTACTATCTCACTGTATTTTGTACCTCTTAACCAATTTATCTTCATCCCTTCATACCATGTCTTATATATAATAGGGTTAGCACAGAAAATGGAAATTACATACAAGCTTCCCACACACCTCCTCCTTCTTATGACACATGTACACATATGCAAACCCTCTTGTGAATTCAACACAAGGCTTTTAAAATAAGAAACCGAAATAGGATTGATTACTAGACGATCCCAAGTGAAGACAGAAAGATTTAGATGTCAGCCTTTCTTCTTACTCCATTTAAGAAAATTTCTTCCATGCCTCTAGAAATGTCCTCAACAACTGTCCCGTGAAGATGTCACTGACAATTTCCATTTCCCACATGAATGCTCCCAATGGATGCAGCAGGCTGTCCTCCACATTCATGATTAAGTTCAGAATGACAAGAGCCTTAATTTTACTATTTACTAATAAGTCATGTTCTTACAGCTTTTAGTATCTTTTCTGCTTCCTATCAAGGAGAAAAGTTACCGCCACCAATACCACCAATTTTCGTACAGTTGGTTTTAAAATATGAATTTTAAAAATCCTCTCTTTATAACTGTCAGGTTCATAAACCCCCATATTTGGGTGCAGGAGGCTCCCATAAGCCAGTACTTCCATTTCCTCTTTTAAAAAAACAAAAGTCAGATATTTTATAAGCCATAAAGAAGAATCTAGTCTGAGTGTGGAGGCATGCACCTGTAATCTCAGCTACTCAGAAGGCTGAGGTAGAAGGATCGCTTGAGCCTGGGAGTTGGAGGCTGCAGTGAGCTATGATCACACTACCACTCTCCAGCATGGGCAACAGAGTGAGACCCTGTCTCTAAAATAATAATAATAAAGGAGAATCTACATGCTAACCATACTTAATTAAAGGAAATTAAATCATGCACAAAAAGAAAGAACAAAGAAAATAAGAAAAACAATTCATTTGAATAAAGCTCTTTTTTTCTCTGAATTTAAATGGTTAAAAGGAGCCAGAAACCTCCCCAGGAGTGTCTGAAGTAGCAGAGCAGGTTCCTATATTAAGGGTTTGGAAATCCAAACCAAGTACTTCAGCAAGAGAGAGTTATTTAGGCGGAGGCTTCAGACTTCAGTATGACTAGAAAGTGCAAGAAGACATGGAACAGTGTGTCATACCTTGTTTAAGCCAAGAGCCTCCTCCTGCCCCAGGTCTACGCAGTGAAGAAGACTGTCCCATCCTAACATTCTTAATCGCTCGTGCTGAGGACTTGCTTGACTGCTATTCTTGCATTATAATGTTTTCTTTGGTAGCAATTTTCGAGCTTATACACTCAGCACAATCTTTGTTTCCTATTTCAAGTTTTCTTAATTTTTCTCTTCTAGACAACTTCCACATCTTTTGAGCTTTATTTCATTAATTTTACTATAACCAATGACATAAATTCATAACGGCCATTTAATTGCAGCAGATGTCCCAAAGGTAAGAGTTTATAGCTTTTTGAAGTATCTCTAGGTTAATTTGGAATGCAAAAGACTGACAATTTACAGTTATCATCAAGAAGTTAGATCCTTATAGAAAAAAATTCTGTAAATCATCAGCTTTTTTTCTGAAAATCTGGAAACATATTCATAGGCTTGAGGGATTTTTTTTTAGAACAGTTTTATATTAGGGAAAGTTAGTTTTTCCACATTTCAGGATTTAGTTCTACTCTTGTCACTGACCACACTCCCAAAGGGATTATAAATCTTTCAGAATGAATACCAGAGGACAGGAGCCAAAATATTCAACATACAGAGCCACAAATGTTAGCCAATTGCTATTCTTTAAATACCAGCTATGTCAAAGGATTTTTGAATGTTTGTTCCACTTTGTCCAGATGCCATAAATATCGAACTGAGAAGAAACCATGCAAATACACTCCTTTTTCAATTAAATCTCCCCTAAGAACATAATTATTTACCAATACTTATTTTCACATTTTATCACGCATTTGCATTTCTGAGGTTTTAGGAGCTGGAGAAAATAGAGTAAAATATGATTTTACTAGCTTCTGAAGGGCTTTGAAAAATGCTTCCAATAAGTGTTTCCACTTCTAAAATTAATGCAATTCTTTTGCTAGTTGTCTCCCTGCCCCTTTTCTTTTCAAACATCTCCAGGCTCTGTTGGCCTTTGGATTTTTTTTTTTTTTTTTTTTTTTTGCAATTGACATTTGGCCATTGGATTTTTTTTTTTTCAATTGACATTCCTTCTGATGACCAGGAGGCATTTCTTCATTGTCACCATTAGGTTTTAAACGTGCAGAGATTGAATGAAAGTCGCTCTCTTTCACTTTTCTTAAAACTTCTTTTTGAAAGACAAGACGAATTAAAGATAATTTCCTCAACTACGTTTTTTTAATTACTTCAAATAAAATATTTGAAATAAGCAAGTATTACCCTGTTTGGTATACAGAACAATGCCCCTCCCTTACCATTGATAAGGAAGAAATAAACATTTGCTAAGTTGAAATGAGCAATGTATTCAAGAGTAAAACAGGAAGTGAGCTGCCTCAAATCACTTTTGTGTTATTTCATTCAACAAATGTGTTGCATGCTTCCTATTTGCCATGCTGGATGGTTAGCATTAGAGACACACCGGTTTACCAAAACAGACACTGCCCTTGCCTTCATGAAGCTTATAATGTAGTGGAGGAAAAAGGTTTTTAACTTTTTTAAGCTCACCCAAATAAACAGAAACTATAAATCTGAGAAGTGCTACATGGGGCAGGGGCATGGAGCTGTGGAAGCACATCACAGGGAACTTTGACCTAACTTGGAGCATCACTCACAGGGAAAGAACATCTGAACTGAGATCTGGACAGAAAATAGGCGATTTCCCAGGCAGAGAAGGAGGGGATGTGATGAAATGTCCACCAGTCGGAGCAAACAGTATATGCAAAAACGCAGGGGAGTAGAGCATGGCATGCTTAGCACCTAAATAAGGCCAGAGCCCAGGGTGGGAGCGTGGTGCAAGATGAGCTGAAAACCAGCTGGGCTGCTGGGCCCAGAGTCTGGGCTGAGAATTTTCATCTTTATTTCAAGATTGGCCAATGTAATTTACAATGATGTCATTTATAAAAGATCACTCTGGCTGCAGAGGCCGCTGGCTGGAGGGGGCAAGCGTGGATGGATGCAGTCAGGTTACTGCAGGGATCCAGAGAATAGAAGTAACTTGGAGTAGGAGGGGAGGGTGACTCATCACGAACCATAAAGAAACGTTTGAAAGGTTTTTATCAACTTGGTTCAGGAAAGGATGCTACAAGTGTAGATGAAACTCCAACTCTGTTGGGCAACACGCTTGCAGGGTCATCATTTGAAGTTATTATCAGAGCCCCACATGACCACAGTGAGACAGGAAGGAAGGCAGAGATTGATCAGGACCAGAGGCCTCTTGTTCTGTCCCTACCCCACACAGCTTCTCCATCTGCAATCAAGAAGCAGCCGGTGAGACTTGGAGAATCGGCACCACTATCACATGGCCATCCAGCTGGCTTTGAACATTCTCAGCATTTTTTCCTTCAAACATGCCACTCAGAGAGCAAGAAAAGCAAACCCCTGCCAGTAACTGTTCATTAATGATCACAGAGGACCTGGTGCCCAGCATAAAGATTGGCTTAGAGATATTCTTCTTCTCCCAGGATCAGAAATGGTACAAAGTGAGTGCTCACAGTGAGTGGTGTATAACCACGTGAGTCAAAGCAGAAAAATACATTGCTTTCCTTCTGTTTATTTGCAAATCTATTTTACACTGATGACTTAGCACTCAAAAACCTAAGACTCAACAGAACCCTGAGGAGAAAGAGAGAATACTGTTTCCCGAAGAAAAATATACATATATCCTTAAATAAATCAGACTCAGGTTGTTGTATTACAAGCTGCTAAGAATGTTTTATCAGGAATGGGTAAGGACAATACAAGGATGCTACATACATTCTTCTAATTGTATTTATTTATTTATTTTGAGACGGAGTCTTGCTCTGTCGTGCGGGCTGGAGTGCAACGGTGTGATCTCGGCTCACTGCAACCTCCATCTCCTAGGCTCAAGAGGTCCTCCTGCCTCAGCCTCCCAAGTAGCTAGTACTACAGGCATGCACCACCATGCCTGACCCATATGCATTCTTTTTAATTTGCCATGGAACATTTACAGGAATTGACAGTTATTGGAATGTTCTAGTCATTGCAATGCAGAAAAATTTATAGCAAATATAATTATCTTACTAAAAAGATTCAGAAGAATGAGCTGAATAATTATGATAATTAATTAAAAAATAGTTCAATAAAGTGGACACAAGAGCAGCATTTTAAAGTGAGTATTTATACACTAACAATAACAAATCAAAATGTTTAACTTGAAAAAAGTTCCCATGTCGGGATTAGCAAAATAATAATAAAAATATCTATGACTAAATCTCATAGGAAATGTTTTAGATACACATGGAAAAAAGCTATTAAATATTACTAAATTATGTAAAAGATTAAATGGATGAATGGTCATACCATGTGCCTGAACTATTGGAATTCAACATTATTAAAATTGCAGTTTATCCAAAAATAATTTATAGATTCATGTAAACCAACCAAAATGCCCACAGAATTTTGGGGTTTTGTTAACATGATTTTCAACTCATTCTAAAGATGATCTAGAATGAAAAATCCAAAAAATAAGTTTTAAAAATGTTAAGGTACCTATCTGGTCTACCAAATATCAAAATATACCAATGCTGTAGTAATTAAAACAGCATGTAACTAGCATGGGAACATCCAAATAAGTTAATGCAAAGAGAAAATCCAGAAACAAACTCTCACGTGTGAGACTGCAGAATTTGATGAAGGTGGTATCCCAGATTATTGGAGGGAAAAGCAGATAGGCCAATAATCTGTGTTGATACAATTGACTGTTCCTCTAGAGAAAAAGAAGTGAAGTTAGATGCATACCTTCTATTATACATAAAGTGAATTCCAGAAGGATTAAGAATTTGAACTTAAAAAAAAAAAGCTATAAAACTAACAGAGGGAACTAGAAATTATTTTTGTCCATTTAGAATGGCTTCAGAAAAAACCTTCCTAGTTCTTAAGAAACAAAACCTATAAGCCATGAAGAAATAGAAGATATTTATTAATGTACAAAAGAGTAGACAAAAAGACATCCAGCTGGACACAGTGGCTCACATCTGTAATTCCAGCACTTTGGGAGGCCAAGGCAGGTGGATCATCTGAGGTCAAGAGTTCGAGACCAGCCTGACCAATATGGTGAAACCCCATCTCTACTAAAAATACAAAAATTAGCCAGGTATAGTGGCACGCTCCTGTAGTCCCAGCTGCTTGGGAGGCTGAGACAGGAGAATTGCTTGAACTGGGGAGGCAGAGGTTGCAGTGAGCCAAGATCGTGAAACTGTACTCCAGCCTGGGCAACAGACTGAGATGCCAACTCAAAAAAAAAAAAAAAAAAGACACACTAACAGAAAATAAATACCTGCAATTAGTATAACAGCTAAAGGATTAATTTGCATCATCAAGAATTAAAAAGATGAACAACCACACAGAAAAATAGGCAAAGGACATAATACAATGGCTATTTGACATATAAAAAAATTGTCAACCTCACTAGTAACTAGAAATATGAAAATTCAAACAAGGTACATTTTGCCCCTGTGAGAATTGGCCAAAATAAAAAATAACAAAAAGACTACACATCGATGAGAATTTACAACAATGGATTCCAATCCTATATTGACAACTTTTTTTATTTTATTTTTTTTTTTTACCTTAAGTTCTAGGATACATGTGCAGAACGTGCAGGTTTGTTACATAGGTAAACGTGTGCCATGTGGTTTGCTGCACCTATCAACCCATCACCTAGATTTTCAGCCCCACATGCACTGGCTATTTGTCCTAATGCTTGCCCATCCCCTTTCCCTGACAGGCCCTGGTGTGTGTTGTTACCCTCCCTGTGTCCATGTGTTCTCATTGTAGATGAACAGTTTTATTACCACAGGGAGATTTAAAAGTCTATCAATGCCTAGACTCCGGCCTGAACCAATTCAATCAAAACTTCCAAAAATGGTACCTGGGCATAAGGGTCTTCTGTTTATTTGCTCCATCGTTTAACAGCTCTGGCTAATTTCACTCTGAGGTTGAAGGTCCAGGGTTGAAAACTATTGGTATGTTACTGGTAGAGTGTAAATTGATATTTGCTTTCTGTAAGGAGCTATGAAACTTTTTTTTACATAAACCAAGTTTGTTTTGTTTATTACTCTTCATTATTTTTTGTTTAAATTGAAAATTTTTTAATGCAAGTCTTCTCAAACTGTAGTGTGCATATATTGTTTTTCTCTTTGTTTTAGACAGCTTTATTGACATATAATTGATATAAAAAAATGCACATCTTTAATGTATACAATTTGATGAGTTTGGGTATATGCATATAAATCCAACACCTGTGCAATCATTACTACGATGAAAGTAATAAATATATCCATCACCTGAAAACATGTCCTTTGTCTCTGCCTTTCTTGTGGTAAGAACACTTAATCTGAGATTTACTTCTTAAATGTTTTAAGTGCACAATATATATTGTTAACTATAGGTATTATGTTGTACAGCAGATATCTGGAACTTATTCATCTTTCATAAATGAAATTTTATACCCATTGAACAATTACATAAAACTGCCTTAGCTATCACAGTTCATTCCAATAAAAAATCTTATAAATATCTTGGCACTTGTATAGAACTCCCTATTACTGCTATCAAAAATGTAAATGTGCATTCTCTTTGACTCAAGCAATTCCATTTCAAAGAATCCATCCTATAGAAATAATGTATATATCCAAACAATGTGTAAAAATATTAGCTGCAGTATTGTTTGCAGTAACAAAAACTGATTTCAGGGACAACTTAAATGTTATCAATAAGGCAATTGTTCAATAACTTAATGATATATACATTTAATGAAATACTATGTAGTCATTAAAAGGAGTGAGGCAGATATGAAAGATCACCAAGACAGAATATTAAATATAAAAAGCAAAATGTAGAATAAGAAATAGTAGGATTTCATTTATGTATATAAATTATATATGTATATAAACAGAGAAACATCTGGAAGGGACTTTCACTTTGCATGGCTTGAAGTTTCACATTGAGCATATATGAGTGTGCTATTTGTATAATATTTAAAGATTTTAAACACAGAAGGGAGTAAGGGAAACGGGAAGAATACCACGTGCTTCTGCTATGTCCTGTGTCACAGAAACATCAGCAGCCACAACCAGACAGCCACACCCACTCAGGGAGCAAGAGCTGGGAAGAACCACAGCCCTGCGAGAAAAATCTCAAAGGCCAATGGACCAAAAAGGGACATGGAGTTTAATATTTTTCCTGCAAATATGCAATTTTAAATAATGATGACAATAGATCCATATAAAGATGTAAAGTGAAAAATCATTTATACCAAATCTGATGCCTCTTATTCACTCCTCAACTCATATATTTAAAAATTCTTCAGCATGCAGCCTCTGTAACAGGCCATGAGTGTGTGTTTTTAAAACAGAAAGCAAAGCAGCCTAGCACATTATCGAAACTGGGAACCAGCCAGTACCACTACTCTTCTCCAATCTACTTAGCTTTCTCAAATGAATTTTAGGGGAAAAGCATATTTTAAGGAACAAAAATAAGTGTTGTTGCAAATACATGGGGCAAGAAATTCCCCGAAAAGATCTACTACATAAAGCTGCCTTAGATATCACAGTTCATTCCAATCAAAAATCTGATAAATAACTAGATGGGTATGTGTATCATATCATGCTCTAGCTGTGCTGGCTTATAGCACACGTTCATGAATAAACACGAGTGAATGAATGAATGAATGAATGAATGAATGAATGAGTTGAAGCTTAAGGGAACTCCCCTGAGATTTTTAACATTGTCATGTTTCAGTCGTTAAGTTGATGTGGTAGCATAGTGCTAGCTAGTGGTCGCATAAACTGTTATGAGTCAGTAGCACTGTATTATCATTGTCTTTACGCTGCTTTTTCTCCACACATATTTATTTTTGACTGCCAAGAGGCAAGGAAAGTTTAAAGCTCAAAAATTTAAATACAGATTCCCCTTTGGGAAAGACGGAGAGGAGCCTCTCCATTTCTTCCACAATCTCCTTTATAACAAAAATAAAACACGACAAATTCTTTTGTGGGCAATATAAGCATACAAGTAACACACATTACCAGTAATCCAAATACTTAAAGTGGATTCACTTCTTATACTACAATATCTATGAAAGCATAAATGCAGATTCTGAGTAGGCTGTTTTTAGCTGATGGAATTTAAATATGTTATGATTTCAAACAAGCAATTAAAAAAAAGTCACAAAAGTTGTCCTATTCGTTTGTCACTGACTTTTTAAAGAAAGCTCAACCCACATCAATGTAGCAACACATCTACTAACTTAAAGAATGTTTCTCAGGAACATGGTACTCATTTGCCTTTCTAACTACTGGAGTTGATTCGAGTGGACGAACAGTGAGCATTGTTTTCCGTTTTCGAAATACTCTTTTTAACAAGAATAACTCTGTGCCATCACATTCTTTTCCATTTTTTTTTTAAGTAAAGACAGCAGAAGAGCACAGTCTAATATGGCCTTCCAAACATGAATACTGAGTTCCTTTATGGCAAGGGTTCCCTGTTGACTCTCACTCGAATGAAGAAATCCAAACAAGAGAAAGACAGGAAGATACAACAGCAAGTTCTGCAGGCCTCCTGGGTCCTGAATTTCTTGACAGTGGAACCAAACAACCAGGCAATGTGCAATAAAGATAGAAGCCTGGACTCAGTCCTGGCCTGCAGCTCCCTTCTGTGTGGCCTGGAGCAAAGAATTTCTCAGCTTTTCCACCAATGAAACAAGGATCAAACTACCTGCCACTCCATACCCAAAACTCAAGTAATGGGAAAGGAATTTAATTAACTGTAATTGACTGCAAAGTACATCAAATTCCTACAACAAAAACTCATACAACTTCCAATTACCACTCGAAAGAACTCTTTAACCAATTAAGGTGTGTGTGTGTGTGTGTGTGTGTGTGTGTGTGTGTGTGTGTGTGTTTAATCAGTTTACATAAGATCATTAAGGAACTGAGCCCCACAAATGCAGTCTTTAACAAAGGTTTTCAAGTCTGAAAAATGTCCTTGCCAAGAATCCACCTCCAGAGAAGAAACCCAAAACCTGCCAGGGAGGAGCTCTGGGAGTCCCTTCTGAAGCTGGCAGCCCGGTGGCATTTCTGATGTGAATGTCTTTTAGATGTCACTCTGGATTAGAGTATTGACCACTACTAAGCTGGGATCCACCAGGCATCTGGTGGCCTGAGAATACGCAATTTGTGGTTACAGAGCACAAGCATGGCAAGCAGTCTGGCTCATGTGAAAGGTGAAATCCACGCCAGTGTTTGATGAATTTGATGATACAGAACAAACAAATTAGGCTACCCCTCACCAACCCATCATGGGTCAGGGGCAAGGATGAATGTGTAGGAATGGCCATCCTTTCTACCAATGTAACCCCATTGTCACTGTTTTCTCATCCCTTCCTATTAGATTCACTTGGCACACCACCTGCTGCTGGATTCATCTTTCCAAATCAATGCTTTCATCATCCCTTTCCCCACTCTCCCACCTGGACTCTGATCAAAATCCCAGGTACAGAAGCTGGCATCCCACAGGGAGGAGGTACATGTGGAGAAATGGCCCTGGGAATGAGCCCTAGAGGCCTCCATCATTGCAGCAAGTACTCAGGAATAAGACCGCCTGGATGAAGCATTTCAGAGTATGGGCAGATATCCAACTGTGCTTGCCAATATAACCCTTGTTGAACCTAGAGCTGGTGCCTGGACAATACGGGCATCTTATCCTGTAGTGACAGCTCTAGGAAATATCTTCAAGGGAAAGAAAGCATAATTCTAGGCCCAGCCTCTGACATGCCTCTGAACTACCAAAAAGCTGACCAACCAACCATGTTCTCGGCATTATTCTAGTCTTCTCAATGTTTTACTGGATTTACTGCCTATAGGGTTAAAACCATACCCACTCCACCTTCAATCCACATTGAAATGGATTTCAACGTGTTTTTGACCTTGGATCCACAAATTCTTTTTCATTATAATGTGTATAAAATGCAAATCTACTTATAATTATGACCTTTCAACATTTTACCCCACTCTACTGAAGAATACCCATTTGCATGAATTTATAACATATAGTACTTGTAACTAATATTTATTTCCACATTTCCAAACAAAATATCCTACATCCCTTCTCCTGTTTCACAAAAGGGCTCTCCACCTACCTTATTTAGAAATGAGCATGATTTCACTGAAGTTTTAGAGAGACTCATAGATTTAGTATGGAGCCTAGAGACATTAACAAACCATCTCCTTTAATCTCTGGAAGTGATCAAAAGCAAGACATTTTCCTTGCAAGATTTTAAAACAATTTTGGCCAGAGGAAAAAATAATATCCATATAAAGTCAGCAAATACAGCAATCAACTAGTATGTCTACAAGAAAGACGGCAGGAAAAGGAAGAGAGAGGGATGCAAGAAAAGTAGGAAAGAAGTTAACAGCAGAAGGAAAGACAGGCTCAGAGGCAGGAAGAACTGCTTTCAGGGGGCTGAGAGTGAAGAACAGCAAAGCCCTGCCACTAAGGAACCTCGCCCTCTCCCCTTCACACCATCGGGGCAGAGGTAGGGAGGCGAGCCTGTGCACACTAGCAAGATGCCCTGCGAGATACAGCAATAAATTTAATGTGGTCTCTCTACTCAAGAAGTAGATAGTAAGACAGACAACCTGAACCATCAGGATAGCAGAAGGCAGAACATAAGTGCTTATCAGTAAGGTAGCTGAAAAGGGGGTTCATTGCTTCCTTTAGAATTAGGGTACAGCATCATCACCTATGGGGGAGAAAAGAAGCTGGAAGGTTGGTGAGTAAAAATGTGATACATTCATTAATTTAAAAATTAAATTGTGTTCAAAAAATCCAGATGAAAAGAATTTATACATATATAAAACTTGCAGGTTGAAATTAACATATGTCAAACCAAATAATTAAATACAAACTCTATTTATGTGCCAAGATATGAGCTCATAGCTCTGGACGAATAATAAGCTATAGTTCATTGACCTGTTTGGGTATTAATGAGCTCGTTAAATCTTTTTTTTTCCAACAATCAGAGACATCACTCTACTTGGAAAATGGTAAATAGAAAGTCAGGTCAACATGAATATTTCTCTGCTAGCTTAAATCTACATTTAAGCCATAATTTCATAAATTAAAATGTCAGGTGTATTTATTTTGAGATTACCTAGAGACATTCAATTTTGCATTTCACAGACTTTTAATATCGTTTTGTGTCTCCATATAAAATATTTATCTGTGTCAAAAACCTTGAAATCATTTATAGATATACTTTTCCTTTTATTGGCTATGTGAAGAATATTTACCTGTGGGAACTATAAGAATTCCAAGCAATTTACTGTCTGGCCAAGAGTATCACATTTGCACATGATTTATTGATGAATAACTTGTGCAAATTTAAGTAGCACTTCATCAATATATGTTTTCTTTAGCTGTACTGGGACAGAAATAGTGCATCTCTTTTTGGCCTAAAGCTACAAGGACTTATCCTAAATAGTTGAAAAAACTCAAGACAGTTATCCAGTAATTAGGCTATTATGAGAAACTCTCTTTGCCATGTTCACTGGGAGGATATTATTGAGGCTGTTCACTCTCTCACTCCGTGCCTGCCCCATTAAATCCTAAGGGAGAAAATTCTTTCTGCTCTTAGCACCAGGATCAGTTATACTCACTGGCAACTGGTTTGTTTTTATTTTAAGACGTTGAGAGACTTTCCCTCCCTGTATTAACTCACTCTACTTCCCCCCTTTTATTGGTTGCTAGAGAACTGAAAGTAAAAGTTGAAGGCCACCTGCACGAGTCAGTTAAGTCTCCATGCCACACATTTGCTACAATAATAATAAGCAATAGAAATGATTATTATTGCCAACAGTTACTAACTACTTTGTGCTAAGCACTTTACATGTGTTGTATTTCATTTAATATTCTTAATAATTCTAATATAAGAGAACTTTTATTTTTCCATCTTCACCAATGAGGAAACTGAAGCTTAGAGGGGTTAGTCAACTCACCCAAGGCCATTGAGTAAGCGGCAGAATTTCAACTCAACTGGTCTTTCCAACGTCAAAGATCATGCTTCTAATTACTCTGGTATTCTGCTTCCTGATCCATCTTTTGTTTCTGCCATTTTGACTTGTTTCCTTTTGCTAATGAAATAAAGATAATGGACCGGGACTCTTGGGAAAAACTCAGGACTCTCTTAATTCATCTTCTGAAAGACTATGTCTTGGACGGGCTTAGAGGCTCATGCCTGTAATCCCAGCACTTTGGGAGGCCAATGTAGGAAGACTGCTTGAGGCCAGGAGTTCAAGATCAGCCTGGGAAAGAGAAAAGGAAAGAGGAGAGGAGAGGGGAGGGGAGTGGAGAGGAGGGGAGGGGAGGGGAGGGGAGGGGAGGGGAGGGGAGGCGAGGAGGGGAGGAAGAAAGAAGGAAAGAAAGAAAGGAAAGGAAAGGGAAGGAAGAAAGGAAGGCAGGCTAAGCCCCAATGGCCCTGTCTAGAGCTGCCCACCTCAGAGAGAGTGGTGTTGGCAAAGTTCTCCACTGCCAGTTCTTTTTTTCTTTCCCCCAGATGACATGCTTTCTAGGAGTCCAGGAGAGGTAATCACAGGAGGCCCTGTGGTTCAGTAAAGATGCAGAGGCACTGTTGCAAGCGTGGCCTAAATGTCCCAAAGCTGGGCATGGTCACCGTGCGTGCCAGTCTGGACCACTGTGTTGAACTATGTGGTTTGTGCACAAATACTCCTGCCAAAGGGAAGTGCAGGAGCATGTGGCCTGAATCTAGCCCGTGCTCCATGCTAGTGTTTCCAAATTCCCGACAGGTTAATCTTCAAGATTCAGGAATATGCAATCAAAATTCCTAGGAATTTTCATGAGTTCCCAAAATTATATTATTCTGTATTTTTCCTAACATTTCATTTACATGTCTTTAAATAATAATGAATGCCTATAATAGTAGTGAATCATTGCTATCATAATAAACAGTGAATCATTTTTTGTGGTAGAGTTATGCTAAAAATTTCAGAGGTTTTCTGTAAAAAAACTTATGTAATAAATGCATGATTTATTATTATTATGAGCCAGAATATGTGACATAATTATATTGCAACAACATGTAAAAACAATGTGCACCTGATATAGAAATTTCATAATACAAAACACTAAATGAGGGAAACATTAACACAAAATAAATGCCAAATAAAAACCATTTTAAAAATTGACAGATGCCACAAAAATATTTAATATTTATAAAGTATCACGCTTAAAATGAAATTTTAAAACTCACAAAATATTAACTGTTCTCTCCAATAGTCTAGAGGTTTGTTTCATGACAAACAGTCCAGACTAAAAACATATTTTTCATTTTGCATTGATGTTGGTAAAATCATTAGGAGCCTGCCAAAGAGATCTCCAAGTTGAGCATTAGGGCTTGTTTCGTATAAGCTCATGTCCTTTTTGAAACATGAAAATATTATTTATTTATTTATTTCATTATTATTATTATTATTATTATTATTATTATTATTATTATTATTATTTTGAGATGGAGTTTTGCTCTTACCTCCCAGGCTGGAGTGCAATGGCATGATCTCGGCTCACTGCAACCTCCGCCTCCTGGGTTCAAGCAATTCTCCTGCCTCAGCATCCCGAGTAGCTGGGATTACAGGCGTGTGCCACCACGCCCAGCTAATTTTTTTTGTATTTTTAGTAGAGACAGGGTTTCACCATGTTGGCCAGGCTGGTCTTGAACTCCTGACCTCAGACGATCCACCCTCCTCGGCCTCCCAAAGTGCTGGGATTATAGGTGTGAGCCACTGCACCCTGCCAAAATATTATTTATTTTTAATTGACAAAGAATAATTGTATATTTTTATGGGGTACAATGTGATATTTTGATAAATGTTTACATTGTGCAATGATTAAATCAAGCAAAGCCACTGGCAAATGCCCTTGGTTGATTTAACCAAACACATGAAAAAGCAGAAAGAAACCATGAGTTAAGTCAAATACTTTTTCACAAATACTTCTGGACGTCGGCTTTACACAAGGCCTAGATATCATCAATACTTAATATCTGACGTCAGAAATGAATATTAAGCTGGGTTTTGGTGAGCCATTCCCCTTGCCCTCCTGCAAATTCAAATACTTAAATACGTTACATGGGCCAATTATTATGTAAAATATTCTCATATATGCTATCTGACGTGAGAGAAATGAAAATGAACCAATCCACACTATAAGCACCCACAATGTCTCAGAAACCATGCTATGGTTCAAGTGTGTTTTATTAAACTTTATAATAGTCCTGTAGTACAGGTATATTAATTTTATTCTATGGGTTGAGAAAATTAGGGCTCAAAACTGTAACGTTTCAACAGCTACGTTGCTAGTAAGGGAAACAGCCTGGAGTTTAACCGAAGTCCAGCTTTAAAAATCCATGTTATTTCTTCCATACCATACTACAAATCATAAAATGGCAGCAAGTCACAGTGTCAGCTGTTTACCATGCCCACTTCCCAGCCGGGAGAGAGGGTTGGTACCAGGCAGCCTGGTTGCTCCATGAGGATGAATCTTGCATCCTCAGGGTAATAAGACCTTGCCCTGCACAAACTTAGATAAAACAACAGGAATGCTTACTACTCTTATTTGAAAGAAACGTAAAGTAAACTTGGAAGCAGCATATACATCTTTGGGAAAGTATTTTAAATGAACATTGCAAACATACTACCATAGACCTTTCTTACCTTTAAATATTTCACCAGCTTCTGAATTTGCCAATATTCTGATGGCAAATCTGCACTTGCTTCCTGACGATGGTCAGGTGGTTCTTCATCTTCCTCACTTTCTGAGGAGCTATCGCTAACAGTTTCCTCAATCTTTTCAGCACTCTTCCTAAGAACAATAACAACACACATACACATGTAAGCTATAGTGTGGAGATCTATTAAGACCTACATGGGGCCAGGTGCAGTGGCTCATGCCTATAATCTCAGTGCTTTGGGAGGCTGAGGTGGGAGGATTACTTAAGGCCAAGAGTTCAACACCAGCCTGGACAACATAGCAAGACTCTGTCTCTACAAAAAAAATACTTAATTAGCCAGACATGGTGGTGCATGCCTGTAATTTCAGCTACTCAGGAGGCTTGATGCAGGAGGATCACTTCAGCCCAGGAGTCTGAGCTGCAGTAAACCTTTATTACCTCATCACACCACTGCACTCCAGCCTGGGAGACAGAACAAGACCTTGTCTCAAAACATAAAAATAAAAAGGAACTGCATGAGGTGAATAAACCTGTCTCTATTGCAGGTGCAATTGCTCTGGGTGCAATAATCATAATAAACAAAACAGTGAGAAATAAACAAGGGTATTCAGTGAATGTCCTAAGCCTGCGCTTTTCAATAAGACTGCCACTCATTGCATGTGGTCATCCATATTTACAGGTATTTGAACTTATTTATTTAACTAAAATTAAAGAAAATTAAAAATCCAGTTCTCCAATCACACTAGCCACATTTCAAGTGCTCAATGGCCCACGTGCCTCGTGGTTACCACACTGGACAGCTCAGATATTGACTATTTCTATTATTCCAGTAAGTTCAACTGGGCAGTGCCACAAGGCCCTAAAGTGAAAGAGTCTCTTTTACCAAAGAGAGTCAATATTCAGCACATCCCTCCATAATGCCTACACTGAAGTACTTGCAAGGGCACAAGGTGCCAAAGAACAGCAATAACATGAACATAATCAGGTTCAGGACCAAAGAGTTAACCACCAACTCTGAGAGACATTACCATGCAAAGTGTTGAGTTCCACAGAAGTACACCACATTCTATGGTTTGATGCATGGACAACAGTATTACAAGAGACTTCTGGAATCCAATATATGCCCTACGTCCCTGCAGAGGTCCCTCATGCACACGCACACTCATCACACCAGCTTGTCTCCGCCTCCCACCGCCGGATGCCAGGTTACTGCCATTGGGTCACCAAATCCACAGTGATGTCTCAGGAACTACTCATCCATCACTCACATGTGGAGAGGTGCTGAACCCAGGATATTTATCCTGATATTGTTTCCCACATATTCCTCATCTCACAGGACAGAAGCAAACTTTTAAATCTTCTAGCTAATTTTAATATTAAATAATACCAACAGCAGCCACCAGTTTTGTCTATTTTGCCCTGTGTACTTTTTTTTTTTTTTTAGACGAGATCTCGCTCTGTCACCCAGGCTGTAGTGCAGTGGTGCAATCTTGGCTCACTGCAACCTCCGCCTGCCGGGTTCATGTGATTCTCCTGCCTCAGCCTCCTGAGTAGCTGGACTTACAGGCATGCGCCACCACATCTGGCTAATTTTTGTATTTTTAGTAGTGACGGGATTTTCACCATGTTGGCCAGGCTGGTCTCGAACTCTTGACCTCGTGATCCTCCCGTCTCGGCCTCCCAAAGTGCTGGTATTACAAGCATGAGCCACTGCACCCGGCCTGTCCCAGGCACTTTATATTCATTATTTCTAAACCTCACAACCACTTTGCAAAGCAGGCTCTATTATCCCCATTCTACAAGCAAGGAAATGTCAGAGAAATTAAGAGGAGAAAAAAAATCATTCACTTTGAAGGATCCAAAATTACTTAAAATATGACTTTTGCCAATCACATATTAAGGTGTCCTTAAATATCAAAGTCACAAAGTCAATGACCATAATAGAACACACAAGTCCACAATACTTTTCCTCTAACTCTGAAATCCAAAAAGCTCTGAAAACTATTTTTCCCCCCACTGGACTTAACTTGTTGCTAAGGCCTTATATGAACCAATAATAGACTATTTATGGTCTTAATTCCTCTCATTCAGTGTGAATATTCATGTTTCACTACAGAAATGCTCATGTTTTTGATTACAGGGTATTGGCTCACACTCCAATAGAGGTTATCATATAATATATATTGTATGAATTTCATTACCCTTTTTTGAAGTGAGTTTTTTAGACCCCCATGCATTTGGCCACAAGAGTTCCGGACAACAGACTGTGGGTTAAATGTCTCATTTTAATTCTCTCAACAATCTATGAGGTTGTCATTACTCTCATTATAGAGATAATGAGTTAAAAATAATTTGGGCCGGGCATGGTGGCTCACGCCTGTAATCCCAGCACTTTGGGAAGCCGAGGTGAGTGGATTGCTTGAAGTTGGGAGTTTGAGACCAGCCTAGCCAATATGGTGAAACCCTGTCTCTACTAAAAATACAAAAATTAGCTGGGTATGGTGGCGTGTGCCTCTTGTCCCAGTTACTTGGGAGGCTGAGGTAGGAGAAGCACTTGAACCTGGAAGGCAGAGGTTGCAATGAGGCAAGATCGTGCTACTGCACTCCAGCCTGGATGACACAGCAACACTCTGTAATATTAATAATAATAACAATTTGAACAAAACTCCATGGTTAGTGAAGTGGCTGTGCTAAAACACATAGTTGTAATGGGAGCTGTTCATCTTGGCTCCTAGATGAGCTGGGGTAGTCTTTTAACTTACGTGTGCCTCGGTTTCCTCACCTGCAAATTGGGGATGATAATAGCAATTAGTATGTAAAAAGCTTATAACAATGCCTGGCATAGAGAGAGTGTGAAATATGTGTTTTAGTTCTGTATTATCAGGCATATTCATTCACCAAACGTGCATGGAGGGCCTGCTGGCTGCCAGGTATCAAGTGAATGCTATTGAAGAATGCTGTCTTTCGGTATCTTTGTTAAACTCCAAGGAAAAGCTGTGGTTTTGTTTTTGAAGATTTGATCTGTTTTCATTTTAGGGACCACATAAATTAAGTAACTGGTTAGGTTTTTGTCTTTACCTCGATGTTCAGCAAGAACAGAATCAAATCTGTGGTCTATGAGTAATTACCTAAGTTCCCATTATTTTGTAGCTCAGTACCTTGTCCACTTTGGTCACCATCAGAAAATTTTTATTTCTGCGTTTTCTTGTAGTGTCTTAGTAAGTTCCATAAAGGTAAGGACCATTTCTGTCTTTTATACTGTCTCCCCTAGCACAAGGAAGGCACTCAATAAATATTTGCTAGAAGAATTAATAAATTAAAGCAAGTATGAATAAGTGAATGAACAAATGACTTCAGTCTAGGTTAAGATTTTGGAAGAAGGGTACTTCTGGTGATAATTCCAGGAAGTGGCAGTAGCAGCAGCTTGATGGACAGGAGGCAACAGTCAGTAAGACTGAAACCAGGGAGTGTGTAGGCCAAGATTTGGTACTGGTTTTCCTCTTGGGGTTTCAGGTTTTTCAAGATGATGATGGGACATAGGATGAAAGTGATAGTCAGTCAATGTCAAAATTGTCAGTGATAATGGATCCATAGAAAACAGCAACCAGGAAAGACAGAGGGTTACACTAGCCTCATAGGAAAGGAGGTCTAATCTGAAGAGTAAGGTAGTTTGAAGCAATAAAGAGGAGATTTCTGCCTACGGTCCCCATGCCCTGTGGTTACACAGAGCCTAGGGAAAAGAAGATCTGAAGGAGAACAGCTGCTGTCACTGAAAAGTTTCAATAACTGCAAGAAAGGAGAGAATGGAAGCTTTGGTGCATAGGGTGAGGATATAAGAAAATTCATTTCCTTGTAGTATGAGGTGGGGGCAAGGAAAAAAATGTAGAAGAGAGAGCAAAGTGGAAGAATGATTCATTTGGGCTATTGCAGAGCAAGATACGGAGGAGAGTCCAGGAGGAGACAGGACTCATTCAAGTTTGCATTTAGAGTAGTGTCCATGGGTAAGAGGAACCCAGGAATCCAGCCTGCCACCCCCTGGAGTAGTGTATTCATTCTGGCTTCCCATTAATCTTTACAAAATGTATCTGGGTCCCCAGTAATCCATAAAAGGGTTATTGACACCCTACACAGTGCAAACCTGGAGTGAAATCAACCAGGGCTGAAAACGGGCCATCTGCAGATGTTTAACTTGGATTTACAAAAATTGAATTAGTGGAATCATGATCATTGTGCTGCAATTATAAAAAGACTTACGAGAAAGTACACTTTATTCCTCATCGCTCTAGAAGTTTCTAACTCAACATTAAACTCACGGGCAAGGACTAGTCCATTTAAGCCTTCATGCTTATATCAATTCATTCTCATTTTCTTTGTTTCTCTCCCTCCTCTGCTCTCTTCAACTCCCAGTGGGTTCTCGTCCATAAAAGTCTTTTCTGTTCTATTCCATTTTGGAGCATAGGAAGAGGATAGGCAATTTTTAAATTTTATTAATTTGTAAGATTCCATGATTCTCTTAATTTCTTACAGGTTTTTTGGCACAGAGAGCCCCAATTTTTGCACTTCCAAAAGCCAATTTGTGTGTAAAACACTATGATTATGCTCTCTGGACCCTGGAAGAGGGAAAGCCTGAATTCAAGCATCTGTTCCCATTTAATGAGCCACCTGAGTGAAGTTTCCAGTAGATCAGGTCTATTCAAGAAGTGACTTAAACTTAACTCAAAGATTCCAGATTGAAGCATATAGTAGAATAAGCCTAAGTTCTTTGAGGAAAGCCTAAATTCACCTTCCTTAGTCTAACAAGCTCCTGGAGTTCAGGGCAGAGTGAATTACGTCTACCCAATCACTCCACAATCCCATTTTAAAAAGCAGCGCCCCAAAGAAAAGCTGTCTTTTTTTTTCCAATTGATGAATCCTTTGATAGCTAACTTTAAAATGCTTTTCCTATTTGATATGATTTCTTCCAATCCTGTCCCATCGCAACTGCATATTCAGGAGGTAAAAAGAAGCAAATGTCAATGCTGAATTGATCTACAAACTCCACCTTAAGAAATACTTCTCTACCACAGAATTCTATCCACTTAGGCAAGATGTGACACAGAGAACCTTTCATTTTTATCACTGAGTAATAGCTGTTGCTTGGATACATTAAAACTTTACCTTATCTATTACCCTAAGCTAATTCACTAAAAATTGAAATACTTTCGGCCCAATATCTGTTTCAGGAAAGATGAAGTAGATATACTTTTCCCTATTTCTCCCACCAAGCACAACTAAAAATCTGGATATTGTATATAAAACAAACATAAGGTGACTCTGAAAGGCAGAGAAAAAGAAGAGCACTACCTAGGGATCTGAAGACCTGTGGCTCAACACAGCGGTGCATTCCCTGGGTTTTCTTTTTGTCTCATTCTTCCTAGACTGGGTACTGGAAAAGCCGGCAAAGCAGAAACTCCAGGAGGTGCAGGCAAAAAAAGGACCTAAGAAAGTCCTGCTCTGTCTAATTCAAAGGGCCAGAAAAGGAAAGCCTAATAAGACAGAAAATGTTTAGACAACAAATGATCTATCTCAATCAAGACCACACATAACAGCGTGGCCCAAGTCTACCTCTTATAGCAAAGGCCAAGTGAAGAGCCTAGGGCTCTACCTTTATCAGACTGTAAGAAAGCGCTGCAACCCACCTGCTGGGGTGGCCTCAGAGAAGGCCTGACAGGGAGTCAGATGCTCACTACATCGTGGCAAAAATGAAGTCACTTATCCGAACTGTGATATCAGTAGAGCCCACTGACAAAGTAACGAAGGACTCCCCCGTCACACTGTCCGGCTGGTATCAGCAGAGGCATAGGTGGAGCATGAACTCCCACTACCCTCCAGAAATAATGAGGACTCCCTTGCCTGACCCCCCAGGCATCAGTGAAGGCCTATGGGAAAACCTGCTATTTCAATTCCTCACCAGCCTGGAGAAGCAACACATACCTCATCCTGCCAATATGGTGGCAGAGAAGGCCTTCTAAAATAAAAGATTTAGGCCAGGTGCAGTGGCTCACATCTGTAATCCCAGCACTTTGGGAGGCCGAGGCAGGCAGATCACTTGAGGTCAGGAGTTCAAGACCAGCCTGGCCAACATGGCAAAACCCCGTATCTACTAAAAATAAAAAAATTAGCTGAGTGTGGTAGCGCACGCCTGTAATTGCATCTACTCAGGAGGCTGAGGCAGAAGAACTGCCTGAACTCGGGAGGCGGAGGTTGCACTGAGCCAAGATTGTACCACTGCACTCCAGCCTGGGTGACAGACAAGACTCTGTCTCAAATAAATAAATAAATAATTTAAATAAGATCCAGTGTCTCATAATAACCAAAATGTCTACATTTCAACTGAAAATTATTTGTCATACCAAGAATGGGGAAGATCTCATCTTAAATGAGAAAAGACAATTTTAAAATGCCAATATCAAGGTGATGAAGAAGTATGAATTATCTGACAAAGATATGAAAGGCACCATCATAACAATATTTCAACAAGCTATATGAACATGCTTGAAACAAATGAAAAAAATAGAAAGTCTCAGCAAAGAAAGAGAAGATAGAAAAGAAAAACCAAATGGAAATTTTGGAACTAAAAATTATAAGTGAAATTAAAAACTCACTGAATGAAATTAGCAGAAGAATAGGACAGAAGAAAAAATAAATGAACTTGAAGATAGAACAACAGAATTGGCTCAATCTGAACAACGTAGAGAAAAAAATAACTGAAAAAATCAGTGAACGCAGCCTCAAGGAACTGTGAGATTGTAACAAAAGCGCTAATATCCACCACTCTGAAGCTAATAAAAGTGGCTGACCCTTATCTTCCAGACATGTCACTTTTTTTGTCAAACTGAAAATCAAGTAAAAATTTACTAGTTGGCCTCATATTCAATTTTTAATTGTTTTCGTTAGCAATAACATAGACCACTTCAAAATCGGCAGTCTTTTGTGATCAGCAAAGGGAGGCTCAGACAGATACATAACTTTGCCAGGACATGATTGTTCAGAGGCAAGACATCAGTTAAGAGCCCAGTGTTCCTAAACTTAGGTCACTGCTCTTTGCATTAAATACATTTCTTTTCCCACAGTCAACTAATACTAGTAAATCACTGTATTTTGGGTAACTGCATTAGAAGAATATCTTGAAAAAGTATTTAAAGAAATCCAGTGTGACCACTTTTACTAACATTCCTAGTAACCGTCAGTGTAAACATCTGGGGACCCTAATAGGAAGGATGCCATTAATTTGCATGCTCAGTAGCCCACTGCGTGAGGGTGGCTTTAGGGAACTCGTCTTGCTGACCAGAAACATACCGAAGTAATTGTGCTCTTCCGTGTGAAACAGATGGTCTTGGTTTTTCAAGTTTTCCTGTGTGTTTGTCCTCTTGGATTTCTTTTGCTGAGCCTTTGCTTTAAAAAAATATACAAATATATTAGCTTTATTGCTTTATGCTAATTAATAAAAAATAAAAGATGGCAATGTAGATATATACTCCGTTATTTCCATGTGCTCAAATGATGCGTGTTCCTGACAAGAGTTCCAGCCTCATTCTGACACTCGGAGCTGTCTCTTTCACTCTTTCAGCACAGCCCTATGTTTTACATATTGAAGAAACTTTCTGTCCAGCACCTAGGAACAGGTCTTCACAGGCTGCCACTGTTGGTGTGAATCCTGCACCCGATGCCTTCTACTCTAGGTATGTATCGCCGCCAATTATAGTTTTCTATTTTCTTATCTTCCCCACCCAACGTTGCAACAGGGCCTGCACCTGGTTTTCCAGGTATTCGCAGGCTTTGCATAGTCCTTGGCATTCTGTGTTCTCCCTTGAATACCTGCTAAGGAATCTCATGCTTGAAAGAGTAAGAATATGGAAAAAGCAGTATTTTAAAACTCACTTGCCAGTTAAAAAAGTTGCCCATGCATTTTTCATTTTCACATTGACTCTTTCAAACAGAGCCACAAAAGTCAAACACCCCAAAATTGATGAGAATCAATCAGAGGAGCCAGTGTCTCCCCTCTCCACATGACTCCGTTCTTCAAACAGCTCTCTGGGTTTGCTTCCAAAACACAATGACCCTGTGATTCCCAGAATCCCTGCAGGAGAAGGTCCCTGTGTGATCAACCAGGAATCAGTTCTTAACCCAAAAATGGGACAACATAGAATATCACCTACAGGCTGCAACTTGTAAACTATTTGTTAAGCTTTAAAAAGTGGGCTGGGTGCAGTGGCTCACACCTGTAATCCCAGCACTTTGGGAGGCAGAAGTGGGCGGATTACTTGAGCTCAGGAGTTTGAGACTAGCCTGGCCAACATGGCAAAACGCCATCTCTACTAAAAATACAAAAATTAGCCAGCCGTGGTGTCACACACCTGTAATCCCAGCTACTCGGGAGGCTGAAGCAAGAGAATCGCTTGAACCTGGGAGGCAGAGGTTGCAGTGAGCCAAGTTTGTGCCACTGCAGCCTGGGTGACAGCGAGATTCTGTCTCAAAAAATAAATAAATAAATAAATAAATAAATAAATAAATAAATAAATAAATCTCTAGGTATTTCTGACTGCCCCAGCATTTACGTAGCATTGGCCCTCAATTTTTGCTTTGACGCCTGTTTATAGAAGGTCCTAAATGGCACTTGTTTTGTATATTTCATACATTCATCAAGCCAGTGTCCACTTTATATAGGTCCATTCATATTTTTGAGACTCTAGCCTTTTCATGGTATTAAAGTTCTGTTAGACATTATCTCTATGACAGTTTCGCTGATTAGCTCCATATAATTTTCATCATTCCACATTCTCCCAGTGCTTACTTAACCAGGTCTCTAGCATGATTTTTACATTTCCCCTGTGACTGCTCCAAGTGTTTTATCATCTTTTCTGCATATTACTTGTCCTGACTCACCAACTATATAAAAGTGAATTGTGTTCTTCTCTTCCCTTCACAGTGCTCCACACATAAACTCTATCAAATCTTTCTGCTTAGAATACAAAGAGGAGCAGAAAGGAATCAACCTGCGCCTTGGAGGGACATGTAAATATATATTCAATATTTTTCTATTATAAAATAAAGTTCTGGCCAGACGCAGTGACTCATGCCTGTAATCCCAGCATTTTGGGAGGCTGAGGTGGGCAGATCACTTGAGGTCAGGAGTTTGAGACCAGTCTGGCCAACATGGTATAACCCTGTCTCTACTAAAATTACAAAAAATAAAAAGTTAGCCAGGCGTGGTGGCATGTGCCTGTAATCCCAGCTACTCAGGAGGCTGAGGCAGGAGAA
Organism: Homo sapiens; assembly: GCF_000001405.40. Taxonomy (NCBI): domain Eukaryota; kingdom Metazoa; phylum Chordata; class Mammalia; order Primates; family Hominidae; genus Homo; species Homo sapiens. The sequence goes on from NC_000010.11 coordinate 27,970,885, forward strand.
TCACTTGAACTCAGGAGGCAGAAGTTGCAGTGAGCTGAGATGGCACCACTGCACTCCTGCCTGGGCAACAGAGCAAGACTCCATCTTAAATAAATAAATAAATAAATAAATAAATAAATAAATAAACAAACAAACAAAATAAAATAAAATAAAGTTCTGTGAAAAATTAGGTGAGTATGGTTACTAATGCTGCATCTGAAAACAAATGCAAATATCTACATACCCTTTGTAATTAACAGTGGTCTTCCAGTTTAAGCTTGGTTCCCATCTCTTGGTCATTTGATTCCTCCAAAAATTAATTTGGTTCTTCTCCAGTGACCTTTTGTCTGAACCAGAAATGTCTTTGCGGAGGGCAGCTGCTTCTTCCTTCTTGGGGGCTTTGCCAAGCTGATCCTTTTCCTTTTGCTGGTCTTCACTGAAGCTAATTCCCTTTATTTAAAAAATGAGAATAATTTTTAATGATATCTGAATTATCTAGTGTTCTCTGAAGATTAATGCCAGTGGTAAATTCAGGAAAGGAAGTCTCGGATGCATTTAACTTGTGGTCCTTAGTAACAGCTAAACAAGGACAACATCAAGACTAAGGCTTCTGTTGGAGTTAGGTGGACAGTAACGTGATGTTCCTAAACTCACACCTCTGCTGCAGCACAACAGATACAACTGCAAGGCTGGACCTGCTCATTCCTCACCACCACCAAAAAATTCAACCAAAACCCTCTATTGACTAAAACACATCGTATTTAAATGGCTTGAACCAAAGATAAAGGGAACATCTTGAAGGTAGACAGGTATGACATATTACAGAGGAATGAACATAAGAATTTTAAAAGACTTCTCATCAGAAACACTGCAAACCAGAAGAAAAGAGAGTAATATCTTTAAAGCACTAAAAAGGAAAACACAAAAAACCATGTCAACCCAAAATTCTTTACTAAGAATAAAACAAAAATCTTTCAAAAATGAAAGCAAAATAAAAACCTTCACAGATGAACAAAAACAGAGAATTCACTGCCAGAAGACCTGTGCTAGAAATGTTAAATAAAATTATTCAGTCAGGAGTAATACCATGCCAGCCAGAAACATGGATCTATTCAAAAAATTAAAAGCTGCAGAAATGGTAAAAATAAATATACAAGACTTTGTGTATTATTTTTAATCATTCTAACATATAATTGACTATCTAAAGCAAAAATAGTAACAACGTTTTGAGGGGTTTATGACATGTAGAAATAAAATGTGTGACAACAATAACACAAAGTATAGGGAGGGGTATTCAAGGTATATTGTTGTAAGTTTCTTAAACTATTTGTGAATTTTAGAATTTTACTTAAAGGAGACGTGACAAATTTGAGATATATATCATAAGCCAGAGGGCAGCTAAGAAACTTTTAGTAAGAAATATAACTAGTAAACCAATAGCATAAATAAAATGGAATCATTTTAAAAAGCTCAATTCAAAAGGGGCAGAGGAAGGAAAAAAACTACAAAGAACAGATGAAACAAACAGAAAACAAGTAGCAAGATAGTAAATTTAAATTTAACTATATTAGTAGTTACATCAAATGAAAGTGTTTACACACATCAATTAAATGAGAAATCATCAGATTGGATGGAAAAGGAGACCTAACTATTTGTGGCCTAAAGAAACTATTTTATATATAAAGATACAAATACATCAGAAGTGAAAGGCTGGAGAAGAATAGTTTATGCAAACAATAATCAAAAGAAAGCAGGAATGGCCATATTAAAATCAGACAATATCGACTCCAAAGCAAATAATATTAACAGGGACGAAGAGGAGCACACATACTAATAGAGGATCAATTAGCACACAATCGTAATTGTATATTCACCAAGCAACAGAACTTCAATATACATGAAGGAAACACAGAGCTAAAAGGAAAAGTAGATAAATCCATAATTGGTAGACTTCAAAACTCTCTCAGTAATCAATAAAATGAGCAGAAAAAAACATCAGTAATGATATAGAAGATATGAGCAACACAATCAGACAACTTGGCTTAATTGACATTTAAAAGACACACCTCTCATTAACACCAGAATACAGTCTCCTCAAATGTACAAGGAAAAAAATCACCAAAATAGATCATATACTGGGCCATAAAATGAACATTAATAAGTTTAAAGTAACTAAAATCATATAAACATCTTAATACATTGGAATTGAACTAGAAATTAGTAAAAGAAAGTTCTACAGAAACTCCTCATATATATTGAATAAAAATATCATATATCAAATATCTGTGTAACATAGTTTATACAATGCTCATAAAGAAATTTGCAGCATGAACTCTCATGGTCAAAATAATACATACATACATACATACATACATACATACATACATACATACGCTGAGACAGCCAGATCACTTGAAGCCAGGAGTTCAACACCAGCCTGGCCAACATGGCAAAACCCCATCTGTACCAAAAATAAAATAGTTTATTTTGGGTTCAGGGGTACATGTGCAGGCTTGTTATATAGGTAAACTCATGTCACAGGTGTTTGCTGTACAGATGATTTCATCATTCAGGTACTAAGCCTAGTATCCAATAGTTATTTTTTCTGATCTTCTCCCTCCTCCCACCCTCCAATCTCAAGTAGGCCCCAGGGTCTATTGCTCCCCTTTGTGTCCATGTGTTCTCATCATTTAGCTCCCATTTATAAGTGGAACAGGGGGTAATATGTTTTCTTCTTAAAAAGGACAGGATCACATTCTTTTTTATGGCTGTGTAGTATTCCATGGCATATATGTACCACATTTTCTTTATCCAGTCTCCCACTGATGGCCATTTAGGTTGACTTGATGTTTTTGCTACTGCGAATAGTGCTGCAATGAACATATGTGTGCATGTGTCTTTATGCGATGATTTATATTTCTCTGGGTATATACCCAGTAATGAAGTTGCTGGATTAAATGGTAGTTCTGTTTTTAGCTCCTTGAGGAATTGCCACACTGTTTTCCACAATGATTGAACTAATTTACACCCACCAACAGTGTGTACGTATTCCCTTTTTTTCTGCAACTTCACCAGCATTTGCTATATTTTGACTTTTTAATAACAGCCATTCTGACTGGTGTAAGATGATATCTCATTATGGTTTTGATTTGCATTTCTCTAATAATCAGTGATATTGAGCTTTTTTCACATGCTTGTTGGCCACATGTATGTCTTCTTTTGAAAAGTATCTGTTCATGTCCTTTGACCACTTTTTAGTGGGGTTGTTTGTTTTTCTCTTGAAAATCCATTCTTTATGGATGCTGGATATTAAACCTTTGTCAGATGCACAGCTTGCAAATATATTCTCCCATTCTGTAGATTGTCTGTTTATTCTGTTGACAGTTTGCTGTGCAGAAGCTCTGAGGTTTAATTAGATCCCACTTGTCAATTTTTGCTTTTGTTGCAATTGCAAATGGTATTGCCTAGGTTGTCTTCCAGGGTTTTTATAGTTTTGAGTTTTACATTTAAGTCTTTTATCCCGCTTGAGTTGATTTTTGTATATGGTATAAGAAAGCGGTCCAGTTTCAATCTTCTGCATATGGCTAGCCAGTTATCCCAGCACCATTTATCGAATAGGGAGTCTTTTCCCCATTGCTTGTTTTTGTCAGCTTTGCTGTAGATCAGATGGTTGTAGGTGTGCAGCCTTGTTTCTGGGCTCTCTATTCTGTTTCATTGGTCTATGTGTCTTCTTTATATGCCAGTACCATGTTGTTTCGGTTACTGTAGCCCTGTGGTATAGTTTGAAGTTGGGTAGTGTGATACCTCCAGCTTCGGTCTGTTTTTGTTTTTTTTTTTTTTGCTTAGGATTGCCTTGGCTATTCTTTTCTGGTTCCATATGAATTTTAAAATAGTTTTTTCTAGTTCTGTGAAGAATGTTTTTGGTAATTTGATAGGAATAGCATTGAATCTATAAATTGCTTTGGGCAGTATGGCCATTTGAGTGATATTTACTCTTTCAATCCATGAGCATAGGATGTTTTTCCATTTGTTTGTGTCATCTCTGATTTCTTTGTAGTGTTTTGTAATTCTCACTGTAGAGATCTTTCACCTTTCTGATTAGCTCTATTCCTAGGTATTTTGTTCTTTTTGTGATAATTGTGAATGGGATTGCATTCCTGATTTGGCTCTTGGCTTGGCTGTTGTTGGCGTACAGGAATTCTGGTGATTTTTGTACGTTGATACATTGATTTTGTATCCTGAAACGTTGCTGAAGTTGTTTACCAGCTAAAGCAGCTTTTGGGCTGAGGATCCCTTGTTTTATATGCTCCAAGTAAAACATTATTCACAACTGAATTCCTCAAAATTTCTTCAAACACAAACATGACTAGATTAAATTAAACGTATTGTAACATTTTTTAAAAACTGGAGAAATAAGAGTAAATAAACCCAAATAAAAAGACATAAGCACCAAAGTAAAGTATAAAAGATAAAAATTAAACCTAAAACTAGTTCCTCGAGGAAATTTAGTAAATCTATAGTCCTATAGGTGGATCAAAACAAAAAAACCACAAATGACCAATATTAGGAATGAGAGAGGTAACAATGACTACAAATTCTACAGATATTAAAAGGTCAATAAGAGAATACTATGAAAAAAGTTTATGCCAATAAATCTGGCAACTTACACCAAATGAACAAATTCCTTTAAGACAATCTAATCTACCAAAGCTCCCTCAGGAAGAAACAGACAACCTGTATACTGTCATAGCTGTCAAATAAATTGAATTTGTAGTTAAAATTTTTCCCATAAAGAATATTCCAGGCCCAGATGGCTTTCACCAAACATTTCTACCAAACATTTAATAAACCGACCAAACATTTAATAAACAAACAATATTAATTCTATACAAACTCTTCCAAAAAATTGAAGAGAAGATGAAACTTTCTAAATCATTCTATAATGTCAGTATTACTTCAATACCAAAACCAGACAAAGATACTAAAGAAAACAAAGCTACACACTAATAACTTTATGAATATAGGTGCAAAACTTCTTAAAATCTTAGCAAATTAAATCTGATAATGTACATAAAAGATTCAAGTGGGGTTTGTCTCAGAAATGTAAGGTTGGTTTGTCACTTGAAAAATTAATCAAAGCAATTAATCACATTAACAAACTAAAAGAGAGGAAAAAAACACATGATTCTCTCCACAGTACACAAAGAAACATTTGATAAAATCCAACATTCATTCCTAATAAAAGTTCTCAATGACTCAGAATAGAAGCCTTAACCTTGTAAATGGTTAGCATCAAACTTAATTGAAAGATTTCCCTGTAATATCAGGAACAAGAGACCATTTCTATTCAATTTTTTACTGGTGATTCCAGCTAGTGCATTAAGGAAATAAAAAGAAATAAAAAAACTGTTGAGATTGGGAAGGAACAGTTAAATTAGGAAGGAAGAAATAAGAAAATGATCTTTACTCACTAACAATATCTACATAGAAAACCCTCTGGAATGTATAAACAAGGTACTAGAACTAATAAGGGAGTTTAGCAAAATTTCAGGATATAAAATCAGCATACAAAAATCAAGTGTATATTTATACAATAGCAACAAATGACTAAAAATAGAAAATTTAAAACTCATTAACAATAGCCCCAAAATATGAAACACAGATAAGTTTCAAAAGAGATGTATAAGACCTGTATATTGAAAGCTACAAAACATTGGTGAGAGAATTTAACTAAGACCTAAATAAATGGAGAGACATACTATGTTCATGGATTAGAAAATTCAATATTGTTAAGATGTCCATTTTTCCTAAATTCGTCTATAAATTCAAGGCAATCTCAACCGTAATTCCATCAGGCAATTTTTTAAGAAACTGACATGCTGGCTCTAATATTCTTATGGACATGCAAAAGATCTAGAATAGCCAAAAAACTTTTTTGAAAGAACACCATTGGAGGATTTAAAATAAACAACTTCAAGACTTATCATAAAGCTAGAGTAATCAAGACTGTGGTATTGGTGTAAAAATAGAGAAATCAAAGTTACAGTATGAAGTGTTCAGAAATACATTCACAGACAAATGAACGACTAATTTTTGACAAAGTTATAAAGGTAATTCAGTGAAAAAACAATAGATTTACTTTTGACAAATGATGCTGGAACAACTAGATAAGCAAAAGAAAAAAATGAACTTTGATCCATAACTCATATACACAAACCAAATTAAAGTGGATCATAGATATAGATTGGAAAGGTAAAATTGAAAAATCTCTAGAAGAAAACATTGGAGAAATTCATCATTATACTGGGTTTGGAAAAGCGTTATAAAACACTATAAGGAAAAAATAAGTTGGACTGTTTCAAAATTGAAGACTCTTGCTCTTTGAAAGACATTGCTTAGAGAATAAAAATACAAGACTCGGCCGGGCACGGTGGCTCACACCTGTAATCCCAGCACTTTGAGAGGCCAAGGTCGGCAGATCACAAGGTCAGGAGATTGAGACCATCCTGGCTAACACGGTGAAACCCCATTTCTGCTAAAAAAAAAAAAAAAAATTAGCCAGGCGCGGTGGCGGGCGCCTGTAGTCCCAGCTACTTGGGAAGCTGAGGCAGGAGAACGTTGTGAACCCAGGAGGTGGAGCTTGCAACGAGCCAAGATCGATCATGCCACTGCACTCCAGCCTGAGTGACAGAGGGAGACTCTGTCTCAAAAGAAAAAACAGAAAAGAAAAAAGAAAAATACAAGACCCAGATTGGGATGAAATATTTATATTTCATGTATCTAACAGAATATATAAGCCAAGAACATATATAAAGATCTGTTGCAACTCAATAAAAAACTGAATAGCCCAATGAAAAAAACAGACAAAGAGTCCAAATAGACACTTTACCACATAGGATATGTGAATGGCCAATAAGCACATGAAAAGATGCATTCAAGAACTGCAAATTAAAACCAAATGAGAGACCAGTACACACCTATTAGAATGTCTGTAGTTAAAAGACTGACCATATCAGTTAATGATGAGTATGTGGAAGAACTGGGACTCTCATACATTGCCTACATCAATGTAAAATATTGCAACCACTATGGACAGCAGTTTACCAGTTGCTTAAACATACAACTACCATATGATCTTACCATTTCATTCTAGGCACATTGAAACTATATGATCATACAAATCCTTGTACAAAAATGTTCTTAGTAGTTTTATTTGTAATAGCCCGAAACCTGAAATAACTACACATCCATTAACAGGTGAGTGGATAAACAAATTGTGGCATATCCATACAATGGAATAATACACATCCATAAAAGCAATAAATTAATGATAGATGCAAAAGCATAGATGAATCTCAAAAAGAAACAAAAATCTGCACAAACCATACCACAAAAATTATAGAACACCAAGGAAGATCCTAAAGGCCTCCAAAGAGGGGAAAAAGCCAAAACAAACAGTTTATGTGGAAACATAAGCCTTTGAAATGCTAACTAAAAATTAATTTCAAACCATTACTCTAGAAACATCTGAGATAAAATAATAAAGGTATTCTCTAACATCCGAATCCTCAATTTTTCCCTCCCATGTGCATATTTTACTCAGGAGGGTCTACAAAATGATGGGTGCACCAAGAAAAGGAAAACTGGAGCCGGGCATGGTGGCTCACACCTGTAATCCCAGCACTTTGGGAGGCCGCGACAGGTGGATCACCTGAGATTAGGAGTTTGACACCAGCTTGGCCAACATGGGAAAACCCCATCTCTACTAAAAATACAAAATTAGCCGGGTGTGGTGGTGTGCACCTGGAATCCCAGCTACTATGGGGGCTGAGGCAGAAGAACCACATGAACTCAGGAGGCAGAGGTTGCAGTGAGCCAAGATCACACCACTGCACTTCAGCCTGAGTGACAGAGCAAGACTCCATCTCAAAAAAAGAAAAGAAAAGGAAAACTGAATAGAAGGCAACTTCCTCAACATGCTAAAGGTCATATAAGAAAATCCCACAGCTAACATCAGGCTCAATGGTGAAAGCCTAAAAGCTTTTCAATTAAGATCAGGAGTCAGGCTAGGCATGGGGGCTCACAGCTGTAATCCCAGCACTTTGGGAGGCCGAGGCAAGCAGATTACTTGAGGCCAAGAGTTCGAGACCAGCCTAGTCAACATGGTGAAACCCCATCTCTACTAAAAATCTAAAAATTCGCAGAGCATGGTGGCAGATGCCTGTGATCCCAGCTACTCGGGAGCTTGAGGCACGAGAATCACTTGAACCCGGGAGGGGAGGTGAAGGTTGCAGCGAGCCAAGATCATGCCACTGCACTCCAGACTGCAGTCTGGGTGACAGAGTGAGATGGAGTGAGACTCCATCTCAAAAAAAAAAAAAAAAAAAGATCAGGAATCAGACAAGGATGCCTGCTTTTACCACTCTTATTCAACATAGTCCAGGAAGTCCTAGCCACAGTAATTAGTCAAGAAAAAGAAATTGCAAAAGAGTCTAAATTGGAAAGGAAGAAGTAAAACTATTTGTATGCAGATGGCATGATCTTGTATGCAGAAAAACCTAAGAATACACACACACACCCATACACACACACACACACACACACACACAGAGTTAAATGAATTCAGTGAAGTTGCGAAATTCAATCTTGATTTTAACACTCAAAAATTAGATCTGATTTGATCACTCAAAAGCTGTATTTCTATACACTAGCAGTGAATAATTGAAAATAAAATTTAGAAAACAATTTCATTTACAGTAGCATCAAAAATAATAAAATGTTAATGAGTAAATATAATGAAGGAGAAAAACTTGTACACTGAAAACTTCTAAACATTGCTGAAAGCCATTAAATATACAAATAAATGGAAAGCTATCTCCTGTTCATAAACTGGAGAACTTAATATGGTTAAGATGGCAATACTATGTAAAGCAATTCATAAATTCAATGAAATCTCTATCAAAACCCAATGGCATTTTTTGCAGAAATGTAAAACCAAGCCTAAAATTCATAAACAGTGTCAAGGAATACCGAATAGCCAAAACAGTACTAAAAAACAAAAACAAAGTTGGAGGACTCACACTTCCTTATGTCAAAACTATTATAACTAAAAGAAAGATATAGACCAATGGAATAGAATTAAAAGTCCCCAAGTAAACTCTTCCATCTATGATCAATTGATTTTCAACAAGAATGCTGAGACCATCCAAAAGAGAAAGGACAATCTCTTCAACAAATTGTGCTGGGAAAACTGAATATCCACATGCAAAAGAATGAAATTGGAGCCTAATGGACAAAAATCAACTCAAAAGAGATCAAGGGCCTAAAGTTAAGAGCTAAAACTATACAATCCTTAGAGGAAAAACACAGTGCTAAATTTTTCATGACCTTGGATTTGGCAATGGTTTCTTAAATATGATATCAAAAGCATAGGTAAAAAATAGGTAAGAAAATAAGAAAAAATAGGTAAATTAGGCTTCGTCAAAATTAAAAATGTTTCTGCATCAAAGGACACTATCAAGAAAGTTATAAGGCAACCTGCAGAACAAGAGAAAAAATTTGCAAACCTTCTATCTGATAAGGGGTTAATATTGGGTATATACAAAAACTACAACAACAAAAAGATTCAATTTAAAATATAAGCTAAGGACTCAAGCAGACATTTCTTCAAAAAAGATATACAGATAACCAACAAATATATGAAAATATGGTCGACATTACTAATCATTATGGAAATGCAAATCAAAGCCCCAATGGGATACCACTTCACACTGACTACGATGTTTATAATTAAACAACAACCTAGAAAATAAGAAGCATTAACAAGGATGTGAAGAAAGTGGAATCTTTGGATAATGCTGGTGAGAATGAAAATGGTGTGGCCCCCGTGGAAAACAGGTTGGCAGTTCCTCCAAAAGTTAAATACAGAATTACCATATGACCCAGAAATTCCACTTTTAGGAAAAGACCCAAAAGAATTGAAAATAGGAACTCAACAGATACCTGTACACCAATATTCATAGCAGCATTATTCACAATACCCAAAAGGTGGCAACAACCCAAGTGTCCATCAAGGGATGAATGCATAAACCAAATGTGGTCTATACATAAACAAAATATTATTCTACCATAAAAGAATGAAATTCTGATACATGCTATAGCATGGATGAGCCTTGAAAACACTATGCTAAGTGAAAGAACCCAGACACAAAAGGACAAATATTATATCATTCCAGTGACATGAAATATCTAAAATAAGCAAACTGATAGAAATAGCAGATCAGAGTTAACCAGGAAGTCAGGGAAGAAGGAATGGGGAATTATTGCTTAATGGGTGTAGAGTTCAAGTTCGAGAGACGAAAAAGACTTGGAAATTGACAATAGTGATATTTGTACAACATTGTGAATGTAATTAATGCCATTGAACCCTGAACAATGATACTACATTTACAGTATTTTTATGTTATGTTATGTTGTAAAAAAAAACCACTAATAATAAAAAGTGCCCAAAAATAGGCAAAATTACTGTTTTTCTTGTACCATAGAAAGTTGTAGTTTAGTAACATAATGCTATGAAAGCTCAAAAGAAACCATAAAACTTACCAATTTAGACATATTTTCTGAAAATTTTGGTGATTTTTCTCTTAAAAATGTGACAAGGTTTTTATAAATTGAACCTTTTCTCTCATAATTAACGTCCCCTTCATCATCTGTTTTGCCCTTTGGGAAAAAACAAGTTTCATTCTATGATTAACATAAGAACAATTGTAAGAAGCTGATCAATACATCACAAGCTAGCCACACGTATTATTTTCATCTCCGAAGGATCTATATGGTAGTTTTAATACAGGAAATGTATAGGCAAAATCCTTCCCCCTTAATTTAATGTTATCTATTTTTCCATTCATTCACTCATTCCTTCCTTCATTCAATTGTTCATTCATTCAGCAAGGCTTTACTGAGTACCTCCTATATGCATGTAAGGCACTCTGCTGTTCAGCAGAGAAGTGAGAGCTTCCTTCTCTCCGCTCTCCTCTACTCTGAAAATGCATTATGACCTCACGAGCCTTAGTTGATGATGTCATAAAAGTCTTCAAGGTTAGAATTTAACCGTGGAAAAGCCTACATTTCTGTTTGTCACACTCTGTTCTTCTGTCTGTGGCATGGTTGCTATAGGCTTATTTTCTAGATCTCTGTGTAACGATCTGTCCACACACCCATGTGTCTCTCTCTCTCTTCTTGTCTCTTTCCTTTCCTCATTTTCCTTTTCTTCCCTACCTCTATTGTTCTTCCATAACAGAATATATATATATAATGTATACACACATCACATAACTATATGTATATAAATACATATAACTGCAGTTTGTTATATATAACTGTATACACAAAAACATTTCTATACGTATGACCAGTGTGTTTTAAACTTTGTTGTAATTATTGAGTAGTTTTATGGTCCTTGTCTTTCATTTTTTTAAAACTTAAAGGGATACTTAGATATCTCCATGCTAAATAAGTTATATGTATGTAGATCAATAATAACCTTTGATAGAAATAAAGACTCCCTGCCCCCCTCCAGAAGGTCAAAGAAAATCATTCCTTCTTTTGTCCCTTTATTCCTAATTAGAGATTTCGTTTTTCTAAAATATCATAAACCAAAGCAAAATCTTATTTGTCTACTGCCTCTTTGTAGAAATGAGCTCAGTGTCATGCTAATAAGAAAAGCACCAAAAGGCATGTCAGAAAGATAACTATAGGTAATCAGAAAAGAGGCTCCAGCATTTTGGTACCAACCCAAGCCAACATGTAACAACCCTCCAGGCAGTCCCCCGTGATGGCTGGGTCCCCATTAAGGACTTGGATCCTCCTTGTAGAATTTTGTTTCTGAGTTCCAAATTTATGTTGAAGATACTGAGGGCAGGATGTTGCAGAGGTGAAAGCTAAGCTCCTTCTAGCTGGTTCTGTGAATAGGGATGAGACTGAAAGTGTTTTAATCCAGAACACTGTGTGCTGTTTATCACTCAGCTCAAAGCCCAGCCACCCAGCCTCTACTTTGTGCTACTCACGCAGGAATCTGCAATGTCGTATTTCTCCTTTCACCAGGCTAGGTTATTAGGCTCCGTCATTAGAATCAGCTAAAGGAAGACTGAAAGGCTGGCAGAGGGAGGAGGGACCTGCTGCTTCCTGCTGGCCCACTGTCCCTGTTAGAGTCACCCCAGCAACGGCCCTTCTTTCCACACAGTGGCAGTTGCTTCCAGTAGCAACAGTTGGTTCCAGTTTCCAGGTTTGTTGATTTTTCACGGTCCCAGAAACAGGCTCACCTCACCCCCTGGGAAATATCACTATCAGTCATCCAGTGCTCCATTTTCAAAGGTCCAGGTCCCAGCTCTGCCATCTCTACAAGGATCCTCTTCCCGAGGTATGAGCATTAACTGGGCAGTGCCCACTCTTCAGAGATCTGGAGCCCTGCCTCATGGAGATGGTCTGAACTCTGTGGGGACCAGCACAGCCTGGAAGTGGACCCTCCCAAGAGGTCTGGGTCCCAGCTTCATAGGGCACTGTCTCCTACCTTCTACATTTAGATAAGCCCCTCTCTTTCCCTTTGTCCCTCCAACTCTTAGGATGCAAGCTGCAGTTATGACATCTGTATTATCTCAATGTTTCTTTTTTGACCTTTCTATCATTTGGAAGCTGTGTAATGAATCAGTGAAGTGATTACGTTAAAGACATTTATAAAGTGGAATGGGTCACTTTGAAGCCCATTTCTTATCAGATTGGCTTAATGACCTGCAGTGGAGAATAAGAGAGCTAATTCTGAAGCTATTTTGGATTTGCCCAGCAAGCATATATCAAAGGAATCTGCTTCTATCCCACAGAATGGTAATTCATTCTCTGTGGTCATTGGGACACACCCTTGAGACATCTACAGCTAACAATCAAAGTCCACTGGCTTTAGTTACGTTTTTAAAAATTTACTTACACCATTTAAAAATACTCCTCCTGCACTGCAAGTAATGCACAGAGTCTCACCATCGTGAGGTTTCACCAGCACATAACAAATTTCCCCACGAATTTGTCTCCACGGTGGGGCTCGACATCCATTTGAAAATTCATAATCTGAAACCAATCATCAAGCAATTAACAGGAGTTCCTTAACCTAGAGTTTGGTAAAAAGTGTTGGCTTCCACAAAATAAATATTGTGGAAATTTTAAGCTTTCCCCTTCTTAAACCTTCTCTTGTAATGTAGACATTGAAAGCATTTTGCAAATGTAATTATGAAAATGTAAATAACATAAAATGAGCCTGAGAAAACATCAAACCTGAGGTATATTCAATAGATTCCAAGACTGTTTGGTTTCCTTTTCCTGAGAAACGTTTGAGCAGTTCTATATCCTTCTTCACCGTCATGGGACTTAAACTTATTTCTCTGAAATAAATGTTTAAAATGTCAGCTTAAATACTTTAAACAGAATCTAGGAAACACATGAACACATTTCATTGTATCAGGAGAAATATCTTTTTTGTAATTAAAATTGCAGTTAATTTTAGCCGTGCTATAATTTTATAACAGCACTGTCAACACATCAAGTAATTAGTGATTTATGTTTAATGCAACATTAAACGTACTCCATTAAATATTCACTTTATTTCATGCTGATAATATTCTAACACTAAAAATATTAGAAAATGAACATGCTTTGGACTATACAAACTCTACATGATATCTGCATTATAATTTAATAATTTGTGTAATAGTCTTGAGAGCATTTGAAAATAACAAGACCACCTAATGTCTTCAGAATTGCATGAAACCCCACCAGAATGTTTTCGTGATGTCACCTGCAATTTTTAATTTTTAGAACTGGAATAAATGAATCCCAGGAAAATTGTTTGTTCCAATAAAATGTAAAGTTAAATCCATAGCAATAACTTCCATACTTTACTTTTCTTGTGTCTTTTTTTCTAAAACTCTGAAAGCAACTTTGTAACTAATTTTTAAAGGTTCCTTTTTAATTTTTTAATTTTAATTGTAATATTTTATTATTTATTTAACTATCTATTTTGAGACAGAGTCTTGCTCTGTCACCCAGGCTGGAGTTCAGTGGTGCAATCTTGGCTCAATACAATAGAGGTTCCTTTTTGAAAAAGACTCACAATGAAATATGTTTTAGAGAATGATTGAGGAGGTGCAGATCCAATTGCTTAAGCAGCATAGCAATCTTCATCTTAATTTCACTTTCAGGATCATCATCTCTGGTAATTTTGCCAAGAATATTTAATGCAATTGAGTTTTCTTTCATTGTATTATAATCAGAGCCCAGGATTTTTACTATGGGGTCTCTGTTAGCTGCCAAAAAAAAAAAAAAGGAGACAAATAAAAATTATCCACTTGTCTTCTAGTACAACAAACATTAAGACTAATAAATCCTTCAAAGTCCATTCAGACGTGTTTCTTTCATTAAGCTTTTTCTAAACGACCCAATTAGAATTCATCTCTACGTCTGAGATTCCATTGCTTTTAGGAACTTTCTTCTACTTCACGAGATGCTCTAGTTTGTATTGTAACATCATCTATATATCTCCCTAATAGCACAAAGACCAAGACAGTCATTCATTCTTTCTTTTTTAATTGGCCGTGGGGCATTGTTCAGAATGCACATTCAATTAATACATTCAGAATTTATTTGAAGATGGAGAAATAGTGATCTTCTTAGAAGAATCATCACTAGAACTATATGTGCATGTGTGTATGTGTGTGTAGCAGTGCTGGGTATTTATAAAGGCTTTCTTTCCAAAATAGCATGCTTTCCTAAGCCTACAGACCCAGTAGCACTCTTTTGCAAGTATTCAAACAGCTTAATATTTGCAATGCCATATGATCTTAGAGTTGGAAAGCACATCTAGCCATATACATAATATATACATAATTTAATTATATATATATTAAAATTATAGTGAAAAACAAATACCAATTCATTATCAAGGCTGATACAGATGTGAAAGTTGAACCTAGAGATGTTGAAAACAGAATTTGGTTAATGTCAAAAACCAATATGGTTGAAAATGAAGGAGAAAGTGGAAAACCCTTGTTTAGAATGGAGAAATTTGAGAAAGATGAAAATATGTATGCATTGAGATGGGGGTGGAGAGGAAGGCCTATGAGACTAATTCAGAAAGCTTAACTTAAAGGAAATGAAGAAAAGTATAGTGAAGGCATTAACATTCCCATGTGGTCATGGGATATGCCAAGGCCTTAAGGCTGAGAAAAGGACTTCACTGGGGGAGAGGAGAGCAGCGAAAAGGAGACAAAGGAATCAACCATTTATTGAGCATCTCAACTTAACAACCTTATGACTGTCATCACACAGAGATTTACAAAAAGAGCAGGCAGATTCTGAGGAATGGCATAAACCTGACTACCAAATTGCCATGTACCATGCAACTTGGACCTGAAACTAAGGGTTATACCAAAATTCTTGCAGAAATGGCAAAATGTAGCAAAGGATAAGTATTTAGCAAATGGATAAGTATTCAGCTATATAGAAATCTACATATTATGTCTACCAATTGAGTTGAATTGAATGAATAATCCTTCATCTATTAACTACCTCCTTGAATTCAGCTTTACTCTTCAAGACTTGATACCCTCGCCTAATAAGGAGTAATAGGCAAGGCATAAAAAGAGGTTGCCATCCTGAGGTTAGCATCTAAAAAATAAAAGTAAAAAAAAGACCATCTTCCCATCTCACACAGAAATAGGCAGAATTCAAATACCTTGTGCCAGAAACCCATTGGTCACATAATTCCAATAAAGCAGGACGCATACATTATCACCTATGATTAGGTACTTCTACTCATAAGAAACATTTACCACACAATTATAGCAGGCAACCACATTCATTTTTTGCATGTTAGATGATTAGATGATAGTGTGAACATCACATATTTTTAAGAAGAAGAAAAATATTTGCCACAAAGTTGAATGACTGTAACTATTCACAGAAGGCTGTGAAGTCCACAGTGGAATATGGCTGAGAAAAGTGGAAAGGGAGACTATTAAAGGCTGTCTCTGCTAAAGAAAGAGCCTACATTCATTTTAAAGGAAATAGATTGTCATTCAATCTATTCCTTGGCAGTATGCCGAGAGAGAGTGGATTCAGAGGCCAGCCCTTGTCATCTGTCTTCTCTATTGACACTGACCTAACAGGCTACAGCCCCCTGTGCTTTCCAGAAGCTGAGAAGGTTCTCTTTCAAACCACATGCTAAAATCAGAAACCTAGAAACTTACCAGTGGTAAGGTAGCAGGCTTTTCATTTTAAAGCAGAAATTTGATAGGAGCATAATATTGCAGCCAAGGAAAATTAATAACATTTTCATGAAGTTGTACATTTGACTTTTTACCTTGTAGATTGTAGAATCTTTTTCAAGAGACTCTAACAAATGATCCTCCCACCCTTTCCCCACTTTCCCAGCAAGATTGTTTCTAAAAGTTCAAATCACAGACTGGAGCATTAAGATCACCTTCAACACATGCTTGGGCTTCCTTCAACTTCCCAGTTTTGGCAATAAGTAACAAGCGTGACAGCTGCCCAAAGCTCCTAATTTTAATTTGTGGTACAGAGAGAAATAGCAAAGGCTGTCCATTTTTATCAACTTCTTCTGATTTGACTGTTGTTTCACTAAAAAATAAAAATAAAAAATTGAAAGCTTCATGCTACCTAGAGGTCAGTAGAAGTTAAATTTAAGACATTTAGACAGATTATTCCTATATCTCATTATAAAATACAGAAAATATAAATACATCTGGTTAGTAGCTCATCTGTTTTCCCACTTTCTTCCACACTCAAACTCTTAAATCCTCAAACTTACCAGCAAGCCTAGTGACCAATAGGATATAACCAAGGAAGAATTTTTTTTTTTTTTAGCAATTTCTTGAATTCACAATTGAACTCAAATAGTCACAGTTTTTGTTTTTGTTTTCTAAAATGTGTTGATTTCTGGCATCTTTTTAAAAATCATTGGTTCTGCAAAACCCTTCATGCTTTGGGGAGTTCTAATGTTATTTTATTTATAAAATTTTTACACCACAGTAATTAGTGGTTAGGGGTTTTCTTGGCTACACTGTGTTTATGAACAAAAAAACTATGAAAAAAAAAGCAAACTGAAGGCAAACTAGATCCTCTCTGAATTCCTTTCCCACTCTAAACTTCTTTATTTGGTTTGCCTTGGGATAATAGGCAGTTTTTCTAAATGGATTCTTCCTGATCAAAAGTTATTGAGTCTCCTAGCTTTGTGTTTCCATCCATTTTAATGATTTTTTTCAGGTTGGCCTTTAAAAAATATTAAGATGTTTTCATGGAAGTGATATTTCTATAGATTTCTACCACTTACAACATTAACTAAACTGTCTAGGTTTTGTATTACAGGAGGCTATATCTGATGAAACTCCTGACACCTTAACACCTGATCTAGCTTTTTTTTTTTTTTTTTTGAGACAGAGTATCCCTCTGTCACCGGGATTGGAGTGCAGTGGCGTGATCTCGGGTCACTGCAACCTCTGCCTCCGGAGCTCAAGCAATCCTCCCACCTCAGCCCCCAAGTAGCTGGGACTAGAGGCACATGCCACCATGCCTCGCTAATTTTTGTATTTTTAGTAGACAACGGGGTTACACTATGTTGGCCAGGCTGGTCTTGAATTCCTGAGCTCAAGGGATCCACACACCTCGACCTCCCAAAGTACTGGGATTACAGGCGTGAGCTACCACACCTGGCCTGATCTAACATATTTTGAATTGCAATGTAGATACATAGATGTAAAATGTTGCTAGTTCATCAGAAAAAGTAAATCTGACCAACCGAGATTACTTATTACTGACGATCTCACTAGAATAAAAATAAGAGGATAGGAACTAGGGGAAACAGAATAATGTTCACATCTGAATCCCCAAAACCTATGAACATGTCACCTTACATGGCAAAAGGGACTTTGCATAGAAATTAAGTCAAGGATCCTGAGATGGGGAGACTATTCTGGGTATTTGGAGGAAGCCAAACATAATCACCAGGGTTCTTATAAGAGGAAGACAGGAGGGACAGAGGCAGCGACAGGGATATGCTGATGGAAGCAGCGGTCAGAGTGATGTGGAGCCATGAGCCATGAGTCATGAGTCAAGGAACATAGGGGCCTCTAGAAGCTGGAAAAGCAAAGAATAAATTCTCCTTAAGCCTCCGGAAGGAATGCAACCCTGCCGATACCTTGATTTTAGCCCTGCAGGTTCATTTTAGACTTCTGACCTCTAGAACTGTAAGATAATACATTTGTGTGTGTTAAGCCATTAGGTTTGGGGCAATGTGTTACAGCAGCAAAAGAGGGCTCACAGAGGGACTTTATGAGTCCGATTCTGCTGGGTGCAGATAGGGACTGCCCCTATCACCAGCACTTCAGATAGGAACTGCACATAGAAGACATTTAGTAAACATCTGGGGAATAAATGAATGAATAAAATATTTCTAGACTTGCCAATGACATGCATTGTTCACAAAATGTATATTTTCTCTAAAATTAAGCTTCTGGAATAATGCCCTTAGGACTTAAGAGATTTTTTAAAGGCCTGTTACCTAAAGGTTACTCACATCAAGGGCTGGCCACCACACGAAGTGGATGGTGAGAGGACTAAGTAACAGGCTGACCAAATACCAAAGATACCAAGCTACTTAACTAGAGAGAGTGAAACTCCTGGTGAGAAGCCAAAGGGCACAGGTGACATTTTTCATTGCTCCTACCAGTTGAAGCCTGTAACTTAACAGAGAAGTCAGAAATAAAATGCCAGCTACCTTAACCAGGCATGGTGGCACGTGCTTTGGTCCCAGCTACTTGGGAGGCTGAGGTGGGAGGATCACTTGAGCCCGGGAGGCGGGAGGATGCAGTGAGCCAACATCACACCACTGCACTCCAACCTGAGTGACAGAGTGAGACCCCCTCTCAAAAAATAAAATAAAAATAGATTTGAAAAATAAAAAACGCCAGCTATGGACAAGATTTTGAAGAGGAAGTTTCAGTTTTCAGGCTCACAGTTTCTAACACCTGAAGAATGAGCTCTTGGAAAGAAAAATGCTGCACTCACCTTGGGAAGATCAGGAAGAATGAGCTATCAAAAACTCCAGTGACCTGATGGAGAAACTTTTAAACCAGAATCGTGGAAGGGAGCTAAAAATTCTGTTTATACTCTAAAGCAAGAAAGCAGAAAAGTGTCTTTTTTCTTTAATCCTCAGTATCGAGTTTAGTGTCCTTTTTTTTTTAAGAGACAAGATCTTGCTCTGTCACCCAGGCTGGAGTGCAGTGGCACAATCATAGCTCTCTGCAGCCTCGAACTCCTGGGCTCAAGGGATTCTTCTCCCTCAGCTTCCCAAGCAGATGGGACTACAGCCGCACGCCACCACACCTGGCTGCTTATTTATTCGTTGGTCTGTTTATTTATTTATTATTTATTTTTTAGAGACAGGGTCTTGCTATGTTGCCCATGCTGGCCTTGAACTCCTGGGTTCGAGTGATCCTTCCATCTCCACCTTCCAAAGTGCTGGGATTACTGGCATGGGCCACTGCACCCGGCCCCATTTAGTGTCTTACTACTTAATAAATGTATGTCTAAATAGTAACATAGAAAATAAGGCTATAGCTAAGAAACTAGCAGTCCTCAGGGACAAAAAATAAATAGCTCAGTAACAAAACTTATGGCCACTGACCCTACTACTGTGACTTAGAAATTTTACCAAAATGCAATAATTATTGTCTCATAAAACAATATTATTTTATAGGTTGAGTGTAACCTTAGAGATCATGTAAATTCAGCCTTTCATGATATCGATCACAAAGCTAAGGTCCAGAAAGGTATAAATTGTGTGTGAATTGTGCATTCTTGAGGGGAAGACAGCCATTGCTCTGGTGACCTGACTTCCTGTCCCAACTCCTACCAGAATATATTTTTATCTCGATGCATATATATCACTGAGATGCAGTGGAGTGAGATTTAAAAATAAAATATGGCAATATTATAGCACATTTGATTCAAAATCATACTGTAGTTCTACCAGAGAAGGAAAAAAAATCAGGTAATAACATTTTCACCATGTGATTCTGAGCGCTTATCCAATTTATAAATTTCCCAAGCTACATTAGAAAGAATCAAAGTGCCTTGGTTCTATGTACCACAGATGGTATTGCCATTGAGTGGTGTCATTTGTTCTTAGTTTACAGCAAATTTAAGTTTCATTCTGAGGTGTTTTAGGAAGACTATTAATTTCATCCTGTCTGATAAGAACAAAAGCAATTGCAAATGATAATACAAAGAGACCTATGATTTCCATGAAATGAAAGTAGAGCTATTTGACCCCCAGCCCCCACCCCAAAATTAAACGTGGAAAGATGATGACAAATGTTATAACATGATGAAAACACTGGGAATCATTCTAAGGAAAAGACCATCACGTAACATGAACAGGGCTATGCCCATCTATTCAATTAATAACGATCTGCACAAAAGGACAGAAGGCAGTTGATGAAACATAAAACCTTTCCAGTGTGTGACTAAAGTATCAGTTTCAGTATCAGATTCTCATTAGCCTAATCAGAAAAAGGATGATCAAACTTCTATTGACTGTTGCCCACAGTGCATTTGGAATGTGCAACATCAAATGAGAACTAAAGCCACAAATATAAATATATTGCCATCAATGTCCACAGAGACCAACAAAAAAGGGGTAGCTTATCTACTTCGGCAGAATTTCAGCGTAGATAAAACTTAACTTGTTTTGGAACAAGAGGCCTGAGAGGTCTACCCACAAGGAGAGGCATCCTCCTTTACTTTAAAGTATCCAAGGACATTCCTATTTGGTAGAAACACATCCAGAGACTCCAAGCTCAAATCCTCCAGGATAATCTTGGCCTTACACATGGATGCCCAGACCTGAGTCCTGTCTGGAAGGAAAGTAGCTTCCCCACTTTCAATAAATGTATAATAGTGTACTAACAGCAGAGAAGCCAGAAGAGTGTGCTTGGTCCAAAGGGCAATGAATGAGGTCATGGGGACTGTTTTGATAATAAATTCTTTGGGTAATTGAGAATATCTCTGGTTGACATCACTTGTTCTCATAGCAAACACTGAGTGGCTATGGGTTACTGAACTTTCTTTGGTTTGGGGAGTAGACCAAGGGGCACGGTCAAGACCTGGATGTTAAAGCATCTGGTACTTTCCATTATGACCAAAATCTCAGCTGTACACTTTGCCTTCTTCAAGGCACTCTTGGTTTTCATCAGCGCCAGGCAAGCATGGTTTCCTTCAAATACAACAGCAATACCTCTCTCTACCCTTCCAACATCAAAGATATCAATAACGGTCAGACACAAAAAGAATGGATTGAGAAATTAGCCCAAGGAAAAGTTGTATAGTAAATATGACAGAAGTATAAAAATCAAGGGGTAATTGTTTCAAAATGTCAAAATGCCCTTCTCAGGAGGGAACACTGTGCATAAAGACTGCATGCAGAGCTGGGCACAGCAGCTCAGGTCTGAAATACCAGCAATTCAGGGGGCCAAGGTAGAAGGATCTCTTGAGGCCAAAAGTACAAGACCAGTCAGAGCAACATGGTGAGATCCTGTCTCTACAAAAAAATAGAAAAATTGACCAGGCATAGTAGTATGTGCCTATAGTCCTAGCTGCTTGAGGGGCTGAGGTGGGAGGATCCATGGAGCCCAGGAGTTTGAGCTGCAGTGAGCTATGATCACTCCACTGCAGTCCAGCCTGGGCAACAGAGCCAGACCCTGTCTTAAATAAATACATAAATAACTGTGTGCTGAGATATAAGAATGGAAATAAGGCAAAAAGAATCTGGACAAGAATAGGGGGAAATAGTGATAGATTTGAGAGGTGTGTGTCACAGCCCACCTAACTAGGGGTCAGATGTGATCACGTTTGTGCTTGGAGCACAAAATTTGTACAAAGGCAAAACAATCATGATATTCTTTTCTGTCATCTGCTTTAAATGCATTTTTATAAAAAAATATTAATTTTTTTTGAGATGGAGTTTCTCTGTCACCCAGGCTGGAGTTCTGTGGTGCAATCTCGGCTCACTGCAACCTCCACCTCCCAGATTCA
The DNA here is from genome assembly GCF_000001405.40 of Homo sapiens. Taxonomy (NCBI): domain Eukaryota; kingdom Metazoa; phylum Chordata; class Mammalia; order Primates; family Hominidae; genus Homo; species Homo sapiens. Next base: position 27,993,016 of record NC_000010.11, read on the forward strand.
AGCAATTCTCCTGCCTCAGCCTCCCTAGTAGCTGAGATTACAGAACGTGCCACCATGCCCGGCTAATTTCTGTATTTTCAGTAGAGACAGGATTTCACCATGTTGGCCAGGCTGGTCTTGAACTCCTGATCTCTGGTGATCTGCCCACCTCGGCCTTTCAAAACGTTGGGATTACAGGTGTGAGCCACCATGATCAGCCAAGTAGTTAATATGTTTTTAATTTGTTTTACGTAGGAGATCATATTTCAAAGCTTAGGAAAAAAGCTGAACAATACAGAAATGACAACTTCTGGAGAAAGTTACCACTGGCACAGTTAGAAATAAAATGCACCATTAGAAAAATAAGATTTCAGGCCGGGCGTGGTGGTTCACACCTGTAATTCTAACACTTTGGGAGGCTGAGGCAGGCGGGTTGCCTGAGCTCAGGAGTTCAAGACCAGCCTGGGCAACATGGGGAAACCCCGTCTCTACTAAAATACAAAAAATTAGCCAGGCGTGGTGGCGGATGCCTATATTCCGAGCTACTTAGGAGGCTGAGGCAGGAGAATTGCTTGAACCAGAGAGGTGGAACTTGCAGTGAACCAAGATTACACCACTGCACTCCAGCCTGGGCAAAAGAGCGAGACTCTGTCTCCAGAAAAAAAAATAAATAAATAAATATGACTTCAAACAACTCAGAGAGAAGGCTGACCAATAGAAGAATTAAAGAGCTTTTGAAATACAGTTTAAGAATGGTTTTGCTGCAGTTCTAAAAATGAAATTCTGACTTTATTCTCACAAATAATCCCAAAGGGAGAAAAGGGAAAAGGCATCTACAGGAAGCTTTGGCTAGCTAGGGAACTGTTTTTATATGATCAGACTTTAAAAGTTCATATCCAGAACAAAGAAGAACAAGGTGGTAGAAAATAGAATGCCTAAGGTGCAAAATAAACTGAGGCTGGCAAATATATATATATATATGTGTGTGTGTGTGTGTGTGTGTGTGTGTGTGTGTATTTGTTAGCTTACTTATTGTATAATTATAATGCTTAATGAACTAATACATTCTTATACAATTATATTTAATTTGTTCACATAATTTATGCGTATGTGTGTGTATATATATATTTTAGCCATGTTTGAATGAGATAGATTGAGAGTTCACTGTTTGAGACAGAAGTAAATTTTTTTTCATCTCAGATTTGAAAGGCTCTAATCTGAGGACACCAGTAATTCTTAAGAATTCTCTCCCTTATATTGGGCAAAATCAAAATTCATCATTCATCACCCCTCCCCGCCGCCTCCTGCTTCTAGCCCAGGAATTGATCAATTTAAATACCAGAAGAGATTTCATCTACATCAGAGGTCACGAAACCAATGGCTCCTGGCATCTGGCAGGTAATACGGAAGTACCCCATACATTTATAGAAATAAAATTCAGAAGAATATGGATGACCTGGTGTGGTGGCTCATGCCTGTAACCCTAGCATTGTAGAAGGCTGAGGCAGGAGGATCACTTGAGGCCAGGAATTTGAGACCACCCTGGGCAACATAGTGAGACCTCATCTGTAAAAAGTATATATATGTGTATATATATCTCCACATATGGGTGGAAAGGCCAGGCATAAAGCAGCAATGGATGTTGGCAGTGTAGTGACCTGGATAACGGATGCCCTGTTAAAAGAAATTTACCCACAAAAATTAAAATTTTGTTTAATTTGAAAAATTTAAAACTTAGAAAGATACTGTGTTGGCCAAGCTGAATATCCTCAGACTTCACCTGTGTGTCTCTGGTTTTCATTCCCTGGTTTAGAGGGCTTCTGAGGTTCAGAGAGGTTAGGTGACTTGCCCCCAAACCTAGAACCAATTGATAATACTATGTACAACGAAGATATCAAATCCTAGAAGCAAGTAACTGGCTTACCTGACAACATAACCTGATTCAAATGCTGAGGGCGCCAAACTTGTGTTCCATTCAAGTGGTTCCACAAAAACAAATTTTGCCTCTTGAGGATGTTTATAGATAAAACTCTCCACAAACACAATAATTTCTTTCAATATCGCTTCATTTAGAGGGGTGATTTCGAGGATTCCAGTTCCATGTCCGGCAGCAGTCCACTGCGTCAATTTCCTCAGAGCCACACCCATGGGATCCACCGTGCTCAGACCTGAGCTTAGCACACGCACTACATCAGAGCAGAAAGAGAAAGAGACAACAGCGTCCACCTTTTCCTTGGAACATTTTTCATTCTCAAGACTTTAAACTAGTACTCCCCATCCCACATTCTGCTTATTAATCTTGGAAGATTCTTTTAACATTATCTAATTGCTCTTCAGTTCAATGAAGTAGTAAACCAGCACTAGATAAAACTGACTAGTATTTAAGAAATTTCCGGTATTTGCCCTGAAATTAATAACTTCTTTCTAATTTCCCTAGGGCCTAAGAGAGAGGATTCAAACAGATAGGCATAAAACCCAAATAGAAAACTCCAAGAGTGGAAAAAAAAGGAAGTGGAAGAGGTTTATATTAAGGGCTTTTGTTCACAGCTCTGTTGGGAGCCAGCAGTTTCAGGGACAAACATTCCTTTCAGCCAGGACACACATTGTTTAGAATTACACTATTAAACTGAATACTGTTATCCCGACTTTCTTACAGTGACAATATCTGCATCATCACAATGATGACTGAAGAACATGATTCTGGTAGCTCTGGTTTCCCCAAGTGCATTCTGAGTTAAAAAAGAAATAGAATAAGAACAGTATTGTGAAATATAATTTTTTTTCTAAAAATTGATACAGGACACATTGATCCTATTACCAGAATATCTGGACAATCCAAATACTATTTTCCCTGCCTGTATATCCTGCCCAGATGACATTTTACTGTAATTCACAACCTTCTTAAGAGTTAATGTGAGAGATGTAGGAATAAGTGAGACTCTTTCAGCCTTTTTATCTAAATTAGTTATCAGAAGAGTCTAGCAGTAAAATTTAAAACCAATTCAAGTGAGACAAATTTCACATTGGCTAAATAGAAATTAGTCTGTAAAAGAAGATCTTTTAAAAAGTAACAAAATCTGTAACGTTAAATAAGAGCCAAGTTAGAAAGCACGTTCTGACTTCATAATGAACATTTAATGCTTTTTTGGCAGATAATCTATACTTGTTTCTTTTCTCTTTTGTATAGCACTTATTGATAAAATCTTTCTTCCAGAATATTAGAAGAATGGTTATACGGTTAAATATAGAATAAAATTGGCTTTTTACTCCCATCATTATTAAAAAGGCTTAAAGTACAAAGATTAGACTTGGAGATTTTACATTCTGTACTGTATTAAATCTTTGAACTATCTATTAAATTCAATCACAGGAGATCACTGGATGGCAACAGGGCAGTACTTCCTGCTGATAAAGAGTATAGAAATATTATAGAGATGTCTAGTTATCAACATGATAGGAAAGGGGGCATTATCGGCCTTTAGTGTTGAGGACCGACAATGTAAAATATCCTGTGCAGGATAGTACCTCAGAAGGAAGAATTCTGCTGTAACCTCCAGGCATCTAGTAAGTGAAAAACTTCAGATAAGCACTACCTGAGCCTAGAATTTTTCTGCACTTTGCAAAAATTGCAGAGTATTTTGTCACAGTTTTATTACACCCTGAATTTTCCAGAATTGTAGCTACCATAAACGAAAAGAAGGTTGTACATATTTTGTTTTACATGGAATTTTACCAAGAGCTCAGCATTTTGGAAAATGACACCATTGATGGCAATGTTATTTGAGAAATTTAAGTTGCAATGGCACATCTGTATCAGTCTGCATTTGGGGCTGCTGTGTTCACAGTCATTCTGTGTAAGGCTGGACATCTGACTACTTCCCTATATATTCTAGTGTAGTGGTACTTGAGCGTTTACATGCCAATCTTTTCTTACAATTATTTTCTTTCATTTTACAGTTAGCACACTATCAATATTTAAAACTATATTAAATATGTAAGATTATAATCTATGATATTGATTTCAGGATAGCAAAGCAGCCTTACAACATATATGCTATAAAAACCAAGTACTGGATCAGATAGGGTGGAGAACAACTGATCCAGACATATATACCAAAGTGGTCATGAAATAAAGTGCAGAAATTAGTGCACAAATTTGTTCTGGGTGTTTGTTTTAGTATTCTAGCATTTTGTTTCTATTGCTAACCGATGAGAAATGCTTTAGATTTAAACACATAAACATGTTCTGATGTGTATGTGTGAGACTCTTGAATTTCCCATTGTTGTGTAAAATAAGTGCAAATCAGTGTAAAATAGTGTGAAATAAGTGCAAATAGCTTTATCTTATACAGAAAGGCTTAGGTGAAAGTTCTGTCTGTCTTTAATCTTAAGTATAACATTTGTTTTGGTAATCTTATAAAGATTGCTTCTTGCACATTTTTAAAGAAAAAATGCGAAATTAAATAGATTATGTAACGCTATGGTAGTCAACATACCATATAGTAACTTCTTGAAGGACCCTTAACACAGAATTAAGAAATGCAAAATCGTTATTTTCGTCAAGATAAATTTTGACAGAAATGTAACATTTGAATCTATTCAAATTGTATTTCCAAGTCTAGTGAACCGTAGCAATGCACAAGTTTTATTCAAGAAGGTTGGTGAGTTTAAGAAAACCTCAGGGTGGCCTATGACAATCCAGAAGGCAAGATCAATGTTATTAGAAAATAAATAAATAAATAAATGGTGTTCAAAAATGGTCGGCATAACTCAAAACTAAGATTTTAAAATCAAGACCAGTTGCTCCCCGGTTTCTGCCCATTGCCAAGCTCTTTTGGCTTAAGAACCATAGTTAAAATGAATCCATGTAAATACACAGCACACACCTTTGAAGTAAAGAAAGTAAGTTTAAAGATTAAAAGGAAAAAAGTTTTGGTTACGTGTTTACATAAACTGGGATGTTTACATAAACTGGGAATCACTTAGCACTCATTTTTCTCTTTATCCAATAGATACCACAGATTGTTTTTCTTTCTAAAGGTCAATTTCAAGCTTCCAGCATCATTAGTGAAATGAAACCCATTCGGTAATCACATCGTTAACACTTAAACAGAAGCACAACCGAATTCTTTAGGGGGCTACGGAAAGGCAGCCATCAGCTCTGAGATCTATGAAATGTGGTTGGTAACATCCACGGGGAGTCCGCGCATACACTGCTTTCTGAGAATGCAGAAGTTACTCAGTAAGACCGACAGAAAATCGAACTTTTAGACATGACATGAACAGGGCCCTAAGTAAAACCAAAGCTAAGCCTAGTGTGGGATGACGGCCCCCACCAGACTCGTTACAAGAAGGGGGCGTCAGAGCTGAGACCCTAAGTTTCCAGGAATGGATTCGGTAAGGGGACGAGGAGGGAAGGGACGGCGAAAACCACGCTGGGAGCGGGAGGCAGAGCTGCAAAGGGCGGAGGAGAAAGACGGGCTGGGGGAAGGAGAGGCAGGGAAGCGGCGGGAGAAGTGGAGAGCGGATCCGGGAGGTGATGGGGCCGAGGTAGTGCAGAGAGGGGCGCAGGGACTGAGGAGCAGACGGTCCCCAACCTAGGGCCGAGGCAGGGTCTCGCGGGGAGGAAGGAGTGAGATGGGGCTGGGAGAGAGAAGGGAAGGGGGCGGGTCTTGGTCCCCGGGAGGGAAAGGGGAGCAGGCGAGAGCGGCAGCGGCGGGGCCAGAGAGCCGCCTCTGTTTCCCGATCCACGCGGGCGGCTGCAGAACCCCTGCGGGGGTGAGCGTGGAGACCCCCAGCCGCACTCACCTGCAGCACCCTGCCCCCCGCAGTCGGCGCCCGCCTGTTGCTAGGACGCGGGTCAACACTGCGCGCCCTGCGGCCGCGCACGCCGGCGCCCTTGTGGGAGGCCTACAGGGCCCGTGCCCTCCCCCGGGCGCCGCCGCCGCCGCCTTCCGCTCCCAGCCTCACCCGGCCGCGACCGCAGCCCAGTCCGTTACCCTGGTCTCGGGACCTCCGCGCATCCAAGATTCCCGCGGACCCGTTGCACCGTATGCCCGCGCCAGAGACGCTCTGCGCCCGCGCTGGGTTCCACCCGCCCCGGCCACCTGCTGCTTTCCGCTCGGCCCCTCCCGGGAAACACTTTTATTCAACTTTGCATCTCCCTTTCTCAAACACTTTTATGCAACTCCCGAGTGTGCACCCTAACTCACTCCACGCGGTGGGAAAGGTTGACTTTGACAGAGGTCGTGAGCAGTTGCGGGGTCGGCGGCAAGTTAGCAGAAAACTTAAAATGGAGCAGAAAGGAAGCAGAAAATATTCCTTAGAAACCCCTTTTTACATTTTTCCATAGGCTTCCAGACAAGTGCGTTGTATGTACCTGAAATCTTCACTGAGTACCCCCAAATAGCATAGGGCTTCTCCTAGGATATTTGAGGCTTACATGTTTCTCTCCAAAAAAACAAATATGGTAGAATACTCTGATACTCACCGGGAAAGCAGAAAGCGCTCTTCAATAGGGCAGAGGATCGGAGTGAAATGAAAACATGTCCCCCATCTCTTTTTTTAAATGGCCTTTACCTTTGTCCATTAAGATGGTTTTGACCCCACCTCTAGACACCCTACCAGCAAGAGCCCCAACTGGAACACCAGTGAGGGATAAAGGAGTGGGAATATTGAGGTGGGGGGGGATGGGGAAGAATGCACTATCTTGGGGTGGGGGGACACGGTGTTTAAGGACCAATGCCGGAGCACTTAGGATGATGGGGTGTTTAGGAATTAAAACTGGATTCTTTTCCGGATGCCAAAGAGGCAAATGTGGAATGATGTTAGGATATCACCTGTCATAATATTATACGGATTCAGCTCAAAGCAGAACCTTTCTGCAAACACGTAGGGATATGAGGTATAGATATTTGTCCTTTGTTTTGGGTTTTTTGGAGGGTGGGGGACGAAGTCTGGCTCTATCACCCAGGCTGGAGTGCAGTGGCACGATCTCGGCTCACCGCAACCTCTGCCTCCCATCTCGGCTCACCGCAACCTCTGCCTCCCGGGTTCAAGAGATCCTCCCCCCTCAGCTTCCTGAGTAGCTGGGATTACAAGAATGCGCCGCCATGCCCGGCTAATTTTTGTACTTTTAGTAGAGACGAAGTTTCACCATGTTGGCCAGGTGGGTCTTGAACTCCTGACCTCAAGTGATCCACCCACCTCGGCCTCCCAAAGTGCTAGGATTACAGGCATGAGCCACCATGCCTGGCCTGTTTTGGGTTCTTTTCTTCTCTTTTTGAAAGTGCGAAAGTTGTTAGGAATGGAATAGTTTCACCTAAAGGAGATACTACCTGCAGAGAAGCTTAGACTTGCAACCAGTGAGAAAGGGGCTTATGCTAATAGGTATACAGAGAAGCCCTTTTAAAAATGGGTGGATTACAGTCTGAGACAACAGCATCACACCTGTGGCGGTAATGCAGGTCACAACCTGGTGAGGAGCAGAGGGCATCCTTCGGAAGGATCCTGGAGTAGTCCCAGTCCTGGAAGCAAGGAAGCTTCTGTGGGTACTTTAGTTCCTCTGCACATTTTAATCAGCTGTATGACATAAGGGAGCATTACTGGGTCCAATGTGGATGCCAGCCAGAGATCTTCCAAGTTCAGGACATTTCACCTTGGTTTGCAAAGCTGGAAAAAGCCAGAACCCACCAAGATCTGAGCAACTATGTCGTTGTTTGCCAAATTCATGCCAAGTTGCTTAATCTGATGCCAAAATGTGAATTTATTTTACCGGATATTTTCCAAGCAAAAATAACTTAATAATATTTAAATCTGAAGAAGTCCCAGTCGCCTCTTTCCAATTTTTCCTTGTCGTGATGAAACACTACCTGGGCCCAGTCACTCCCTGAAGGATTTATCATGACTTGTTTTTTTTTTTTCTTTTTTTTTTTTTTGAGACGAGGTCTCATTCTGTCACCCAGGCTGGAGTGCAGAGTGCAGTGACATAATCATAAGCATAGCTCACTGCAGCCTCTGATTCCTGGGCTCAAGTGATCCTCCAGCCATGGCCTCCGAAAGCACTGGGATTACAGCCATGAACCACTGTGCCTGGCCATAACTTGTCTTTGCCTTGTTGCCCATCTGCTACCCCTACAAGGTAAGCTTTATGAAAATAGGGAGCTTTTCTGCCTCCTTCAAGTCTGTACTCCTAAGATCTAGAAGGATGACTGGCACGTAGAAGGAGCTAAATTCATGAATCGCCTAGTCAAAGATGCCTTGCTTCCTGACACTCTTCACCAAGCACCAGAAAGGCAAGGCCCACATTTTCTTAGGGTTAATAGAACCAGCCTGAGGATTCTAAGTAGCCGTGATCTTGGAAAGAGCCTTCATCACTGAGGGCACACCCGGGGTTTGCTGTACCAGAGGCCTTTACCAGCCCTGCCCATGGCTAGAGTGCAAGCACATGGTGCAGCGCTGTCCACTGAAACTTTAGAGAAAATCTGCCACAGGCTCCTGGGAAAAACTTGATAGTTTTTGGTCCACCTCCGCAACATTACGTCATCTACAGCAGGGACCCCACCCACACGCCACACCTTCTGTCAGATCAGCAGTGGCATTAGGTTCTCATAGAAGCATGAACCCTATTGTGAACTGTGCATTCGAAGGATCTAGGTTACAAGCTCCTAATGGGAATCTAATGCCTGATGATCTGTCCCTGTCACTCATCCCCCCCAGATGAGACCGTCTAGTTGCAGGAAAACAAGCTCAGGGCTCCCACGGATTCCACGTTATGGTGAGCTGTATAACTATTTCATTATATATTACAATGTAATAATAGTAGAGATACAGTGCACGAGAAATGTAATGAGCTTGAATCATCCTGAAACCATCCCCTCCCCCACACCCTATCCATGGAAAAATTGTTGGCCATGACACTGGTCCCTGGTGCCAAAAATGTTGGGGACTGCCGATCTACAGGGATTCTTATGAAACCATCCACCCTGGCTTGGGCAAATCTGTTCCTCTCATGTATCAGAGAGTTCAGACACAGATTGCACACATTAATTTGCTAGGGCTTTTGTAACAAGGTATCACAGACTGGGGCGGCTTAAATACCAGAAATGTCTTATCTCACAGTGCTGGAGGCTAGAAGTCCAAGATCAAGGTGTTGGCAGGATTGATCCCTTCTGAGAGCTATGGGGAATGAATCGATTCCAGGCTTTTCTCCTCAGCTTGTAGATGGTTGTTTTCACATTCATATGATGTTATCCCTGTGTGCTTGTCTCTGTACACAAATTTCTGAATTTGAGACAGGACCTAGGCTAGAGTGCAATAGTGCAATCACGGCTCACTGTAGCCTCGACCTCCCAGACTCAAGTGATCCTCCTGCCTCATCCTCCCAAGTAGTTGAGACTACAGGCATGCACCACCATACTCAGCTAATTTTTGTGGGCTTTTTTTTTTTTTTTTTGTAGAGATGGGGTCTCGCCATGTTCCCCAGGCTGGTCTTGAACTCCTGGGTTCAAGTGATCTGCCTGCCTCAGCCTCCCAGAGTGCTGGGATTATAGGTGTGAGACACTCCTCTTGGCTTATTTCCTCTTTTTTTTATGAACACCAGTCATATTGGATCAGGACTCACCCTCATGAACTCATTTTAACTTGATTACTTCTATAGAAACCCTATGTTCAGTACGGTTGCACTCTGAGACACTAGAGGTTAGGACTTCAGCATACGATTTTAGGGGGACACAATGTCACACATAGCATTATGTAAAGATGTGATCAGCAGGCTTCCAGCGCCCATTCATCTGTGTCAGAGTGAAGCCGACTAAGAATTTATAGGCCATAACCAGGGAGAAAGTAAGAGGCAAGGTTGGTTTAAGCATCCAGTACCTCAATCAGGAAAGGACTAAGACAGATGAAATAAACCTCCTGAGGTTTGCAGGGAATTACAGTCATTTATATTTTGTCGTAATGGGGGTAAGTCTCATTATAGGGCGGAATTGCCTCTCTGTGGAATTTTTTAGGAGTTTTCAACAGAAATTCCCATGAGAGAAAATTGCATGAAGTCTTACGAAGTCCTAAAAACCAAATTCACCAGATTCTACCCTCTCTCATAGATAAAGACAAAAAGTCAGAGAAGTGCAGCCTCAGCTGCCTCCCTTTGCCCTCTGATATTTCTCAGTGATGCATTGTGGACCAAGGCCCACGGCCTGGAAATGAAATGGCTCCTTCTCCTTAGATTCTAATCTCCTAGACATTCATTTACTCAATAAATGCTTTTTGGATGCCATTTTGTGCCAGGCACTCCATTGGCAGAACTCGATTATCCAATTCAAGTCCTAGCCAAAAAAGGAGCCTACTAAACTCAACTCAGAATTCCTGGACTAGAAGGAGAGCCACTGGCATGAAGCACAGTAGCAAAGGAGAGAAAGGAGAAGAGACTGAATCGGTGGGAAGGACTGCATGAGGTGGAACATTTAAGCCATGATAACAATTGAAATATTCTTCCAAGAATAAATGAAAGTTACTGGAAGATTTTTAGCAGGGAGTGACATGCTCCGATTTCTCTTGTTAAGAAGCTGTTCTGATTACACAGTGGAAGTAAACTAGAGAAATGCATGAGTAGAAAGAAAGAGACTATTAATAAGACACCTGGCCTCAGGTTCCCCTGAGAAATAGACTCTGAGATAGAGAAGGGCATGTAAGAAATGTATTGAGAAGTGCCCTCAGGAGAGTGAAGGCAAGGAGATTAGACCGAGAGAGAAGCTGAACTGCCATGCAGCCACAACCATCCCACAGAGAGCCCTGAAGCTGGGATGGCCCAGCAGTTTTCCCATATTGAGGCAAAGGGGCTGGACCTTTAGATCTTCTCATCAACTGATCATTATCAGCCAGTCCCTGGGTGCAGGCTGTCCCCAGGAATAGGGCATAACCTTACTCTTTCATTTGAGGGCTATCATCTGCCCATAATCCCCAGCAGCTGAGGGCAGGAGTGCTTTGGTCTTGGAGAGGTGGGATGGGTTCAGATATCTTGACAGTCCACTGCATCCCCTACTGTCCACCCCTTGCACAGCTGAGATCACTAGCATCATGCAATACAGCTCTGAGAGCGGTATCTGGGAGCAGCTCTTCCGGAATCCTGGTGGTCAGCTTTCCCTGGGGAAATTTACAAGTGAAAGATGAGACAAAATTGCAAGCCCTGGCTCTGCAGTTGGTCTCCAAGCCAAAACGTATCCATTTCTGCCCTCCTTTTCTGCCCATTCCAGATTCCCTGCATGTTTCACTAGCACTTTTGCTGATCTAGATGGTTTCCTTGGTGGGGGTGATCCTGACCCTCACTGCTGAGTTTCTGGCATCATGCCCTTCTCAGGTGGTGACTACTCTATACCTTTACCATCAAAACTGGGAAAAGACATCCTTACCCCACTTTGCAACAGCAACCTCCCTCTTCCTGATGATCCAGGGCAGTTTCTTCTATTGGGATCATGACTCCTTCACTTGCCTTTTTGTCTCTTGCGTAAAGAGTCCAAAGTTATGAAATAGCCACCATAACTTAAAGTTTTATGTCCCTTGGTGGAACATTCTCCTCTAGGAGCCATGACCTCTAAATGTGCAGAATAGGCTTCAGGTTCACTGGATACTGAGTGCATGGGGCCCTGCAGAGTGTAGACTTAAATCCAAGGTCATGGTAAAACATCTGAAGTTCATTGCCAGGACTATGATGGTACAGGAAGGGCCGTGGAGGGTACAGGACCCTCAAAGGAATCCTCACTGTAGATGGACTCATTGAGGACATTAAGCATCGGGGATACCATCAGGGGTACGATGAGAAGCCATGCCGCTGTTGACAGCAGGAAAGCTATGAAACCTGCCGGCAGTCCTACAGCAAGAAATGACTCGCAAGATCAGATTCCTGATGCAAAAGAATTGGACAGACCTGCGTCAGGACTGCTGAAGCCTTTGGATAGGACTCCCAGCATGAAAACCTTGTCCAGTTTATGTCTCCACCTGTTTTCTTTCTACAACTCTATTTTCTAGTACCTTTCTCTACAATAAACTCAATCACTTATATGCAAGAAGGCCTGCACATAGAGAATGATCCCATTAGCCAGCAGTGCTCCTTTTCTTTTATTAAGTGAAAGAAGAAACTGAGTCCAAAAGTAGTCTAGGAGTACAATGGTGTTTGCCAGGGACTAGGAGAGGGGGCAGTCGGGAGTTATTGTTTAATAAGTACAGAGTTTCAGTTTGGGAAGATGAAAAAGTTCTGGAAATGGATGGTGGTGATGGTTGTGCAAAAATGTGAATGTACTTAATCCCACTGAACTGTAGACTTGAATGGTTAAGATGGTAAATTTTACATTTTTACTACAATAAAAATTTTTTAAATCTTAAGAAAATATAAATGTGCAGAGCCCAGATCTGTGGTGACAGGAAGCACAAATTTTCCCACATGATGGGTAAACTTGGCCACTTATTCCATCTCTTGGTTCTGGAACCCATGCAATTTACCCTTAGGAGTCATAGCCCCATAGAATGGCTGTTGATTTGGGGCATATACTGCAGCCTGTAGGATGGCACCCCACCCTCATGGGGCCCCACTATCAAGCTCGCATTTCAGCCACACCTCCTAAAAGGCTCCATGGCTCTATTAGGGCAGTAGCCAACAGTAGAAACTGGGAAGATCTACTACTTTGGAGTAGACCTAAGTGCCCCTTCACTGAAAGTGTTGAGACCGGATGACCAAATATAAGAAGAGATGTAGAAGGCAACAGGGATGGAGGCTATGCATGGGTCCTTCTTGCTGACACCAGTCTGACCAATGCCACTGATAGTTTCCAGTCCACCAACAGCAGAAACTGACCTTTAATATGGCACCATTCCTGGAGAGACCAACTGGGGCCTGGTAGCAGGTCAATTACATCATATCCCTTCTACCTTGGAGGTGGCAAAAAGCTTCCTCCCTACTAGGGCTGACACGTCTTCCAAATGTGAGTTTGCCTTCTCTGCACACAGTGCCTCCGCCAGCACCACCATCAAAATGTCTGCATCATGGGAGGATCGCTTGAAGTCAGGAGTTTGAGACAATCCTGGACACATAGTGTGACCCCTTCTCTACAAAACATTGTTTAAATAGCTGGGCATGGTGGCACATGTCTGTAGTCCTAGCTATGCAGAAGATTACTTGAGCCCAGGAGTTCAAGGCTACAGTGAGATGTGATTGCACCACCACACTCTAGCCTGGGCAACAGAGCAAGACCCTGTCTTGGGAAAAAAAAAAAAAAGCCTGATTCACCCACATGATTACCTCAGATTCACCACAACAATGTATACCTCAGAAAAAGAGACTCATTTGAGACATCAAAGATGCAACAATGAAAGACATGGAATCAACCCAGATGCCCATCTGAGTTGGATAAAGATGGTTGGATTGGATAAAGAAAATGTGGTACATATACAACATGGGATACTACACAGCCAAAAAGAAGAATGAAATCATGTTCTTTGCAATTGCAGACCATTATTCTAAGTGAATTATTGCATAAACAGAAAACCATATAGCACATGTTCTCACTTATAAATGAGAGCTAAGTATTGGGCACCACAGACACAAACATGAGAACAATAAACACTGGCAATTCAAAAATGGGGAGGGAGGGGGAAAGGGTTAAAAAACTACCTATCAGGTACTGTGTTTACTACTTGGGCAATGGGATTATTAGAAGCCCAAATCTTAGCATCATGCAATGTATCCATGTACCAAACTCTTACATGTACCCTCTGAATCTAAAATAAAACAAACAAAAAGAAAGATACAACAATAGGCTCGTGACTGTGACAGCCACCAGTCTTACCTTGGACCATGTCACCTAGAGACAGTCAGCCTGATAGCACGGAAGAATGACACATTGAGGGCTCAGGTAAGGTGCTAGTATGGCAGAACTCTTTTTAGGGCTGGGTCTCCATCCTCCAAGATGTGGCATATGCTCAGAATTAACAGTGGATATGTGATACGCAGTGCTGTTTTCCTTCATTGTTAGAATTCCTAGGTGTGCAAAACAAGGAGTGAATCTTCTCACCAGAGCTCTCAGTGACCTACCTGCTTAGGGAATTTGAGCTTCCAATTATCACTAACCTTGGGCTCTGCCAGACTAGAAGCTCTACTTGCCATGGGGAGACTCCATCCATCAGGGAATAGATTAAGGGTTCCATTGAACTTAAGGCTGTTACTACCACCTGGCTACATTGGGCTCCTCATGCAAGTAAACCAGCAGGCCAAAAAAAAAAGGGGGGGAGTGGGGGAGTTATTACACCCGTTAGGTCATGATTGGCCATGATTGCATGGGAGCTAGGGTGCTACCATCAGGAAAGAAGATGTTTAGAACCCAGGGACCCTGAGAATTCACTTCATTGCTCCTCCATGGCTTACAGTAACCACAGCATGATCAAGGCAAGGCAGCTAAGGGCTCAAACCCCTCAGAAACAGAGATCTGGGTCATCCCATCAGGCAAGCATCCCAGACCAGACAAAGTGTCAGCCTGAGGGCAAAGGACATTTATAATGTGTGATCACTTTCTTCTTTCTAGCTTGTCTTCACCATTTCCTACCTGGGGGTTCACTCTAACCCTTTGGGTGAAAAAGAACAGGGAAAGAAAAAAAAAAGGAACAAGGAACCTGTTTAATTGTCTGGTCCTGCCATAAGCTAGCTTTGCATTCTCTGAACAAAGCCGAGGCTGGCTGTCCCTCTTGTGGGTATTTTTCTCGGTTCTTCATAAACCTTGCCTGGTTGGTGTCCTTTCCTTTGTGTTTTGCTCCAACCCAGAACAAGCTTCTCTATTCTGGCTGTAGTCTTGGGAATCTGGCAGTTTACTGTCTGCTGAGGTCCTATAGCTGCCATCCCACCTCCATCTCCCCCAACCAGTGAATTTCCCTTCCCCCACCCCAACAGCCTAAATCTGATCCATGGGATGTACTCACACATTATTTGCCCAGCAAATTCTAGCAGTGCAGCTCGATGCCATCACTATAGAAGCTCTCTTGTTCTTTTCCATCAAAGCCACCAGACACAGCCTGTCTCTTAACCCCAAGAATTCTCAGCTGGGAGTCAGACACTTGTCCACTCTGTCCTCCCCGACCCCCAACCACACAGGACATATATTTTGCCCTCTGAGTAGTCCCTTGAAGTCCCTTTTCTCCCTTCCCCTCTGAATTGATGTTGGGGGCCAAGAGGGCAGTGAGTAGAGAGGCAATGCCTTGGATGACTCTCCAAAGAGCTCCTCCCTGGAAATCCACTCATTTCCCTTCTATAACTTCAGTGTGAGTGAGTCAGGTAATTGACTTCCCAGTTATAGCTTTTACAGTTTTGTATCTTAGCCTTGTACCCCACTGTGGAATGAATTGTCTATTGTATCTTGAACCAGCGAAACAATTCTAACATCCTCTTTCTTAGGTATACGTACAAACTGTGGATGGTTACACAACAGATCAATAATGCGTATATATATTGCCTTAGGAAGTGAATGGATGGGGAAGAACTGTTAATTTTTAAATTTATTTTCCTCTTTATCTTTTAACATGTTAAAATGAGCCTATGTTCCTGTAGTAACAAAAATTAGGATGGTATAAGAGACAATGAACGTAGAACCTATGAGTAAATTTAAATTTTATATATAATTAAAATTAGGCCATATATCAAATATCCAAGTATAATAGGTTATTTCATATATATCAAACAAAATGATTTTGGTTCTGAAATAAAGCTGTAGAATTTCCTTAAACATTTTGGCTTGAAGAAACTTCATGAAGAAAAAGTGTTCTCTCCAATCCTTATGTAGTATTTACATGTAATGCAGTTGGCTGGCCTTCTGACTAGGAAACTTGGGCAAGAAAATGATCAAAATGACTGGAATCTCAAATTGAATTTTGGGGGACAGGATAAGGATGTTATGAGCTTCAGTACTCTATTTAAAAAAAAAAAAGGAAATAAATCCAGGAAAGTATATTCTGTACTCGGTTTGGTCAACACCTCTAGAAATGATGAAAGTGGTCATGGGCTCAATGGTGTTTTAAACCCACGTGCAACATTACGAAACTTCCAGTCAAATACAGTTATTGTGCACATCCCAAAAGCCCACTAAAATGACAGTGGGGAAAGAGAATGGGAGGAAGGAAGAAATAGACAAAACATGTCAACAAAATGTGAACAATAGAAAGCAAAAGTATTAAACTAGCTTAGCAGATCAGAGAGAGATGAAACCTAAATGCTCCAAGGGGTAAAAGCCAACAAAAATATGTTTGTGAATCAGACTCTGGGAAGACTTAGAATTTCCAGGCATCTTTTTCTTTTTCCAGTTAACTGCAAATTAAATTTTCTTTGCCCAATCATCAAGTTTGACATAAACAATTTTGATATTTACAAAGATTCTTTCATACAAATCTGTCATAATTTCATATTGCTAGACATTGAGTTTAGTTGGTTTTTATTAGCAATAACCCAGAAATGAGTATATTTATTCTCAAATATTTATTATTATTTGGAAGTATATGATCCTAGAAGTTGAATTGGGTCAAGGGACATAAATACTTCTAAAGTTTTTAATGAATTTCACCAGATTGCTTCTCAGAGTTTTCGTCAATTTGTTCTCTATCTTCAGTGTTGGATATTTTTTTTTCTCACCGTGAACTATCCAGCACTGAAGTAGTCTTCTGAATTTCATAGCTCATTCTTGCTCTAATTTGAATTTATTTGGTTGTATCACTGGTAATTTATAGCATTTCAACGTACTCTTAATTTTAGTATTTTGTCTTCTGTAAATTTTCTGTTCACACTTTTGGGAATCATCTCTTACGGCCAGGATAGAGGTGGGCTGAAAACAGGAAAACTGCTTGAAAGTCTTGTTCAAAGGGTAGCAGAAACCCATTTGTATTCTTTTTCTCATTAGACAAGTTTATAACCCAGGGCACCAGGCACAGCCATGAACACTGTACTAAAACAATGGGCATGCTGAATGCTGAGAGCCCCCTCAACCCCTTCTCCTGGTCACCTTCCTCGCACTAGAAACCCAGTATACATCAGCAGGCAGATCTGAGACTGACCAGCCTGAAAGCAAAGATCTATAGGTGCTCACATATAAGAGTCTTTTCAATCAAATATGCAAGTCTTGGAATAGGGCAAGTGTGTGGGTAGAGTGGGGAAGGAGTGATGGAACAGAATTATACCATCTTCTTCCAGAGTAAGAAGTCAATGATAATCTCTTAAAAAGAAAAATCAGAGCTGGATACAATGGGACATTCCTGTAATCCCAGCACTTAGGGAGGCTAAGGCAAGAGGATTGCTTGAGCCCAGGAGTTCAAGGCTGCAGTGAGCTATGATTGCACCACTGCACTCCAGCCTCGGCAACAGGGCAAAATCTTGTCTCTTAAAAAAAGATTAAAATTAAACAAAATAAAATAAGGAAAACAATGGCAGTTTAAGCATGTAATTTGGAAATGTAGAAATGTTTGAGCAATGCTGAAGACAATGGTAAGAGTTGTCGTCCATCACTATGACTTTCAGGAAAAGAACAATCAGGAGCAAATCAACTTCTCAAGAAGAACCAGCATCAACCACTTTGTAGAAGGCTTGCTCTCCATTATCCAGGCTGGGCTAATCATCACAAAGGCTTAAATAGATTCAGTCCTGATGAACACAGACCGTCAAAGGAGCTGAAGCTTCTGTGAGAGTCAAAGACAGCTACAACAATACTGCATAACAAACTGCCCCAAAACTCAGTGGCATGTGTGTATTTATGCTCACACTCCAGAATCTATAGGACATTTGGAGTTTCAATTGCAGTTTGGCTGATCTAGGCTGGGCCTGACTCAGAGGCTCTGCCTCAGGCTATATTTCTTCTGGGCTTGGTTGCAGGTTGTGAATCTGCTCCACAGGTCTCATTCTGGAACCTAGATTCAGAGGCGTGACTACCAGTGACATGTTCTTATCATGGTGGATCACTTCCATGGACATTCCAAATCTCTGATTGCATCATATCCACTGACATCCCATTGACCAAATCAAGTCATATGTCAAGCCCAAAGTCAAAGTGTGAGGAACTATTATTTGCCAACCATGAAGCCATGGCAAGAGTGTAGAGACATGACATCACTGTGAGAGAGTGAAGAAATCATTGAGACCAACAATTCAATCTGCCAAAGCACCCTTCTTCATCATATCATTCATCATTTATCAAATATGTTCTGATCTTGGTCATCATTTCCATTATATTACCATGGTGGTTTGGTCGCTTTATCCTATTCCAGCCTCTTAGCAAGAATATCTAGGATGAAGAGCAGAATTAATGACTAAGTGTACGAATTTGCTTCTTTTTTATGCAGTTATTTAAAATATTATTTAATATTGTTATAAATCATTGTATTTAAACACTGTTTTATTCTAAGCTCTCTTTTTTATCTAAAAAATAAATAGGAATATATTTTACTCTTTAAAAATGTTTGAACTCATTGTATGTCAAGTGGAACTTTTTCTGGATTTTTTAAAAGTCGAAACACACAGCAAAATATCTTGGAATGTAGGGAAAGTTATTTGATATAGAAAATGTGTAGTCTAGCCAAGAAGTGATTACTCCAGAAAACCTCATGGAGGATAAAGGATTTAATGTGAGACTTGATATTTTGGAAAAACAAACTGAGGATTAATAATATCCGGGTGATGTCTCCCAATAACACCAAAGGAAACACTGAAGACGTCTTAAAAGAATGGCTTCCAGATGCCTAGTAAATCATGTGTCCATATACCAAATGAGAACATGGCTAAGGGAGAATGTTTCTTATTTTGAGAAGGGATGCATTCTTTGGGTGACTAGTAGTATTTTGCACTTCAACTTTGTAATATTATTAAAGAGATAAAAGCCACGGGCATTATCCTTTTCAAATAATGAAATGATGAATAAACTATTTGCAATGAAAATCAGTTTTACCATACAATGTGATTTATTCATAAGAACATAAGTAAATCAGGGTTTATGGTGAGATGATTTGTTTATTTCACTGACTGGAATATAGTTCAAAATCTTGTACAGTGGAAGGAGGATGACTGTAAAAAGGAAGGTAGAACAAGAAAACCGGGATGACGCTTTGCACACAGGAACGTTCTTAGAAAAAATTTTTTGAAAGAACTGGAATTTGGAAATTGATTTCCCGTAAACCATCTTATACCCACATACCCTTTGAAAAAAATTCATGTGTACGTCAGTTTGGAGGCCACTTACTTAGTTCATTGATAGAGTTCCCGTATTTCTATGCCCTTCGAGGTCTTAAGTCATTTCCTCCTACACACTCCATTATAGATTTGCACCAATCAAAATGCACCAGAACCTATTAGCTTTCAGAGCTAGCATCATGAAATGCATTTAGTGAGGTCACTGGCTTTTAGTTTTCTATATTGAAATCTTCCTTTGACTTACTCTGTGGTTAATTTTCACATCTCTTTATTACCTGGCAAGAGTTTGGGCTTGAACAATTCTTCTCTGGGTCTTGTCACTGGATTGAAAAACAACAGCAGCAGCAACAGCAGCAGGAGCAAAACGAGTTTTTAAGGAACACAAACAGATTGTAATCCGATATCGTAGAACAGAAATTCGAATGTGTGCATTCTCTGAGGGATATTTCTCTTAATCAATTAAATTTCCTATAGAGGATATTAAGCACAAATGGACCATTTGGCAATTTCCATGGATATTAAGTGCTTGAAGAAGAAAGAAAAAAACTGGAAGTCTAAATGAACCAAACTAATCTTCTAATTTTCTATTTCCTTCTTAACTGGTAAATCAGCTGAAAGTAGGCGGCAGAGCACAGATTAATAACCATATGCAATATATTGCCAGTTGTCATTTGAGGGAACTATTTTTCTTCTGTCATATTGATTACCTAAGTGTTATAATAATGTCTCAGGAGTACTTTGGGATTAGGAAAGCAATGATGATTTTTTTTCCTTCCTTTGCAAAAGTGTCTACTTCCTTGGCTTCTGGAAACTCACTCTGTATTAATTAAGATTAGGTTCCGGTGTGAGAAACAGACTCTAAAAACAGAGCCTTACAGAAGACAGAAATTGATTACTTACAACAATTGTCTGGAGTTAACAGTTAAGGTCTGCAGCAGTGGCTCGACTCTGCAGAGTCACAAGGGACCTAAGCTCCTCCTCCACTGTGCAAGACCCAAGTTTCCAAGATGTGCTTTGTCTCCAGCCATCATGACTACATTCTAACCAACCAAGAGGAGGGAAGCCTCAAGAGAAGGAGCAAAAGTCCCAAACTGACTTTCTTTCTGGAAATTACCACACCACAATTCTATTTGTATCTCTTTGGCCAAAATGAATCATACAAAATGTTTTTGTTTTTTATATTTTGAATAATTTGAAGCTATGTCTTTTTTTTTTTTTTTTTTTTTTGAGGGAGGATATCACTCTGTCATCCAGACTGGAGTAGAATGAGGCAATGATGCAGCCTCAACCTCCTGAGCTCAAGCAATCCTCCTGCCTCAGCCTCCCCACTAGCTAGGACTACAGGCTTGAGCCATCACATAGAGACAGGGTCTCACTACGTTGCCCAGTCTTGACACTGTATAACAGGTACACAGAAATTTAAATTTGTTATATTTTCCTGGGATTGATCCTCTTATCAACATAAAGTGACCCTATTTTTCTCTAGTAATTATTTTTGCCTGAAAGTCTAATTTTTCTGATTTTAATAGAGGTACACCAGCTTTCTTTTTGGTGTTTTCCAGGTATGTCTTTTCCCATCTTTCACTTTTAACTCCTCCAGAAACTTATATTTTAGACATGTTTATTGTAACAGAATATAGGTGCTTTTAAAAAAAATCTGGCTTGACAATCTTGGTGTTTAATGTTGGCGTTAATTTACTTGCACTAACTGCCATCTTATTATGTGCTATTTGTTCTGCCTTTTGTTTGATTCCTTTTCTCTCCTCTGTTGCCTTCTGTTTAGATTTACTGTTTTTTCTAAATTTTATTTTTTCTGCTACTATTTGGAAGTCACACACTCTGATACTGTTCTTTTAGTGTTTATCGCCAAAATAACATGCATTATTAATTTATCAAAGATTCAAGTTAATCAATACCTACCTACAGAACATTGCCTTCATCCCTACTAGAATTATGTCTCCCTCTGAAATAAGATGCCATTGTGGTCATGCATTTAAATCCTTTTATTTTTTTTACTAGAAACACAAAGATTTCTGTTTTATACAATCATTATATTGTTTGTATTTATCCATATATTCTCCAAATTCTCTGGCCTTCCATTTTTTTAAAAAATAGAATTGTTGAGGCATGAATGACATACAATAAACTGCACATATTTAAATTGTGTAATTTCGTAAGTTTTGACATACGTGAAACAATTGCTACAATCAAGAGAATGATCATATCCTCAACTCCAAAAGATTTCTTAGGTCCTTTTTTAATCCTTCACTTCTGCCACTGCACTCTATTGTTGGTAGTGGTGGTGTTTCAGGCAGAAGCCTAAAGCCAAATCCTGTTACTCCATCTTGGCTATTAGTGAAAGTCCCTCTCCATCAGTTTGTATCTCAGACATTGAATATGAGATCACTTTCTTTGTATCTCTAGTACACTGTTTAGATTTTCCTTTAGCAAAGATCTGCTAATGGCAGACTCCCCTAAGTTTTTGATGGATTTAGAATGTCATCAGTTTGGCTCTATGTACAAAAAAAATGTTTTCTAAGTATGGAGCTTTGGATTGAAGACAGTTTTTCCTTTGCACATGAATATGTTATTCCACTGTCTCTTAGAGGCTTCCCTTGTTGTGGTCAAGAAATGAGCTGTCAGTTTTTTGCTCCTTTGAAGGTAACATATATCCTTTAAGACCTCTTCATCTTTGTGGCTTTCCAGTTTCACTATGATTTCTGTAGCTTTTGCATTTCTTTATATTTATTCTGTCTGATTTTTGCTGTGCTCTTAAATCTAGAAGAATATATTTTTGATCCATTCTGGAAAATTCTGTCATCTTTTCTCAAATATTACCTCTGTCCCCCTTTTCTCTCTCTTTTCCATCTAAAATTTCAATTAGGCACATTTCTACTCTATCCACCATTTTTCTTAGCTCCTCCCTTCCCCCCACCAACATTTTTTGCATCTCATTTCTGTGCAACATTTTGGATAACTTCTTCACACCTCTTTGTCTTTAAGATCACTAATTTTTTCTTCAGCTACATCTGATCTGCTGTCAAGTCCATCCACTGAGATTTTTGTTCATTTTAGTGAATATATTTTTCATTTCTAGGTGCTCTGTTTGGTTCTTTCTCAAATGTGATTGATCATTCTATATGGTTTATTATTCTCTATAAGGATTTTTAAATTTTATTTATATAAACACACTAAACAATTATTTTATCATCTACTTCTCATTATACAATATCTGAAGTATTTTTGTTTCTGTTATTTGTATTCTTGCTGCTTCTTACTCTTTGTACCTTGTTTCCCTATATTTTGAAAGCCTTTTTGACTGTAAGCTGTTCATTTACTTGGAAATTTATTTTTCAAGGAAATTCCTTAAGAACTGAGAAAAATAAGCTGCCTCTAAACAGGATTGGCATTTGCTTCTGCCAGACACTGGGGGCCACTACATATTTAGGACCACTTTAAACTACTGGTGTCATTTTATGTATGTGGTCTGCAATTTTTCGCTTAACAATATATCATGAAATGCTTGTCATTGCAAGTAAATTTATCTACTCATTATTTTGGCTGCATAGAATTCTATAATAAAGATATATTGTAATTGATTTAACCCTTCAACTGTTGATGGACTTTTAAGTCATTTCTAAATTTTCACTATTAAAAACAGACATCGCTTCAAATGTGCATTTCTTCTTACAGACACATACACACATATGTCAGTATAAACATTCCTAAAAGTGGGAGCGCTATGGCAAAGAGAATGTGCATTAAAAAATTTAATTACACACAATTTTTCAAAAAAACTCTATCTTTTTACAGCTCACCAATATATAACCATGTCCTTGAAAGCACTGGATGTCATCAACCTTTACATTTCACTGATCTGATGAGAATCTTACTGTTTTAATCTGCTCATGTCTTACTACCAATAAGGCTGAACATATTTGCATATATCCATAGACCATTTGCTTATCTTCTGTGAAATTGCTGCTCATTCACTGCCCATTTTTATAATTTTTTTTGGACTATTTTCTCGCTAATTTGAACTTTAAACTTAAGAATTATAATATCTTTCTTTTAAACATTTTACTGAGGAATAACTTTTAAAATATAAATATGAGCTAGTATAAATTAGTATTGAAGATTTTTCATAATAGATAATGTTTTAATGCAAAGATAAGCATTGTATAATTGTCTTAAATGGTGCAAATTATAATAATTTCCTCCATTAGTTCTTTGCTATTCTTCTCAAGTTATACAACCGTGCTTTTTGTGACTACTTTTGGAATTGATATTTTAAAAATTCCTGTTTCTGGTCATTACCTAAAATGAGTGCTTTACTTGAAATGTGTGGGTATTCTAGTTGAGGCAAAAAAGCCTACAAGTTAGTAGTGATTGTATATCTTATTGATGAGAAAAATTCAATCTAATTACTTCTTCAATCTTTTTAAAATGTTGGAGATTTGTGTACTAATAATCATAATTAGAGAGATATTTCTAATCAGGTTTCTGTTTTACTAGATGGATACTTATTTTCAAAGAGTTTTTTTTTAATTTCAAGGGCTTAACATATAACTAATTTTCACCAGCTATTTCCATCTTCTTCATTTATCTAGAGCAGTTACATTTATATTTAAAAACTATGCAGGTGGGAGTTAACAGCATTGTTGAAATTTGAAGTTTTACTAATTAATATTTTACTGTTTTAGAAAATGTGTATGACAGTCATATCTGTGGGTTCCGCAGATTCAACCAACTGTGGATCAACCAACTGCAGATTGAAAATATTTTTAAAAAACAGTAAAAAATAACACAAATAAGGTCAGTCACAATGGCTCATGCCTGTAATCCCAGTGCTTTGGGAGGCCAAGGCAGGGAGATTACTTGAGCCCAGGAGTTCGAGGTGAACCTAACCAACATAAACAAGGGCCCATCTCTACAGAAACATGTTTTAAATGAGCTGGGTATGGTGGCGGCATGTACCTGTAGTCCCAGCTACTCAGGAGGCTGAGGCAGGAGGATCACTCAGTCCCAGGGGTTAGAGGTTAGAGTGAGCTATGATTTCATCACTGCACTCCAACCTGTGTAACAGGGCAAGACTCTAGCTCTAGAAAAGAAAATTAATTCAATCTGATCAAGAACCAAAATACTAACTTTTGTTAGTGTAGCTGCAAAAGTTGTATCTGTAAAAGTTGAAGGAGTAGATGTTTCAGTCAACACCACTTTCTATATTTAGAACTGAAAAGTGACATCAACAGCCCTCAGCAACTTATTTATTGTCACATTTTTTATCTCCAAACAAGGCTGTGTAACATATGCACTGAACTTTCAACCCTGAGAACAGAATCCCAAACATTCACTATATACATATGTCTATAATTACTTCTGGCCACAATAAAACCTACAAATAAAAGTGAAAAATAAGAATATAAAAGGTTTGTTTCTCCATGTTGTAATTTTGTTTTATCAGTACACACATACACCTGAACAACAAATTTACAAAGCAGGATGCAAAATTGCATATAGACTATGATTACAACTATGTAAAAATGCATAGGAAAATAAATGGATGGCCAGGAACCAAATAAAATTGTAGTCATGGCTATGTTCGGGTTATAGGACCATGGCTGTTTTGCTTGCCTTTGTCTTGATTTTCCAAATGAAATGCAATGTAGTCAGACTACTATAATGCTGATGCCTACTGGTCCTTTGTCTTTTTGGCTGAGCTCTCTCAAAAGAATTTACTGAAAAAATAAGTTAATGATGAACATGCAAGTTGTTGACAATTTGGTAAGGGAGAAGAGATATTTAACATTATCTTCTGTGGGACAGAAGAGGTGTCCCACATCAGAGAATCTGAAAGCCCCTTTGACAGCCTTTTTCCCAGAATCCCTTCTGTGCTGTAGTGCCATGAAAACCATTCTTTCTTCCCTCCTTTAAGCACCACATCACCACAGGTCCAGATCTTACTCCAGTCTTTGACCTCCAGAATTCCACCTCTCTCTTTGGGTTTCTCTCCCCTGAAATTATTCAAGAAGATTTAACTGTGCTTTAGTTCCTGCCTCTAAACTTGCTTACTGGCCAGGTGCACTGACTCACACCTGTAATCCCAGCACTTTGGGAGGCCGAGGCAGGTTGATTATTTGAGGTCAGGAGTCTGAGACCAGCCTGGCCAACATGGTGAAACCCCATCTCTACTAAAAATACAAAAAAATAAAATAAAATAAATTAGCCGGGCATGGTGGCACATGCCTGTAGTCCCAGCTACTTGGGAGGCTGAAGCAGGAGAATTGCTTAAGCCCAGGAGGCAGAGGTTGCAGTGAGCCAAAATCGCACTCCTGCACTCCAGCCTCGGCGACAGAGCAAGACTCTATCTCAAAAATTAAAATTAAAAAAAAATTAAAAAATTAAAACTTGCTTGCCAAACCAATCTTATAAGGCACTCAGAAAACAAAAGGATTCTGCAATTTCCAGGAACTACTCTCCTTTAAAACTGATTTTAAATAACCAAGCTACACAACTTTAAAAACTAAAAAGAAACAATAATTTTTACAAACACACTTATGTTTGTGTGAGTATAAAATGGCCTAATATGCCACGAATACACTGCACGATATCTACCAAAATGTAAAATGTTTATACCCTTTGACTCTGAAATTCCACTGCTAGAATTTCATCTCATAGAAGTAGTCAAGAAAATTCACTGAAGAAAAATGTTCATAGATATTTACTGCAACCGTGTATGTAAAAGTAAAAAATGAGAAAAATCATAAGTGTTCACCAATATGCCATGAATTTAAACAAATACCTTATATCCAGGTACGTGAAAAACTATTACACAGCCATTTTTTTTTTTTTTTTGAGATGGAGTCTCACTCTGTCACCCAGACTGGAGTACAGTGGTGTGATCTCGGCTCACTGCAACCTCCACCTCCCGGGTTCAAGCAATTCTCGTGCCTCAGCCTCCCGAGTAGCTGGGATTACAGGCATGCATCACCATGCCCGGCTAATTTTGTATTTTTGGTAGAGACGGGGTTTCTCCATGTTGGTCAGGCTGGTCTCGAACTCCTGACCTCATGATCCTCCCACCTCGGCCTCCCAAAGTGCTGGCATTACAGGCATGAACCACCACACCCAGCCTACACAGCTATTTTAAAAGGTGACAGAAATCATATAGACTAATATGGAAAGCTTGTGCATATATATATATATATATATATATATATATATATATATAGTCAAGATTAACAATCTTAAAGTATTTTTAATTTTTCAATTAATTAACTAATTTATTTATTTAGAGACAGGGTCTCACTGTGTCACCCAGGCTGGGGTGCATTGGGTGGGATCATGGCTCACTGAAGCCTTGATCTCCTAGGCTCAAGAAATCCTCCTGTCAGAGCCTCCCAAGTAGCTGGGACTACAAGTGCATGCCACCATGCCCAGCAAATTAAAAAAAAAAAAAATCTGTAGAGACAGGGACTTGCTATGTTTCTCAGGCTGGTCTTGAACTCCTGGCCTCAAGCAATCCTCCCACCTTGACCTCCCAAAGGACTGGGATTACAGGTGTGAGCCACTGGTGAATCTTCAAGCATTTTTTTAGAGGGTGAAGTGCAAACTATCTACTAAATCAAAGACACTAGAGAAAAAAATGGTCTGTGGAGGAATACAGCTGGCCCAAAGGCACAAGTCAATAAGGAAGTCTCTTGGTGCTGAACAATATACAGACTGAAGAGAAAAGCAAGGCTTGTGGGGTCTCCTAGCCTTTTTGGCCCAAGCAGTGTGACCACGTGATCTCCCTTGGGGACAGTAAATAGCATTGGTGGTACAAGTGGCTGATGTGTAGTCACAAAGGTGAGGAAATCCCACACCTGCGGACTGCTCTCTGGCTGCCCTATGGGGACTCACAGAGAGGCACCGTGGCCAGCATGGGAGCAGATTGAGGCCCGCCCGCAGAGAAAGGGTCTGATGAATTCTGCCACGATGTGCACTTTCATTTCTTTGGCGGGCCTTGGACATTCCTGTTTTGTGCAGAGGCCAGATGGGCTTGATTTCTCTGGTGAGTTACCGTAAAACATGTGACCTATGTTCTTCGGTTTCTTTCATTCTATCCCTTTGAGATGGTGAAACATCAACCCTCTATTTTAACAAATAGCACCTGGACTTTCTCATCTTGTTTCTTTCTTAAGCAATCACAAAACACTTTAGTATAAAAGATTTATGACAACTTCTCTGGGTTTTTTTCCATTTTTATACATCTGCTAAATTCCATTTTTTAAACATTATGGAGAAAGCCACTGGTGGAATCACCATGTCTAGAAATGTTAACTTCTCTGTAAAAAATAAGGCCACTCAAATCTTGTTAAACTGATATTGTATTCATTGTGCCTCTTAATGCCCACGTTCATTCCAAAGGACTTATAAAATGAAATCATCATAAACTTCCCAGCTGCACAAGTCTTTTGAAACTGTTCTGTCGTAACGAAGTCTGCGTTCCACATTACAAAAACACGCAAGGAGACTTAAAGATAGTTTAACAAAAGACTAGAAAGGGAGAATATCCAGGTGGCTTTTTAAGTGTGGAACATAATAAAACAGTGTTTGGAAACTATTATGCCAAGATGTAATAACTAGAAAACAAGAAAGTCCATTTATAAGCTGAAGTGCAACTTCAAGTCGTAAATAGAAGAAATATTGAGAATGCAAGGGGGAAAATTATAACATGAGCACTTATGAAACGGGAAACAGACTGAAAACCTTCAGATTTAGAATAGCGACAGGACGATATATTTTGGACCCATCCTTCTGAAGCTCTGTACTAAGCCTTTGCATTATCTACTTATCAGTCAGGGACCTCTCAAGAAAGATAAACCACTTGAGTATTAAAACAGAGGGGTCTGGTGCAGGAAACTGATCACCCAGGAAAAGGAAGAGCTGAAATGCTTAGCAGCAAACAGGGAGAGAACCTAGAGGTAAACACTCCCAGAAAACCACAACCTCCTCTGGGCCAGAGTGAGGAGGCAGAGACTAAGGTCCTTAGATGGGGGCTAGAAGAGACTCAACTATTGCATCAGATGTTGCCAGAAACAGAGAGGGAGTGGGAGAAAAACCCTGGCTTCTCTCTCCAGCCTCCTCCCCCATCTGCCTCTCATGTCTACCTGGGCCATTCCCATCCTGGAAAATAGTCTGCAGTGTTCTTTCCTTGTGCAAGGGGATGGGTGAGGAATGGATCCAAAGGCAAACAGGCCCGGGACCAGCACAAATATTGTCTGCGTGAGCAGAGGCATGACTCTACATTCTGGTGAGGACATCCCCCTGGGAGAGCTTGCATCATACCAGGATGACCACAGGACGCCCTCCTGATGCACAGTGCCTTTGCTCAAAGTAAGTAGATTCAACCCGACTTCTCCTTGTGATCTTGACAGCATTGGTCTGCTGCATTGCTTAAAGTAATAGTTCATTTTGTCTATGCACATTTTTTAAAGGGCCCATCAGGCTGATAGTCTGGGTGTCCTGCTATAATTCATCCACTGGCCTTTGGGCAGAGCAAACTTTATTAACAACATCAGAGACCGGATAAGTGGAAGTCCAGCTGGGCAGTTGTCCATGGTACTAACCTGTGAAGGGCACTGAGAGATCTATGGTGCATTAAGACATCTCTGGAAATGTTTCTAGCTGGCAACAAACAAATTTGCATTTCTTAAAATTCCTCTAAGGGAGATATGCACTTTATCTGGTTGGACTTTTCAATCCACTTTAAGACACTTTCTCCCCACCATGCCCCAAGCCAAAAAACTGCTCTTGTAACTGTTTGGAAACAAACAACCAAATCCAAACAGTGAAGGAAATATGTTGGCTCAGGTAATTTAAAAAGCAAGCATCTGTGTTAACTTCAGGCTGGTCTTAATCCACACTCCAATGATGTCACCAAAGTTCCTGCCTTCTTCATTGTTGGCTTCGTGGTTGTAGGATGGCTCCCAACAGCAAGCCCAGGAGGAGAGAGAGAATGTCTCTTTCCTCAACACTATACCTTGAAGATCACCAATATTTATCAGCCAGGCTTGGAATTCCTTTGGAAATAACACTCCTTTAGAAATTTAGCAATTTCCTCCCTCTGCCATTCATATGGTTACTAATGCATAACCTAAGGATTTTGAAATGAATGTGGGGCATGGAGGCATGAGTGTCTGGCCAAAGTTATTTGCTATTACAGATAACTCCCACCTTTCTGCTTTCTCTAGGACCAACCTTAGTTTGTGAAAGAGAATTAAGCTTTTCCAACCTTGAAAGCCTTCAGATTACTGGATCCCCAGATGCTATGGATGGCCAGCTCCATAAAAAGGTACCTCTTAGTGAAGCCAGAAAGTAGAAACCTCCTACCCAAAGTGGTAGAACTACCTGTTGGTCTATTTAAGTTCAAAGGGAAGCATAAATGAGTAAACATTTTATTTTAACTAATCTCCTATTCACTAATATTTTGGTATGGGACCAGGGCCTTTTCTGTGAGCATGGGTCTTTTTCACATAAACCTTAGCCACAATGCATCAAAGTATCTAAGGTTTCTAGTTTCAGTTTCTTTTTTTAATGAGGAGTGAGAATTTGAAGACCCTTGTGAAATACATGAGAGTAGAATCTTTTTACATTTTCATAATTTCTCTCCAATTTTTATAATTTGAGAGCAATTTTTAAGCAATTGACCTTTATCGAGTCTTTCCAGAGCATTTAATTTAGCTTTCATAGGAAGAAACCTCCTATTTTCATAATCATAGTTCCTTGGTTTTTGTAATATTGTATTAAATTATATAATTATAATAAACATAATTGGCATAAATAAGTTTGGAAACAAAGACAAATAAAGTAGCTAGTTATAAAACTCAGTTTGTGGGAACAGATGTGCTTGGTAGGTTAAAGGTGGTACCCATAGCCAAGAACATCTGAGGACCGTGGGATGTAGTCAGGATATTTTATAGAAGTGTGGAGCACATGAAGTGGCCAAGCAAGTCAGTTCAACAGAGATTGGTTAAGAAAGTAACTATTAAATTAAGTTCCTTTCTGCTTTCAGAAGAGGCACTTGCAGTCTAAATTTGTATTGCTTGTGTAAGACCTAACTCAAAGCCAAAAATTGTATTCAAAATCTCCAAAATCTGATTTTTTTTCCTCTTCCAGATGTCTTTATGCTATAGTCCTGGTAGAAATGTGGTCAGCATTCCAAAGTATGATATAAAAGATTTTAAGCAGCTCTTTTGTTGCAACATACAAAGGTCACCAACTCCCCTGCTTGGAGTAGAGAAAATCATTCTCATTACCTTGCAGCCTACCTTACTAGTTCAGATAAGTACACATTTTAGGATCTATTATTTGTAACATCCTATTTTCTAATAGCAAATTCCCTATGATTATGCTACTTTTGATTGCAAGTAATATAAAAGATCTGACTTAATCAATAAAATGTATTAGCCCGTGTAAAAACTCCAGAGGAGAGCAGGTTTCAAGGCTCAGAGATCCACTGTTTGTTTACATAGATTATGTCCTGCACAGAAGTGCCTGGGCAAGAGGTCAAGTGGGAGCTGAATCTAAGCTTGGGGCTGCATCCAACCCAGAAAACAGGGTACCATTTTAATTACATCAAGGAGCCTCTAATTAATCACAAAGCCATTCTCCCGCAAGATCATTTGCTCAGTTAATGCATCCAAAAGTGACTTATGTTAACAGTGGGAGCCTTTAGCTCAGCAATGTCAGCCAAGAATCAGTTTATTTTCACCTATCTGTTCTGCTTTTCCTTATGTCAGCTACATCCACAGAGAACTGCCTCCATAAATTGGCTCCACTCATGTTCGCCAGAGGGATGGCAGCATCAACCAAGTCTTCCTTTTTCCTGTCCAGTAGGAGACTGGGCTCCCCAGTCAATGAATGGGCTAACCGGCTAACCTCACATTATAACAACCTGAGTCACATGCCCAACGCTAAACCAATCAGTGGCACAGGTCTAGAAATATGCTGATTAACTAAAGTCGAATTTACATCTGCCATCTTGCTACTTGTTTTCTTTCATTGTCTTTCTTTGTTTCTCTGTTCTTCAGTGCTCCCTTCTTTTGTGTAAAATAAATATTTTCTAGCCATTTTAATTTCCTTGTTGCTTCTTTTAGTATATTTTTCTACTTATTTTCCTCTTGATTGCCTTAGGGTTTGCAATTAACATTTAATTTAAAATGATCTCGCTCAGATTAATACCAATTTAATTTCGATAATATCTTAAAAGCTTGTTCTAATATAGTTCTGTGACCTTCCTCTTTGTGCCATTATTATTATATGAATTACATTTTTATACATGATAAACCCATCAACACAGTTCTACTATTGCATTATGTGTTTTTCTTTCTTTTTTTTTCTTTAGTTTTGAGCTAAGCATAGATTCCCATGCAGTTGTAAGAAACAATAATAGAGGTCTCATGTACTGGTTACCCAGCTTTTCCCAGCTTTTCTCATGTACCTGTTACCCAGCTTTTCCTAGCTGTTCCCAGCTTTTCTCATGTACCTGTTACCCAGCTTTCTCCCGCTACCCACCTTCATAACTGTGGTATAATATCACAATCAGGATACTGACATTGACAGTGTCAAGATACAGAATACTCCATCTCCATGAAGATCCTTCTTATTGTCCATGTATAGTCACATGCACTTCCCTCCAATTTCTATCTTCCCCTTAACTTCTGGCAACCATTAATTTGTTCTCTGTTTATACAATTTTGTTATTTCAATAATTTTATATAAATAAAATTTTATGTTATGAAACCATTTAGAATTGGCTTGTTTCACTCAGCAGAAGTCTCTGGAGATTCATCCAGACTGTTGTGTATATTGACAGATTATTCCTTTTTAATGATGCAGAGTAATATCCAATGGTATAGATGTACTTCAGTTTGTTTAACTATGTACCCACTTAAGGACATTAGGGTTGCCTGTAGCTTTTGGCTATTACAAGGAAAACTTTATTATAAACAGTCATATATAGGTTTTTCTGTGGACATAACTCTATTTTTTTCTGAGATAAATGGCCAAGAATGCAGTTTCTCAGAAGTATGGATCTTGCATGTTTACTTTAAAAACTGCCAAACTGTTTTCCAGAATAATTTTGCCATTTTACAATTCCATCAGCAATGTATGGTAACTTATTTTCTCTGCATCCATACCAGTGTTTTGTGTTTGGGCTGCTATAACAAAAATAACCATGGGCCCTCTCTCTGGCTTGCAGACAGCTATCTTCTCACTGTGTCCTCACATGGTGGAGCAAGAACAATCTCTTTCTCTTCCTCTTCTTATAAAGCCACTAATCTCATTATGAGGGTCCCACCTTCGTGATTCATCTAATTCTAATTACCTCCTAAAGGCCCATCTCCAAAGATCATCGCACTGGGGGTCAGGACTTCAACATCTGAATTTAGGGAGACACAATTCATGAAGCACATAGCTTTCTGCACCTGGCCCCTCAAACATCATGCCCCTCTCACAAGCAAAATTCCATCCCAACATCTCCAAAGATCTTAACTCATTCCACCATCAACTCCAAAAGTACAAAATCTACCAAAATATCTAAATCAGACATGGGTAACACTCAAGGTACAAATCATCCTGAAGCAAAATTTCTCCCCATTGGTGAACCTGTGTGAAATCAGACAAGTATGTGCTTCCAAACATAATGGTAGGACAGCTATAAAATAAACATTGCCATTCCAAAGGAGAAAGAAAGAGGTGATGAGTCCCAAGCAAGTCCCACACCTAGCAAGGCAAACTCTGCCTTAAGGTGTGAGACTAATCCTCTTTGCCTTTTTGTCACTTTCCGGACCTACTGAGTTGGTGGTCCCACCTCCTTGGCTCTGCTGGGTGGAGGTCACACCACCAAGGCTCCAGGTGTTCTGCCCCCAAGGTTCTACAGGGTGGTGCTTAAAACAACTGATTTTGTCACCCAAAGTTCCTGGTATACATAAGGGTTCACTCTTGGTGCTGTACATTCTTTGCGTATTGACAAATGTGTAATGTATCTGCAATAATAGTATCACATGTAATTATTTCACTACCCTAAAAGTCTTCTGTGTTCCACCTACTCATCCCTCTCTACCACCAATCATGGATCTTTTTACTATCTCCACACATTTGCCTTTTCTAGAATGTTATGTAGTTGGGATTACACAGTATGTAGTCTTTTCAGACTGACTTCTTTCACTAATAGTATGCATTTAAGGTTCTTCCATGCTATGGTCTGAATGCTTATGTCCCCTCCCAATTTTCATGTTGAAATCCAACCCCCACAGTGATTGCATTAGGAAGTAGGGATTTAGGGAGGTGATTAGGCCATAACGGCTTCAGCCTTTATGAATAGAATTAGTACCCTTATAAAAGAGATTTCAAAGAGCTCGTTCATGAATTCTTCCAGGTGAAGTTATAGAAAAAGATGGTTGTCTAGAAAGTAGGCCTTCACCAGATACCAAACCTGCCAGTGCTTTGATCGTGGACTTTCCAGCCTCTAGAACATGAGAAATAAATTTCTGTTATTTATAAGTTACCCAGTTTATAGGTTTTTTGTTTTTGTTTTTGTTTTTTGTTTTGAGACAGCCTTGCTCTGTCACAGGCTAGAGTGATCTTGGCTCACTGCAACCCCTGGTCCCTGGATTCAAGCAATTCTCCTGCCTCAGCCTCCTGAGTAGCTGGGACTACAGGCAAACGCCACCAGGCCCAGCTAATTTTTGTATTTTTAGTAGAGACGGGGTTTCAGCATGTTGGCCAGGATGGTCTCCATCTCTTGACCTCATGATTTGCCTGCCTCGGCCTCCCAAAGTGCTGGGATTATAGGCATGAGCCACCACGCCCAGCCTATGGTGTTTTTTTATAGCAGCCCAAATAGACTAAGACACTCTATGTCTTTTCATGGCTTGATAGTTCATTCTTTCTCAGTGCAAAAGAATATCCCATTGTCTGCATGTACCATAGTTTATTTACCCATTACTGAAGGATATCTTGGTTGCTTCCAAGTTTTGGCAATAATGAGTAAAGCTGCTATAAGCAATCAGTCTTTCACATGAAGTGTGATGCTGGCTACAGTTTTATGTACATATTCTTTATCATATGAAAAAAGTTCCCCTCTTTTCCCATTTTTCTGAGAGTTTTTTAAAAATTATAAATTTGTGTGAGATTTTATCGAATACTCTTTCTGTATCAATTGATATGATCATGTAATTTTTCTGCTTCAGCCTGTTAATGTGGCAGACACATTGATTGATGTTTTCAATATTAAACCAATCTTGCTTCTTGGAAATAAAGATTTTTAAATAAAGATTTTTAACAAAGTTTTTTAAAAAAACTATCTTTAGTTTTGGTGTCAGTAGAATAATGGCTTAATAAAATAAATTGACAAGGGTTCCCTCCCTTCTGTTTTTCGGAAGACATTGTGTAGAATTCATTTTAATGTTTTATAGTATTCTCTAGTGAAATGATCTGGATATGGAAATTTCTTTCCTGGGAGTTTTTAAATTTGAATTCAGTTTCCTTAATAGTTATAAGGCCACCCTAATTATCCATTTTATAATTCATAAGACTTGTGCTCATTTTTATTTTTCAAAGATTTAGTCCATTTCATCTAAGTTGTCAAATGTATATATTTAGAGTTATTTGGAATATTCCTTCATTATCTTGTAAAATTTGCATGGTTTCTAGTGATAGCCCACTATTTCCTTCTGCATGTTGGTCTTCAGTCTTTTTATCTTTGTCAGTCTTGTTAGAGGTTTGTCAATCTTTTTGATTTTTTTAAAGAACCAGCTCTTTGTTTCTTTGTTTCATTGATTTTTCTTTCTTTTTTCTGTTTTTAATTTCATTGATTTCTGCTCTTAATTTTATTAGTTCCTTCCTTGTGCTTGATTTGGGACTATTTTGCTCTTCGTTTCTTAGTTCTTAAAGTGAGAATTTAGATTATTAATTTCAAACCTTTCCTGTTTTTCTACTGTATGCATTAAGTGCTATGTATTTCCCTCTCTGTACTGTCTTTAGTTGCATTCCACACATTTTGTTATGCTGTATTTTCATCCAGTTTAATGTACTTTTTAAGAAATTGAAGAAGACACCAAAAATTGAAAGATATTACATGTCCATGGATTGAAAGAATCAATATTGTTAAAATGTCCTTACTACCCAAAGCAATCTACACATTTAATGCAATCCCTATCAAAATACCAATCACATTCTTCACAGAAACAGAAAAAGTAATCATAAAATTTATATGGAATGACAAAAGACCCAGAATAGCCAAAGCTATCCTGAGCAAAAAGAACAAAACTAGAAGAATTGCATTACTTAACTTCAAATTATAGTACAGCTATAGGAAGAAAAACAGCACGGTACTGGCATAAAAACGAACATATACACCGATGGAACAGAATAGAGAACACGGAAATGAATCCACACATCTACAATGAACTCATTTTCAACAAAGTTCCAAAGAACATACACTGGGGGAATGGACAGTGTTTTCAATAAATGGTGCTGGAAAAACTGGATACCCGTATACAGAAAAATGAAACTAGACCATCAGTCTAGTTTCTAGAATCATAAGTCATTCTACAAAAATGACACATACATTCGTATGTTTACTGCAGCGCTATTCACAATAGCAAAGTCATGGAATCAATCTAGGTGTCCATCAATGGTGGATTGGATAAAGAAAATGGAATACATATACAACATGGAATACTATGCAACCATAAAAAAGAATGAAATTATGTCCTTTACATCAACGTGGATGCGATGCAACTGGAGGCCATTATCCTAAAAGAATTAACACAAGAACAGAAAACCTGTGTTCTCTCTTATAAGTGGGAGCTAAACATTGGGTACACAAGAACATAAAGATGGGAACAATAGACCCTGGTGACTACCAGAAGTGGGAGAGAGGAAGGGCACCAGGAGCTGAAAAACTACCTGTGGGGTACTATGCTCACTACTTGGGTGATAAGTGATAAGATCATTCATGGTGATAGGTGATAGGATCAAACCTTGGCTTCATGCAATAAACCCATGTAACAAACCTGCACATACACCCTCAAATCTAAAATAAAAGTAGAAAAATTTTTTAAAACTTACATAATATAGTTAACCTTAAAAATTATTTTTGTACACATAAGGTATTAGAATGGTAATTACAAGTGTAGAATTTGTAATAACTCTCATTTTCTAAGTAAAAGTAAAACTTCTGTTCTCTAACATTCACAATGGCCTTTTTCTGAGAGCACGTCTCATGAATTCTAAAACAAGTATTTGGTATCATTCTTGTGCTTTGGAAAAGTTGAATTCATTTTTTTACTCTATAATTTTTTGTTGTTTTCAGTCTGAAAAAAAAGAGAGAAAATACAGACTAGCATAAGAAGAGAAAAGATCATCTCTGAATAATTTCACCACCCAAATTTAGTTATAATTAATATTTTTGTGTTTCCTCCAAGAGAAAAATAATAGGCAAAAGGTCTGAATTGACGTTTCTCAAAAGAAGGCCTACAAATGGCTAACAGTATATGAAAATTTGCTCAATATCATTGACCATCAAAGAAATGCAAATCAAAACCACAATGAGATAACATCTCACTCCAGTTAAAATGGCTTCTATCTAAAAGACTGGCAATAACAAATGATGGCAAGGATGTGGAAAAAGGGGAACCTCCTACACTGTTGGTGGGAACATAAATTAGTACAGCCACTATGGAGAACAATATGGAGGTTTCGGAAAAAACTAAATAAAACTACCATATGATCCAGCAATTCCACTGCCAGGCATATATTCTAAAGAAAGGATATCAGCGTATTGAGAGATATCACCACTCCCATGTTTATTACAGCACTATTACAATAGCAAAGATTTGGAATCAACCTGTGTCCATCAATAAATGAATGGATAAAGAAAGTACGGTATATATACGTAATAGAATATTATTCAGCCATACAAAAGAATGAAATCCTGTCATTTGCAACAACATAGATGAAACTGGAAGATATTATGCTAAATGAAATAACAAGCACAGAAAGACAAATTTCACATGTTTTCACTCATATGTGGGCGCTTAAAAAAACAACTGATCTCATGGAAATACAGAATATAGTGATGGAAAGGGTAGCAGGGAGAAGGAGGTTAAGTTGGGAATGATTAATGATTACAAAAACATAGGTAGATAGAACGAATAAGATACAGTATTTGAAAGCACAAAAGAGTGAGTATAGTCAACAATAATTTATTGTACATTTTTAAATAACTGAAATAGTAGAATTGGAGTATTCCTAACAAAAAAAAGATAAATGCTTGAGAAGATAGATACCCAGATTACTCTAATTTGATTATTACACATTGTAGGCCTGTATCAAAATATCACATGTACCTCATAAATATATTCAATTGTTATGTGCCCATAATAATTAAAAATTTATTTTAAAAAAGGAAAACATTTCAAAAATAAGGTTAAGAAGAAGCAAAAGTAAACTTCGCTCTTACAAATCAGGCTTGTGCTCACTGTGGGCATGAGTAAGTAACTAGAGGGATAGAAAGGGCCTCTGGAAATTGTAATGTTCTAAGCCTTTGTTTAGAGGCTGTGTTCTTGCTATTGTCCGAATGTATCTCTCCAAATTCATGTGTTGGAAACCTAATCCCCAATGCAACAATGTTGAGAGGTGGGGCCTAATGGGAGGTGTTTAGGCCATAAGGGCTCTGCCCTCATGAATGAATTAATTCCACCATGAAGGGCTTGTGGGAGTAGTTTCACCTCCTTCCACCATCAACCATGTGAGGATACAGCCAGTGCCTTGATCTTGGACTTCTCAGCCTCCAAAACTATGAGAAATAAATTTCTGTTCTTTATAACTATATATAGGTATACCTATATATGACTATATATGGTATATTTTAAAATTGTATAATATAATATACAATTAATTATATATAAATACATTAAAATAATTATATTATGTAATTAATGAATATTATATTATACAATATAAAATATGTGATTAATAATCTATCATATATCATATAATTAATACTATATAAAGTAATAATATATAATCAATATTTATTAATAGAGAAATATATAGTTATAAAGAACTATATATAGTCATAACTATATATAGTTATAAAAAACAGTTAATTTATAAAGAACTATATATTAACAGTGAACCGAGTTCTGTTCTCTATAACTACATATAGTTATATATATGTTATATATAGTTATAACTTAAATATAGTTATATATATTAGTTATATATAGTTATAACTTTATATATATATATTTCCCTTTTTATTTCTCTTGAGACTTCATGTTTGATCCATGGCTTATTTAGAAGGACGTCATTTAGTTTCAAGTTTTTGGAGTTCTTAAAACAATGTCTGTTATTGATTTGTAGTTTGATTCCATTGTGTTCAGAGAACACAGCCCTATGATGTCAATTCTGTTCAACTTGTTGAGGTTTTTTGTTTTGTTTTTTTGATAGCTCAGCATGTGACACATCTTGGCCTGTATATTCCACAGCTGCTTAAAAAGAATGTGTATTCTGATGTTATTGGGTGGAGAATTCTCTAAATACGGATTCCATCCTGTTGATTGCTGGTTTTTCAATTCCATAATGGCATATCTTGTGTCTAGTTGTTCTATCAATTGTTGAAGCAGAGGTTTTGTTCTATCAATTGTTGAGACAGAGGTTTTGAAGGTTTCAACTATAATTGTGGAGTTGTTTACTTCTTACATCTGTTTTAGTTTCATATAATTGGAATCCCATTTTTTTGTTTCATGCACACTTATGATTGCTAGATTTTCTTGGTGGATTGATTCTTTCATCATTATACCATTCCTGTCTCTCTTCCTGATAATTTTCTTTGCTCTGAAGTTCATTTGATCTGCTGTTAAGCCACTCTGCTGTCCTTTAATTAATATGTGTTTAATATAATTTTTCTACTCTTTCACTTTCACTGTGTCTGTATCATAATATTGAAGTAAGTTGTTGGTAGACAGAATATTGTTAGATCATCTTTTTCAATCATCTCTGTTCACCTGTCTTTTGATTGGAGCATTTAGATCATTTTCACGTAATATAATTATTGATATGTTTGTAGACCTAAATCTATGATTTTACTTTTTATGTTTTTTATTTCTCTGTCTTCTTTATCTCACTTCCTATGAGTTACTTGAATATGTTTTAGAATTCCATTTTATCTATAAGGTTTTTGAGTATATTTCTTTGCACAGCAGTTTCAGCAGTTGCTGTGTATGTTACATAACTTATGCATAACTTCTCAAAGTCTATGAGTGTCATCAATTTACCAATTTTAGTGAAATTTATCAGTTTTAGTGAAGTATAGAAATTTTTACCTTTCTTTTAACCCCTTTACCTTTCAGATAATTTCATTATCTTAAAAATATTTTTTCTATATACATTTAGGACCACATCAGAGAGCATTACAATTTTTTGAAATGTTAAATAATCTTTGATATTACTCATAAACCACAGAAATGCCTTTCAATAAGTAAAAGGAACCATT
Organism: Homo sapiens; assembly: GCF_000001405.40. Classification (NCBI taxonomy): domain Eukaryota; kingdom Metazoa; phylum Chordata; class Mammalia; order Primates; family Hominidae; genus Homo; species Homo sapiens. The sequence continues at coordinate 28,032,747 of NC_000010.11, forward strand.
TTAGAAACACAGAATTCTAATTAGATTAGCATAAGGCCAAAAATGTAAAGTTGATATTGCTACCTTATTTTCAGCCCTTTCCTTTAAGAGAGGCAAATGAACACAAAACACAGGTGAATCTTGCTTGGTTCTAAGACAGTGAAGGAATTTCTCCAGTATTTAAATGTATTCATATAACCAGTTAAATACATATAAATGTAAAACCAATCTCCAATAGGTTTTAAGATCTCTGTGAACAGTCGAACTTTACAAAATGATCTTTGCTGGCGTTAAGATGAAGCAGAAAGGGCAGACCTGATAGCTTACCTCAAAAAAGCTACTGAGCAATAATTGGCTACTGCCTTATTTATTTCAAAACAGAAATGTCCCATGACTTTTTAATGTGTACCACAATTTAATAGATATCCTACACCAGAATTCAGATCATGAATGACTTACAGAATATTTTTGTTGGGCAGTCCTGATTTAACTAAGACTGGCTTATGGTTAAAAGAATATGTTCAGCTTTTTGAATTTTAATAGCAATTACAATTCGGTAAATGCTATCACTTTTTACACATTCTAAAGATAATTTTTGTTTTGGTCATCAAACATAATTTAGAAAATTCAAAAGGATAAGGAAAGTCTATTTATTTACTCATATTTTTGCTTACTGTGGCATCTCTGTCTTTTTAAAATTCAAAGTTTCCTTCTTTGTTTTTTTTCTATTCAGAGAACTTCCTTCAGCCATTGTTTTAGAGTAGGTCTGCCGGTGACTTCTCTTAGCTTTCCATCATTTCAGAATGTCTTGATTTCCCCTTTATTCCTGGATATTTTTACTGGGTATAATATTTGGACTGACAGTACTTTTTTTGTTATTACTTGGAAAATATTTTGTCACTTTTGGCCTGACAGTTTTGATGAGAAAATGGTTGTTGCTTTGTTTGTTCCTTGTAAGCAAGGTTTTGTTTGTCTCTGGCTGCTTTCAGGATTTTTTCTTTGCCTTTTAGTTTTCAGAACTTTAATTTTGATGTGTATTGGCATGAATTTCTTTGGTATATTCTGTTTGTCATTTGCTTACTTTTGAATTACATCTCTTGCCATATTTAGGAAGTTTTCAGGCATTCTATCTTTGAGTATTTTTTTCAACTCCCCCTTTTTTCTCCCCTCCTTTGGGACTCTGATGAAATACATGTTAACTCTTTTGTTATCACACAGGTCCCTAAAAGGTCTTTTTTTTTTTAACTCTACTTTATCTCTATAGTCTAGATTAATTCATTTTTATTGTCCTATTCTCTAGTTTACTGATTCTATTATCTGTCTCTCCATTCTGCAATAAAGCCCATCAACTTAGCTTCCTACCTGGGTTATTGCATTTTTCGCTTCTAAAATTTCCTTTAGGTTCTTCCTTATATGTTCTATCAGTTTACCGAGACCTTCTATTTCCTTTTTGAGACTTTGTATTTCATTTGTTTCCAGAATGTTTGTATTTGCTGTTGAAGCTTTTAAAAATTATGGTTGCTTTAAAATTCCTGACAGTTAATTCTAACATCTCTGTCATCTTGGTGTTGTTACTCATTGATCAGATTTTTCCATTCAGTTTGAGACTACTCTTTGTTGGTATGATAAACGATTTTTTAAAATTAAAACATGGACATTTTATATTATTTTATAAGACTCTGGATCTATTTTTTAAAACTTCTGTGTTGCCTGGCTTCTCTGACATCACTCCAGCAGGGGATGAAGGTGGCACGGCCTTACTCCTTAGCAATGATGAAAGTCCTGACTTTCCACTAGGTCCCTGAGCAGGGAGGAGAAGCGGTATCTGCCATAGGAGTGAAATTCTAGGCTTCCCTCATGATTCCCACTGACATCACCAGGGACTCATCACTGGGCAGTGGGAATGAGAGTCCTGCATCCTTTGTTGGCCTTCTTTGATACCTCCCCAGCATGGGTGTGGGATACTTCACTTTAGTTTCGGGAGGGTTATAAGTCTAGGTTCTAGCATGGATGGGAGTGGAGCCACAGTTTTTTTTCTAGGATCTTTGGCTGGAATAAAGCAATCATTGTCTTGACTTTTTTTTTTTTTTTTTTTTGTCTTGCTAGGCTGCCCCTATTCTGTTCTTTTGGCAAGTAAGAGCAGGCCTTTGTTAAGGTTTTTTGTTGTTGTTGTTGTTGTTGTTGTTGTCTGCATCCATTGGAGTTTCTGGGTTGCTAGCTTCTTCAGTTCCAATTCTGGGATATATGAGACAAAAAGAAAATACAGGGTTCTCACCACTGTGTCATTTCCCAAGTCCTAAGGTCCCTTGTCAGTCTGTCTTCTTTCCAACTTTTAGAGTCTTGTAATGTTTGTTATGTATGTAACATCTAAGGTTTTTAGTTGTACATAGAGGAACAGGGTAAAATACATCTCCATGTTTCAAGAAGCAGAAGTCTCCAGAATTTTCTTTTAAATTAGACAGGAGAAGAAAAATGTTACAAACAAAAGTATATTTATAGCATCTTTTATATTTCCTTATGCAATTACTTTTATCAGTGCTATTTTTTCATGTGGATTCAAGTTATTGTTTAGTGTACTTAATTTCAGTCTGAAGGATTTCCTTTTCTTTCTCTTGTAGGGCAGTTCTGCTAATATAAAATTATCCAGTTTTATTTATCTAGGAATATCTTAGTTTTTCCTTTTTACTGAATTATAGTTTTACTATATATGGAATTATTGGTTAACATTCTTTTTCTTTGAGCACTTTGACTAAGTTATCCTGCTGCTTCTGGCCTCCATGATTTCTAAGTGAGCTGTGAATCTTATTGAGGCTTCTTCTTTATATAATGGGTCCTTGGCCTCTTCTAACTTTTCAGGTTCTCTCTTTTTAATTTGACAGTTTGATTATAATTTGTCTAGATGTGGATCTTTGAGATTATCCTACTTGGAGTTTGTTGAGCTTTTTAGATATGCATATTAATGATTTTTTTTATCAAATTTGGAAATTTTTCTGCTCCTTTCTGTTGCTCTTCTCATTAATGGACTTTCGTTATGTATGTGTTAATATTCCACAGGTCTCTGAAGTTCTGTTCCTTTTTCTTCACTCTTTTTTAAAAATCTAGCTCTTGGACTGGAAAATTTCAAGTGACCTTCAAGTTTGCCTATTCCTTCTTTTGATAGTTCAAACCTGCAGTTGAGTTCCTGTAATAAATTTTTCATTTCAGTTATTGTATATTTTGATACTTTCTGAATTTCTATCAGGTTATCCCCTATAATTTCTATGTCTTTATTGATATTCTCTACTTCATAAGATGTTGTTCTATACTTTACTTCTTTAGATATAGTATTCTTTAGTTCTTTGAACTTATTTATAATAATTGACTTAAAGTTTTTAATCTAGTAAATCCAATGTCTAGGCTTTCCATAATGCCACATTGGAGAATAAGATTCAACAGGTGTTTTAGAGGCTACAGATATTCAAACCATAGCACTCACACTTATTCTAGCTATGTTGGTCTTCTTGCTATTTCATGATCAATGATGTATGCTCCTACCTCAGGGCGTTTGTACTTGCTGTTTTCTTTGCTTGACACACTTTGCCCCCAATGTCCACATGGCTCACTCCCTCACTTCCTTCACGGCTTGGCTCAAATGCCTCTTATTAGAAAAGTATTCCTCAAGAATTAATTATTTAATTATATTTCACCTTATCAGTGTCTCTCTTTAATATCTCATCTTTCTCTCCTATATCTTCAACTTCTCTCTAAGGAGTCTTTACCCTGAGTATTTTTAAATGCTCAAGTCTTTCTTCTTAAAATAAAGTCTTTTATCCCCATTTTCCCATCTAGTTTACCTTCCTCTCTCTCCTCTACTTCAGACCTTAATTTTTTGAAAGGCTTACACTTAATTCCTAAGAGGTTTTATGCTTACAGCTTCTACCTTCTGAGCTTCCACTCACTTCTTAAGCATCTATAACCTTACATTTTTTGCTCAGCACCTCATTTAAACTCTCAAGATCACTAACAAGCTTCTTGCTGCCAGACGCAATGAATGGTTTTAAAATTTGACCTTTTACCAGCATTTGGCATTGTTGGCCACCTCATCCTTTAAACATTCACTTCAGGAGCTTGAATGATACTATACTCTGCTAGCTCTCCTATGCTTGTTGCTGACCTCCCCGTGTCTCCTTTGCCACACTTACTCTTCTGTCTGTCCCTTAAATTCAGACAACTCTCAGAAGTCCATCCGGGGCTTATCTTTCTTCTCATTCTACACATTATCTGGGTGATTCTCTATCCTTAGATTTCCATTTTCATGCTGATGACTCCCACATGTACAACTCCAAAGAGTTGTAGATCTTGTTATTTCTCCAGGGCTTCAGATCCATATATCCAAGTGTCACCTGGTTCCTACACAGACCCCTGAAACTTAACTATATTTAAACTTGAACTCATCTCTCCCTACCCACTTTAACTTGTTTCACTATCATCCAGGCACCCATGGTAATAACTGCCTTCTCCCCCACCACCTACTCCTCCAAAACACCATGATCTGTTGATTCTAGCCAAGATTCTCCACTATCTATTGAGTTTGCTCCATTTCCATGGCTGCCACCCTAGTTTAGGCCACCATCATTTCTTATCAGCATTATTTCTTTTCTCTTCACTTTTAAAGAGCATGTTAATCTCCACTGAGTTTATGAAGCCTAGCATGATATGACCCTGGCTTATTTCTTTGGTTTCATCTTGTGCTGCAAAACACAAAATCCTGTAAAATCTGTGATCCAGTCATGCTATAAGAAGTCCAGCTTCTGGCTCCTGAACCTTCAACCAGTTGTCCTTACCCTCTGGTTACCTCTGCTGACCATATTCAGATCTTGAGTCAGACTACCTTCCTCCAGGAAACCTTCCCTTACTCCACACATCTGGATTATGTGCCATGTTATTATACAAAGATCTCTGTGAAGTGACCTTAATTGGGGTGGAGAAGTGGTTGTTTTATAGGACTAAAAACCTGATGGGAGTAAATTATAAAAACCCCAATGGAAGGAATTCAGGCCCTATTCCTTAAAATAAAATGTCATCAGCATCTATTCAGGTGGACTGGGGTGGCTATGCCTAAGGTTCATTGGCAGAAAATGGAAAAGAGACTTCAGATTTATGGTCAATGTGAAAACGAAAAATTAACAGGATCAGTAAAGGGACCAGGACACCACGTCTAAGGGCAGAAGGAGCCAATCAGAGAACTAACTGGGAACTACATCGTTCTAGGCACTTGGCTTTTGATTTGAAAATCTAGGGCATGTAAATCTCCTAGATATCCACAAGGAGCTGGACCTCCACCATCACAATAATCAAAATTAAGCCACAGATTCCATGTCCAGATTTGTACTCATTACTAGAACCAACATTCAAACTCAGGTTTTGCGCATGGAATGGTTATCTGTGCATGCCCAGCTCTCCCCTTCTATCCATGCCTTCACGCTCCTGCTGCGTGCCTGACTGGAGAACTCTGCCTTAGTCAGAAAAGGACTCCAACCCTACAGAAGTGTCTCTGGCTACTGGTCCACTGGGAGCTGCTTTATACTTCATTTAGCACCCAATGGTGATGATTTCACTATGGAGATGACAGTAACTTGGATTTTATTTGAAAATTAGGGATTAAATAATAGTATGAGGATGGAAGAAAATCCATTCAAATATGAGTAGAAAATCTGAAGTTAAATTTGTATTAGTTCATCTAGAGTGTGTGTGTGTGTGTGTGTGTGTGTGTGTGTGTGTGTAGAAAGGAGGGCTTGAAAATGCCCATAGATAAGACATAAACTTCTGGAAGTTATTCAGCCAACCAATATATTTTATTTTAGACTGTTACATTAACTTAAAATATGAGGTTGGTGAAATATAAGAAGACACAAATAGTATATATCATGTATAGGAATGTCAACATTTATAATCTAAACAGGAGACTTTTTAAACTGACTTCAAGAGCAGAAATCCACACATCTGGATTTCAACAACAAGAATCTTTTTTTCCCTGTGCTGCCAGCAAGCAGCTTGGAAGAAATCTTCAAAAACTACAGCTGCGAAGAAAGCCACTGTCATGTCATTTGAGTCAGGGAGCTGTGCTTTGTGCTTTGGCACTTCTCATTGACTTCTTTTTTTATTTTTAATTTTTTTATTTCCATAGATTTTGGGGGAATGGGTGGTGTTTGGTTACATAAGTTCTTTAGTGGCGATTTGTGAGATTTTGGTGCACCCATCACCCAAGGAGTATACACTGAACCCAATTTGTAGTCTTCTATCCCTCACCCCCTTCCCACCCTTTTCCCCGAATCCCCAAAGCCCATTGTATCATTCTTATGCCTTTGCATTCTCATAGCCTACCTCCCACTTATGAGTGGGAACATACAATGTTTGGTTTTCCATTCCTGAGTTATTTTACTTAGAATAATAGTCTCCAATAAAATGCAGGTTGCTGCGAATGCCATTAATTCATTCTTTTTATGGCTGAGTAGTATTCCATCATATTAGTCTTCCATATTAGTATTAGTATTCCATATTAGTATTCCATCATGCACTTTAGTCTGACTTCTCCCTTCACCATTTATCTGAAAATGTCCTCATTAGAGTTGCCAATGGGCACCCATGCTGAATCCAAGGGATGCTATTCATCCTTACTTTCCTTAAGTTCTCTGTTGTACTTGACATCATCAGTTATTCCTTTTTTCTCGATGTCTTCTACTCCTGTGGCTTCTGTGGTTCACTCCCTTTCTCTTCACCCTTCTAGCTTTTCCTTGACTGCATCCTTTTATCTCTTCTCCTCTGGGTACCTCATAAAAGTCAGTGCTACCTGGGATCCTGTCTTTAGCAGGTTTTTCTTTTCCTCTTACACTCTCTCCATGGATGATCTCAACCACTCTCATGCCTCCACAAGGACCAGTGTTCCATGGACTTCAGAATCTTGATACCCATGCCAGATCTTCCCCTAAGCTTCAGGCTCATGCAACCAACTGCCTCTGGGACATCGCACTGCTGTTCTATATGTACTTCATGTTCAATATGTCCACAACTGACCTAATAATCCTCCCAACTCCACCAGATCTTCCTTTTATATTTTTTTATTCAATGGGCAACAGCATCCAATCACTCATGTTAGAAACTTGTCTCTTCCCTCTTTTCACCTCTCTAATCAAGCATACATCCTACAGATTTTGCCTACCAAAGAGTTCCAGACTCTGACTTCTCCTGTCCTTCTCCAGCACTAGTTTGGATCATTGTTCCTTTCCCCATGGATTAGGTCTTTCTCCTCCTTTTCAAATCGAGCCCCTTATAAGCCTCCAGAAGGCATAATATGTAAACATAGCAAAAAACAATCCCACCACTTCCCACTATGTTCAGATTTCTTCATTGTCTCCCCATTGCTAACTACAGTGTTTCTCAAATTATCAACCATAGAACATCTGCATCAGGCTCACCTAAGAGTTTGTGACAAAGCTGATTTCTGAAACTTACACCAGTCTTACCAAATCATGATCTTACCAAATCGTCATCTCCAGCTTTCCTAGAAATCTGACTTTCCCATACGTACCTCAGTGACGCACATGTTAAAGTTTTGGACACTCTGTATACAGCAAACCCTCCTGATCTTGGCTCTTGCCTCTCCAATCTCCCTTTGGTTTATTTGTTTGTTTGAGAGAGTTTCTCGTGCTGTTGCTCAGGCTGAACTGTAGTGGTGCAGTCACGACTTAATGCAGCCTCAACCTCCTGGGCTCAAGCAATCCTCCCACCTCAGCCTCCTGAGTAGCTGGAACCCAGCACCACCTAGCTAATTTATTATTGTTGTTATTATTATTTGGTAGAGATGGGGTCTCACAACATTGCCCAGGCTCATCTCAAACTCCTAGACTCAAGCAATCCTGCTGTCTCCACCTCCCAAAGTGCTGGGATTGCAGGATTGAGCCACTGCACCCAGCCCAATCTCATTTTTCTTCTTACTAGTCCCTGACTTTAGCTCCATACTTTGGTAGTCTTAAATGCCTGCATTTTACTATGCTAAGTGCATCTCACTTCCATGACTTGGCTCATGTCTCTATATGAAATACCCCCTGGTTCCTGCCTTTCACCCCCACCCTCCCTTTGCCTGGTAAACTCCTATTTATCCAATGACATTCAGCTCACATCTCCTCTCTTACAACAATCCTTAATTTTCTACCCTCCCACCCCTCTTCTCTCCCACCTCTTATCCCTTTATTCAGTGGGTTAGATCCTCTTTGGAGCTTCCACATGCATATCTCCATTAGTGCTCTTACCACCCAATCTCATTATTCCCAATCTGGGTGCCTATTTCTCCCTTTACAACATGAGCACCTTGAATCAGGGACTGTCTGCTAGTCAGTTCACTAATCCCGGCACAGGCTGGATGTATAGCAGGCACTCAATAAATGTTTCTTCCGTAAATGAAGTATGCATACTTGCTCTATCTATCCTTGTTAGCTGCTTCTTTGCTACAATAGCAAAGACTTGGAACCAATCCAAATGTCCAACAATGATAGACTGAATTAAGAAAATGTGGCACATATACACTATGGAATACTATGCAGCCATAAAAAATGATGAGTTCATGTCCTTTGTAGGGACATGGATGAAGCTGGAAACCATCATTCTCAGCAAACTATCGCAAGGACAAAAAACCAAACACTGCATGTTCTCACTCATAGATGGGAATTGAACAATGAGAACACATGGACACGGGAAGGGGAACATCACACACTGGGGCCTGTTGTGGGGTGGGGGGAGTGGGGAGGGATAGCGTTAGGAGACATACCTAATGTCAAATGACGAGTTAATGGGTGCAGCACACCAACATGGCACATGTATACATATATAACAAACCTGCACATTGTGCACATGTACCCTAAAACTTAAAGTATAATTTAAAAAGAAATGGAAACTTAAAAAAAAATGGAAAACTGTTCATAGTGCAAACAGGCAAAGACACAGAGATAGGTTCCAAATGGTAAGACAGCAAGGAGGAGGTGGAAGGTGAGATTAATAGTGGTGGTGTTTAGGATGAACAGAAGTGTAAGATGCTCAAAAGGAACATTAAGCTCATTGCAGTGGTTGAGGAAAGAAATGATGAACTTTTGCACAAAGGCAGCAGCAGAGAAGGTGGAGAGGAGAGGATGGAGCTAAAAGACTTCTCATAGGACTTGGTGGCTGAATGTTTGCAGTGAGTTAGTGTACTGGTTTTCTACTGCTGTGTAACACATGACCACAAACTTACCAGTTCAGAACAACATTCATTTTTGGCTCACAGTTCTGCAGGTCAGAAGTCTAGGCATGGCATGACTGAGTTCCCTGCTCAGGGTCTCACAAAGCTTAAGTCACGGTATGAGCAGGGCTTACTGCTCATCTCATTTGGAGCTCACGGTCTTCCTCCAAGCTCATGTGGACATTGGCAGAATTCAGTTTCTTGCAGCTGTGGGACTGAGATCCTAGCATTCTTGCTGAATGCCAGCAAGTGGGAGGATAAGGGGGGGTCTCAGCTCCTAGAGGCCACTTGCATTTCTTGCATGTGACCTCCTCCATCTTCAAAGCCAGCAACAGAGACATCTCCCTAACGTCAACTCTCTCTCATGCTTCCAATGTCTTTCTTTAGGAAAAGCCTGACCTCTTTTAAGGTCTCACCTGATTAGGCCAGGTTAATCTCCCTTTCTTAAGGTGGACAAATTTGGAAACTTAATTGCAGATGTAAAATTTCTTCCTAGCAGTATCTAGATTAGCGCTTGGTTAAAGAACTGGGAGAAGGTGTGTGTACATCACAGGAGGAGGATCCTGGAGGTCATCTCAGAATTTTGCAACCAAGGTAAAGGATAGGTAGTGCTTCAGTTAGACTGTGAGTGTTCTAGCTGGACACATTGGAGGGACAATGGAGCCCTTAGCAAAGCTTGAGAATACAGGAAGTGGAAGAGTTCTGGTGGGAAGGTGAGTTAAAATTTAGATTCGTGAAATACAGAGGTACAGAGAAAAAAAAATATTAATTGAGTAATTTTTGTATATAAGAAGTGCCTCTTGGCAGCCTACTTGGTAAGGGCTGAGCTCCAAAAATATTATTTTCAAGAATATAAAGTTATTGGTGGAAAAAAATAAATTGTTAAAGGGAAGTGATCTTTAGGGATATGGGGCTAAAAGAGGTATACTTTATAAAAAATATTTTGCTCAGCTCAGCTATCTAAAAGTTCTCAGGAATATCGTCGAACTCATAATGGGTTGTAAAATGTGCCTGAAAATTGGGGGTCAGATTTTTATTCCCTAATTCTTAAGAGAACCTAGGCCGGGCACGGTGGCTCATGCCTGTAATAACAGCACTTTGGGAGGCCAAGGGGGGCAGATCACCTGAGGTTGGGAGTCCGAGACCCTCCTGGCCAACATGGAGAAACCCCGTCTCTACTAAAAATACAAAATTAGCCGGGCATGGTGGCACATGCCTGTAATCCCAGCTACTTGGGAGGCTGAGGCAGAAGAATTGCTTGAACCTGGGAGGCGGAGGTTGCAGTGAACTGAGATCGCACCACTGCACTCCAGCCTGGGTGACAGAGCAAGACTCCATCTAAAAAAAAAAAAAGAGAGAGAGAGGCTGACCCCAAGTTTTCATTACAGTTGGTATTTCTACCTCATGGCAGGAAATGGCAGCCAGCTGGATAATGGCCTTGCATATTTCCATCCATTGAAGACCTCAACGTGAAAAGTTACAAGGTGATTTTCCTTCTTCCTCAAACCTACCCATAAGTCTAAAATATCAAGGTCACACAGCAGCAGCAGCACTTCCAGACTACTGAATGGTCTTGCATTGTCTAGTTGAATACATTTCCATGATTCCTCCCATGTTTCCATGAATTATCCAATTCCAGGTATTGCAGGCAGGAGAGAGGAAACCAATATAATGAAACATTTTCTGCATTCATCTTGCAGGCATAGAGACGAAAGGAAGATAAAGTTAAGGGCAAATAATTAGATGCAATCTGACCTGAAGCTAATGGAGATATAAATAGGGTGCTGGGGAGCTCCAAGGACAAAGATGAGGCTCAAAATCCTACCAGAGAATGGATTATAAAATATTTTTTAAAATATCAGGTTTGGGTTGTCTTATCTTGTTTTGTTTTGTAGATGTCTGGAAGCCAAACCTCTACATTGTTTTTCCTTTTCTTTTTTTTTTTCAGAATTTTTATCTCATTTAAAAAAACTTCATTAAGGTAAGTTTTGAGTACAAGAAACTTCAAAATATTTATTTTTAATTTTTCTTGAACTCTAGATCCTCATTTCCAAGTGAATCAGATTTCTTTTTTTATATTTTTGGAAACAAGGTCTTGCTCTGTCACCCAGGCTGGAGGACAGTGGCACAATCACAGCTCACTGCAACCTTGAACTCCTGTGCTCAAGCCATGCTCTTGCCTCAGCCTCTTGCACCATGAGTAAAATTCCCTGAAGCCCTCACCAGAAGCAGATGCTGGCACCATTGAAGATGGTATATACACCAGGTGTATATACACCATTAACAATTGGTTTGTACCTTTCCATACCATTTAATATGTATCTTTACACATGAGAATGTAACATCCTTCCACGATTTTTATGTACATTATAATATATATTATATAATATTAATATATAAATATATAATAATATTAACATATTATATATAACACATTACATATAGTGTACATATTGTGTATAATAATATATAATACATATATTTTTGATACATTACTTATAAGTAATATTATATATTGTATTATAATATATAATATTGTATACCTTTTTGCATTATATACCTTTTGCATTTTATATATATACCTTTTTGCATTAATAATATAATGCAAAAAAACCACCCCATATTTTAAAACAGTGATATAGTAGTCAAAACTATATTATACCAGTTTATTATTCCCTCACTTACAAGAGATTGATTTAAATTTTTCCCACAATAAATTCTACTGCGATTAACATTGCTACACAAATATGAGTGTGCATGGAAGCTGTTTGGTTCAGGGGCATGGCATGAGTATTATAACATTTGATGGAACTGCAAAATTGGCTACCAAAAATTATTTAGCAATTTGAAGCCCATCATTGATTATAATAATAGCTAATATCTACTGAACATTTACCCGATGCCAAACACTGTCCTAAGGGCTTTAGGTAGAGTATTTTAGTGAGCCCTATTGTATCAGTCTTATTATTACTTCTGTTTTATAGATTAGGAAATGAAAGTTCAAGAAGGTTAAGTAGTTTGCATTATGTAATAGCTAGGAAGTGGTATAGCAATGATTTGAACGTAAATCCTTCTTATTTAGTATTGTCCTAAGTTTTCCTGATTCTTTTACTTATTTTGCTTTTATTCATGCCTTCTTCATTCATGAATTTATTTTCAATGCTGAAGTGCATCTTTGAGCCTTTTCTTCCAGGAAGAATATAGGGGTGGTAAAAACATCTGAGCTTATTTACTGTTGCTCCTAATGGTAGTCTGAATGGTTACAGAACTCTAGGCTTAGACTTATTTTCCCCACAGTATATGATATGGGTTTTGTCATCTACTATCCTATTGCAGATGAGATGTTTGAGGCCTAGTAGATTTTGTATTTCTTTATAAGTAACATTTCTCTCTCCTCTCTCTCCTCTCCCCACCTCTATAACTATATACATATATATATGTACATACACACATATATATTAGTTCATTCTCACACTGCTATAAAGAAACACCTGAGACTGGGTAATTTATAAAAGAAAGAGGTTTAATTACTCACAGTTCCACAGGCTATACAGGAGGCATGGCTGGGGAGGCCTCAGGAAACTTACAATCATGGTGGAAGGGGAAGCAGGCACATCTTACATGACTGTAGGTGAGAGAGAGAGTGTGTGTGGAAGTGAAGGAGGAAGAGCCCCTTATAAAGCCATCAGATCTCCTGAGAACTCACTCATGATCACAAGAACAGCATGGGGGAAACTGCCCCCATGATCCAATCACCTCCTACCAGGTCTCTCCCTCAACACCTGGGGATTACAATTCAAGATGAGATTTGGGTGAGGACACAAAGCCTATCCATATCACTCTCTCTCTTTCTGTTTCTCTGAGCTTACAGGATTCTCTATTACTGGAGGTCACAAATTCCAGGAAGAAGTGTCTGGATCTTTTTGCAACACTGTAGTTGGTCAGTGAATGGAGATTTTATTTAAGTCTGAAGATGTTATCTTCAATTTAGGGAAATTTACTGTATTGTTCATTTCATGTCTTTAGCTTAACAGGAAATCCTATTAGGTGGACAGTGGGTCTCTTGGATTTACTATCCATGTCTCAACATATTCTCAATCTTCATCCCTTATCTTTTAAAAATTATGTTCTCAAAGAGTCTATCAGTTTAATCTTTTGATCTAATATTTAGGTCTGTGGTAATTTCCATGATTTTATTCAATCGTATTAGATATTTTCTGAAAATATTTTAACTTTACAGTTATTTTCGTCTTTAGCAGTCTGTTCATAGCAGTAGTATGTCCGAGGATACTAATCTATGCTGTTACATATTAATCATCTTAAAATATTAAAACAGGATGAGCCAGTGAACCTCAAAGGGGAAAAATAGATGAGATTTAAATGGCCATATATCTGAAGCAGCGAGACTCCACATAGCCTACACAGGGGTCCCTTTCTGTAAGAGAAATGTTGTAATATTCCTTTTGCTGTCCTGAAATGAAGTTCACTGAAATAATCTACATAATCAACAAGAAACCCCATTGTAATGGAAGAGATAAATAAAAGGAAAACCATTGAAAATATGACATATTTTCGTACATAAAGGCTCAAGCAGCACTGCTGTAGAAGAAAACAGAAATCGAATGGATGTAGTTACTGTGTGTGCCACAGCAAAGGTGTGGACAAATGAGACAGGTCAGTGGAGACTCAAATGCTATGAGTTGTATTGCAACTGGTGACATGATGTTCCAAAATGGTAAAAAACTGTTAGTATTCTGAAAAAAAAATGAAGTACAATCTCCCTTTGATTTACATGGTAGTGCATTCCTGGAAAATTCAGTGTATACAATAACCTAGCCAAAATACAGTACCACTCATGTTATTCTTTCCCGAGTTGCTTGAGCCAATGTTTATTTTTATTTTTTTCTTAGAAAAGTTTTTAAAGCAACGAATTTTCTTGAGCTCAGTTTTACTCAGATTCCATAGATTCTGATTTCAGTGTTATTTTCTGGATAATCTGCAATTTCATTTTTATTTTCTGGATCAGAATACTCTGAATTTTTTATTTCTAGGTCCTTTTTCAGTTTATATTTGCTATTTGCTTCTAGTTCTATTGGACTACGGTCATAAAATGTAATTTGAGATATTTAAATATTTTAGAGTTTTAATGAGGCTTTTCAGTGGCCTACTTTAGAATTTTGTTTTATAAATGCCCGATGAGATGTAATCTCATTTTCAGGACAAAATTCTCTTTCCATAGCTATGACATAGCTATGAAAACGATTCCCTGTGGGACTAAAATTAAATACAAAGAATCTAAAAGAGAATTCATAAAATGCTATGACATCAGCCTGAAGAATTAGGATATTCAGACCCTCTATAACCATTTTTCTTCACGGTCTAAGAGATGTGTTTTACAGATTATCAAGTAATGTGGTTTTGGTGATTATGTTTCTCATGTTTTGTTTTAGGCCTTCAATGCTCTTCTTGTAGTGGCTCATAGCATTAATTACTAAAGAACGACTTTTTGACCCAGTTAATAAGCATTGACTTCAACTCTGGTTTTTTGTTTTGTTTTTTTTGTGCTCTCTGCTTTGTTTGCATCTGCCTGGCATACTGTAGTTAATCTTCTCACTTAAAATCTTTCTCATCTGGAAGCATACAGTTGGTTTCATTTTTCAATGTAGTTGAAACGTTGTCTCAATACATGAATTTATGCCATTTAAATCTCTTATTAGAGATACAGTTGGTCTTGCTTCTGTCATCTCATTTTATGGATTCTCTTTTTGATTCTTCGTATTTAATTATAGTCTCACTGGAAATTGCTTTCAATTTTTTTGTTTTGTTGTTTTTTGAGACAGGGTCTCACTCCATCTCCCAGGCTGGAGTGCAGTGGCGTGATCAGGGCTCGCGGCGGTGACTTCCCAGGCTCAAATGATCCTCCCATCTCAGCTTCCTGAGTAGCTGGGACTACCAGTGCTCACCACCATACCTGGCTTTTTTTTTTCTTTTTTCTTTGTAGATAACGAACGGGGTTTCACCATGTTGCCCAGACCGGTCAAATTCTTAAAAAATAATTACTTAACTGATATTTACGTACATTTATATTGCTTCCTTCCTTCTTCCATCCTCCATTATTGTGACATCATCTAGATTCCTAATAGTAATATATTTTCATAAGTTTTTACTTTATGCTACATTGCATCCCTTTAACATTTACAGCAATAGATGTTTTGTAGCTATATTTTGTAGTTATCCAAATATATTTCTATTTAGAACTTTTCTATGTTTAAGTGAAACTGATTACCACAAACAGCTTATCTACTACTAAGCAGCAATGCCTGGCACAGAGCAAGGGCTTAACAAATGGAACCTTTTGGTATAATTCTTGCCCTAGTCAAATTAAACAATTAAACAAGCATTACTTTGTTTGAAATGGTAGACTCTGCAGTGTTTAGTCAGCCTTTTAATTTATAACATATTTTGAGTGACTAATAGAACACAACCATCATAAATTTGTAAATCCAAAAACATTAAGGAAGAACAACTTTTTTCTGAACTTGAATTTTAAGGTTAAATTGTTATCCATATTGAGCAGGAAAAAGAAATGAAATCTGAGAAAAATAAAATTTAAATGGAACGTCTTGCATTGGACCATTCTATAGAGTGTATTAACACTCAGTAATTGTATCATTGCAGGGTGTGTGACCACTGAGCAAAAGGACAACCTTTGCTAAGTGAAAAGTAGATATTGAGAATGGCCTGAGTTGCTCATGAATACTGTTTCAAATTAGGAGTGCTTTCAGCAGCAAGGAAGCAATGACTTAAACCATCAGAACTTTTTTTTTTTTAATTTAACAGTTAGAGGAAGGAAGTCCCAGGATTGGTTCAGCAGTTCAATATTATGGATTTAGGATCTTTTTCACTCAGTCATCCTTAGTACATTGGCCTTTATCATCCTCTGATGTAGGGTTAGGATTATGGCCGTCATATTGACAAGCACCACAACTGAGCATCTCAAGCAGAAAGATGAGGGCAGGACTATAAAGGATTTTCATTTCATGCAGTTGTTTCTTTACATCAGGGAAATGTGTCTTTCTCATGGCTCCTCCAACAGACACGACCTCAAACTGGTAGCATGACTGGCCCAGATAAATCACTACAAAAAGGAGATTATCATGATTGACTGAGGCCAATCTTGAGTAGGGACTGGAACTCAGGCAGACTTAACAGAAAATTTCATAGTATGCTATCTAAGGTTTTTATACATTTCTGATAATAGCCATTGTTTGAAGAGGAACCCACTTATACAGGCATGGATACATCAAGTTGTATCTGACTAAAGCAACAGTGTTTTGAGAAAATTATTTGCCAACTGCATGTGCATAAGTATGAACAATCATTCCTCTAATTACCCAAATCTTAACCTGTTCCCAGCTTTACCTCAAGTTACAGAAACATGATAAAGCACAATGCAGTGGAAACAGCGTGGAGCTGGAGGATGCCAGACGACATTCCAGCCCTGATTCCACTGCTCATCACCAATGTCACCCTGGGCAAGGTACTCCAGCCCTGCTGCTCAGTTTGCTCCACTGTAAAATATGAAGATAATATCTTCCATGTAAGATAGTTGTGGGATTAAATGAGATCATGTATGGAAATTATAAAGATGTTCTATGATTAATAAGTACAATTTGGCCAGGCAGTGATTAGGCCTGTGTATGTGTATAAGATAGCTGTTACAAAAGTAAAATATTTTCTGTCCTCCAGAAGCTTAAGTGTAACTGAACACGCATTTGGGGATAAAACGGTGGCAGTAGAAGAAATGGCATTAATACAACTAAGGGACATTCCTTTCTAATTGTTATCAGTTACACTGCATACCCAGTGGTTGAAAATAAAAATTGGTTCACTTCCTATTGGGGATTACCTAATTAGTTCCTGATGTGTCACTTGGTAGGAAGCTATGAAATTTTTAAAAAAATGATAAAGCTTCTGGCCAGGCCTGGTGGCTCACGCCTGTAATCCCAGCACTTTGGGAGGCTGAGGCAGGCAGATCACAAGGTCAAGAAATCGAGACCATCCTGGCTAGCAAGGTGAAACCCCATCTCTACTAAAAATACAAAAAATTAGCCGGGCGTGGTGGCGGGCGCCTGTAGTCCCAGCTACTTGGGAGGCTGAGGCAGGAGAATGGCGTGAGCCCGGGAGGCGGAGCTTGCAGTGAGCCAAGATCGCGCCACTGCACTCCAACCTGGGCAACAGAGTGAGACTCCATCTCAAAAAAATAAACAAAAAAAAAAATAAAGCTTCTAAAAAATGATTTATTGTAAACTTCCAGTGGGCTTACTAATAGGAAAACTGTTTATGTAGGGTGATTGAGAATACTTACACAGCTATTTTTAAATTGTGTGATGTGATGATAATGACCATTATACAACAGGAGCTCACAATTACTGAACACTTCTGTCCCAGGTTTTGTTCTAAGTATACATGGATTCTTTCATTTCATGCCCACACCAATCCCATGAGGTAATCACTGTTCTTGTCCCTATTTTTTTCTGATGAGAAAATGAAAAACAGAGAGGTTCAGTGTTTTTCCCAAGGCTGCAGAGCTGGAAACAGGCAAAATCAGAATGTGAACTGAAGAATTCTGACTCCAGATCCCATGCTCTTAAATGCTTTTAAATGCTCTTCAGAGCAACCTTTCTATGGATGCACAGCTGGGGCTAACTGGCTCGAGGACTGAAGCAAGGCCAATGCTAGCTAGTTTGCATAGCAGATGACAATCTGTTCCTATATGCACAGTTGAAAAAGTTGAGTTTCGCCTAACTGGAGCTCAGGAAGAGGATATGTGTGACACTGATTCCTAGTGGGAGGGAGGGAGAGGAGGTGGGGAGTGGGGGAGGTGTGTTCCCATCATTGATGGTCCTAATTCTTCCTTCCCACTAAGGTTCTCCACATTTTTAAATTGCTGGAATGTATGGGTAAGAACAACACTAGTGAATTCCATCTCTCCAACAGCCTCGATGAAAGCAGTGTTTGATTGAAAAAAATATGAAATTTAATTTTAGACATGGCAAGTTCAATTACATCACTTCATATCACAGTAGAAAATATAATTTGTTCTACCATGGGAAATAGTATAATGGAATAGATCACAATAGTAGTATAATAAAATAGAATATCCAAGTGCAAAAACAATTTTCAAGTAAGTACACACACTGTTTGAAGGTACTTTATTAAGATCAAAGATTTTTCATTACATTTATTTATAAATCCTTCCTAGTCAAAATAAAATAATAAAAATCTGTATCTTTAGAAAGAACATAGTTTTGTAAGTCTGAGAAGGTTATGTTTGTCAGTTTCAAATTATTACAGTTTAGATACATTCAATCATTACACAATACCAGGAAGGTCAGCCTTAAAGATACCAAGAACTTCCATATTGGTCAGTAAAATAAGGGTAAAAAATTAAATTTTACTTTCACCTTTTTATGTTTGATTGACTACAGTCAATAATAGGAGTACAGAATTTACTTTTTGGTCTTGATTTTTAAATATATGAATTTTAAAAAGTGAACGTTCCTCTTCTCTTACATAGTGGCTCCAACTTAGGGAGCTGGCTTCTGGAGGGAGGAGTGCTATTCTCCTTGCTGGAGAAGGAGGCTGGGGGAAGAAAGTACAGAATTCAGGGCCTTTTTGCTGCCGTTGTCAATGAACTCTCGGAGTTGGCCCTGCCTTATTAAATTTTAATCAATTATCTTTCTAAGCATCAAGATGGCCATGTAAACACTGTTTTTAAGACCACGTCTACCGGCTGGGCACGGTGGATCATGCCTGTAATCCCAGCACTTTGGGAGGCCAAGGCAGGAGGATTGCTTGAGCCCAGGAGTTCAAGACCAGCCTGAGCAACATGGCAAGACCCTGTCTCAAAAAAAAAAAAAAAAGTATACTACCTGATTTCTAAAATTACCAAAGTGCCCCCTTTTCCCCCCATTATTTAAAAAATATTGTTCTAGCTCTGCGCTTAAGGTCTGGACCTTTCTTTTTTAAAATGTTATATTTTTATAACATCTTATTATTACCACCACCAAAAAAGGACTCAGTTTCTCCCACTTTACACTATATCTCTGTCCCCAAAGTAAATAACTGAAGCAATTATCTGCAATTTTTTTAAAATGTGGGTATTTCAGGGTAAAGAATTTGGACTGCCTAAATTACTCAGGTGATTGCCTGAATTATTACATATGTCCCATCATTCTTTGTACAAGAAGTCTTGATTTATAGAAAATTTCAGACAATGTTCAAAGAAGGAAATATGCTACCCAAACAATCTACTTAAGACTTCAGGTTGGCAACCCTCCCTCTTTCATTTTTTAAAAACAAAATTTTTTGCTATTTAATTAATACACTTAGAACTCACTGTCTGGATCACGTTGTTATATAATACTTAGTCTGATTATCTATTTTGGTGTGACTATGTGTCAAGGCCATTGGAGTGGTTTTTGTCTCTGCTTCTAATATGAACTTGACAAGTATGAAGGAAAACCAGTGAATAATGCTATCAAATGTGCAGTGCACAGATCGCACACTTGGATCTATCTTTGTAAAGCTCAAATATTTACATGGAATGTTGACCATGATTTATAAAACTACTCTTTTAAATTAGGACATCTTGACATACAATCAGTTTATTTTATGAATAGCCCCGTTTGATATTTAAAAAAATATGCCTTTAAAATATTTCATAAATATATAGAATTTTACTACATTCTATTTTTTTTCACATGACATTTAAACTCTCTTTACAAATCAACAAAAAAATAACATTTTTTTTTCCACTTTGAAAGTCACAGATGCAATGATTTTCGACGGGCAGGGCTTCACTGCATGCAAGAACGGCAGGATATGCTCTCTTATAGAACGGATAGACATTTCTAGCATTTTGAATTATATAATTCACTTGCTGAAAATCAGTAGTATCAAAGAAAAGTGAGAGAACCCATCTAAATATTTACAATATAAGAGTCTTTCCTAAACTTCTTTAACAATGGCAAGGTTAGGATGGTGTCTGGACAGTGTTAACAAGCATTTTGATGACAAAGAAATAACATCACATGAAAAGTTTTCTAAAATAAATCTTAGAGCAATTTAAAGAGGGGTGATCTATTGCACATAGATGAAAAATAATCTTTAATTGTATCAGTAATATGTAAAACAGGTTTTACATGTTTTAGAATAGAAATCCTTCTTCTAATTTATTGGAAAAATCCAAAACCAGCTAAAATAACATTTTGGGTGACTTCATAAATTGTCTTCTGAGGAATTACAAATAAAAATATCCTTTGTAATCATTTCTTGCCACAAGGCTACCATTCTTACTTATATTAATCCCAAAGGAAAGGCTTTTCGTTACATATATAATAACTGTTAAAAGTCTACTTTCCCTTATTAAATGTTGTTGAGTCACTGACAGGTACTCAAAAGGACTTCTCAAGCTATATTATGAAGGCCATTCACTCAAGGTAAAATTTCAGTTACTCCTTTAAGAATTATTTTAAAATGCACACACTGTGAACGTATTGCGAATATGTAAGAAAGTCTACACTTTTTGAATAGTAAGAGGACACCTTACTGCCTGCCCGGCTAAATCTGTGATGATCCACCCAGAAACAGCAGAGCTCACCTGTCTGTCTGGAGCTGCTCATGGCTGCTGAATTGATACCTTCAACAGCTAACATTCAAACTCGACAGCAGCAGCCACACCTGAGACCAGCAGAAGCGCTGAACTCCCATACATACTAAGCCTCTAGCTAAGTCTCTCTGAAAATTTCAGCCTCATCTTGGAGATAGAGCGGTATTGAAGACAACGAGAAGGTTTGAGGTTTTGCTTAGAATACAGTACTGTGCATATTTTGATTTCGGATCTTATACTAACACATGGCGTTTGAAATAAGGCTGTAAAAAGATACAAACAAAACCAGCATTCAACTTGAACCAAGATTGTACATCTATGACAGTGATATAGATTTAAAAACCCTACTACCAAAACTGTAATTGATTTCATCATGCACTCTATAGAAAAAGACAATTATGGAAATTTCTCTTAGTTATGAATGTAACCAGCTCACTGGCACCCAATGGGTCTCTGTCTCTAATTTGTCAAAAGTTGTTTTGAGCTCATTGAATGCCACAGTGAGGTCATCATTTATTATAATTTTGTCAAAAAGATGACCATATTGACTTTCCATTATCTGTGCAGATTTAATCATTTCTTGAAAATCTTCTTCCTACAAAAGGAAGTATTAAAAAAATAATTGGTTAACCAGGCCATTACCTCACTTCATATCAATGCAAACATTCTACAATTGGTTTACCTAATGCTGTTCTGTGTTCAGTCTTTCCCCTCAGCCAGAAATAAAAGTCATCCTCTTTAACCACAAGTGCTTCAGAAGCCATAATTTCTAATACTATTTCTATGATTTGCTTGTAACAAAAAACTACTCTGGCAAGAGTCAAAACTCCTGCCTTAACTGAATTGCAGGATAATGAGTCACTAGTCATCATTATGGGGAAATGTCAGTATTAAAATAGCTATTGGAGAAAAGAATTGTTTACTCTGATGTTTTGGCTGCATTATTTATGCTTATTCATAGGAAGGAATTTATAATATAAACTCCTTTTTCAGAGTTGGACAAATTTGTAAAAGGATGATTACCATGTTTTTTGTTTTTTGTTTTGAGATAGAGTCTCACTCTGTCACCCAGGTTGGGGTGCAGTGGTGCAATCCTGGCTCACCGCAACCTCTGCCTCCGGGGTCCTAGCAATTCTCCTGCCTCAGCCTCCCGAGTAGCTGGAATTACAGGAGCGTGCCGCCACACCTGGCTAATTTTTGTATTTTTAGTACAGATGGATTTTCTCCATGTTCACCAGGCTGGTCTGGAACTCCTGACCTCAAGTGATCCCCACCTGCCTCGGCCTCCCAAAGTGCTGGGATTACAGGCATGAGCCACCACGCCCGGCTGATTACCACGTTCCTTCGATGTCTCATTAAAAGTGTTTCAGGAGCCTTCGTGTCTCACATTTTTAAAGCCAGGAAGTATTTTAGTTGGCTATATAACATAAATGTAAGAGAGCCAAATCCTAAGAATATGTGATCCTTTCTTATCTTCGTTGAGAAACCTTTAAAATGTCTAAATAGTACAATAAATCTTTATGTTGCAACATGCTGAAATAATTTGAGTCTGCATTTCATTGTCACATAAGATTTCACAATAACAGAAAATTTAATTTTAGTGTTGATCAAGAGCCTGAGTAACTAACATTGTATGACAGTACCTACTCAGAACGGATATGTACTGTTGGCATGTAAAAAAAGGTATTTATCAAATATACTGGGAATCAGAAATGTGATCTGTATTTTGTAACCACAATGAACAGTTCATAAATTAATATAAACTAAAGTTAATGATGAGCTAATTAAGAGGGGCAAGAAAAAAATAAGCTCTTCACATTTAATTTCTTTGCTTTTGATTTTTGGTCCAAAGGTAGAATATATTAAGATTAAGAAGAAAAACAATAAAAGGTCTTGCCAGAACCCATAATAGTCATGAATATACCACAATCATCATTTCCAATAACACTCATAGAAAATACAAATATTATTGCTGAATAATATTGGTCTACTTATCCTATACCCAAAATAGTGATTTTCTTTTGCTGTGCTAAATATAATTGTTGACACAAGGAGACAAGCAAGGCACATTATTAAATTTTTCATTTGGACTCTTAATGAGTAACAGTTACTGATGGTATTTTTAGCTTTAAAAATAAGGCTGCTCTGAAAATTAATTGGTCTAGATTTTATACAAATGTTCAGCCTACAATAGTATGAAATGTTCACATAATAGTATACAAAATAGTTTTGAGTCAATTGAATATGAAGATCCATTCACCAAAGCACAAGAAGTGTAACTGTTCAAAAGGTATGTACCTAAATACAATTCTTTCACTGATTTTTGTATCTATTATACTCTTCCCAAGTACATGCAGCTGTATATATGTTTTCATATATACAACTGTATCTTACATCTTATCTACTGCTTATATCTTATCTCCAAGCTTTTTGTGGTTGTTGTTGAGACAGGGTCTCACTCTGTCGCCCAGGCTGGAGTGTAGTGGTGTGATCTCAGCTCACTGCACTCTCAGTCTCCTGGGGTCTTGTGATCTTCCCACCTCTGCCTACCAGGCTGGAGTGTAGTAGTGTGATCTCAGCTCACTACACTCTCAGTCTCCTGGGGTCTTATGATCTTCCCACCTCCGCCTCCCAAGTAGCTGGGACTACAGGTGTCCAACCATCATGCCTGGCTAATTTCCATATTTTTTGTAGAGATGGGGTTTCACCACCTTGGCCAGGCTGGTCTTGAACTCCTGGACTCAAATGATCCTCCTGCTTCGGCCTCCCAAAGTGCTGGGATTACAGGTGTGGGCCACCACACCTGGCCCCCAAGCATCATTATACTTACTGTGAAGGGTTTTGCAGCACCTTGGTCATCTCTGCTTGAAATAATCTTTGCATTTTTTCTTGTTTCTCTCAAACGCTCTATTGATGGAGGCTTTATAAATATCACATAGGGCTTAAATTCTAGTGTCCTTAAATGCTTCACTGTCTACAAGGAAGAAAAGAAAGTTTTCTCACATTTCTCCATAGCATCATGAATTACTGAATTTTCTTTCTAGGAGAAAATTCCTCAAAATTATTCTTTAAGGTCAGTAGTCATTTCAATATATTATTATTCAATTAACTGTTGACAATTAAATGTAACAAACACTTCTGAAAAGAAGCTGGGGAATGTAACTTGGCATTTTAAAATGTTCTGAAATACATCATAATTAACATTGAACAGAAGTGACTAAAAATATCACAAAACTGGTTTTTAGATCAAATATTCCAAAGGTGTGATGAGTTAAATAACTTTCTGTCCACAAATGTCTTCCAACCATCCCTTTTAAGCCCCTTTCTGATTTCAGGCAGGAGTTCTCCTCTTTCACCCTATCCTTCAGAGTACCCTACAAGGGCAGCCTCCTGCTCTCCATGATGCCTGTCTAGATTCCTTCATCAAATCTTTGATGTTCTATACTCTATACTTCTGGGGACCTATCTACAGAGGGTGAGAGCTGAAAGTTATTATTCATGAGCTGATACTACACTGTGGGAGTCTGACAGCAACTGGACCTGGGACACCAGCAGAGAGGCTCTGCATAAGCAGGACTGTCCCATTCACTGTTGGTGCCTGATATGGTTTGGATCTGTGTCCACACCCAAATCTCATGTTGTAATGTAATCCCCACTGCTGTAGGTGCAGCCTGTGGGAGGTGACTGGATCATAGGGGCATTTTCCCGGGGTTTAACACCATCCCCCTTGGTGCTGTCATCACAATAGTCAGTTCTCGTGAGACCCTGTTGTTTAAAAGTGTGTGGCACCTCGCTCCTCTCTCTCTCTTCCTCCTGCTCTGGCCATGTGAAGTGCTCAACCCTCCTCCTTTGCTTTCCGCCATGATTGCAAGTTTCCTGAGGCCTCCCCAGAGCTGAGCAGATGCCAGCATCACGCTTCCTGTACAGTCTGCAGAGCAGTGAGCCAATTAAACCTCTTTTTTTTTTTTTTTTTTTTTTTTTTTTTTAGTAAATTACCCAGTTTCAGGTATTTCTTCAGAGCAGTGCAACAAGGGACTAACACAGTGCCCAAGTCAGGAGGCAGCCTTCCTGATTCTTGAAACACTTTTACTCCAGATTCATCTTCCTTTAGAGGTCCAAAGGGCTTCCGCAGGTCATTCTAGCATTTGGAGGTTTTGCACCCCAGGGTACAGCCATCAGTGGAAGGAGAAACCATGGTCCCTGGGGGATGAGGAAAATGCTGTGGGCTGGGGATCTGCTGGAAGATGTATGGTTTGATAGGGAATTGAATGGCCTCATCCACTGAAGTTCTCAGTTCAGAATGTTCATAATGGAGTTTCCAGGATGACAGGTGCAGACATGGCAGTTGCAATGGGGCTTTCATTCAGTACATTTCCTGCAAAATGCCCTTCAGTTCTAGTGGGGGGTTATTTGCTAGGATATATACAGAACCAAAGTCAAAGACTTGGAACCAAAATGTCCATCGTTAAAAATTATAGACACTGTTACTAATACATAACACATAAGAATGCATTATGCATGTAACAATGTGATGTATTTTTTAAAAATACAGAATATGTAGAAACATCTAAGAGTTGCTTTACTTGACAAAAACTGAATATAAATAAGAGTTACAAACACAGGTCTTGGAGCTTCCTCCACTTCTCTTTCTAATAATATTATGGGCTTTTCTTTTTCTCCACCAAAGATGTCTCCAATTATATTTAAATGCTTTTGCCATCTCAGAAAAGCCACATATATGCCAAAAGTGAGTTGACTTCATATTATTTCATACTGAAATGCTCACATGAGGTGCTGTAGATGACATGGGTCAGAAGGGTATTGAATAGCTCATTGTTTACTTACATGAGGCTGAACATCCAACAAACAAACTTTGTTTTTAGCAAGGACAGACCGAACTGAGTCTATACTTGTGCCGTAGTAGTTGTTTTTATATTCTCCATATTCAATAAACCTGTAAAAAATTAAATGCATTGGAATCATTTGTGAATTTAAAACAATTATAGGTGGCAAGATAAAATTCATAGGTAAAAGACGTTTCTGCTGAACACGTAATTTTTTTAAACTGTGTTTAATAATATAAACAGAGCCAAGTATTTCAAAATGTCAGTTTTTAAAAAATCTTTTATTATACATTTTCAAATCAGTAACACTTGCTTAAATTACACTTAAGCAGAAAAAAAGTACTTTAGTCTAGTAGGGCTCTAATGTTTTCCATCACCCCCTTTTTCTTCAGAACTAATGCAATGCAATAAAATGGTGAATAAGCCAAACAATAGAAACTACTGGAATTTCATTGCACGCTACGGAGTAACCCAGCCCAGCTTCAGAACTAGAGGCGCTGGGTGGTGGCTAATGGAGCCAGGGCAGTCGATCATGTGCTATAAAAACACAATCACTGCGCCAAACACGAAAAAAGCATTTCGATGTTTTAATAAAATCCCACAATCCTGCATTAAAACACATATTGCTTCTGATAGCCTAAAATATTTGTGCCTCAGCAGATGGAAAACCTGGGCAGGGGGCACTGGGGTGGGCTTGGAGCTAGCTAGAGAAGACGGTACCAGCAAGTTAATTATCATCATTTCAATTTTTTGAAGAGCCAATGAGAGAATGAGATGCAGGTGTGTGAAGCAGACGCTGGACCTAGTGATATACTACATAGTTGTTGGTTTTTGAAGTAAAATTCTATCCAAATTACATGTTAAGATTCAATTAGTGGGCTGGAAGGAGGTCAGAATAAGACACTTGCAACCTTCCCTCATTCTGCAAAGCAGTGTCTACACATTTTATAGAAATGAAGCAAATCCAGGTTACTAAAAAATTAGAGGTGAAGATTAACAATAATTACCAACCAAATTATTACCTTTTCATCTGTTTCAAATATTATTATGATAATTAAAATACACTTCAAATGGAGAACTCTCAGTTGTCTAAAACGGGACAGGCATGTGCTTATAAAAAACAGTCACATGAAAATTCTCAAAAATGTCCACATACTTGTTATTTTGTACATCTGTCTCAAACAAATGCTTGGAAATGAAAATGTATTCAACACCATCACTCTCCTGGCTTCTTCTTGCTCTGGTGGTATCTATGATTTAATGAAAAGGAGTTTAGAAAAGCCCACATCAGCCACCTTAAGGAAAATACTAAAAAAGAAATCAAGGGTATTTAATTAGTTTTTTCAACAGGATTTAAAAATGTATTTAAAAAGCAAATTAGCTAATAAAATACAGTAAGCTGTTATAAATCCAGATTTTCCACTGTTATTAAAATTATATTGATTTGAAGATGGGTTAAAAAGTTAATTGCATTGTATGTCTCTGCTATTATTTGCTATTTTGAAGGCTCTCTAACCTGATACAAGAGTGCTATTTAAACTCCTGAGGAAAAAAACCTTTTTTTTTTTTTTGCAAATAATATGCTTATTATCTTTATTGATCTTCATTCATTAAAGCAAATCTATTAACCACTAAGTTGTTAGATAAACTCTGAAACTGTTTGACTCTCTTCTTCTCATGGGACATAGTGGGTATGCCATCAAAGTTTTGTTTTACCAGCCAAGTGAAGCCAAATACTTCTGTGTGCTACTCATTCCTCCTTTGCAAAGTCATAAATAGCATCATCTTAGAATACTATTGAACTTCTAACCTTTCAGTAATCTTGCCTAATTATTTATTAACGAACTAAAATGGAGCAGAAAATATAGGATTCATTAAAACGACAACATGAACAAAGCCCAAGGCACTCCAGTGCTGACATGGCAAATGTAAACCCACTACAGGCCATCCTTCCTGCAGATCCCAACTAAAAACTATGGATGCCAAGAAACTACCCGAACACTTTGAAAATAAGTAAAGCAGGTAGACTGTAGAGGGGAGTCAAACTGCACGGGGAGGAGTTTAACTCTATTTTCCTCTTAGCTTTGCCCCAAGGGTGGGAATCCTTCGCAGAGCAGCATGGTAGAATCTGCAGCAAAATGCCAAGAGAAGCCCTAACGTTCTGGTGCAAAGAACTTGGGACGGGGGGTAGAAAAAGTCCTTGTGGGCTGTAAAGTGTGGAGGAAATCCAGGAGAGAAGAAAGCTGGAGAAGAAAATACTTCACTTCTGTGTATGAGTCAACAATAGTCTAAGAATCCTCTCTGTGCTACACACATGTAGTTCAAACTCAAACCAGCACGGCAAAGGCCTTATGAACTGAGAGTGGAATGTACAGGTTTCAGCCTAACCCCTGAAAAAGAGTATCGCAAAACATATCTAAGCCAATGAAGAAAAGGCTTAAAGAACTGAGCTGAGATCTGAACCATGCACACAAGTCTTAGACTAATCCTTGCATCCTAACAGACCCAAATCAATATAACAAAGGTGAGATAAAAGAAGCTGGCAGCTAAAATAAAAACATCAACATTCTCCCGAATATGGTAACAAGACCTAGTGTTAATACAACATTATATTCACAATGTCCAAAATGCAATCTGAAATTATTCAACATGAAAGAACCAAAAACAAAAAAAAACAAAACAAAACAAAAAAAACACCAATTTTCAAGGGGAAAGATAACAGATAGCAACCCTGAATGACCTGGAAGTTAGATTAGACATAAGTCTTTCAAACAGGTACCATAACTAAGCTTGAAAAGGTAAGAGAAAATATACTTGAATTGAACAAAAATATAAATTCTTAGCAGAAGAACAGAAACTATAAAGAAAAAAACAAATAGAAATTGTAGAAATGAAAAATAAAAATATCCAACAGAAACAAATCACTAGATGGGCACAATAACAGAATGACAGAAAGAAAAGCCAGTGAACTTGAAGACAGAACAATAAAATTATATAATCTAAACAACAACAACAACAACAAGATTTAAAAAATATAGATAGAACTCCAGGGACCTATGAGAAAACACATATGTCATAGGAGTACTAGAAGGAGAGGAAAAAAGAGATTGGGGCAGAAAAATATGTTTGAAGAAATAAAGGCCCCAAACTTCTATAATTTGGTGAAATACATAAACTTACCAATTTCAGCAGCTCAGCAAATCCCAAACAGGATACACTCAGAAGGGAAAAATTATGCCTAGACACATTATAATCAAACTATTAAAAGCCAAAGATAAATAAAAAATCTCAAAGCAGCTAGGAAAAAACACTGAACACATAAGTGAATAATGATTTAAACTGTCACAGATTTATTATAAATCATAAAAATAAGAAATCAATGAAATAATATCTTTAAAGCACTAAAGGAAAATACTTAATCAAAATGTGTTTCAAGAATAAAGGCAAAATAAAGACCTCCTCAGATGAAGAGAAACTAACAGAATTCACAGCCGACTGTTCAAAAAAAATATTCAAGGAAGTTTTTTAGGCTGAAGATAAATGATAAAAAGGAAACTTTTATATTCAGGAATGAGGAAAGAACAAATAATTGTGTAAATGTAAACGTCTACTTTTTTCCTGTTAAGTTCATTAAGATATATATGACTATTTTAAAGAAAAGTTATAATATTGTCTGATAGTTTTCAATGTATGCAAATGTAATACATTTGACACCTAAAACAAAAAGATTAGGCTGGGGGAAAGGGTCTTAAATGGCTGCCAGGTTTCTGTATTTTATGTGAAATGACACCAAGTTAAACTGCAAGCAGGTCATGAATGGTTAGATATGCATACATTAATATTCAGAGCAACCAGTAAAAAGCTAATCCAGAGATACCACCAGAGAGTCAACAAGTAGATTAAAATGGAAATTAAAAAACACTAAAATAATCCAAAAGAAGGCAGAAAAAGAAGAAAAATACAATAAAATACAGAAGAGACAAACAGAAAACAAATAATAAAATAGTAGCTTAAATTCAATCATTTCCATAATAGTAAACACACACACACACACACACACACACACACACACACACACACACACACACCAAAGGTTGGCTTTAATATTAGAAAAGCAGTAGAATTCACAGCATTAAGAGAATAATGGCAGACAAAACAATCATCTCAACGTATGCAAAGAAAGCATTTTTTAAAAACTTCGACACCATTCACAACAGTCTCAGCAAACTAGGAGTAACAAGAATGTCCTCAAACTGATAAAGTCAACGTTATATTAATGGTAAAGGATGGAGCTGTTTTCCCCTGAGATCAGGAGCAAGGCAAGTTTGCTAAGTAACAACATGAAAAATAACTCGAAATGGGTCAAGACCTAAATGTAAAACCTAAAACTGTAAAACTTCGAGAAGAAAACAGGAGAATGTCTTTGCAACCTTGAGATAGCAAGGAACTTTTACATAGAACAGAAAAATTACAAAACATAAAAGAAAGATTGATAAATTAGATTTCATCAAAATTAAACACTTTTGCTTTTTAAAAGACACCATTAAAAAAAAAATGAAAAGGTCAGCCACAGACTGGAAGAAAATATGTGTAACACATTTATCAGATGAAGGACATGTATCCAACAGTATGTAAAGAACTCTCAAAACTCAGTCACGAGACAAACAGTCCAGTTTTTAAAAATGGGCCAGGCACAGTGCCTCATACCTGTAATCCCACACTTTGGGAGGCTGAGGCAGGTGGATCACTTGAGGCCAGGAGCTCGAAACCATCCTGGCCAATATGGTGAAACCCCACCTCTACTATAAATATAAAAATTATCCAGGCATGGTGGCACACACACCTGTAATCCCACCTACTCGGGAGGCTGAGGTGGGAGAATCACTTGAACCCAGGAGGTGGAGGTTGGAGTGAGCCAAGATCACACCACTGCACTTCAGCCTGTGTGACAGACCAAGACTCTGTCTCAAAAAAAAAAAAAAAAGTCAAAAGATTTGAACACGCACTTTACCAAAGAAGATCGGGGGTCCCCAATCCCCAGGCCACACCAGTCTGTGGCCTGTTAGGAACCAGGCCACACAGAAGGTGAGCGACAGGCAGGCAAAGGAGCATTACCACCTGAGCTCCTCCTCCTGTCAGATCAGCAGCGGCATTAGGTGCACAAACCGAATTGTGGACTGCACGTGTGAGAGACCTAGATTGGGTACTCCTTATGAGAATCTAATGTCTGATGATCTGAGGTGGAACAGTTTCATCCTGACACCATCCCCTCCTGCCCTGTCTGTGGAAAAACTGTCTTCTGTGGTTCTGTGAAACTGGTCCCTGATGCCAAAAAGTTTGGGGACCGCTGCATAAAATTATGCTAGTCATTAGTTAATGCAAACTGAAGTATGAGATACCACTACGTACTTACTACATTGACAAAAGTTTAGAAGACTGACTACACCAAGTGTTGGCAAGGATGTGAAGCACCTGGAGCTCACATACGCTACTAGAGGTTTGTAAGATGGTATAACCACTTTGGACATCAGTTTAGTAGTTTCTCAAAAAATTAAACCGTATGGCCTCAGCATTCCACTCCTACATAGTTGGCCAAGAGAAACAAAAACATATTTGTCAAAAGACTTGTACAAAAACCTTGTAATAACTTTATTTATAATAGCCAAAAATAGGGGTAGAGGAAGAAACCCCTAAATCCTCATCAACAGGTGCATGGATAGACAAATTGTAGTAGTTCTATACAATGGAATGCTATTCAGCATGAAAAGGGATGAAAAAGAATGAATTATTGATGTAGGAGACAACATGGGTGAATCTTACATTCATTATGCTGAGTGGAAAAAGTCTGGCAAAGAAAAAAGTGGATGCATACTGTATAATCCTATTTAGATAACATACTAAATCATTCCAAATAATCTATTGTGACAGAACGCAGATCAGTGTTGCCTGGGAACAGGGTGGAAGACTGGATTACCAAGGGCACAAGGAAATTTTTTGAGATGGAAACATTCATTATGTTGACTGTGCTGATGTTTTCACATGTGTACGCAGATGCTAAAACTGATGTAATTGCACATTTTAAATATGTGCAGTTTATTCCAATTACATCTTGATGTTATAAAAAAGAATCTGAGAAGTACGGAAAATGTAACTTAATAGAAAAAGTAATGAATTTATAAAATCCAACTAATTTAAGTTATATCCCAAAGCTTAATTCCCTTTTATTTAGTTAGCAAGAATATTTTAATACAATGCTCAGATCTCTTGAAACAGTTTTTCATACCTGTTCTGCAGGTGGTGCACCAAGAGGTAGTGCTAGTCTTTAAAATGAAATGTCACACTCTTTACAGGAATAGCATGAAGTACTGGTGCACTGTCTTCTAAACTGGTACATTGTACTCTATCACAAACACTAAAGTTTTGCAGCAGAAAAATACCCTACTGAGGGTATATAACACGATTAATATCCAAAAACATGAGATATATTAAAATTAGTATAATGCCCTGCTTTGGAGTTTAGGCTTAATATTCATTCATTACTTAATCAGTTGTGTTGTTGCTATTTGCTAGTGTGTTCCTTTAGCAAATAGTAAGCCTAAGTAAAAAGTATTGTTGAAAATCAAATTGAGAATTTTCTGTGCATTGATTTCTTTCTTACGGACAGAGAAAAGATTGTTTTTATTCAATTATGATGGCAGGACACTTTGGTTGAAAATCTGCAACACATGGTTGAAAGATCACTTCCCTGACACACGGCATCCCACAGCAGGGTTAAAATACTTTTAGAACCACATCAAGGGGTAATTGAACAAGACATTTATGACACTGCCACATGCATTTAAAAGGTAATGTGTCTACAACCAAATTGTTTGCTTATCATAATCAACCTGAATTACCTAGGTCTGATGTTATTTTACTGACAAAGAATGTCAGTGCCTAATTGTAATGAGTTCCACAGGAACCTCATGAACTCATTCACAACAAGGAATACTGAATAAGAGATCTGAAATTCTTATGTGAAGGAGATTCCAAGGGAAAGATGTGCATATTACCCACAAGGCAGGCACGACTCCATCACAGCTCACTGAGTACCCACTATGTATACCAGTTAAGGCAAAATAGAAAACAAAATAGGAGCCCTCTTCCCATGTCCCCAAAATATCCCAAAATAGCTGTCCTGGGGAGATACGGAAAAAAAGTTTAAACTGGTACCCTAGTTATAATGCCTTTTTTTTATTTTTAAAGAAAATTCAAGTGAAGTATTGTATGGACAAACAAGTTGTCTAGAACATGGATGCTTTAAAACCTACAAAAACACAAAAACTGCAATATACATCTTTCTGAGAACCACAGAAAGTGATTAATAGATGTGGTTGACTTAGAATGCCCAAATTCTAGACTACAGAGATTTTGGAAGCTATCAAATATTTGATGTCTACCATAATAATTTTTGTTACCTATTTTATTTTAATTTAATGTACAAGAGACCCTTTTGACTGGTTGTATTAATAGTCATTCAGATTTATTGATGATAACCTATACAGCCTTAAAACAATGTTGATGTTGCTTTTCAAGGAGGAAATTTCCCACAGGCTGGGCATGTTGGCTCACAACTATAATCTCAGCACTTTGGGAGGCTGAGGCAGGAGGATCATCTGAGGCCAGGAGTTTGAGATTAGCCTGGGCAACATAGTGAGACTCCATCTCTACAATCAATCAATCAATAAGAAACTTCCCACAGAGGAGCAAAAGACAGAAAGCAAGGGTTTCAGCCACCACTTTCTTGAAAAGCAACTTTGAATGTTTAATATTATTACATGGATAATTTTTAAACATTTCATATAGCTCATTCAGCCACTTTAGCTCGAGTACCTGATTTAGCATCCATTTAAATAATGTTTTTAAATTAAAGTAATTACAAATTCACAAGTAGTTACAAAAATAGTACAGACAGGTCCCATGTAAAATCACTCAGCTTCCTCTTGAAATATTTACATAACTATAGCACTTTAGGAAAACCAGAAAATCAGCAAACTACAGTTAAACTATTATTTCTTTTTAACATTTAAAGCCTGAGTATTATACAATAACTGATATATATACACATAAAAGTGTTTAACACCCCCATGTAGCCAGCACTCTAACAAGAAGCAGAAAATTGCTAGCACTCCAGAATCACCTCTTGAGTTCCTGTTCTAACCCAAATCCTTGAGATTTCTAACAGCACACATGAATGTTGCCTTTATTGCAATTATAAAAATGAAATCACGCTGCCTCATTCATTCTCTTGTGTCTGCCTCCTTTTGTTCAACACATTTGCGGGATTCATTCTTATTGTTGCATGTAGTTGAAGATTGTTCATTCTCATTGCTTTACAGTATTCCATTGTATGCATATACTATACTTTGTATGCATATACTATACTTTACTTCTCCATTTTACTTATTCATTCAAATGATAAGCATTTGAGTAGTTTCCAGTTCTGAGCTCTTATGAATAATGACTAAGAATAGCTCAGTACGTGTCTTTTGGTGAACGTACTTATGCATTTCCATTGGGTGTGCAGTAGGAGCGGAATTGCTGGGTCAAGGGTATGTGTTTGCTCAGCTTTAGTGGATACTGCTACTTAGTTTTCCAAAATGATTGTGTTAATTTACATTCCCATCAGCAATGTGCAGGAGTTCCTTTGCTCCATAACTTTTTCTGGTGGATATGTAATACATGCTTTCAAAAAGAGAATTATAGAAATAAACATCAAACAATACTGGTGGTATAAGCAAAGCAATCATTTTTCTCCAATATTCAAGATTCTGCCCAAAGTATTTTACAAAGCAAAACTACCTGAAATTCTAAAATTACTCTTAAAATATATTCTTCTTTAATTAATTAAATCACGCTGGTTTGATGCGGTATTTTCCAAACATGCTATAAATACAGATACTTGGGCATATCTTTTTATAGAACTCCATGAGAATCTTATCATCAGGCAAGCCAGTGAAACATTACTATATGAAGACATTTTGACATTGATATCTGTCTAAAAGTAAATCAGAGTGAAAAATAACTACTTTGGGGATTTCTTTGGAGAGTCCCAGTCCCACAACCTTTCTGTAATATTGTCAACTTCTATAACAACTTCAGAGGCAAACATTTAAACAGCTGGGTAAATTGAGGCTAAAGTATGTTTGTTGCCCTAGGTCCTTCCATAATATCACATCTCTCATAGGGAGTTACATGGGATAGATTGGCTTATGGATATTTCTCATCTTCAAAAGAAGTCAGTTTTGACTACTTACTGGAATACAACAAAGATAGTCTGTAGTTTTAAAGGATTGCTAGTGTTAATATAGGAGGAAGAACATGAGAACTGGTATCAAAAAAAACTTGGTTTCGAATCCAAGTGCACCTATCATCTATGGAACTCAAGTCAACATATCCTTTCTATCCCTATCTCCTTCTCTGTGAAATAGAGATAATATCAACCATCTTATACTTGACTGGGAAGGCTACAAAAATTAAGACAAACAAAGGAGATGAATACACAGTAGGAAGTTTAAAAATTCGTTTTTTTTTCTTTGTAATCTGTTTTTGCATCTTCTAGGTCTCTTCTATAATTGCTCACCTGTAAGCTTAAAAATTATTTTGTAAAATTTTCTAATAACTTATATATTGCAATTCAGCTTTTGTAATTGAGGTGAATAATTACAGGCAAAAAAAATGTCTAGTTCCACATTTTCATTAACTTTCATCTCTGTTGGTAGAAAGCAGCAGTCCTATAACTTGTGACTGAAAATGATTACAAGCAATAATTTAGAAAAATGTAAAAAGAAGGAACTTGAGGTCACAGAAAACTATAATTTTAAAATAAAGTTGAACTCTTCCAAAACTAGAGAACATCGCTAAGGGCAATATACAAGTAAATTTTTTAAAACAGTACTAAAACTGCTTGAAAAAAGCCAACATTTCAATTTAGCCTTTTAGACAGCTTTCTATTATCAACATATTAAGTAGTCAAATGGCCTTTATTCTGCAGATCAAAATGTTTCAAGCATCACATTTTATTTGTAAGAATGCCTATGAAAACCACTTTTATAAAAATAAATCTAATTCTGTGTACTGAAAAGAAGCTTACCATATTTAAACTATATAGCCATGAAAAGCCCATTTAACATCATCTGCCAATTACTACATATAAAAAGTAATTAAGAAAGGTTTATATTATAATTAAGTCTCCTTCAGCTCTCTGTGATTTGATTCTTCTAATCTTAAAGCTGGTGAAAAACTCTGGAAAACATTAGCACTTATTTTAGGAAACAGAATTGTTAGACTTTTATTTAGAAGAAAATTTGTAAGTAATAATTTGATGTCATATGTGTACTAAAATTCATCATAAAAACCTAAGAGTAGGGAAGCTGTGATTAACAAATATTCTGCCAAAAATCTGTGTAATTTAGCGCAAATCCTTTAACCATTTTTGCCTTGGTTTCCTCCTCTGTAACATGGGGATAATGTCACTATATACTTCTTGGGGCAGCTGGGAGGTCTAGATGAGTGAGTGCTCAGAACAGTGCTTGATACCATACGTGCTTGGTAAGTACTAAGCAATCATTATTAACGAGTACAAAAAGAAAATAGTTACAAAGAATGAAGAAGATCTATTTGATAGCACAACAGGGTCACTATAGTCAATAACAACTTAATTGTATATTTTAAAATAATGAGTGTAATTGAATTGTTTGTAACTTAAAGGATAAATGCTTGAGGGAATGGATACCACATTCTCCATGATGTGCTTATTTCAGCATTTCATGCCTGTATCAAAACACCTTGGCCAGGTGTGATGGTTCACGCCTGTAATCCCAGCACTTTGGGAGGCCGAGGCAGGTGGATCACAAGGTCAAGAGATCAAGACCATCCTGGCCAACATAGTGAAACCCTGTCTCTACTAAAAGTACAAAAAATAAGCTGGGTGTGGTGGCACGTGCCTGTACTCCCAGCTACTTGGGAGGCTGTGGCAGAAGAATTGCTTGAACCCAAGAGGCAGAGGTTGCAGTGAGCTGAGATTGCGCCACTGCACTCCAGCCTGGCAACAGAGTGAGACTCCATCTCAAAAAAACAAAACAAACAAAAAAAAAACTCACATGCCCCATAAATACATATACCTACCATGTACCCAAAAAATTTTAAAAACAAGTTAAAAATTTTTTAAAATAATTTTTTAAAAATTTAAAATTATCGTAAGTGTAGTCATAGGAACACTGAGTAGCGCAGAACTCACGGGGCACTGTCACGCCATAGTGCTGGGTGTCACTGATCAGCAGCTTTCGTTTCAGTTCATTCAGCCCTACTCCCACGGGACCTGAAAAACAGGGTAACAGAAATTCATTATTGGACAAAACACCACATAAACATTTCTGTAACTGACATGAGTCTCTAAGACAGACTGAAAACATGGATCCAGCTTTGCATCCTAAGTAAAGAGATTATTTTCTGTTAACTTGAACTTAAGAAAATGCTAGATTTCTTTTGTTGCTTTTTTACTTTTTCAATTGAAATCCTCACCTTTTCCTCAAAAAGGATAGAAAGATTTATGTTTAAATGAGATATGTTCTAGAGTATTTAGGCTGGATGTGGTGGCTCATGCCTGTAATTCCAGCACTTTGGGAGGCCGAGGTGGGCAGATCACGAGGTCAGGAGATTGAGACCATCCTGGCTAACACGGTGAAACCCCACCTCTACTGAAAATACAAAAAAAATTAGCCAGGCATGGTGGCGGGTGCCTGTAGTCCCAGCTACTCAGGAGGCTGAGGCAGGAGAATGGTGTGAACCCGGGAGGCGGAGCTTGCAGTGAGCCGAGATCGCGCCTCTGCACTCCAGCCTGGGTGACAGAGTGAGACTCCTCAAAAAAAGAGTATTTAAGTATTACCAAATAACAAGCTACCCACAAGAGCCTAAAAACATGTCTACCTAAGAAAATTCAATTGCATAATGCAGATAGTGAAAATGTCAATTTTAAATGTTTTTAAGTGTTAATAAAACAAAACCTTTCACCCTGACTTTATTTGGGATGCAAATTCAGTTACGCATTTTACATCTGCTAAACAATCAGCCACATTTACATGTGCTGAGACCTTTTCCTGTACTATAGACTTCCTTAAGCATTTGAAAACTTGCCTAGACCTTACACACTTTACTCAATCAATGTATACACACTGGACATATATAAGGAGCAAGGCATACAGTAGATTCTGCGGACAACAAAAGATGACAAATTGACTCTGATCTTAAAGGAAGTCACCGGTTAATTATGAGTCCGGGACCAGAAAAACAAAAAACAAAGAGCAGTTTCAAATATGAGTCTGAAATCAAAAGTTAGACAGGCATAAGTCCCCCCTTTCCAGCATTGCTTTCCACCTAAAAGCTTCTCACAATGCTGCCATCAGGGTCCATTTAAGGATGGTGTGGTTCAGCGGGTGACACAAGCTACCACACTGCCCTCAGGTAGAGTCCCATCTCTTCCCATCTGCTATGCCCTCACCTGGTGACACTGGAAGGCAAAGCCAGGGGCGTAATTAGATTTCATTTTATTTCTAAAAGTGTGCCTGTTCCTTTTCCTTCTTGGGCAGAATGAATGAGAACTGAGAACGCATGCACAGTGGCTAGCACAGTGTCCAGGTACTTGACTGTTCACTGCCTTGCCTATGTCTTCTTCCACCCTGAGGAGGTCACAGGAGGCTTTGAAAGAATAAGGTTTTACACCATACAATGGAGAACATGCAGGTGTAAAGAGAAGTAGGGTGGGCATCCCAGGTGGAGGGAAAAGGATGAGCAAAGACAAAGTGGGGGAAGTTGGGGACTGTGCTGTTCTTGCTCTAATGCCATTTCTAGGTCCCTGACCCTTGTATAAAAACACCTGTCCCGAGGTGGTCATTCACTACCACCTTCAACCTTTCTCCACACTGCTGTCCAGTATCAATTCTCTGGCAACTTTCCCTTTTCTGTAAGACAGCAACTCTCAATTCTCCCTCTTATAATAAATATGCCATAATACCCCATTTATATCCTGAAATGGAATTAATTGCTAATATAACTTATCGACATAATTCTCCCTTCCAAATTAATACATTGACCTAACTAAAAATAATATATGAAAGGAGAAAAAATAATTTATAATAAAGCAATATGTATTTCAATATGTAAATTCTTGGCATGACTAGAGCAGAAAACCTAACCAAGTCAGATGTTTGCACCTACTTATAATAAATAAGTTTGGATTTAAAAGATCAGGAGCTATTCTGCACAAGAAAGAACAGGAAAACAAAAGCCCAGTGGTACATGTAAATCCAGGAATAAGAACTAGCATTTGGATAGAAACCACAGATCAGACTTCCTTGAATATGATAAGGAAAGAAGGAAACAACTAAGGATAGCATGTCAAGGCTATCGAAGTGAAGAAAACAATACAAATGACCTGAGCTTACCCAAGAGTAGTATATGGGGCCTGGCGCGGTGGCTCACACATATAATCCCAACACTTTGGGAGGCCGAGGTAGGTAGATCACTTGAGGTCAGGAGTTTGAGACCAACCTGGCCAACATGGTCAAACCTTGTCTCTACTAAAAATACAAAAATTAGCCAGGCATGGTGGCAGGCACCTGTAGTCCCAGCTACTCGGGAGGCTGAGGCAGGAGAATTGCTTGAACCAGGGAGGCGGAGGTTGCAGTAAGCCAAGATTGCACCACTGCACTCCAGCTTGGGCGACAGAGCGAGACTCTGTCTCAAAAATAAAATAAAATAAAGAATAGTATGTGGGATGAGACAGTGCTTCAGTGCACCAGACAGTTTGCTTTTCTAGAAACCCCACCACAGGCTGCATCATCTCCTCAGTCCTTGAAAGTCTAGCACAGCATGTTGAAGTAATGTGGGATGCAGTCAGATCTTTGTTCTATAGAAGGGTCAAGTCTACATCCCTCTACCCATCAGCCATTTTGACATCAAAAAAAGTTCCCTAACAATGTCCATAATGCACCCCAGTGGGCAGTCCTGCCCCTGTGGAAACCACTCTCTATGACTTTAGTACCTGACCCTTGTCATTCTCTGCACCCCAAATCCTGCCATCATCTTGGGTGACATCAATATCCATGTAGAAATTGCTTCCAAATGCAGCCTCTGACTTCCTGATCTCTGGTGACCTCCCTCTCTACTTCACTTCAACCATGACATGGCACGCCTGGCCTTTGCCATCACTAGGAGCTGATTCACTATGAAAATATTAAATCCAAATTCCCCAGTATGGTATCATTCTCTGATCTTCTTGGATCACTCACTCAGTTATTCTTCCCACACCTATGGTCATATAAGGACATTTCACTTCTATGATTTTGTTAATGTCTTCATCTCTCTTACACTTGTCCTTTATCACACTTGCCAATGAAACCACCCATCTAAGACCAACCCAATGGCC
Source organism: Homo sapiens (assembly GCF_000001405.40). Classification (NCBI taxonomy): domain Eukaryota; kingdom Metazoa; phylum Chordata; class Mammalia; order Primates; family Hominidae; genus Homo; species Homo sapiens. Next base: position 28,072,958 of record NC_000010.11, read on the forward strand.
TCTCTCCATACCCACTGCTGAGCTGAGTGCAGAAAACCCATGCAGCCCCTGGACAGCAGTAACATCACGCATTCCTGGTCTCCACGCATAAACCAGGACCTTCATGTGCTCCAGCAACCATTTTATGTTTTCCTTATCATCTGGATTTCTTAGATCCCCATGATGGCAATTTCGACTTTTCTCCAGGCTCCTCTCTACCCACACCTGGGAGCCTCCTGGTCACTTCTCTCTTGTATATCCCTAGAATCAACCACCAAAGGCTGCCAATTTCACCTCCTAAACATTCTTCAGATCTATCAGATCTATGCTTCCCCATTGCCACTGCTGCCACAATACCCCTGTTTTGCCTCCTGTCCCGAAACAGCCTTTTATCTGCCTTACATCTGCTGTCCTTCCATATTATCTAGCATCACCTGGCAGCCAGAAAGGTCTTTTCAGGAGTTATTCTGGTCCTGTTGCAACCATGCTTGACATTCTTGGATATGTAGTTTCCAGTGGGTCTCCCAAAAAAGATTAAAATCTTTACATGGAGCTGAGGGGAGTGCCTCACACCTGTAATCCCAGCACTTTGGGAGGCCAAGGCAGGTGGATCATTTGATATCAGGAGTTCGAGACCAGCCTGGCCAACATGTCAAAACCCTGTCTCTATTAAAAATACGAAAATTAGCTGGGCATGGTGGCGGGTTCCTGTAGTCCCAGCTACTTGGGAGGCTGAGGCAAGAGAATCGCTTGAATCTGAGAGGTGGAGGTTGCAGTGGGCCAAGATTGCATCACTGCACTCCAGCCTGGTGACAGAGTGAGACTGCATCTCAAGAAAAAAAAAATATTTTTTTTTTACCTAGTCTACAAGGGTCTGTGTGATCTGAACCCTGCCCTGTCTGCCTGCAACTCTCTCCTTTACTTGAAGCTGAGAGGAATTCTGATCTATCCTTCAGAGCTTGGCTCAAACAGTGCTTCCTCCAGAAAGCCACCCCTGATCCTAGAGGATCAGGGTTCCCACTTTCATGTTCCACAGCATCCTGTACATCTCCTTCATAATACTTAAAAATCATAATCAGACAACTAGCCAAAACACTGTTTAATGGCTGTATCACCCACCAGATAGAGGCACCATGAGGGCAGGAGTATTATATTGTTTACCATCCCCACCAAATAAATCCTTAATAAACATCTGCTGAATGAACAAATAAAACATTTAGTGTTGTTATCACCACCTCATGCTCAGCAGAAGACCTCAACTACTTCAGAAAACATAGAGGCCAACACATGGAAATGTTTTCAAAGTCCTTCCTACAAAGTGATGCATCTAGATCCACCTAGAGCAACCTTTTTTTTTTTTAACTTGCTTATTTTTATTTTTGAGACAGTCTCACTCTGCTTCCCAGGCTGGAGTACAATGGCGTGATCATGGCTCACTGCAACCTCCGCTTCCTGGGTTCAAGCAATTCTCATGCCTCAGGCTCTTGAGTAGCTGGGATTACAGGTGTGCACCACCATACCTGGCTAATTTTTGTAATTTTAGTAGAGGCAGGGTTTCGCAATGTTGGCCAGCTGGTCTCAAACTCCTGGCCTCAAGTGATCCACCCACCTTGGCTTCCCAAAGCGCTGGGATTACAGGCATGAACCACAATGCCCATTCTAAAGCAGCCTTTATCCTTCCTTCCAGCCATATACTCTCACATCTTCTCTTAGAGATTGCTCTCCCTGAATCTTCACTTCTCTTGCTTCTAGCTCCTTTCTATCAGCACTTAAAACTGATAAAGCCTCTCTTACCTTAATACAACAAGAACAACAATAAAAGCTCCACATTTCCCTTAACTCTAAATTCTTCTCCAGCCCTTAATTCAACAGCCCTTCATGTTTCCACTTTCACGGGCCATGGTGTCTTCCACTCTTGCTAATATCTTCAACTCTTTTACACACTGTCCTTTTATCACACATTAGTCTGTTCTCACACTGCTATAAAGAATACCTGAGACTGGGTTATTTATAAGGAAAAGAGGTTTAATTGGCCCACAGTTCCGCAGGCTGCCTGTGAAGCATGATTCTATCCTCTGCTTGGCTTCTGAGGAGGCCTTAGGAAACTTACAGTCATGGGGGAAGGTGAAGGGGGAGTGAGGTGTCTCATATGGCGGGAGCAGGAAGAAGGGGAAGAGGGGAGTGCCACACACATTTAAACAAACAGATCTTGTGAGAACTCACTATCACGACACAGTACCAAGGGGAAAATCTGCCCCCATAATCTAATCGCTTCCCACCAGGCCCCACCTCCGACACTGGGGATTACATTTCAACATGAAATTTGGGTGGGGACACAGATCCAAACCCTATCACGTGCCAAGGAAACATCCCATCTAAGATCAACCCATTGGCCCCTCTCCATACCCACACCTGAACCACAGAGTGCAGAAAACCCACACAGTAGTTCACCCTTCTCTCCACCATCCTGGTTTATGGCCCCGAAACTTCTCACCAGCACCTCCCACTTGTCTTATCCTGTGTCCACAGTCAAGTGTAAATTTTTTTACAGGTTTATATAGATTGCACGACGCAAGTTACTATGATCTCTCCTCTTAATTCTTGCCACTCCTTCCTTGCACTGTACGCTGCAGCGCCATGAAATTTCTCCTGCTTCCTGAAACGTGGCCACTTCTCCTTGTGTTGGGTCTTCATCACGTGCTACTTGCTCTTTTATGCACACTCCTGTCTTCTCACCTGACTAATTCTCGCTTGTTGTTTAAGATTCAGCTCAGATGCACCTTAAGGAAATATTCTCTGACACTTTACATTTGGGTTAGGTTCCCGAGTTCATGTGTTTCCTGTACTTCCACTTCCAAGGAATTATCACACTGCATTGTACTTGCCTGCTTCCTTGTCTTGATTGTCTAACAGACCGTGAGTTCTGTGAAAACAGGAATGCCTTCTGCCTTATTCAACAACGGCTTCCCTAGCTGGCAAATTGAAGGCCCTAGTTAGATTATTTATTTAAATTATACTCAATAATGATGCTATTATGCAGGTGAAACTTTGTTGAATGAACCAAAGGAGTGTGAGAGAAAGTTAAAAAGTATTTGCCCCTAGAACGTGTGGATATGAAAATTAGATAATCTGCTCAAGTTAACCAATAGAAGTTGCTGGAATTCACATCTGAACTTGGCTCTTTATCTTAAGATAAAAGGGGAGGTGATGGATTCACTCTAGGTACAGTGAGTTTACAGAAAGAAAATCTTGCTCCCAAAACTCAGACAAGAGCTGCCATGTAACAGAGAGGACAGGGCTAGGGTTCCATTGTGAATGTATTCACATCAAGGTAAAACCTGAGACTGCATTGACAGGTGAGACTTCTGAGGGAAAGGGCGAAAGACATAAGTGCTTATTGGTTGTCTATAATATGTCAGGCACCATGTAGGGGCTTACATATTTACCTACTTTAAAGGTTCAAAAAGTATTCAGAGTAAGTTCTAAAACTCACTTTTTCAAATAAATAGAGAAAATACAAGGAAAACAAGTGGTGTTGCAATGAAGGTACCTTCTAAGTACAAATAACGCAAACCCAATTATATATGTTCCCACACACATGCGCGCACACACACACACACACAGAAGCAAACACAGCAAAACACTATTATAAAATCCAAATAGAGGCCAGGCCAGGCCCAGTGGCTCACGCCTGTAATCCCAGCACTTTGGGAGGCCAAGACAGGCGGATCACCTGAGGTCAGGAGTTTGAGACCAGCCTGGTCAATATGGTAAAACCCCATCTCTACTAAAAATACAAAAATTAGCTGGGCATGGTGGCACACACCTGTAATCCCAGCTACTTGGGAGGCTGAGGCAGGAGAATTGCTTGAACGTGGGAGGCAGAGGTTACACTGAGCTGAGATGGCGCCATTGCGATCTAGCCTGGGTGACAGAGTAAGACTCCGTCTGAAAAAAAAAAAAAAATGCAAATAGAGTGTCCCAGCCTGCCTTGTCCCTCAAGACAACTAGAACTACAGGAAGGGATGTAAATTCACCATTTCCTTAGAAGGTCTCAGCTCCGGAGTGACTGCTAGAGTGTGAGATACTTTGCCAAGTGAGATAGGTCTAGCACTTCCTTTCTTATTCTTAAAAATCTCTAACTACAAAAAAAAAAAAAAAATCAACTCTCTAGGGAAAAAAAAACTAGGTATATTTGAATTAGTGGGAAAAAATATGCCATCTCTAATGTGATATCCTTAAATTTTGACTATATTCGATTTTGGGCCTAGGTAATATGCTAACTTTATAATCTAACCCTTACAAGCAAGCTCACGACACCCATGTAGGGTGCCAAGAACATTCAGAGGCAAATGACTTTATTTGGAAAATTTTCCCTAAATTAGGTTATTCTAGGTCATCATCTTCAAAGGTAGAAGTATCCTCCCAAGAAAGGTTAAAAATAGAGACATAATTTCAATCATTCTTACTGCCAAATTGTCCAGTGGGCCTACAAACAGCATTTTCCCAGTCAGGCCCTTGGATCAATCTGCCATCCCCACTGGAGAAGTTCTAGAGTCTCCCCTTGACTTTAAAAGACCACAGCTCAGATGCACCATCCTGTCCCGTATCCTCTTTCTAGGGTTAGGCCTAAGTTCACAACATTTTTAGTTGTCTGGTTTGTATTTGGAATACAAAATCTATTTACATTCCAAGCAATTTAGGGATGCAAACTGAGTTAGGTTTATTCATACGCCTCTGCAATAGGATAGCTTCATTTACCCCTTCGATAAAGAAATTTTTATCACAATTGGTGAAATACACTTACACGGGCACATATAAGTAGATTACTCTGTAGTTCGTTTTCAGCTGAGCTTGCTAATGATAAAGCGAAGAAGAGAACAGAATCTAAACAGCCCATCTTTAAATCATAGACAACAGGCTGTGGCATAATTATGATGATGACATAGTGAGTTCTTTTTACATGACAGGCATGTGTGACATGGTTCACATACACTGTTACTCATCCTCAGAACATCCCTGCAAGAAAGGTATCATTATCCTCATTTTACAGATGAGAACACTGAGACAATGAAAGGTGAGGTAATTTCCCAAAGGTCACACATCTGGCATGTGGCTTAGCTGGTGCTCAAAAGCCTGTCTGTCTAACTCAAAAGTCTGCATTCTTTCCACTCTACCTATGATCTTATGAAAAGAATATGCCAATAAAACATGAACTCGGGTAGCTGTTGCTCTGCTGTCTGTTTATGGCTGTGAATTGGAACTTCACGGACTCTCTCATCCCCAGTCCACGCAATCCATACTTCGTGATGACTAATTATGCTCCAGGAATAGGCAGAGATTCAGGCTACAAAAAGTGGCAGAAGTCAAATCTGGTGATCTCAAAGCTCACTCTGTGCAGAATCTCTGAGAAGTCTAATATAAACTGAATGAGGATGATGTGCAGACCAGGCCTGGGCCACAGACACTGGGCATATGTGTTGGATTCTCAATTCAGGACTGAGGAAAATCAAACACAAAGATGATATATGTAAGTAAAAGCCAAAAAGGCACATTAAAAATGATTTTGGAGCTTATTAATCTGGAATTCAGGCAGTAAACTAAAGTTGGTGTGTCTCTTAGCTTTGAAAAGAATGTTTATAGCCAAACCAGAAATGTAAGTAAGTATTTATCTGCTTCATCTAAAAAATATTTCATAAGAATTTATAAAACCATGTTGGAAAGGAAGAATAAAGCTGTGTGTATCAATTTGTATTACGTGAAGGTCTTGGGAAAAATGTGTGTCAATTGGATAATTAAGATAATTAGAAAAGCATAATACTACTTTAAATTCCTTTTTATGCATTTAATTAGTAACTCCTTATTGAAAGTAAGCAAATGTGTTGCATGGTTTTATAAAAAGTTTCATTCATTTTAACCAAAGTTACGTAGCCCATTTAAGGTGTCGATAAAATGTTAATACAATTTCTATTTAAGATTTTAAATTTAAGAAAACAGTCACTGTTAACTACATGCAAAGATTCTTTTATGTTTATCTTAAAAAGGTTAAAAATCTATAGCAAATTCTCAGCTTTAATTTACATAGAAGAAGGTAGACATACATGACACCTTTTCCCCAAATGATCTTGAAATTGGTTGACATTATTGCCTCATTTCATGTAATGTAATTATGAGACGTAGGGTATTTTCATTGTTCTGTTTCAGATTTTCTTTGTATTCCCCAAATATGTTTAGGTGTTTATGATTTGTAACAAATGTTTATGTATAAAAAACAAAAAGTATATTTTGATTAGAATGCTAGCACAGTATACTTTCAAAATTAATTCACAGTTGATGCATACAAGTTTTTCATTCTGTAAACATGGTCTCCCCAAATAATCTACTTTTTTAAATCTGATACAGACATATACCACAAAAAAAAAAAGAAAGAAACAAGCCAGGTGCAGCAGTTTGCACCTGTAATCCCAGTTACTTGGGAGGCTGAGACAGGAAGATCACCTGAGACCAGGAGTTTGAGTCCAGCCTGGGCAACATAGCAAGATCCTCTCTAAAAAACAAAACAAAAACAAACAAAAAATAAAACAAAGCTAAATGAGTAGAAAAAGATTTCAGGCAATAACATCAGCGCCTAGAAGCGCACCCAAAACCATACATGCACTGAAAGAATGATTTGAAATACCAGGTATAATGTTCTTATACTGACAAAAAAACAAAAAACCTGTTAATGGCCATGGTCTCAGGCGTTGTGTTTTGAACCTTCAATTCTGTACTTATTTACATGTTAGTGCACATTCTGAGCGAATGAATAAACATTTACTTGAACAGCAATATGTATTACTATTGTGAAAATAATTACTGAAATCAATGAAATGTGGCACATGTGTATATTTTAAATGACAGTCATAAAGAATAAGCATATGGATGGGCATAATCCTATCACTTAGGAAGGCCGAGGCGGGCGCATCACCTGAGGTCAGGAGTTCCAGACCAGCCTGGCCAACATGGTGAAACTCCATCTCTACTAAAAATTTAAAAATTAGCCAGGTGTGGTGCGGGGTGCCTATAATCCCAGCGGAAGAATGGCTCAAACCCAGAAGGCAGAGGTTGCAGTGAGCCAAGATTGGGAGGGGGAGGGGGAGGGAGGGAGAGGGGAGGGGAAAAGGAAAGGAAAGGAAAGAAAAAGAAAAGAAAGAAGAGAAAAGAAAAGAAGGAAGGAAGGAAAACAAAAGAAAAGTAAAAAGTGGGAAGCTTATTGAAAGAGCACCATTTTTTCCAGGCAGCTATTTACTCTACGCTTATATAGACTGACTAAAATACTCATCTCACTCTACTTCAAAACTATGACAAGAGTGCAATAAAATTAAGAGGTCAAAATAAAATCATCCCTGAGTGTTCCGTGGCTAAGTAGACGGGGGCATGAGAAACTGCCTTACTTCAGAGTTTGCTCAGAATGGGGCCACCAAGCTCCCAATTCAAAATCTATCCTGTCTGTGTCCCCAACTCTCCATTCCCCTTATCCCATTCCACTTTACTTTCTTCCATAGACTTATCGCCTTCTAACAACTGTACAAGTGATTTTATCATTTCTTACTAATTTATTATAAATATGGTTTTGGTCCATCTTCTCCCATTAGAACATAAATGGCACAAGGGCAAAAATGTTTGTGTGCTCAGAACAGTGCCTGGCATAGCTGGTACACCGTAAAACTCAGTTGAATGAACAGATTTGTGGTTTATGCCCAGAAATGAAGTCTGAAAATAAATATTTAAGATTGGCCAACGGCATAAAAAGCCAACTGTGACTCCAGTGAAGATCACATTTACCTTTTACATACAAGGGTTATAATTTTAAATCCATCACATTCTCAGGAATTTCATTATGACTTTCAGTTTTACAGTTATCTATATAAAATCCTCCAGAGCCAACTCTAATTCTACAAGCCTTCCATCAAAGTGCAACAAAAGATATGAGAATTCTAATAAACACACTAACACATTTAGTTTTGAGCACTTACTTTGCACTCTGCTTTATGTGGGAGGCTTTGTGTTATGCCACAGTTTTATGAAAAAATAGTGACAGTCTTATAATAAATGCCTGTTTATTCAAATTACCTCTGCAAGCAGTCTTTGGGCAGCACATAAGATTCAGCACAAAGGAGAGCAGAATAGTACTGATGCTCAAGCTAAAAATGTGAAATATACAGAAAGATTTATTATTAGTTTCTCTTGTACCTCCCAGCCAGACAGAACAAGTCGCAAATTGTCTGAATATCCACAAGATGAATTTTTGCTCTTGTTTTGGCTTAAACGTGAAAAGTGTTTTAGTTGCTTTTTAACACCTAAGTCTTCTCCCTGCTCCCTCCCTCACCCACACACACATTATTTGACTTTATTACTTTACTTTTCAAAAAGTTGGGTTTCACTGAAGATAAGACTTGTCATGTAGGAAAATGTATTAAAAGCCTGACATTTGGTTTCAACATACTTTCTAGAAAATGCTTTTAAATGCAGAAGGAAATTTAACAGAAACTGTCATTGAGATGTTTTGGTGGCTAAAATGAGGCTTAAGAAGAATACATTTTCAAAATGAAGAGAAAATTATAATACTTCTGATCACAGCTCAAAGTCCTCCATTATTGTATTTTTGCCATGGTAACAACTTGGTCTATTATTATTTCTTGATCATTAAATATAAGAATAAAAACCATATAGCATTATGATAATATAGAAAAATAATATTTTGTATTTTCTCAACAATATTTATGAAACGGTTTCAAAGCAAGTGTCACTTTTCCCAATGGCTTTGGAAACACTGGGCAAAAAATTATTCTCTTTTTTTTTTTTTTGAGACAGAGTCTTGCTCTGTCACTCAGTGGCACAGTCTCGGCTCAGTGCAACCTCCAACTCCCAGGTTCAAGTGATTCTCCTGCCTCAGACTCCTAAATACCTGGGACTACAGGTGACTGCCAACACATCTGGCTAATTTTTGTATTTTTAGTAGAGACGGGTTTCACCATGTTGGCCAGGCTGGTCTTGAATTCCTGACCTCAGGTGATCCACCTGCCTCAGCCTCCCAAAAAGTGCTGGGATTACAGGCATGAGCCACTGCACCCAGCCAGAAATTATTTCCAAGGAGGACTATGACACTTATACTTTTTCCATCTTCCTACATAAATACACATTGTAGGAGCCAAGGAAATAAATTCCTATGTATACAACGTTTCTATAATCATAAACTAAACAGTAAACAGTTAATTCAGGAATAACCCAGAATTTCCAAAATTTGTGTCCATGGCTTCATTACCTATTTCAGATGATAAACTTCTAGATAATCTAATAAGTGTTTTAACACTGAGGTTCAAAACCAGTAGAAGCCTACTGATATTTGAACATTTCATGTTTATCTTATTATGTTTAGTTAATATGTAAGTCCTCCTCCTCCTCTTCCTTCTTCTTCCCCTTCTTCTCCTTCTCCTCCTCCTCCTTCTCTCCTTCTCCTCCTTCCTCCTCCTTCCTTATCCTTCCTCCTCCTCCTCCTTCTTCTTTTAGACTCTGTTGCCCAGCCCAGAATGTGCAGTGGTATAACCACAGCTCTCTGTAATCTCTAATTCACTGACTCATGCAATCCTCTCATCTCAGCTTCCCAAGTAGCTGGGACTACAGGCACACACCACCTTGCCTGGCTAATTTTATTTTATTTTGTTTTGTTTTTTATAAAGATGGAGTCTCACTATGTTGCCCAGACTGGGCTTGAACTCCTGGCCTCCAGCACTCTCCCTGCCTCAGCCTCCCTCAGCGCTGGGAATTCAGGTGTGAGTCACTGCGCTCAGTCTCTTTTTTTATTTTTAGAGACGAGGTTTCACTGTATCTAGCTGGTCTTGAGCTCCTGGGCTCAAGTGATCCTTCTGCCTCAGTCTCCCGAACAGCTGAGACCACAGGCATGCACCACTATGCTGGGCAATAAATATTTCTTATTAAAACCATACTAGGTGCATGAATTGGCCTGCATCTTTGCACAGATTATTTTGTTTAACCCTCAAAACAAACCTAGAAAGTAGGTGTTTTTATTATCTCAAATTTTCAGATGAATAACTGAAGCCCAGAGAAAATTTGAATTGTTCCCGTGTCATGTGACTACTGAAGGGCATCACAGGACTGGAAGGCAGCCATCTTGTCCCAGAGGCTCATCTCTCATCTTCTATATTATCCTGCCTCACAGGATATAAAGAGATGGGGATTTCTCCACGTAACAGGCTCTAAGCTTCTGATACTTCCAATGTGCCATACACATAAGCTGAAAGGGTTTCTGAGTAAGGAATACAAAGAAGAAAGCAAATAATAGGGAATACTTCTGAAGGACAGTTACATAAAACCGCCTTGGCCATCACCAGATCCCACTGTACAGTGTCGTGCTGTACACAGGCCACAGTGGGGTAGAGGTGGAATGTTCTGTTAATGACACCAGGGGGCTGAAATTTCCAAGCCTCCAGCTGTACAGGCATTCTTGATTCTGGAAAGTTTCTAGATCTTTTCTTTAGTAGAACTATTACTAAGAAGTTTGCATTAATATACCATGCTTACATGATTTTCTTCCTCTTTTTTTTTTTTTTTTTTTTTTGAGATGGAGCTTCGCTCTTGTTCCCCAAGCTGAAGTGCACTGGCATGATCTCAGCTCACCGCAACCTCTGCCTCCTGGGTTCAAGTGAGTCTCCTGCCTCAGCCTCCCGAGTAGCTGGGATTACAGGCGCCCGACACCACACCTGGCTAATTTTTGTATTTTTAGTAGAGACAGGGTTTCACCATGTTGGCCAGGCTGGTCTCGAACTCCTGACCTCAAGTGATCTGCCTGCCTCGGCCTCCCAGAGTGCTGGGATTACAGGCATCAGCCACCGCACCTGGCCTTTACTCTATTTTTTATATAGAGACACAGGAAATACAATTCGCCTGAAGAGAAAATGTGATCTAACATGACAAAAAGAATAAAATGAATATTCTCCATTAAGTCTGTTCTGTTATAATCCAATTGTCACAGATTTAAGAAATACTGCCTTATACCAGCAATTGCTCCAAAATAGGAAAAGAACGTGTTAGGGGCTAAAGAGTTTCACATAAAGTTAATTTTCCTAGAGGAATTTCAGACTAAAGGCTAATAATCATAACAAATCTGTTGATCAAAACAGACAAGCCAAAACCTGAAATATTGCTGAGCAAATCCTGAACAGCAGAAAGATTAAGAGGAAACCAAAAGTTTCTAAGCCATCATTATAAGGCATACATGAGAAAGCACAAAACTGAAATACAATGCCAAGAAAAGTAGAAAATCAAAATAAATGGCAGCCAATTCACAATCACTAACCAAAGAAGGCAATGGCAACTGAACCCATTCAAACAGAGCAACAAGGCTTCTCCCTGTGTGCACAGCACCAGACCTCACAGCATCTGCATCTGAACCAGCAGCAATAGGGGAAAAGCAAAATGTACCCTAATTAATCAGGCCAGCAGCAACAGCATCATCTGGGAGCTTGTTAGAAATGCAGGCTCTCTGACCCCACCTCAGGCTACCAGATTAGAAACTGCATCTTAACAAGACCTCCAGGTGACCAGAATGCATGTTAAATCTGACAAGCCCTGGAATAGGGTCTGGAGGTCAGAGGAGAAGGGCAGGAGCTCCTCCCTCTGTATATTCTCCAAGACTACCTCTATCTATGGCAATCAAAAAACTATTGAGAGACAATCTCTGAACTCTGAAGGCAGTAGACAGATTATGAATATAACCTTTCGTGGTAAGTGGAAGACTTATCCCAGGTTGACCATGGGAAATGTGAACAAATTTGAGAGGGAAAGACCAGGAAAATCAGCACTTTAGGAATTTATTGAAAAATTTTAAGGAGCAGGGCAGTGAAATAGTAATGACAGGTGCAGTAAGAAACCCTGCCTAGACAGTGTGCAGAATTAGCGTGTAGGAAAGAGAGAGGTGAGCCCACCAAGCCTATTGAACTGACCTAGGGAGACCTACATTGGAAACTCAAGTTGTAGACGTGGGCAGGATTCAAGTGAACATAAACGCTTTCACTAGACTCACATCTAAACTTTCACAAAGCAAGGAGGTATCTGTCAGGAAAATGAATGAACAGTCCTTTAATCAAGGAGATTTTTTAAAAAGTAAGATATTTAGATCCAGCACAGTGTCAAGTACTGCCCTAATTTTAAGATTGGAAGCCATATTCTACAGTAAGATAAGAAGTAGGGTTCTGGTGTCCACCTGCTGGGGTCTGAATCGGTTCTGTAACTTAATGCTTCAGGATCTTAGACAAGTTACCTACTTCTCTCTGTGCTTCAGTTTCTTCATCTGTAAAACAGGGAATAATAAGAGTATTTACCATGTAGTCATGATGAGGACTGAAGGAATACACTCATAGCTCTTAGTTACTGTTATTATATAGCATGGAGGAAGGACAGGACCCTCTTAAAAACAAGTTAAAATTTAAAAACTTGCTTGAGACTGTTTGAAAGGAGTTGGGAACAGCAGAGGGTAGTGAAACATGACAGTTAGATCTTAGTAGCAGAGAAACCTAAGAAGTTCAAACAGATATTTTGGTTGTCATTGAAGCAATGCAATTAATTATTTACTTAAGGCCTGGAAATCTATAGAGAATGAGGAAACACTCATTGGCAGAAGCACCTATCAAAGGCAATATAAACGTTCACTGACTGTGCCACTTGGGAGCATCAGTATTTAGCATCTCCAGTTTAGGACTATGTCGAGGGAATATCCCTGTTGGAAGACAAAGGGGAAATCTCTGAGAATCAGGAATCAAACTTAAGGAATTTCAAACAGGAGACAGAAACAGCAGTCATTGCAATAGGATTGATATCACAGGGCTAGAAAAAAAAGGCTTTAGGATTCTGCTGGGAATTAAAAAATAAAGTGAGAAAAGGGAGGGGACCAACCCAAATACCCATCAATAATACACTGGATAAAGACAATGTGGCACATATACACCATGGAATACTATGCAGCCATAAAAAAGGATGAGTTCATGTCCTTTGCAGAGACATGGATGAAGTTGGAAACCATCATTCTCAGCAAACTAACACAGGAACAGAAAACCAAACACCGCATGTTCTCACTTATAAGTGGAAGTTGAACAATGAGAACACATGGACACAGAGAGGGGAACATCACACATCAGGGCCTGCGGGGTGGGGGCAAGGGGAGGGAGAGCATTAGGACAAATACCTAATACATGCAGGGCTTAAAACCTAGATGACGGGTTGATGGGTGCAGCAAACCACCATATGGCACATGTATACCTATGTAACAAACCTGCATATTCTGTACATGTATCCCAGAATTTAAAGGAAAGTAAAGAAAGAAAGAAGAGAAAACAATGAAAGAAAAAAAGCAAAGCACTTGGCCCCAAAACAGAGTCCACATTCAATTCAGAATTCGGGTACCAGGAACCCAAAGGCCAAAGGGGAAACAGGGCAACTGAAGTGCATACAATTAATCTCTTTACTGATGATTTCAGCCAGATGAATTTTAGTGCAATCAGTGATCACGGATCAGGACAATTAGCATTCAGACAGGAGAAGCGAAAATACCTCAGGTCATTCTATGATTTTTGGCTGACAATAGAATGTGGTGATATATAATTCTGGGAGCATTATTTTGCCTCAAAAGGTAGCTGGAATGATGCTGTGATATTCTTTTGTCCTGACGACCGTTTCAACTGCTGACCAGTAGGGCTGGGGTTCCATTACACAGTTTTGAGGAGGCTGATTAAGGCACACCCATGAAGAAAGGCCAAGTTGTGTCAGAGGAGTTTAAAGCTTCAGAGAGTTCCAGATCCACTATATCGGGGAAAGCCCACCAGAGTCTATCCCCCGCTGAATACAGCCCAAACCTCTGGACAGCGCACAAAAGGCAACAACCTAGGGACTCTGAAAGGCAAACAAAACCAGGCAGAGTGTAGATGGAGTCAAATCTGGAGAGGTGGCCTCCAAGATAATGAAGTTTCCCATTTTATTTTTCCCTCTAGCTATAGTCTCGATGTTTGTCCCCCCAAATTGCGTGTTGAAATTTGATCCCAGCATTGGAAGTGGGGCCCAAGGAGAGGTGTTTGGGTCATAAGAGCAGATCCCTCATGAATAGATTAATGCCCTCCCTGGCGTGAGGCAGTGAGTGAGTTTTCACTCTATTTGTCCCCCAAGAAAGCTGGTTGTTAAAAACAGCCTGACATCCCACCACTCCTGCTTCCTCTCTCTCCACGTGATCTCTGCACACACAGGATTCCCTTCGCCTTCCACAAGTCAAAGCAGCATGAGGCCCTCGCCAGATGCCCAAACTTCCAGCTATTAGAACCATCAGCCAAACAAATCATTTTTCTTTATGAATTACCCAATCTCAGGTATTCCTTTACAGCAACACACAACAGACTAACACATGCCTTTTTTTTTCTTTCTTTCTTTTTTTAATTAGAGAATCTTGCTCTGTTGCCCCGGCTGGAGTACCGTGATGCAATCTCAGCTCACTGCAACCTCTGCCTCCCAGGTTCAAGCAATTCTTGTGCCTCAGCTTCCCAAGAAGCTGGGACTACAGGCGCCTGCCACTACACCTGACTAATTTTTATACTATTAGTAGAGACAGGGTCTTGCCATGTTGGGCAGGCTGGTCTTGAACTCCTGACCTCAAGTGATCCTCCTGGCTTAGCCTCCCAAAGCGCTGGGATTACAGGCATGAGCCACTGCGCCCAGCCTCAATGCCATTTTATTACATGTCTTTCCCCTTGGCTGAGGAGAAGAGGCAACAGGGACAGAAGAGATGTTGCTGTGATCTGTGCTGGTGAAGGAGGCAGCACAGAAGGGACAGTGAGGTGGGAGAGGAGCAGGAGGTCTCAGGTAGCCCCATTGAGCTGGGAAATGCATGTTCTCTCAGCACACCTCTATAAGGATGAGAAGCAGGGCACTGTAAGCTATAAATAAATTCTTCCTCCTCCTCCTTGAGGAGGCTCAGTATAAATGAATTAGGAGATGTGGACATTATTAATAAAGGAAATTTTGAATTTCTTTTGAAGTATGTGAATATGTGTTTCAAAATAATGCAAACAATCTTAATATGTAATGATGCTAGTGTTCACTTCCAGGACCTACAGATGTGAGAAATTGCATCATTTCCCATGAGTCACCCACCATTTCTCAATGAACAGCATGGGTTGTAACCTTTCAAAGGACTCCATCTTACTAAGATGGGGTAATTCTCAGGTTCTCCATTGATTCTCATTTCCATAAGTATCATCACGAGTTTATAAAAGAACAATTAACAAGAGTGATATGGTTTGGCTCTGTGTCCCCACCCAAGTCTCATGTTGAACTGTAATTCTCAATGCTGGGGGAGGGACCTGGTGGGAGGTAGCTAGATCACAGAGGTAGATTTCTCCCATGATATTCCCACGATAATGAGTTCTCAGGAGATCTGATGGTTTAAAAGTATGTGGCACGTCCCCTGTCGCTCTCACTCTCTCTCTCCCCTGCTGCCATGTGAAGCCCGCTCCTGTTTCCCCTTCACCTTCTGCCATGCTTGTTAAGTTTCCTGAGGGCTCCCAGTCATGCTTCCTATATAGCCTGTGGAACTGTGAGTCAATTAAACCTCTTTTCTTCATAAATTACCCAGTCTCAGGTAATTATAGCAGTGTGAGAATGTACTAACACTAAGAGACACCATGCTCTTCTACTCCAAAACTTTTCTAAAATCATTGGCTTTGATCCTGGAAGTTTAAATATCTCTCGCTACATTTTTAAAGAAATGCATTGAGGATGAAGTGAAGATACATGGAGCTTGTGGCTACTCACATCTGTGAAGGGTGCACAAGATAGATGCTAGGATGCAAATCTGAGTCAAGGCAATCGATGTTTGTGAAAATACCCACATTCCTTTATTAACTGCCTTTTTATTTTGAGACAGAGTCTCGCTCTGTCACCCAGGCTGGAGTGCAGTGGCGCGATCTTGGCTCACTGCAACCTCCACCTCCCAGGTTCAAGGGATTCTTCTGCCTCAGCCTCCTGAGTAGCTCGGACTACAGGACTGTGCTACCACGCCTGGCTAATTTTTGTATTTTTGTAGAGATGGGGCTTCAATGTAGAGATGGGGCTTCACTGTAGAGATGGGGCTTCACCATGATGGCCAGGCTGGTCTCAAACTCCTGACCTCAAGTGATCCTCCCACCCTGGCCTCCCAAAGTGCTGGGATTAAAGGTGTGAGCCACGGCACCCAGCCAATTATCAACTTTAAAGCGACTTTGCTGACTCTCTAGCTTGAAATATCCTAGAACTCTGCTGTAATACTTTATTTCACTGAAGGTCTAAATGCCATCTGAAGCTTGTACCATGCTGCTGCCTCAAAATGCTTTGAAACGAACTTGCATTGTGTTCAAAAATATTCACTTCTATTATTTAATTGCCCTGATGTATGCTTCATATATTACAACAGTGTTTGCTATCCCCACTTGACAAAGGTTCCACTAAAACGACAGTACCGTTCTTCAGAAATGTCTTAAAAGTCTCTGCAAGTCAATTACGTACAAAAAACTAAAGATTTTGTTTCAGAGACAAGACAAAAGGTGTTGAAGGGGAGGAGATTTTTAGCTTGAAAACTTCAAGTATGATTCACTTTGAAGAGAAATTCTTACTAGCTCACTCATTTCCTCAGAATTACTCACAGAA
This sequence comes from Homo sapiens, assembly GCF_000001405.40. Classification (NCBI taxonomy): domain Eukaryota; kingdom Metazoa; phylum Chordata; class Mammalia; order Primates; family Hominidae; genus Homo; species Homo sapiens. The sequence continues at coordinate 28,089,659 of NC_000010.11, forward strand.
ACAAGCACTTACCAACCAAGACAACGAGTCTGTATTTTTCATTAGTTTGTCGCCGATACGGTGTCACTTCTTCGTATGTGGGTACGTCAGCTGTGTCGTACTGATCACTCTTCTTGCATTCATACATGGATTTATTTGTTTTCTTATCTTTTCTACTAAGACGAAAACTTTTTCTAAAACCAGCTGCAAATATTAAAATAAATATATTTTTAGTAACATCAACCAAAAAAGAAACCCTCAAAAAAAAAAAACCCTCAGAGTTGGGTTGGATTTTATTTACCATAATATTGGGTTTTTAAAGTTAAAACCCTAATGTTTTAGAGACAGGGTCTCACTCTGTTGCCCAACCTGGAGAGCAGTGGCGCCATCACAGCTTACTGCAGTGTTGAACTCCTGGGCTCAAGCGATCCTCCCACCTCAGGCTCCCAGGCAGGTGGGATTACAGGCACACATCACCACGGCTGGTTAATTTTTAAAATACTTTGTAGAGACAGGGTCTTGCTACGTTGCCCAGGCTGGTTTGAACTGCTGGCCTCAAGCAATCCCCCCAGTTTAGCTTCCCAAAGTGTTGGGATTACAGGCATGAGCCACTGTGCCTGGCCTATTCATCATAATATTGTTAGAAATGCATTCAGTAAGAAAAAAATAATAGTACACAATTTTATAAAAACAATAACTTAGATTTAATATTTATTTATGTAGTTATAATAATGTAAATTTTATTTGGTTTAAACAATAAAGAGCTCTGTTGAAAAATCATTGAGTAAAATAACTATAATAAAGCAAAATAAGTCAAAAATCATAATTTATCAAGAACTGATTGGTAAACACATTTGATATGAAAAAGTTAAAAACACTGTAAAAGCATTTTAAATGTAAACAATAAGTTCTCTCATTCATGAACATGAACAAAGTTTCTATTACATCCTAAGCATAACCTCACAACGTACCCATGGCACAGGCAGCATCTATTGTTAAACAAAAAGAAAACTAAATTAGGGAGTGTGTAGTGTAGCGTGTGCTTATGCGTCAGTCAGGCTGACAGAACAAAGCTCACCCAGTCAACAATTAGTTGATCTTCAGCAAGTCAGTTAACTTTAACTGGACTCCAGGGGATGGAATAAATCATCAAGCCTCAGGTTCTTTTCTCTAATGGAAATTCTATGCTTTCATAATGTGACACATATGAAATTAAGAAATAGAGCCAGCCACGGTGGCTCATGCCTATAATCCCAGCACTTTGGGAAGCCAAGGAAGGAGGGCAGATCGCTTGAGCCCAGGAGTTTAAGACCAGGTGGGGCAACATGGAGAAACCCCATCTCTACTAAAAATACAAAAAAATTAGCTAAGTGGTGGTGCACACATGTAATCTCAGCTACTCGGGAGGCTGAGACAGGAGAATCGCTTGAACTCAGGAGACAGAGGTTGCAGTGAGCCAAGATCGCACCACCGTACTCTAGCCTAGGTGACAGAGTAAGACTCCATTTCAAAAACAAAACAAAACAAAAAAACCCTTATATATATTTTATATCAGCTGCAAAGTTCAAAATAAAATGCAAGTACATTTTAAAGGTATAAAAATACATTCTCTTCAAAAAGAATATTCATCAACTTTGATAAACAGATAACTTTTTTTTTTTTTTTTTGAGATGGAGTTTTGCTCTTGTTGTCCAGGCTAGAGTGCAATGGCATGATCTCGGCTCATTGCAACCTCCGCCTCCTGGGTTGAAGTGATTCCCCTGCCTCAGCTTCCCGAGTAGCTGGGATTACAGGCGCATGCCATCACGCCCGGCTAACTTTTGTATTTTTAGTAGAGACGGGGTTTCACCACATTGGCCAGGCTCATCTCAAACTTCTGACCTCAGGTAATCCGCCCTTCTCAGCCTCCCAAAGTGCTGGGATTACAGGCGTGAGCCACCATGACCAGCCATAGATATCTTTTTTATAAACAGAGGTATTTTGTAACAAAATGAAAAAAATGTAATAACTAATCTGTGTGGATTTTAGTGAATATAGTCAGCTGTCTGAATCTGTGGGTTCCATCCATGTGGATTTAACCAATTATGGACTGAAATTTTTTAACTGTATCTCTATTGAACATGTATTGAGTGTTATTTCATCTGTATTGAGACTTTTGTCCTTGTCATTATTCCCTAAACAATAGAGTATAATAATTTACATAGCATTTACATTGTATTAGGTATTACAAGTAATCTGGAGATGATTTAAAGTATACAGGAGGATGTGCATAGATTACATGCAAGTACACATTTTATATCGGGGCTTGAGCATCTGCAGATTTTGGTATCCAAGGGGGTCTTGGAACCAATCTCCCATGGATATCATAGGATGACTGCATGAAGGAAATGAATAATTGTTACCATTGGGTTTAAGAAATTAACAGGATTCAAAATAAAGGAAATGTGAAACAATTACCAATGACTAACAATGGTTTTATGTGACTCACCTTATGGATTCAGAGTTTGATAAAAATTGATCAAGATATTAAGGACAGAGTGACTAAAGTTTATCTGATAACATGTTTCTGTGGCCCTCTAAGAGTCACTCCGATTTTGAGAAGATATTTGAGTTGAGAGAAAAGGTTATTTATAAAGGATCTAAAACAAGGAAGACAGTTGTTCTAAAGCTCCTTTACAAAGGTAAAGAGGAGAAGAGAATAGGACAAGTTGTAAACACATGGGTGTCTTATAAGACAAGAGATGACATCTGAGGAAAGCTAGAAGGTAAATACATCCCTCTGGCCCTAGGATGAGAAAAAGAGGTGGAATTATAAAATCACACATGCAGAGAGGATTCAAACTTCTATGTAAAGCGCCAGAGAAAAAGTTATTTATTACTTTTTGTTCATCTTGTTTTCTAGGTTGTAGGGAAAGCTTCATAGAACCCAGAAAAGGGACCTTTTTTTTTTTTTGAGACAGGGACTGGCTCTGTTGCCCAGGCTGGAGTGCAGTGGCAGGATCTCGGCTCTCTGAATCCTCTGCCTCCCAGGCTCAAGCCATCTTCCCACCTCAGCCCCCTGAGTAGCTGGGACCACAGGCATGTGCCACCACACCTGGCTCAATTTTTTTTTTTTTTTTTTTTGAAGAGATAAGGTTTCGCCATGTTGCCCAGGTTGGTCTTGAAGCCCTGAGCAAAAATGATCCGCCCACCTCAGCCTCCAAAAGTGCTGGGATTATAGGCATGAGACACTGAACCCAGCCACCTTCCTATCACAGACATAACACACTACACCAGAAGTAGCCAAGGTCTTTACAACTACCCCTTGTGCTTGAGCACAGTGGTTCTCAGACAAGGGTCTCTTTCTAATTGCAGAATTTAGTTATCCCAAACCAACCCCAGCACCTACTCTGTCACGGATGTGTGCTGGCCCAGACTGTAGCCCAGTATTAGCACGGCTTCTGGTTTAGAACAAAGATGATACATGAGCTACTCTAACAACAAAAGTTAGAATGCTGATATTTCACAGCATTCTAATTTCATGTTTCCACAGCTCTTGCCTCATGAGAGGCAATTACAGAATAAGCAGGTAGAACTATAAATTCCTTTATAATTATTCCCTGTATGGAGGGAGGCTTGCTGTCAAGTCTCTACAAACTTTTGGCACAGGAATGGATATAACAAGAACATAAATGCTTCATCCACAGGAAATAACATCCAAAAGTAAAAACCTGACAAATTTCTGATGAGCAAATCACAGCTAAATCTTGAATTTCAATGTGCTTACCTAATTGAGCCTTTAAAATTCACTTAAGTTTTTACTTTCCTTTTTTTTTTTTTTTTTCTTGAGACAGGGTCTCACTTCTGTGGCTCAGGCTGGAGTGCAGTGGTGCAATCTCAGCTCACTGCAGCCTCTGCCTCCCAGGTTCAAGCGATTCTCATGCCTCAGCCTCCTGAGTAGCTGGGACTACAGACGCCTGCCACCACACCTAGCTAATTTTTGTATTTTTAGTAGAGATGGGGTTTCTCCATGTTGGCCAGGCTGGTCTCGAACTCCTGACCTCAGGAGATCCACCCGCCTTGGCCTCCCAAAGTGCTGGGATTACAGGCATGAGCCACCACACCCAGCCAAGTTTTTACTTTCATCATAAACAATGAAGAGTTAGTGAGGAAAAGAGAAGGTAATCAGATCTCTTAAGGTGATGTTGCATGAGTGTCAAAGATGGGGACCATGTTGCATAGATAGTTGGGTGATGTCAGTTGTGCAAGGCTTGCTACAGAACAGTTGCTTGATAAACGTTTACTGAATGGAAGTAATTTTAAAAGGCAGCAACAAAAACCCTACTATTATTCCTGTTTCATCTGCTTCATGTAAATTTCAACAAAGAAAGCATGACACATTAGGCATTTTCTAAGAGTTAAAATTCTAAAAGGTGTCAAAGGCTAACGCTCTGCAAACAAGAAAGCCTTAGAGCTGGAAGAAACTCTGGAGGTCATCTGAGTCTGCTCCCCGCGGGGCAGCCATACGCTGCACTTGTTCACATCGGTTTTTCAGTAGCAACAGCAATCAATTCACACAGGTTATGAAGCTTCAGTGCCTTAATGCACAGGAATTCACACAGGTTATGAAGCTTTAGTGCCTTGAACGATATTTTACAATGCAAAGGAGCAAAGGCAGTGAGGTCGCAACAGGGGTTCCATGGGAGCAGCTGGTCACTGATTGTTACCAAGCAGAGGCTGGCAGAGGATCCGGACCAGTACCTAGGCTCTGCTGACTTACTTCTCCACAAGGCTCATTTCCTCTACTTTAAAATACAGATTATAGTAGTAGCTGCCTCACAAGGTGGTTAAGGATTAAATAATTCATGTAAAGCTTTCGGTCCCATCTGTGGCATATGGTAAGTGCTTTACATGTTAGCTACAGATTCATGCTGCAATGCCTCCAACTACTTAAAAGAACCTTGAAGGCAGGAACATGTATCCCTTGTAGTCCCATAGCATGGTGTCTAGCAAAAATAAAAAAAAGCGGGGTGAGGAGGGGGAGTTAAGAGGCTCACTAATTAGTTTCAAATTGACTAATAGTATAAAACAGATAAAATGTTAAAATTAAAGCCAGATTTAAATATGTTAAATATTGTAGATGCCTAAAGTACCTTATTAAGTATTAAGACATTTTAAATACAACAGAAATAGCCAGATGTGGTGGCACATGCCTATAATCCCAGCTACTTGGGAGGCTGAGGCACGAGAATCACTTGAATCCAGGAGGTGGAGGTTGCAGTGAGCCAACATTCCGCCACTGCACTCCAGCCTGGGCAACAGAGCAAGACCTTATCTCTAAATAAATAAATAAATAAGTTTAAAAAATACAACAGAAAGGTTTAGTATGTATTAACTATTTTTTCATTTGTCTTCATAGATTCTCTTTCTAGGGATATAGTTATTTGTTACCATATTTACATTGAAAGAAAGTATCCTTTCCTTTGGTCTTACTTTTTACTTACTCCCCTGATTCACAAATACATATTAATGCTCATATTTACATACACACATATCTGATATACATACACACATATGCATATATATATATATATATATATATATATACAGAAACATATATACATGTACAGACATATATATGTATACACATGCACAGACAGGGTGAAAAGAAGGAAAAATTGCCAGCCCAGACAACCAATAAAATAGCCAGAACAAAAGATACAGCAAGAGTTATGAAATTCAGAGTATTTATTTGTGATGATTTTTCAGCCTGCCCCATACTCCTAACGGCAATTTTTCTAGATTCTGTCCCCCATGGGTAGTCAGAGGTGATAGCACACTTCACATGTCCTTCAAGGCAGTACAGAGGCTGTAATTTTCCAATTTCAGTAAAATAATGAGCGATGTGTCAGTACACCTTAGTTAAGTCTAAGCTTAAGGGAGAGTAATTCTGTGTCAGAAAAAGGGAGTTAATCGTTTCTTGCCTTCAGATCTTACTTCTCGTATTAAAAGGAAGACCAAAAAATGTGACCTTAAACTGAAAGTACACAGAGGATTCTTTTAGATAAATGTGAACCTGTTTGATTTCAGTTCACTTTCAGTGCAAAAGTTTTAGCAAGAGCTGGCTTTTAAAAAGACGGAAGGGAAAGGGGTACATTAACAAGGAATTTAGAGTAAGGGAACAGTTTTACATAAAAAATATTTTTCCTTACATTTCATGTTTTTGCAATTTATAATTGGCTCAACATTTTTATGGACAGGCTTTTTCCAGGGAGCTTACCCACAGCTGCTAGAGATTTGTGTTTTTGAAAGGAACGGCACGTTTAGTTTATTACAATAGGAAAGTGACTTCAGAGTTAAGACTGCAGCTGCAGGTCAGTCCCTAATCACAGACACCGCTTATCTAATATTTTCCAGTAGAAAATTTATGATGACTTGTTCATTTATCATTTAATTTATAGCTTTGGTGAAAGTTAAAAATTTAACTGTAAAGGGAGAGATCTGAGTTGCTCGTTATTTGCTTCTTAGTTCAATAAGACTGCAATAAACATCCCTTTATCCCATGTCACTGATGACTTCATTAGGGCAAATTGCTAGAAACTAGACAGATCCTGTCCAAATGCTTCTCGGATTGATTAATATCAATATCCATTCCCACCAGCAGTATGTACAGTGGCCCATTTCACCATTCTCTCATCAAAGGACTTCTAATCTCTTCTTTAAAATCTTCAGTGATTTGACAAGTGAAAACTGTACATCACTGTTATTTTAACGGTTAGTGGAGTTGAGGGTATTTTTTTCATGTTTATTACTCACTTGCATTTCTTACTTCTGTAAATTGTTGGTTTATAAATTTTGATCACTTTTGGAGTAGAGTCTTCATAAATACATATACATAGGTATCTTTCAATAAGGTCACGAGCCCTTTGTTCTATTTGTTAAAAAGATGTAAGGTTTTCAATTTTCCTTTTAACTGTCATCATAAAGAAATTTAAACTGTTTACGTGTTTGAATTTATAAATATCTTTCCTTTGTGATTCCTTCCATTGTTTCTATAACTTTTCCATCTTAGTTCTGATAAATATTCACCAATATTTTCTGAAGTGTTAAAAAGTGGGTTGCACAGCTTTACACTTAATTTTTTAATTCCATCTGGAATTACTGACATGTAATCATGATGAAATCAGGCCTGGGAAGTGTGGCTGTAACTTTATATTTTTCTAAATAACTAACCAATGGTCTCAGAAATACTGAACAACCCTTTTACTACTTTATGTTGACATATACATTGTATTGAAATACCAGATGGTACATTATTATGCCATGACAGAAAAAGGTGATTCTTGGTCTAAATTTAGCTTCTCTTTTTATTTTTATTTATTTACTATTTTGAGAAAGAGTCTCATTCTGTCATCCAGGCTGAAGTAAAGTGGTGCGATCACGGCTCAGTGTAGCCTCAAACCCCTGGGCTCCAGCGATCCTCCCACCTCAGCCTCCCAAGCAGCTGGACATACAGGCACACGCCAACACACCTAGTTACTTTTCAAAAACTGTATTTTGTAGAGATGGAGACTCACCAGGTTGCACAGGCTAACCTCAAACTCCTGGCCCCACTTCAGCCTCCCAAAGTACTAGGTTTACAGGCATGAGCCACCATACCTCGCCTTTCATTCTCTTTTTAATAATATCAATAAATTCTCTTTTTAATAATAATATCAAATAATAATAATAATATCAGTATAAGTGGTGGTAGTGGTTGATATTTGTCGGGCACATGTTAGATGACTGGCACTACTCAAAGCACTTTATGTGTGATGAATTTATTTAATTCTCACAGCAACCCTATGAGGTGGGTATAACAATCCATGTGTTTAAGTACACTCTTCAGTGTAATCAACAAAGATGGCCAAAGCTTTGGTTCAAGTATTAAATGATAAAATGAAGTCAAGAAGAAAGTTTCAGACATTACCCTATATACATAGATGCATAATAGAAAAAAAATGAATTTAGTTCATTTCTATTACATTATGTTAGGTATGAAATAATTTAATAGAAAAAATTAACAAAGGACCAACGGTTTAACTTAGGGATTAAAAACATAATTTTTTCCTGATAGAAGACGTTTTCCAAATAAGGAAATAAGGAAACACATTTTAACACTCCCCTGTATTAGAAATACAAAAATATGTAAGGCAGTGTCATTGGCTCCCAACCACTAGGGGACAAAAAACTTATTCTCAAATGCTTGTAATTTAAGGTGTTTTCACAATGCAGGACCATGACTAGAAAATAAAGACTTTTTGCAAGTATTCCAGTCACTCCAATTTCTCTTAAGTAAAAAATTTTAAAACTTGGACAGTTGCAATTTGGTCACTTTCAAAGCTATTTCTCGACATTGCATTTGTAAAACATTATTCACCAATACAGTATTAACCTTAATGCTTACATACATAAATTAAGAATCATTTGTTATTAAAATAAGTTTCATATTATAGATAAATATTATAACTACCTATACTATAATTTCAAATGTTAGCAATATTTTTTAACAATTAAAAAACTTGGAAGTAACCAAGATATGCAGAAGTATGGAAATGATCAATTAACTTATAAAACACCTTCTCAAAGAAATGAAGTTGAAACTATTAAAATTATAAAACTACATAGTACCATAGAAATGCATTTCATACAATAAATGGGAAAAAAAAGACAGGATACAATCATCATACTTACACTATGAGTTTTACTTTTTTTAGTAATATAAAGACTGTTATGGATACAGAAATATAGAAGAAAATATGTTTTTTAAAAAGACAATGGTTGTGTTAGGTAGAGAGGGCTGTGGACAATTACTTGTTCTATTTTTCAAACTTACTGTAATATTATATATGTTTCAAAATTACTAGATTATATAATTATATAAAATTACATAATTTCAAATTTATAATTTTAAAAAGAAAACATAAAAATATATGAACCAACAACAAATGAAATGAACAAACAAATGAAATCCGTATTGGCAGATGTAGTTGTGTGGTTATATCAGCACGTAACACAAAATACATATTGGTTATGTCTCAGAGGCAAGTTCTAATCATCTATATTTTTCAGTGATTATGGTAATAGACCAAATTTGTATATTAACAATAGTTAGGAATAGCCACATAAATTCAAGCATAAAGCAAGCAACAAAAGCAAAAATCATGGAAAAGTATAAAAAATAAGAATATAATATAAGAAGTTAAGAATAAGGGCAAGGAAGAGAGAGAACCAGAAGTCTCACCTAAGTAGTAACGATGAAAAAAAGAAGTACTTACAGTTTCGAAACTTACAACCAAACTAATAAAATGGATAAAAATCCTTTCTAAAATAACAAATTATTATATTCTTTGGCTCTCACAAACACATAATTTCAATGTAAACTTATAATGTACCTATATTTGTAATTTTAATGATCTCACTTTTTAATAAAATATTGACCTTTAAGATGGCATTTTATTAAAAATACATGATCATTTTAGCTACAAACATGGCCATTAACATAAAAGGCCCTCAAGCAAAGTCAAGATAACTCACCACCCATACTAACAGCCTCCAAAAAATCGCACATGTAAATGAGGGGGAAGTGGGACTTGGCTTTCTGTTAACTCAAAGAAAATCAATACTACTACGTTACCACCTGTAATTTTTCAAATGGGACAGTTTAGATCTTTGATTATATTTCTTTTACATAACCAACCTGGTCTAATAACATCAGATAGTATGCATTTCTAATGTTAAAAATAAGCTTTTAATATGTTTAAATTTTATATGTGTTGATAGCATGGGAAAAGAGGTCCTAGTGAAATAGTCTTGACTCATAACAGAGGATTAGAGAAGGAGCCACTCTAAAGTTCCTAAGGTTTAGGCCGGGTGTGGTGGCTCACGCCTGTAATCCCAACCCTCTGGGAGGCCGAGGCGGGTGGATCACCTGAGGTCGGGAGTTCGAGGCTAGCCTGACCAACATGGAGAAACCCCGTCTCTACTAAAAATACAAAAAAATCAGCCGGATGTGGTGGTGCATGCCTGTAATCCCAGCTACTCGGGAGGCTGAGGCAGGAGAATCACTTGAACCCAGGAGGCAGAGGTTGTGGTGAGCCAAGATCGTGCCATTGCACTCCAGCCTGGGCAACAAGAGTGAAACTCCATCTCCCAAAAAAAAAAATAAATAAAAAATAAAGTTCCTAAGGTTTTAAGGAATACATTTGTTTGATACAAACAGTCTAGAAAACTGCTTCATTTTTTCAACGGAGAAAAAAAAACATTTAAATTCTTTTTTTCTCACCTTAAAATTACTAAAATGCATATTTTTTTAATCAGAAGATTTTTTAAAATCATTGTATGAGTTATTTTTTGCATCTTAAAAATCGGATTCATTTGACCAAGCAAATATTTAACTGATTCAATAGGTACCTTAACTACAAGGAAAAAAAAAATTTACTATAAGTGAACTTCTTAAGAAGATTAAAAAAAAAAAAAACACGTAGACATTAATAAAAACTAAGCAGCTGGAAATTATTATATGATATTAGGTTTCTGACAACCAAACATTGAACATTTCTACTAATAAAAACATTTTGAATATAATGCCAATGCTGTTATAATAGTGCAAATCATAACCAACATAGTAACATGATCTTAATAGAAAATTATTATCTAAATGATGCTCTCATTATATGCCAATCATAAAATTATCCCAAAGACTATGGAGGATAATTAAGAACATCTTACAGTAACAAACAAGTAAAAATCTTGGGAGGAGGTTTAAACTGAGAAGAAATGCTAAATCTAGATTTACTGAAGTCTAAAGGGGCTAGGTTAGTCAGCTTCCGTATTGATCTTACAAAACAATGTCAGAAAAAAATCACCAAAGAAAAATGAACATTTTCATGGATTATATTAGCCAATTATACACATGCTAATTTTGTAGATAAAGGGGAAAAAGGCTTTCAAACATACTATTAGAAAATTCATCTCTGCAATGTTGCAGGTTCAAAGTTGCTCTCAGTAAAATGTAAAGAAATGTTCACATGCCATAAACACCCTTGAGTCTTTCAGCTCATCTCAGGCTAAAAATAAAAATAGAAACTCAAAGTACCTAATGAAACCACAAAAGTTAATAAAAGATATCAATTTGCAATTTTCAAAGAAAAATATTACTTAGGTCTTTAAAAGTTTTCCTGATACCACTTACAATTCGTTTTTAAAGTACAGCACAGAACATCACCATAAAAATGGAGAGAGAGAGAAGAAACCATATGAGAATTTAATTTTTTGTAAGCCGGCTAATAAAGAAATAAGCTCTTACTTATACCTTCAAAATTATGAGAAAATACAGTTATGCATATGTAAAATTGTATATAAAAATATGGTTCTGAACAGAGAGAAAAACTGATTTGAAATTTTAATATGTTTTCTCAGTTGAGTCTGTGCAACTTAAAATTCTCCAAACACAAATGGTTTCTTTCTGTCAGAAAAAAATATTTCCAAGTAGTATTCCAGACATGCTGAGATTATGCAGCGTTCTTTCATATTCAAGAAAGAACCTGTGTCACTTCTGAAAGAATACCTCTAAGTGTTCCCTATGCATAAATATAATGTTTAGGAAAAATATTAAGGCAGTATATTTAGACATAGCTGTACTTAATTTGCATGACATTCTTTAATAAAATGATTGAATATTGAATAAATGGAATATTTACTGGATTTATAAAACATGCAGATAACTTGTTGAAGATCAGTGTTGCTTCAACATAGGAGGACAGACAGAAATAAGAAACAGATTAGGAAAAAACACCTAGGAGTAGATGTGGGTAAATAATAACATTTGAAAGAAATAACAACAAATGGACAGTTTCATTTTTATTTAACTTTATGGCAAACCCCTCTTAACTTACATTAAGTCCCCAAACTGATCTTGTTTTAAAAGAATGTATGAAGTACTCCAGAGCAAGGGAAAAGTAGAGAAAGAGTGACTTTTCAGGAAATTATTTGTAAGAAAGTATGTTAGAAAAGAGATGCATGGTAAGTGATGCTTTGTGAATTGATTAGAACAAGTTTTCTATAATGAATTAACCAGAGGAAAACAGTCTGTAAATCTGACCAATGTTACAAAAGAAATTACTCTTCATATGGATTATTTTGTACTGCAGTAGGAAAAAGGAGAATTTTTAATGCTGATGGTTCGACCATCGAGAAGCAATTATACTTTGGAAGCAAACATACTGTTCTGAAAGACCAAAAATAAACTAACTTCTATGCCATCCACCAAAGCTAAGCAAAATTTTCAAAAGCCTATAGGAAGAAATGAATTTTTCCTAATAATTCATATATATGCAAGCATATACATATATAAACATATATGATTTGACAGTCTTTATATACAGGCAGCCCTTGACTTGCGGACATTCAACTTTAAATGGTGTAAATTTCTGCAATTCATGCAATTCATGTTTACAGCATACTAGCAATTCACCTTCATGTTATTATTACAATTTAATTTATTTTTAAGAGATAGGGTTTTGCTCTGTCACCCAGGCTGGAGTGGCATCATTGTAGATCACTGCAGCCTTGAACTCCTGGCCTCAAGTGATCCTCTCGCCTCAGCCTCCGGAGTAGTTGGGATTACAGGTGTGCACCACTGCGCTTGGATTATTACAAAATTTTATGCAAACTACATACAACTTCCATTGCCCAGTGAGCTTTTTCCTTTCTTTTAATAATAACAGCCAAACCTCTTTCATTAATAAACATGCTAACCTCTAAGAAATGAGGTATGTTACAGGTCAGTAAGAATCATACCACATAGTGTACTTTCACACCAGTGATAGCTTATTAAATATGGTTTTAAAGTATAATTCTCATAAAAATTGGCATTTAAATCTTGGAGTGTCATAGATCTCTATTTGGATGTCAACTCAATACGCCTCAAATGGAATCCCTGAACTTTTCCTCAGCCCAACCTACTCCTCTGCAGTCTTTCCCATCTCAGTAAATAGTAACTCCATCTTCATAGTTACTAAATCCAAAAACCATACACCCATCCTTGGTTTGCCACTTTGTAGGGAAATCTCCTCAGTTCTACCATCAAAATATATCCAGAATGGGACATTTTCTCACCACCTCCACAGATAATATCTGCTTCCAGCCACCATCATCATCTGCCTGAATGACTACAGGAGCTCCCTGCTTCTGCTGTTTCTCCCTTACAATCCATTCCCAACAGATCAGCCAGCGTGACCCTTACACACAGAAGGCAGTTCATGTTACGGCTCTGCTTAGAGCCCTTCAATGATCTGGAGTATAAGAGCCAAAGTTCCTCCTCCCACAAACATTCTATTATCTTGACAACCTCAATTCCTATCACTCTCCCCATTCACTCTGCTCTGGTCACTCTGGTCTCTTGACCCATCTTTAGGGCCTTTGCACACACTTGTGCACAATGCGTCCTGTCTCAGGGCCTTTGCACATGCTGTTGGGGGGTCAGACCGTGCACATGCATCCTGTCTCGGGGCCTTTGCACACACTGTGGGGGCCTGTACACATGCATCCTGTCTCAGGGCCTTTGCATACGCTGTCTGGGGCCTGTGCACATGCATCCTGTCTTGGTGCCTTTGAACACACTGTCAGGGGCCTGTACACATGCATCCTGTCTCGGGGCCTTTGTACACGCTGTTGGGGGCCTGTGCACATGGATCCTGTCTTGGGGCCTTTGCACATGCTGTCGGGGCACCTGAACACATGCATCCTGTCTCAGGGCCTTTGCACATGCTTGTACCACTGCTTGGAATGCTTATTCCCAACAAGCTCACTTCAGGTTTTTGCTCAAACGTGGCCTTCTCAAGGAGGCCTTCTTTGACCACCATATTTAAATTTGAAATGCCCATTTCCCCAGCTCCCTCATCACCCCATCTTCATTTCCACCTTACTTTTCTTCTTAGCACTTATTACCATCTAACGAATTATTCAGCAATTTGTCTCCACTCCTACTCCCAACACAAAAGTACTAGAAAAGGAGGATGTTTGTTTTGATTTCTGTTGAAACTCCAGTGCCCAGAACAGCATCTAGAATGTAAAAGGCACTCAAAAATATTGTTATAAAATCCAGAAATAGCATTATAAGAAAGTTATATGCTACAAATACCAGAAGAAAATGGCAACCAGAGCTAAGGTGGTTCTCTCTCGAGAGAAGCCATAGGAATGGGGAGGAGGAGGAGGAAAGGAGACTCCTGCTTTGGGTTGCTGGACTTGCAATACTATTTGACTTTTCAAACAATTTATTAAATGGAACCATGTGAAATTGCTGGCATTGTTATTGGTTTTTGACTGACAAAACAGCAATTTCATCTGCTTCAACCAAATGCATATAGTACTTTGGAGAAAACATATAATTTTAAATTATTTTAAGTAATTTTGGTATGAGGAATACAAAAAGAAAAGAGAAGACAAAAGGGAAGTGATTCACAGATTTGGCTAGGTGAAAAGAAAAATACCTACATGCTCTAAAATTTAGCAAAGAAAAAGTTAAGACACAACCAGAAGACCAGAAGAAAATGTGGGCAACAGAGAAGGGATGAATATTCATAATATAAAAAGAGCTCATCAAATTAACAGAAGACTGATGAATAACCCAACAAGAAAAGGGGGCAAAGAAATGGTTAAGAGGAAAAAACAAGTGGGATTGGGAGGAAAACTACTAAAAAGTCCCACAATTACGATAAGTCACAGAACATTTTAACACGTTTTTTAAATACATATGTTTACCATAGAATAGTTTTGCCATTTATGTTAGCATGTTGCTTATAAGCCTTGTTTTAAAAACACATAAGATCTGTAGGCATTTTTAGGATTTGGCTTTTGGGGGAAAAATAGAATTCCACAAGATAATTTTCTCAAGCTATTTGTAACAAAGTAACTTTTTAGCAATATATTCTTTTTTAAATGAGAGACTATGATCAAACTTGCTTATTCTACAAAAGAACTAACGTCAAATCTTTGGTCATTAGTTGAACAGCTTCCATAAAAGAAGATACTTTTATCAGCAACACTATTCATTTATCTGTCCTATTATTTCACTGTGGAAGGATGTATTCTTTTTAAAAGTCTTTTTATACCGTATGACTCTCTTCTCAGGTACCCTCCTAGGTTTCCTAATCTTGGTGGTATCTCAAGGAACTTCCAGGTGCACTAACCTTGTGGTTGTCTCTTGCACACATTAGAATAAGTATTTAGACCAGGAGGACATAAAGAAATGCTGTCATGGTGCACATATACTAAAACACATTGGTCACATTTCTCCCTTTGCCATACTCAAGGATGGAAATGAAGCTATTTTTTCTAAGACCAAGAGTTGAATGGAGTGAATAGCTGTACTCTATAATCCCAGCTAGTCGGGAGGCTGAGGCAGGAGAATCGCTTAAACCAGGGAGTTGGAGGTTGCAGTGAGCCAAGATCGCGCCACTGCACTCTAGCCTGGCGACAGAGTGAGACTCCATCTCAAAAAAAAAAAAAAAAAAAAAAAAAAGCAAAAACCCTGTCAAAGCCAGGTAGGCAGAAAGACCTTAAGTTATCCATCTGCCAATAAGAATACATTTTGCACAACATCAGCCCTTGAAGAAACATATTGTCTCATTTTTCTAGAAATACTCTTGGGTTACCTTTACTTTCCCATGGTTGAAAATATGGATACAAAGAAATACTTTGCTATTATAGCACAAGCACCAGTACAACTGTTAGGAGAATGGTAACTGACAACCTGTCTCAGAATTGGCAAGTAATGAGGAATGGTGTGGACTGCGATGAACTGAAGTGCTCTTAATCTCTCCATTAAGGAATCAGTTATAATGCAGCTCAGCTAATTATTATTATTTTGAGACAGAATCTGGCTCTGTCACCCAGGCTGGAATGCAATGGCGCGATCTCAGTTCACCGCAATCTCCGCCTCCTAAATTCAAGCAATCCTCCTGCCTCAGCCTCCTGAGTAACTTGGATTACAGGTGTGCGCCACTATGCCCAGCTAATTTTTGTATTTTCAGTAGAGAAGGAGTTTCGTCACATTGGCCAGGCTGGTCTTGAACTCCTGACCTCAGATGATCCACTGGCCTTGGCTTCCCAAAGTGCAAGTGCTGGGATTACAGGCATGAGTCACCACGCTCTGCCTCAGCTAATTATTAACATCGGGAAATGAAGGCCTATTTTGCACAAACCTTTTGTTCTGCCAAATGAGCCAGAAATTTTCATATGAAATTTCTCAGTTTGTAGGTCTAACAAAAAATATGGATCTTTGTCCCAACACAGTCTGCAGAGTGTCTGTGAGCCACCAGTTTGATATGAATTATTACATGATTCATGCTATTCTCATTCTACTTAGATGGTCCCGTTTTCTTCTATAATTGTCTGATGTAGAATGGTCTCTTGGAAGCACAAAGCTCATCACCTTTTCCAAAGAAATAATTTTGCTGGGCCATGGGATATCTGTATGCTTAACTTCACCTGCTAGTGCCAAATTATTTTATCTAAACCCTCCCATAGTCTTAATTCCACCCAATCTAGTCTTATTTGGACTTTTTTCTCTAACGGAATTGATCGCTAAAACTGTGCTTCTAGACTATTACCTCTCGCTACTAAAAGCAGAGAACTTACCAGGATACCTATCTACAGCAGTGGGGAGAAAGTCAGAAGAGAAGTGTAGGTGAAGATAAGATGCCTGTAACAATTTCTAGGTAGTCCTGCTTTTGTTTATATTAATAACATCCCTTGGCATCTCCAAACTGGAGATTTCCTTAGAAAGTTAATCATAAGTTGATTATATTGGGGGCTGTTTAGCCAACGGTTATTTAGAGGGGTTATGGGAATAAGAAGTCATAAGGAAACATAATCAAAAAGATATTTGAAAGAAAAAGTTATTTAGAAGCTTTGAATCATTTACAGTTAACCACAATTATTTCCTTTTTCAGATATTCAATTCTTTACCATTGGCTCGGTCATCTCTGCCTATAAAAATGATCATATTATCCTCTCTCCCACTGGAGCACTCCTATCCTCAACTATAAAAACTGCCTCGGACTCAACGGCAATCCTTCCTCTGCTGTCAACTCTGTCACTCCTTGACACCTTGCAATTTGGCTTCCGGTGAAAATGTTTCTCAGATGTTATCAGTGATTCCGCGTTGCCAAATTCAATGGCATTTTGTCAGAACTCATTGTCTTTATGTGCTCTAAAGAAACCCATATTTCTGATCACCCCTTCCTTTTGCACATCAATGTATAATATAATACATCTACTGATTAAATACTCATTTTACAAAACTCCTAAATGCTAGAAGAGAGACACAGATTTAAAATCCATATTTTGTTCTTTGGACGAAATTTTACACAAAGAATAACACTGAGTACCAAAATCTGGCAAAACTTTAATAAATGTGTCAATTACTTAACCTAAAACTTATGATCTCACCTTATCCAGTACCAAACTAAATTTCCAGGCCCACCATCTACATATCATCGAACTTAAATATGTCCAGTGCTCTTTCCGTGCTATTTTCTTCTATCTTTATCCCCCATGCTACCTGGAATTACAGCTAACCCTTGGTGCCCAGCTCTAATGGCCTCTCTTGTGGGACTGGGTCCCTGGTTGCTTCAGGCTACGATGATCACCACCTTCTCTGAATCACAGCATTTTATGTGACAGTCATCAGATAGTGCTTTATGCCACAGTTTTCTATAATCCCTACTGTCTGATTGACTGAATATAGGCCCTTAAAGTTAGGGAGCAGGTACCATTCTTTCTATTTTTGAGAGAAGCAGAAGCATGCAGTGATGGCCATCCATGTCTTCACACCTCCCTGTATCCAAGCTCTCAGGGGGTCTCCTTCCACAGTAACCCTGGCTTGGCCATGAGACTTGTTTCATCCAATGAGATATTAGCAGATTTGATGCAAGCAGAGGCTTCCTGAGCATTTACATCCTGGAGACTGTTTTCTTTTGCTGTTCTCTGGAACTCTGAAACCACTGCATGGGCTAGCTTTGCGAAAGGTGAAACACTCCATGAAACAGAAACAAGTTCACCCACCTGAGCACCCCCAAACCAACCAGACCCCAACCAAGACCCCAGCCTGAACAGATCCACCAAGCTGACCCAGGCCAGAAGAACCACACTGCTGACCACAGTATCATGAGAATAAATGCTTGCTGTTTAAAGCCATTACAGTTTCTGGTGATGTAGGGGGAGGTGTTAATGGATGTACCGGGTATCTGGCACACTGTATTATTCTGAAATGAGTAAAGAATACAATTTTAATAAAATCTCTCTCATCATCCAATTCTTACTTAGTAGATTTTCTCTAGCCTAGAAATTGAAATACTCCATATGTCTGCAAAGGGTTTTCTAGTTTGTTTTGTAAAATGAAAAATCAAAAGGCAGCAATTGTAAAAGACACAGTACAAATATTCTGTCTCTGCAGATGGGGATGTGACTTCAGGATGCTCCATTTACCATCTTTGAGTCCTCGGGTAAATACTGTAAACTTTCTAGACCTTTGTTTCCTTTTCTTAAAATAAATACAATACCACTAACCTCACAGTATTAGAGAAAATACACAGTAAATACCAAATACAGGCTCTGGTGCATTTCTTCAATAACCAGGAGATATTATCATCATACATAATTATTAATCTTAAAATAAGAGAGCTGAAGCAGCTGATCTCTAAATGTGTTTCTGGTTGGGCACAGTGGCTCATGCCTATAATCTCAGCACTTTGGGAGACCAAGACAGGTGGATCATTAGAGCTCAGGAGTTTGAGACCAGCCTGGGCAACATGGTGAAACCTCATCTCTACCAAAAATACAAAAAAATTAGCTGGCCGTGGTGGTGCAGGCCTGTAGTCCAAGCTACTTGCGAGGCTGAGGTGGGAGGATGGTTTGAGCCTGGGAGGCGGAGGTTGCAGAGAGCCGAGATCATGCCACTGCACTCCATACTGGGTGACAGAGCCAGACCCTGTCTCAAATAATAAAATAAAATAAAATAAAATAATATAAAATAATATAAAATAAAATTCACCATTCATTCCCTCTCACTACTAAAAGTAGAGAGTTTGTCATGATGCCTGGATGTGGCAAGAGTGGGAAAATTTGAAGGTAAAATGTTGGGGAAGATCATTTTAATGCCTTGAGCAATTTCTAAATATTTTCGTGTATAACAACCCTCGGCATCTCCAAACTAGAATTTTTCCCTGCCAGTACAGATTAGAAAGTTGGTCATAAGGCTTAATTATATTTGGGGCTGTTCAGTCAATGTTTACTTAGGAGGAGGCTGTGGGAATAAGAAGTCATAAAAAAGCATAAACAAAAAGTGGCCAGTCTCGGTCGCTCACACCTGTAATCCCAGAATTTTGGGAGGCTGAGGCGGGCAGATCACTTGAGGTCAAGAGTTTGAGACCAGCCTGGCCAACATGGCGAAACCCTGTCTCTACTAAAAATACAAAAATAAGCCAGGCGTGGTGGTGGGTGCCTGTAATCCCAGCTACTCAGGAGGCTGAGGCAGGAGAATCACTTGAACCCCGGAGGCAGAGGTTGCAGTGAGTGGAGACTGTGCCACTGCACTCCAACCTGGGCAACAGAGTGAGACTCCATCTCAAAAACAACAACAACAACAACAAATAAGCAGAAAGTTGTCGGGAAGAAAAAGGTTATTTAGAAGTGTTGATTAATTCACAATTAACTAGGTAATTAGAAAAGTCCAGATGCCATTAATTGTGTAAAATTGCTTAGTGCCAATAGGATGCTTTTCCACCGTCTATCAAAAATTATACAATTATTTTTATCTTATATCAAAAATATAAATTAGATTAATATAAAGATAGGGCATCTGGCAACGTTTCCGGAATATAATAACCAAAGCACACTAGGAAACCCTTTGTGTCCAGCCCATTGAGCCTGTGTAACGTGAAGGTGCATGCCACCCCCACCGAATCTCAGAGCATGCGAGTGCAAATGCGCTCATTTCAGATAAAACGAGGTAATGACTTCGAGGAAAGCAACAGAAAGAAAGAGATCCTCCTCCGTGGCCAAGTGCTCACCTATATAGGTTCCACTGTTGTTACCAGCATAGTCAGCATCTTCTGGATGGAGTGTAAAAGCATACAGAACAAAAGCCAAGAAATAAAGCAGAACAGTTAGAAGGCCAGCCGCAGACGCAAAAAAAAAAAAAAAAAAAAAAAAACACTTAAAACAATTAGGTAAAGCACAGCATAGAACAGCCCTTGCAATGCCACTCTTAAACATAAAACAGTTTGTTTTATATTTAAGTTTAAAGTGATATTTTTAAACATCATGCAGGGTTTTTTTAATTCCTCCAACTTTCTTCAGTGGTTTCTTGATGCAGTTCCAAGAAAATTATACGAGACTTGTCTGAGAGGTTTATATTTTCTTCTTTTTTCTTTTTTCTTTTTTTTTTTGAGATGGAGTCTCACTCTTTTGCCCAGGATGGAGTGCAATGGTGCAATCTCGACTCACTGCAACCTCCGCTCCTGAGTTCAAGCGATTCTCCTGCCTCTGCCTCCTGAGTAGCTGGGATTATAGGCACGCACCACCACACCCGGCTAATTTTTGTACTTTTAGTAGAGACAAGGTTTTGCCATGTTGGCCATGCTGGTCTCGAAATCCTGACCTCAGGTGATCCGCCCACTTTGGCCTCCCAAAGTGCTGGGATTACAGGCGTGAGCCACTACGCCCGACCTATATTTTTAAAGTTAAGAAAATGATGCCACCTGATCCCCCAAAGTACATTTACTTTTGTAAATCAGGCTCTTAGATAATAGGTAAAAATACAGCACTTATTTTGGCTCATTGGATTAGACAGAAAGGTTAAGATGAAAATATGTCCTTTCTATTGATAAGAAGAGATTTCATGTTGGGAGTAACAGGGGAATGAAATATTGGTATTTCTTTTAAAGAACTGATAAAAACATTTGTAAAGTAAGCAATGTGCTAGTATTTTTAAGTCACATGAATACTAGGCTATACATATCTTAAAAACTTTATTTAAGTAGTGGGGTACTTAATATTTTAGGCCTCTTTCTTGTGGAACTAGCAGCATAGACTGCACAGAAATAAATTAATTGAGAAGGTTCCCCTAGATCCTACATCAAAATACGTCTGTCAATACATTTGAATAATACTGTTTATTTCATTCACATTTAAGACTACTGACAGAATAAAAATATAATGTATTATTTCAGATTACATTCTATATTTCTGCTGCATAAAGCAAAAAAATGCATATTTCTTTCTAAAACAAAGTGCAACCACAATTTTTGGTATTGTAACGTCAAGATGGAAGTTTGGATGTACAACAGAGTACATTTGTAAGTTGATTGTTATATTCAATTTAATCCTACATATATGTGCACTAAATAAAATGACTAGACTATGCAGGGTAACTTATTATACATGTACCTTTAATTTCCTCTGAGAAGCACAAAGAAAATGAGAAAGGAAATGATTAAATGTGCAGAAAATGCAATTAGAATAGGAAGATGTTGCACCCAAAGGAAAAAAAAAATCCACCTACCACACTCAACTGTTTCCTCATCTTAGCAAAGCCAAAGGAAAAAACAAATGTATTTTAAATGTTTCAAAATTATCAGTCAACAAATAAATAGAATTTATGAAAAACTACATTTTAGGCTGCACTGCAGCCTTGTTTTAAAAAGAATGCATACACTTAAGTTGTCAAAACATAGTCCTTACATAGCTTATTAAATAACCAAATGGGAAAAATAACCAGAACAAAAACCTTCAGCATTTTTTTCAAAATAATGTCTTTAATAAGGGGATTACATTTATTTTCATAGAACAGTTTTGTTTGTAAATCAATCTGTTCAACACTTAAAAGAAATTTCTCGATAAAAATAGTGGAAAGAAAAAAGGATATTAGAAACAACAAATTTTGTCCTTAACATATCTAAATATCCTGTAAATTTAACAATAACCTGACAATTATCAATGTTATATACATATCAAATGAGTTATGCAGAATCATTTATTTTTATTCTGTCTATATTATCTGATGAAAGGTATTTTAGAAAGTAATCCTAAACAGTTCCTAAATTACTAAGAGGATAGCAATTTAAAAGTTAAATATGACTTCAGAGACTCGCTTTCAGAAGGGTGGAAAAAATACTGGCAATATTACAGAGGCAAATCTAACTATGAGTCAAGGTACAAAGCATTTCACTACAATGACCTCAGAGCAAATAGGAGTGATCAGAACAGTTCTCCCCTCATCCATCCAAGCTACAGAATAGTGGCCAAAGAAAACACTTCCAGGAAGGTGTATACCACTGTATTTTTATTTTTCAAATACCTATGGATCCTTAAACTATGTTGGCTTGGTTTGACCAGTATTAGCAAATATCACAAGCAAATCATTATTATTATTCAGGCTCGTGCTTTGAATCACCCAAGTTGTGACTTTATTTAAGCACATGTCTTAGTAACTCTGACCTGTCATGCGCATCTAAAGCAAACGGTTAGAAAACAAGAAATAAACGATATGATGTGGCTTAGGCAAACAGCTAGGCATGATGGACATCAGATGGGTCACTTTGAAATCTCAGGTACTCCATTATAAAGTGGGTTGTTAAACATAGAGTCTATTTTTTTATAGGACCAATGGGATAGATTAAATACTACACCCTCGATTAAAGACTTAGCGCCATGGAAATCAAATGATAAAAGCCATACCACAAAAACCAACAAAAAATTAAAACACCAATGCCAATCCACAAAAAAATCTGTAATTTATATCACATATAGTACATATTTCACATTTTAATAAAATTTCATGAATATGCTGTATAAATTTGCAAAAGAATGTTTCTCCATAAAATTTTTAAGTAGAGAGAAAATGATATTTTTATATCACTGATATAACCACACACATATATTCAGTAGCAAGTATCATGCTTAATGAACATCCAGTAAGAAAAGGAAACAGAATTTCTCAGACTTAGCAAGTTTGAACAAAGAGGAAAAAATATATAAAACGTTGATCTCAGAAGAGAGTTGGGATAGTCACATGATTATTACTATGTGGAAGGCACTGTTCTGTGTACACTACAATACACAAACTTATTTAATTCCCCAACAATCTATGAGTCCAGTACTATAATCCCCATTTTTTTCAGATAAGAAAGAACCCTATAGTGAATTCTCATAATTTTATGTTGCTTTGGCATCCATTGTGAATGCAGGCTTAACTTTCTCATATCAGAAACAGGGCTTAGTCGCCCTTGACATGGCTTCAAGCTCTCTGCCTCCTCCCACTTCCTCAAGGCAGCCCATCCAGATATCTGCCTTATACAACTGCCTGCTGGTGACCACCTCACTATGGGACATACGGATACAGCCTATTTGACTCACTCCGTGACCTCTACACCCCACGTGGACCATGCAATTATGCTGCAGTGACCACCTCTCAGTCACAGCATAACTCCACGGAACTCATGCCTGCTTTCTTTACACCCACTATTTAGAACTCCCAGAAGGAAAGCTTGCTTGGGTAATGTCCTGGACCCCAGTGAAGGCTTTGGTCCCCCCATCTCTCTTGCTCCCCACACACTGGTTGAGTCTGCATCCCAGACAACTCCCCTCTTCCTGTTGGCCCTGCGAGGTATACTGCTCTCCTCTCTGGGATCTGTGAGTAATACACTACCTCTGCTATTTCATGCACCCCTGCTATTTCACGTTGCCTCCTCTGTGTCTCACCTGCCCAGCACACCTGAATCTACAGTATTTCCTGGTCAGGGCATTCCTAGAGAGTGGCTATCTTGGTAGGAATAAACCGGAAACAGGTCAGACAAGAGCCCCAAGAGTGTCTGTCAATATAATCAAGTCCTTATGAGAGAGGACATCTGGTCACAGGTGGACACTTAGGCATTAGGCCTTCCACCAGAAAGAAGTATCCCAAGAAAGGCACACTGCAGACAGCCACGACCACCTCCCCTGCATCAGAGCAGGGCTAGAGTTTATAGCCACTTTCTAGAGAGAGCTCAAGAACTAATTAGAAAGAAAAAAAAATACAACACACTTGTCCATGTTAAAACTGGGATTTGGACCCATGCCATCTGGCTCGAGTCTGAGTTTTTAATTCAATGCTATGCTAATCATGACAAAATCATGTTTTGATTACTCAAGTCTCAGACTAGAAATGGGCAGGAGAGAGGTCGAGGGACATAAAGTTTCTTACAAGTTTCCTACTGACTTAGCATGACCTCCCATGGCCCGCCATCCCTCCCCAAAGCTTCGGTATTCCAAGGGAGAGTCTCCTGCCAGGAGTGGCCAGGGAGGGCCAGCTCCTCTCTCCAGTGTTATCAAGAGTCCACCATCTGCTATCTTCAAGTACATTAGAGCAGGAGAGGAAAGTTAGAAAAGTGACAAAGGGGAGGCCAAGAAGATCTCAAAAAGATGAATGTGGCTGAGCACAGTGGCTCATGCCTATAATCCCAGCACTTTGGGAGGCCACAGAAGGAGGATCACTTGAAGCCAGCAGTTTGAGATCAGCGTGAACCACATAGTGAGAACCCATCTCTACAGAAAATTTTAAAAATTAGCTGGGGGTGGTGGCGCATGCCTGTAGTCCCAGCTACTCAGGAGGCTGAGACAAGAGGATCACTTGAGCCCAGGAGTTCAAAGCTGCAGTCAGCTATGATGGTGCCACTGCACTCAAGCCTGGGCAACAGAGTGAGAGCCTGTCTCAAAAAAAGGAAAACCTTTTTTTTTTTTAAAGAGAAAGATAAATGTGCTGTCTTAAGAGAATGAACTAGAAAGGTTCTGTGAAAAGCACGTGGTGAGTCCTGCACACTGGGCAGTAGTAAACGTCCCATTCTGCTGGATGTCACTCTGCAAGGGACATGTGTGACACTCCTGACAAGTGGAGAAACTGTGTCTATATTAGTGTGCTATTATTCACATGGGCAAGGTTAAATCCCCATACTAGAAACCACTTTCCTAAATTCCCCACCCCCTACCGCAATCCGTCCTAAAAGTCTGCAATAATCCGCAACCACAGATCAGACCCCTAAGAGTTAACCAATGCTTTCCAACCTGCATGGCATTGAGTCCCCAGGACAAAATACAAGAGACAATAGGGCTGAGAACGCTTCCAATGGAAAGACTAGAAGCATCTACTCTGATAGTGTTTGAGAAGCAACATCTTGGGGAATCCCAGGAGAACACAGTTCACTGAGACTGAGTGTGAGCAGTAACAGTTAGAAGGTTCTTCACCTCAACCATCTTCGATTTAAGTGATCAGATATGAAATTTACAACTTAGTTCATCTACACCTCTTTCCACCCAAACTCTGAACTCTGGCATCTTCCAGATAGTATTAGTATTAGGGGAAAAATACGTTAGGTTTTTTGTTTGTTTGTTTGTTTGTTTTGTTTTTTGTTTTTGTTTTTTTTTGAGATGGAGTTTTACTCTTATTGCCCAGGCTGGAGTGCAATGGCACAATCTCGGCTCACTGCAACCTCTGCCTCCCAGGTTCAAGCGATTCTCCTGCCTCAGCCTCCCGAGTAGCTGGGATTACAGGCATGTGCCACCACGCCTGGCTAATTTTTTTGTATTTTTAGTAGAGACGGGGTTTCACTATGTTGGTTAGGCTGGTTTCGAACTCCTGACCTTGTGATCTGCCTGCCTCGGCCTCCCAAAGTGCTGTGATTACAGGCGTGAGCCGCTGTGCCCGGCCAATGTTAGGTATTTTTTAAAACCCCACGTGTTTCTGTTTATACAAGACCCCACCAATATTAAGAAAATGTTTGACAATGTTTTAGACATACAAACTTCATGTAACAACATAAGCAATGTGTTTGTTTCTGAATTAACTTTATGTATGAAAACAACAAATAAAATTACTTAAGAATCCAGGAAGAAGAAGCTTACTCAACTTGAAAAGCTTTATTACAATGACTTGTAGCATCCTGTGATATATTATTCCTAAGTGTTAAGACATTCCAAAATACCGGTACCGTGTGCAGTGAATTCGTTATTTTACTCAATGCTTAAATTCTTTTTTGCCTATTGTGATTATCAACTGACAAATGTTTGCCTTTGAATGAACTAAGTTACACCTTGCTTAAATGGATACCCTTTGGCTTCAGTTAAATGTTTTCTTTTTACCTGCATAATAATAATCATGACTAGTTAAAACAAATTCTACAATAAAATATTTTGTGTTTTCCTTTCTAATCTTTAAATGGTTGAAAAATTGTACATTCTTGTTTCTTTGACTGCAAGAATTTTTTAAGAGTTATTGTGTAAAACAAAAATTTTGAATTAAGGTTATTCAGTCAGCAATATTAGAAACTTTTAGGTTCTTATATTTTGATAACTAAAAAAAGGAAACAACACTATAAAAACTCACACTTGAATATTCTGTTGTAAAATACACTACCTGAATAACAGCTTTTTCTTACTCCTTTCTGAAGACAATATATACTGGATTTAAATATTTAATATAAATCACATCCTACTGAACTTAAATTAATTTGATGTCATTAGGAAGACAATTCTTAACTTGTATTTAGATTTCAATAGAAAAGCAACAAACAATACCACAAATGAATTCCTATTTCTTTCTTAACGGTTAGGTAGTACATGCAACCAAACTATAAAAATAAGTTTTAGGCAGAAAATTAGAATACTTTAAATTATATTGACACAAGAAATGCAAGCTGCCAAGTTCCTGTCATGCAAAAGTACTCCTACATTCTATCTGAGACATAAGATTCACTTTTACTCATTTCCAGAACACTTAAGCTACATCTTGTATATAATAATCTAAAAGCTGGTCATATAAAAGAAAATCTATCAGACTTTGAGGCCTGCTTTTCTCTCTGCATTACTAATATAAATCCATTATGTGGGAACCTATCATTAGATGATGGAGAGGGAGGGAAACAAATTTCCATTACAAATATCTTTGTTCGGTAAGCAATTCTTCCAAAAAATAGGGGGAGGAGACAAGTCCTTATATCCAGCTACTTAAGACTTAGAAATATTTTAGGTTTAAGAGGTCATGTTTTAGTTTTCAGGAATTTTTTAAGAGGTAAATTATTTTTTTGTTTGAAAAGCCTTTTTATTCTTCTGGGTTTGTATTAGATACACAAAGATTCTTTAGGGGAGGACATAACCAAGCAACAAAGATGAATATGACTTGCACTTATGAATTTTGCATAAGGAGGCTAGTTTCAAAGCCTAAAGAGGTTGTTATTATCATGGCTCCTGATTTTACTTACCTTGGAGCCAAGAACTAGAGCTCTAGCACAAATATAAGTGCAAAAATGCAAAGACAGTAAGATTGGGATGTGCCCTTCCTTATTTATTTCTATGTTGATATTAACTGAAACCCTATAGTTCCAGAACCATCTTCCATGAACTTTTCCCCCATGCAAACTCAAGTTATGGTGATACACTACAAATGAAATAAAAAGCAAAATAAAGATTTAGAAAAGAGTAATACGAGCAATCACTTTGTATAAAAAGTTAACTGGCTAATTTCGTAAATGGTATTATGTGACTAAATTCATTATTTCAAATCCTATATTTGCAATTTCCTCCTAGATGTTAAGTACACTTGTAAAAATTAGTGGATAAAGTTTTTATCACTGTATTTTTAAAATAAATTTATAAACATTGACATGATAGAATTATTCTTCCTTTATAAATTTTAATTGAATCAGAAACTTTTTTTACAACCCTATTCTATTAATATTCAAAATCATAAAAACAAAAGATTTTATACCAACTTGCTGTTTTTCTTCATGGCATTTTCCTATAATTCAACAAAGGGCATGATAACGTAAGTTTCCTATTCCAAAACCCTAAGTACCAAATATTGAAATCCAGAAAGTAGTGGATCAGATGGCCTTTACAAGTTTTAGTTTGGTAAAGAATCATCATCAAAACATAGGTTAAAGTGTTTTTAAATGCCATTTAAAATGTTCAGAATCAATACAATGATTTATGCATAACTTTTAACTTTATGTGAGACAATATTCAAGGAAATTTCAAGTAGAATTTCAATTCTTTGAGAATAAAGACATTAGCTGCCTATTTGTCACAGAAATATATTGTCTCTCTGAACAAGTCCATATCTGTTATATGTTTATGATTTAATAAGGATAATTTTGACCAGATTTATTTGAAAATAAATAACATATATAAAAACAAACAATGCATCTCTCAGTGAATCAAACTCTAGTTTAATAAGAGAGACAGAGAGAGAGGAGAAAGAAAGAGAGGAGGACCAGCAAACATTTCTGAATGGTATTCAAGAGGCAGAAAAAGCAAAAACAAAAACAAAAAAAAACAAAATTAGTCAAATGAGGACATTTCAGTAAAGATAAATGCTAGAATAAATATTTATCAGATCCAAATATTGAAGTATTAACATAAAAAAGAAATCATGCAAATCAACATACAAAAGGACTCCGTTACAATTAATACTTCTACATACACACACAAACAAACACACATACCCCCACACACACCTCACCTTCCTATGCATCTATATAGAAACCAGTTTGAAAGAGCTATTAAAAAGCAAAATATCCCTTTTGTATAGTTCTTTTAAAGAAATACATATACACTTATCAAAAATTTTCAATCAATGAAAATTTATAATAATATCAAACTGTACATTTCTAAGTTGCCTAGGACTGAAAAAGAGTTGAGTATGGATCCAGATTCGAGTATAATTACATTTATTTCATCTTTAAGTGACACATTATCTTATCCCACATATGCCAAATATATTAGAAATGTGTAAGCCTCCTATTTAAAAATCCCTTTGAGAGCCAGTCAGGCAAGGAGCCTCAAAGCTCCTTTCTGTTAGTGAGTTGGCCAGTGAAAAGTCATCACGCTTAAGAACAGTGCAATATTCTCACGAAAGCTTTAAGTTTTCTGATGTCAGAAGACTTGTAGCATTCTGTGACAAGGGTTTTTTTCCTTGTGCCTAGACTTAATGTAGCAAGGACAAGCAGGCTTTTGAATGAGTGCTCCACTTTAAGCATTTGCCTGCTTGTGAGATTTATACTCGACTACAGTTTGGCTCCCTTCTAATGTGATTCCTGGGCTATATGCTTCTGCAAACTGACAGAAATCACAGGAGATGTGAAAAATGCAACAATACTAAAAACAGATGTTGGTGTAAAATTCCAGGGCCATTTATTTGGTCATTTCGCTGTTTAATGTACAGTTTCTATGCTAAAAACAAAGGGTTGGTTTTTTCCTCTTAAAATACCTAGAACCATGAAACATCTAGGCGAGGTGGAACAGGGAATTTATGGGATGCAGACTTGAAGAGCTGGGTGGTGGGAAATAAAGAAAAGCTGACAGAAGATTAGGCTGAAAGAGAAAAAAAAGTATTTAAATGCACACTAAGTTTTTCAGTAGTCATACGGTAGCCATCCTTTGTCTTTCTCTCATTTTCTTTTAATCTAGTCTGGTAATAACTCCAAAGGGATAGGCTAAAGGTCAGAAGTATTATGATCTGGGGATAAGAAAGGAATTAAGAACAATTGGTCTTGAGCACAATTGCTTTTGTACCCAAGAAAATGGTAGATTTTTTTTCTCCCTAATCTTTACCAAGAAATACCTAACCCAAACTTCCTGGCTTTGAAGAAGGAAGAGCTGTATTTTAGGTGACATTTAATAAAATAACTATATTTGGAAATCAAAGACAGTAGTAGTAGTAGTCACTTTCTTAAAGAGTGAGTCATGGATTTATTATTAACAACCTCAACCACCCCTTTCCTCAAAAGATTCATGTTAATATTCCAAATATGAATCTCATATTTGTTTGTTCCTGAGAACTGATGATCCCAAAGTTATTGCTAGGGTAATAGGACCCTTTGTTCTGCCATGAGCACCTGCTTTAATAGTCAAAAATAAACATCAGGGTTTGGTTTCTCTGCATTCTTATTAACAAACTTACATGATTTCCTGTTGGAAACTTTCAGGGGCTGAACCAATATTTCTGGTCGTCTCAAAGCCAATCTCCTGGGAGAAAGAAGGTCAACATACCTATCAATTTTCAGCACAGGTCCGAGGTGAATACAATATCAAAATATTTAGTCTTAAGAAAAAACTTAAAGGTTAGAGAAAAAAATGAATGTAATGCAATAGATTCAAATTAAGAAACAAATCGCCCACTTTCAAATTTTTGTAAATTATCTTCCCTCCCTCCAAAACCACTGGTCTTTTTTTTTTCCACCTTTCATATCAACATGGTTTCAAGATATTAATGTGCTATTTTCCATTTGCTTCATAACAAAAATCTAATATGACCCAGTACTGTCATATTATTTTTGGTCATTCATCATACTTAGTTAGACAAAACAGAAATCCAAACCCACAGGATAAAAAATTCTAAGGCAAGGTTTTATAGCATATTTTATCACATCAATGCCAGAATGATATTTTGCAGAGAACAAAAGGTCAGCTGGAGAAAAGCCATTATTATGTACCAGCAGCTCACCTTTCCTGGAAATGCTTTGAGGGGATCAAGCCTGCCCTGGGGTTGGCATCAGCTTCGTGTTTCGCTTGCCACCAAGTTGCATCATCTTGGCTCATAATCTGAAGAATATCTCCCTTTTTGAAAGAAAGCCCAGCTTCCTTACATGGAATTGCCTTATCCTCATTAGGATTATAGTCAAAGAGGGCTTTGATAAACATCTGGAAGAAAAGTTTCATTAAAGATGAATAAAGATAAAAAATAAATGTGAAATGGCCTATATTCTCCTAACTCCGACTCCAAACATAGTAATTTTAAAACTGGAATATTGAAAGAAATGTGTTGTGACAAAGTGGATATGTGTTGGATGGAAAAACATGACTTCCCTCCCACGCACGAAGAAATGTTTTTAAGCAATAATTACCTTGCCTTCTTTTGATGGTGTCTCCTCTTTGCTGCCGGGTATAATCTTAAATGTAATTGCTCCCTGAGACTGAGCCTGGTAACAGATAAAACAAGGAGTTATAAGAAAACCAGACCCAAGGAAGAATAAGGTAAAATAGGTAGAAAGTGAAATGCATCTGAAAATTTACAAGCTTGGGGCTTCTACTCTTAGATAGACTAAACGGAGGAAACTATTTTTGTAGAAATTCCTGTAATGTGAGAAAGAAAGCTCTGAAGTTTGTAGAATAAGTTAAAAAACATTAACTCCTAAATCCACTTTTACTTCCTGTGTACTTTTAAGCTGTCAAGTAAATACATTCCCATCCAAGTTTCTTCGAAATAGAAACACACAAAATATGCACAACACCTTAAATAAACACAGTATTCAATGACTAGAACAGATAATGTATAAAGGTCTGGGTGCAGTGGCTCGTGTCTGTAATTCCAGTGTTTTGGGAGGCAAGGTGGCAGGATCACCCAAGCCCAGGAGTTCAAGACCAGCAATATAGCAAAACCCCTGTCTCTACAAAAAAAATTTTAAAAATTAGCCAAGCGTGGTGATGAAGCTAAGGCCTCTTGAGCCCAGGAGTTCAAGGCTGCGGTGAGCTGTGATCGCACCACTGCACTCCAGCCTAGGTGACAGAGCAAGAAGCTTTTTTTTTTTTTTTTAAAGAATAATGTACAAGGTTCATACAGTTACATTTAAGTATCAGCATCCATGTTTTGGGGGACAAAACACCTATAATGTCAGTAGTGCAGTTACAAATACATGATTCAATTAGTGGCAATGCCCATCAGAAAAAAAAAATAAAGAACATTCATATCTATTGTATTCTGGTGAGCGAGTAAAATATCCAACGTAATAGATTAATTGAAAGATGAAAAGACTGAGTATCTATTCTAACTTCATTAAAATAAGTACCAGCACCCACAAGTTTTTGTTATCTCAGATAGGATTTCTCTTTAAATATAGTCTCATGTCATTCTCTGTCTCTCTCTTTTTACCATGTATTGTAGCCATATTTAATTATTTATGCCATTATTTCATAAGATATGTTACTCCTGCTAATTTGTAAGCTCCATAAAAGCACTAAATACTTGGCACATTTGAAAGATATGAAAGGAAGGGGGGTAGGGCAAGACATATCTCTGAGTCTCACTATCTGTGGTGCACTGGTAAACCAGGACTCCATTTATTTAAAAAAAAAAAAAGGCTCTGATGTGTACTGTCTGTCAATTTCCATGGTATAAATACTTTCACTATAGTCAATTTCAATTCACCAGCATGAAGTTGCTGAAAGCTGAGTTGGGAAATGGTGCATCACACAGTCAGCTCTGGGCCGAGCCTTAAGAAGGCAGCTCTAGTGCAACACAGCAAGTTAAGTAAAATGGGATTCTGATAGTTTAAATAATAGAATTTTATAAAGGGTTGATTTATTTCAAAATGGTAATATCATTGCTATTGCTTATTGTAGAAGGCGCTCACAAATCTTATAAAGAATTCTCATACTGTAATACTGAATTACATTGGTAGAGAGAAAACAAAAGTCTTTTCTATAATCTCCTCTTATTTTTCTAGTTTGTGTCTGTGTGTTTTTTTTTAAATGGATCTATGGTCCTTACAACAGTGTCATTTAATAAGGACTCAATTGTTATTACTATTACTGCTGAGCCATATAGGTCTATCTCTCGTGATTGCCTCACAATAATCTAGCATATGGATGAATGATTATTTGATCAACGCAACTTTCTTGGTAGTTTCCGAATATTTTTGAAAAATTTTGTTTATACACATTTACCAAATTATTGCTTGAGGATTAATTTCCAACTAAAGGGTATGCACATTTAAAATTTTGATAGTTTCAGATCTCAAAAAGTTCTACTAATAATTTATCCCATCCCCAAATCATATAAATATACCTATTTTCCTATACCCTGACCAACTCTAGGCATTATCAAGCTTTCCAATCTCATATCCTGAAAATGCTTTGAGGGGATCAAGCCTGCCCTGGGCTTGGCATCACCTTCGTGTCTCCAGACATCTATGTTTTCTTTTGTAAAGTATTTGTCCATATGCACTGCTGATTTTTCTGTAAATGTTTTTCTTATTGATTTTTATCATCTCTATATATTTTGAAACATTAGCCTTTTATTATATATACTGAAAATATTTTTCATACAATCTCATTTGTCTTTGATGTTTCTTTATGGCACCTTTTTTCTATAAAGAAAGTTTTGAATTCTAGTAGACACATCTGTTATTTTTCTATTTGACTTTCATATCAAGGTTAAAAAGTCTTTTTCTACCTTATAATTATAGAAATTGTATATTACCTTTTATTGTGCAATTTTTGTTTTTTTTGCACTTATTTAATTTGTTGGGAATTTATTTTTATGTATTGTGTAAAACAAGGATTGACCTTATTTTTTCTGCGCCATTAACCTGATACCATCTATGAAATGTTCCACTGTTTTCCCACTGATTTAAAATGCCACCTTAACCATATACTAAATTTTCATATATACAGAGATCTGTTTTTGAGACACACTCAAACCTCTTCTAGTTGGTATAGGTTTCCAGTATGTTTTCACATATAAAAGAGAGTTTCCCTTCCTTTTATCTTACAAATGAACTTTAGAATTAATATTTCCAAGGCATAAAATAATTTTATTCAAGTGTCAGATTTCAAAAGACATCTAAATTAGTTTGACTAATTTGTATTGCTATGATCTATAGCATGGAATGTGACTGTGTCAATGGGAGGAAGACAAAGATAAATGCATCACCAGCCACAGTGTAGATGCCATCTGCTAAGTATAGACTTGGGACAGGGACAGGTACTAAATTCTTTTTTTTTTTTTTTTTTTTTTTTGAGACAAAGTCTTGCTATGACGCCCAGGCTGGAGTGCAGTGGTGTGATCTCGACTCACTGCAACCTCCATCTCCTGGGTTCAAGCGATTCTCCTGCCTCAGCCTCCCAAGTAGCTAGGACTACAGGTGACTGCCACCACGTGCAGCTAATTTTGTTTTGTATTTTTAGTAGAGACGGGTTTCACCATGTTGGCCAGGCTGGTCTTAAGCTCCTGACCTCAGGTGATCCACCTGTCTCAGCCTCCCAAAGTGCTGGGATTACAGATATAAGCCACCACACTCGGCCCTAAAACTCTTTATATATACTATCTCATTTAATCCTCAAAACACTCCAGATGGATAGTTACCTCTTATTCTCATTTTGCAAATGAAAACACTGAGGCATGAATAGATTAAGATATTTTCCAAGAACACACAGGGATTAAGTGTTCGAACCCTGCACTGCTTAATACAAATCCTGTCTATGTCAAACCAAGTCTAAAAGTCTGAAATACAGTGATTCGATTTTATTTTTATTGTACCTTTAAAAGAAATTTACAGCTTACCAAAATCTGTATTATTTCCTCAGGCCTTTTATCCTCCACTGGTATCCCGTTGACTTCCCTAAGTTCATCACCAACATGAATAAGACCTGAGAAATAGGAGATTTGGTAAATTAGCAGTGTTACCCACAACCAAAACTGTAATTTGCAGCTGTTTCCATAAGTAAAGCATTGTTAGGTTCCCTTAATACACTTAACGAATGGAAAGGAGACCTTCACACATCTCAGGTTTCAGCCTCTATGCCTCTCCATAGCAGTGACTCAAAAACCACAACATAGTAATGCTGGCCAAGAAATGGTAACAGGAGCTTGGTCTTTGTCTAGAAATGCACATTACTGATATCTTATACTAATATACTAATAAAATAATTTTTATTTATCTTAAAGGCTGCATGCTCTTAGCAGTACTTTTCAATTGAGAAATACAGAAGAAACAAGATTTTTTTTTTTTTTTTTTTTTTTTTTTGAGACGGAGTCTCGCTCTGTCACCCAGGCTGGAGTGCAGTGGCACAATCTCGGCTCACCGCAACCTCCGCCTCCCAGGTTCACACCATTCTCCTGCCTCAGCCTTGCAAGTAGCTGATACTACAGGTGCCCGCCACCACACTTGACTAATTTTTTTTTTTTTTGTATTTTTAGTAGAGACAGGGTTTCACCGTGTTAGCCAGGATGGTATTGATCTCCTGACCTCGTGATCCACCCGCCTTGGCCTCCAAAAGTGCTGGGATTACAGGCGTGAGCCACCACGCCCGGCCCACAAGTTTTAAGATAGCTTTGGATGCTTGTGTACAAGAAGACCATAGAGTAATGTTTATCTATCATTTATTTAAATAGGCTCTCACATTTCAACACAGAGAAAAATATCTTATTACTTGTTCTGCTGTATTAGATCCAAAGATGGTTATCCTCTTAGTTATCTACTGGAAATGCTACACACGAAACACGTGATTAGTCTGTACTTGGTTAACATTTAAAGTCTCACCACTTCTATCTGCAGCTCCTCCTCTCATGATTCTGGCCACAATGATCGCCCCGGTCTGTTCATCCTTCTTAATGGTAGCTCCCTTTTAAGACAAAAACAAAAAGCATTTGTGGGTAAATGTGTGTACTAGGTGTTAGAAAAGGAGGAAATAAGGACATTCATCTGAAAAAAGAGAAAACAACTACAAAAACGAAAAAAAAGAAATGAGGCAGGAAAAATAGACATCATGCCATTTGTCTTAGAATGTCTATTCTCATGACTAAATAGAGGAAATTCTATCTACATAGCATCAAAGGGTTTCAGCCCAATTTAAGGATTTTTGAAATCTTCAACCTCTTCAAAACTGTGTAAAATAAACATACCTTCTTTCCATTATAAAAATACCTTGTATTTCAATGCTGTTTGGTTTTTATCCTTTTAAAGCAATTCTTCATTCATTTCATCCTTATAGTACCGCATCAAGAAAGTGGAATAGTGACAATTACACTAATAGACAAAAGATTCTATATGTTAAAAAACTAAAACCCAGATCATTTGACTTTTAGTTAGTTCAGTGATCCTTCTATCACCCTCAGTTATCATAGTAAAAAAATAAAAATTTAAAAATTAAAAAAAACTTGGGCGATAATTATAAAGAAAAAGAAAAAAGTTAAAACCCAGAAATTAGTTATATTTGTTGCCTAAGTCTAAGACAAATGATTAGAAGAAAGAGCTCTTACTCCATGGTTTTAGTGAACTAGGATTGTAACTAGTACAAATAGAACTAAGTATTGGCATAAGATTAGGAAACAGTCTCAAAAAGAAGCCAAAAATTCTTCACTTACAGATACTCAGAAGCAAATTAACTGCTGCCTTGTAAGAACAACAGGCACAAGTGGTTACTTTGAAAGCCTTTCCATGACTTTCCTTTTAAGAATCTGGCATTGGTTTTGCAAAGCCATCCAACATTGCATAATACTGCTAAAAAGGTATGCTTTTCAGTGGCAGCAGAATTCATCCAAAAGAAGTGAAATTTTTCTCCAGTTTGTCAATAAACACATTTATATCATTAAAGAACAGATATGTAAACAAAGTAAAAGTCCATCTGTAATAAGTATCCTTTATCTATAACTATCAGATACATAGCCAATAATAGTAAAAAAGTCAAAGAATTAAGTGACAGGCATTTTACGGCATTTTTCATCACCTGTGCATGTATTCAAGGCCAGAGACTTGAATGAGCATCACTTCATGGTCATAAAGCTTAGACTCACCAACTACTAGTATTTTCTGCTTTTATTTCAATTTCTAACTTGTTTCCAAAATGACTGGAAATGTAATATTCTCAATATAACTAATTAGTTTGATTAAATCAACTTTCATTTTCCTTAATGACATGTCTCAAATTTTCCCACCAAATATGCCCAACGGCAGAAAAGCCTAGTAATCTAAGTTTACTTATCCATAGTTTCTGGATGATAAACTGAATATTAAATGGTCGTAATTTGTCTAAGATCAGATAACTAGTATATGGAAAAATCAGGACTTGTTTAAGGTAATCTGACCAGAGACACAATCATTCATCTCAATCATCATCCAATACTGCTTAACCTCTATCTTCCCATAACCTTTCGTTCATAAGTTCATTCTGTCTATGAGTTCATTACTCTTGGGGGAGATTGTCTCTAAAAGGGGGATCACCAATTCCTTCCCTCCTTGTATGTGCATGCCATATTCCCACATTAAGTGGTAAAAATGGTTTTGAGGCTTCAAAGGCTATAAGAAGATCTGTAGCTGCCACTTGGGCCTCTTGAAACACTTGCTCTATGCGAATCTCACTGCCATGTAAGAAATCATGACCACTGCTATGCTCTGAGGAATCCCAAGCTAGCCAAGTAAAGGTAACAATTAGAGAAAGAGACACTTGGCCAGCCCCCAACCTTCCAGCTCCAAGCCCAGGTAACAGTTGTGTAAATGAAGGAGCCCTCAGTTCACTCCAGCCACCACCATCTGACTGTATGTATGAGGAACTCCAAGTGAGAACCTCCCAGCTGAGCTCATCAACCCCCAAAATAATATTGTTTTCGCCACAACATACAGCCGTGGTTTGCAACATAGAATTAGTTAAGTGGAACCAATCTCTCTCTGTACTATGGACTGTACAGTTTTTCAGTATAGGGCTATCTAACCTGTTTGTTATACTTAATGCTAGTTCCTTTGACTTATTCTGTATTCAATGAAGTTGACCAATGTTTATTGAGAACTTACTCTGTGCAAGGCACCGTTCTAAGGGCTTATAATAAACTGATGAAAAAGAAAAAAATGTCTGCTTTCTCATCCCAATGGGGGAGACAAGACAATAAACAAGAGATGGAATAATTACATACATTATACAGTATGTTAGAGAGTTAGTCTGTTTTCATACTGCTAATAAAGACATGCCTGAGACTGGGCAATTTATGAAAGGAAGGTTTAATGGACTTATAGTTCCATGTGGCTGGGGAGGCCTCGCAATCATGGTGGAAGGCAAGGAGGAGC
The DNA here is from genome assembly GCF_000001405.40 of Homo sapiens. Taxonomy (NCBI): domain Eukaryota; kingdom Metazoa; phylum Chordata; class Mammalia; order Primates; family Hominidae; genus Homo; species Homo sapiens. The sequence goes on from NC_000010.11 coordinate 28,127,527, forward strand.
AAATCACATTTTACATGGATGGCAGCAGGCAAACAGAGAGCTTGTGCAGGGAAACTCCCGTTTTTAAAACCATCAGATCTCGTGAGACTTATTCACTATCACAAGAACAGCATGGGAAAGACCTGACCCGTGATTCAATTATCTCCCACCAGGTCCCTCCCACGACACGTGGTTATTATGGGAGCTACAAGATGAGGTTTGGGTGAGGACACAGAGCCGAACCCTATCAGGTGGTAAACACTGTGGGGGTGTGAGGGGATGTAGGGCAGGAAATAGAAGACCAGGATGCCAGGGCAGGCGGAGGAAAGACAATGTGAAGACACAGGACTCACTGAGAAGATGATGTCTGAGTGAATAAAGACTGGACGGAGGTGAAGAAGTTAGCCAATGGGAAGGAACAGAAGACACAGCCAGTGCAAAGGTGCCAAGGGGAAGGCTGTGAATAAAATGCTCAAGAGCGAGCAAGGCAGCCTGTGTGGCTGGAGCCCAGTAGCAGAGGAGCGGCAAGAGGAGATGAGGTAAAGGCAGAAGGGAGTCAGCTTATGTGCTTTATGAGTCACTGTGAGGACACTGGGCTTTACTCTGAATGAAAGAGGGAACATGCAAGGTTGTGAACAGCAGGAGGGGCACAACCTAGGAGGACCACTCCACCCACTGTGCTAAGAGTGAAGGATGGCAAGGGCTAAAGCAATGAAATTAATGAGAGGTTAATCCCTTGTCTGAAATGCTTAGACCAGAAGTGTTTCAGATTCCAGATTTTCTTTTCAGATTTGGGCACATTTGCATTCTTATTGGTTGAGCATCCCAAATCCAAGAATATGAAATCTAAGAGTCTCCAATGACCATTTCCTTGGAGCTCATGTCTGCACTCAAAATGTTTCAGATTTTGGCACATTTTGGATTTCAGATCTTCAGATTTGGGATGCTCACTCTGCACAGTAATTCAAGGGAAAGATGATGGTGGCATGGATCTGACTGGCAGGAGTAGAGGTGATGAAAGGGGATCTGGCTATATTATTGGTGGAGTCTAAAGGATTTCCCAACAGATTGCCTATGGAATGCAAAAGAAAGAGAGGGATTAAAGATAGGCTCAACTTCTTTTGGCTGAGCAGCTGGAAGGATGGAATTGCCATCAACTAAAAGGGGTTAAGACAAGGGTGGAACAGATTTGGGGACAAAGATCAGCAGTTTATTTTTGGATATGTGAAAATTGAGATGTCTATTAGACCTCCAAATGGAGATAACAAATAGACAGATGGATATACGAATTTAAAGATTAGAAGAAAAGACTGGAAGAGAAATAACCCTGGGAGTCTCTGGCACATAGACGCTTTTTAAAGCCATGGGCAGAATAAAATCACTTTTGGAATGTATAGATAATGCAAAGCACTCCAACGCATAAGGGTCTCATTATAGACAGAGATAAGTGCCCTGATAGAATCTTCTTGCTATCCCCTGATTCTACTTTGCTTGGAGGGTAAACTACAGACTTGAAGAATAATCTCTCACTTTCTACATGATACTACCACTTGAATCAATCTTCACTTTGAACCCTTCATTCTTGAAGACTTCTATTTCCATATTGTTTTCCAAACCTCTCTTACCACAATTGTTTGATGTATTCCCAGTGCAATATATTTCCATGAAAATAAGATCAAATCTCAAAAACACAGAGCACATTACACGTGATACTGTACAAAAGTCATCAATCCTATAGCATAGTCTGCCAACACAAAATAAATTAAAATTGGATCTAATATTTTAAAAATTACTTATTTTCCTACATAATTATTTTGAATTTATTCTATGTGATTTTGTTTTAAAAACAGAGTATGGAGAATTTCAAGTTAGATTGAAAAAATAAATTCTGGTCAGATTTTTCTTAATTATTAATTCTGTAAAATGGTTTATAAAAGGGGACTGCTTACTGGGTTATCATGATTTCCTTAAACAAAAAATTTATCTCCTATAGAATTGCTTGAATCCAGGAAGCGGAGGTTGCAGTGAGCCGAGATCACGCCACTGCACTCCAGCCTGGGCAACAGAGTGAGACTCCGTCTCAAAAAAAAAAAAAAAATTTACTTTATTTATTTCCTATAAACTGCCGTATTGCAAGGTCTCCTCAAGTAGGTGGCACAGTGAATTTCAGATTGAGCCTTTGAAACAAGTGTTTTTGAAGTGTGATCTACCAAAAACTTGCACCAAGAACATCTGAGACGCTTTTTAAAATCAAGATTCCCAGGCACCAAAAAAACCCTCCTGATATAAATCCCTTGGGATTCAGCTCAGAAATCTGCATTGTAAGTAAGCATCTCAGGTCATTCTTCCAATACCAAAATCTGAGAACCACTGTTCTCAAGGAAGCAAGAGGACAGCCGATGCAAGTAACACTGAGAATTTAGGATCGAAATCTACTCACCAACAAACAGAATTTCATTTTCAAGGGATCTTGCCCCTTAAGTAATTACCCTTTTTCCTATCCATTATCTAATACCCACATAACCTGTGTTCACAGCCTGTTCTCTGAGGTAACCATTCTCTCCTTGAGCAGATGCAACCTAGCTTTTATAAGTATTAACTAGAATATAAATTCTAATATCTTTTAAATATTAGATGGAATATATTCTAATATCTTTTAAATATTAGATAGAATATATTCTAATATTTACATAATGTTTGCATAATGCTTCAGAACTCATAAACCATTCCAAACACATTATATCTTAGCTGATGTTCAAAAACACTTGCAAAGAGGTACATTTCCTGATTTTCTGATAAGGAACCTGAGGCTGAGATGGTGAGTGGTTTGCTCTATAGGATACAGGGCAAAGTGACAGGATCCCAACTCCCACTTAGGTCATCCAGTGCAAGCTCAGTGTTCATGTCACCACATTATGGATCCCAATAAACAAAATTGCATTTTTAGATAACACTGGTAACCTATCCCTTGGTTGCCAAACGTTACAGCCTTTCCTCATGAATCACTTGCCAAGCATTTCCTGACCATCCACTTGCTAGAATTTTATTTCAGCTTAGCTTCCAGCACTTTGCCTACTTCTGATTCTCACGACTGGGGCTCATTCTCCTAAAGATATCTTTGACTCTTAATCTTCTCTCTGTGTGTTTTTCATTGCGCTTTGACAGTCTTGTGGCTTCTCCAACAATTCCCCGAACTAACAAATGTCATTTGACTGATGTTAAATAACAAATTTGTTGAAAGTATTTTCTATTCTTCTGGGTAGTGTATTTTTTAAACTTTAAATTTGTTCACACAATAATCTTACTTTACCTTAACAATAATTGCGAAGATAATACACTAATTATATATTTGAATGAGAAAAATTTCAAGACAAGTAATTCTATTCATTTGATTTCATATTCCAATATTTAAAATGACATTTTAAATCTTAATACTTTATTTAAGGAATAGCTAACAAATAATTTTGGAAATTTCTTCATTGCCATTAGAGGTTCTATTTTTCTATATTAAGCTTTTTTTATTTTTAAAAATAGAGCTACTTGGACATAAAATAAAATTAAATTAAACAAATTTAAGTTCCACGCCTCCTGACCAAATAAGATCTTCAAAAGATGTTTAACAAAGAAATTAGATGTTTACTTCACTGAGACTTCTCAAAAGTTTTGTTGGACCTGCTGTAAATTAGTTTAAATTTAAAAAGCAATTGAATTAAGTATATAAAATAACTTAAAGTTGCGTTCCCATAGACAATAGCAATTTTTTTAAGTTGTACCATGTAATCTCAAATCAACCATGCTTGGTACATGTTACGCCTTCTTTCATAAATGTCAACAGGTTACATTTTCAAAATCATTGCTATTTAAATGTAGCCAATAAAATGTCTATTAACCTTCACTTTCATTTTTCAAAAGCATGTTCTTTAGACATCAATGTTCCATTTCTTTTAAAGTTTAAGAACATAGAGGAAGTATATTTTAAAGAGTTATACATGGTATGCACCATCAGATTTGGCCCTATCATGGTATCTACTCATATCTGAGCACCAAAACTCACCAGTGGTTCTCTATTTTTGACCAGACGGATTATTTTTACTGAGTCTTCCTCATCGTCAATATCTTCAGGCATAGGAGGCAACACTGGGTCGTAATTCTTCTGAGCCACAGTATCATGTACAGAGAGCAAAGCCTGTAATATTCAAAGGTTGATTTAAATAAGTAAATATACATACTTATATATTATATGTAATATATATAAAATTTCAAACACATCAAACTATAAGGAAAATCAAAACAGTGTTACGGTTTTGACATAGTAGTGGTAATAAGACAATTACTTGAATAGGTTCCTCTTACAAATGGAATGGGAAACAGTGCTTGTCCAGAGAGCAGATAGCAGCTCTACTTAGCAGCCACCTCTGTCCCCAGTGTCACTGATGTATGTAAAGAATCAACAAATAATCTCCTCTAAGTTGTACATTCTCTGGTTTATCCTTAAAAAGGTAGCAATTTGGGGCAAGAGTGCGGGGGATGTTACTTTTGGGGGAAGGGAGAACATGAGGGCTAAAGATGCAATGTCAAATAGAGTCTGAGAATATTCTATATTTTGTTCTTTCCTACTATTTTTTCTCCTATTAGCAGAAAATACAATGATGATCAATATGACAGATTCTTTTGTCTTTTTCCTCACTTTAATTGTGTGTGTAATTGGTGACTACTATGTGTATAAAAGAATGTAATTCTACACCAAAGATGAAAAGAACACCAGAACTTTGACATGTCACAATTCACTATTTTAGATGAGTGAGTTTTGGACTTTCAACAAACTTGACCCCTAATAAGCAACACCACTATTCATAAATTACTCAAGCCATCCTTGAATCCTCTCCTCTTACTGACATTCTCAATAACCAATATATATTCTATTTTTTAAAAACTTTTTTTTAGACACAAGGTCTTGCTCTGTTACGCTGGCTGGAGTTCAGCGGTGGGATCATAGCTCACTACAACCTCAACGCCTAGGCTCAAGCGATCCTAATTCCTCAGCCTCCTGAGTAGCCAGGATTACAAATGCATGCCCCAATGCCCAGCTATTTTTTTTATTTTTATTTTTTTAAGACAGAGTCTCGCTCTGTCGCCCAGGCTGTAGTGCAGTGGTGCAATCTTGGCTTACCGCAACCTCCACCTCCCAGGTTCAAGCAATTCTCGGCCTCAGCCTCCCAAGTAGCTGGGATTACAGGCGCCCGCCACCACGCCTGGCTAGTTTTTTGTATTTTCAGTAGAGATGGGGTTTCACCATTTTGCCCAGGCTGGTCTTGAACTCCTGACCTCATGATCCACCTGCCTTGGACTCCTAAAGTGCTGAGATTACAGGCATGAGCCACTGCACCTAGTGCATATCCTATTAAATCTGCTTCCAAAATATACCTAAAGGTTTTCTTTTCTCCACTTAGATCAGAGATTGGTAAACTACAACATCTGTTTTTGTAAATCAAGTTTTACTGGAACACAGGCCATGCTCATTCATTTATCCATTGTCTATGGCCGCTGTCATGCTACAGTGGCAAAGTTTAGCAGGTGGAACACACACTTTTTACATAAAAAGCTGTCAGGTCCCTGGTCTAGATTATGGATGCCATCATTTTTTGCCTGGAGCACTCCAGTATCTTTAAATGGTTCAGCAGCATTCAACTCTGGCCCATTTTCAAGTCTGCAATTCACAGTGTAGCCAGAGTGATTATTTTAAAAACTTAAATCACATAACTACCCCTTAATAGCCCTTCTAAAGTTGCCCATCCATTGGGATGACCAAACTCTCCAGGATGTCCTAAAAGTCCTGCATGCCTCTCCAACCTTATCTTACACTGCCCTCCTCCTCATTCAACTTGAATAACTCTTTCTCATAGAGGTCTGGCCAAAACATTACATAAAAGCAGATCCCCTGGTGACTCAATCCCATAGCACCTTGTTCTTTGCCTTCATACATGTCCATAATTTATAATCATATGTGCATTTTTATGTTTATATGGTTTATATTTGCTGTCTACTGAAACAGAAGCTCTAAAATGGCAAATAGTGTCTGTTTTAAATCAAACTTTTGAATTGACTATAACATATATACAAAAAGTACAAATCATAAGTGTATAGTATAAATTTCAAAAATGAATATGCCCAAATAAACACCCCGAAAACAAGAAATACAACATTAACCAAACTCCAGTGGCCCCCACTTATGCTCATTCCTAGTCATCATGCCCTCCATACCCCCCAAAGTGGCGATCTTTCCCTTTATTTGAAAATTATATAATTAGAATTACAAGTGAGTATTCATTTTTCCCTAATATTAAGTTAGTGAAATTCACCCATGCTGTTACTTATGGTAGAAGGAATTCATTTTTCATTGCTATATAGTTTTACAACATATAAATATGTTGCAATTTCTTTACCCATTATGCCTTTGAGGGGCATCTGGGTTGTTTTCCGTTCTTGGCTAGTACAAATAATGCTGCCATAAATGTTTCATATCTTTTGATGCATATATATATGATGTTATTTAAGTATATTTAAGAGTAGAATGTCTGGGTCATAGATATATAGTAAGCCCATTCAAAATTAGTAGCGTTTTTCAATTATACTTCTACTAAAAATGTGAGTTCTAGCTTTCTAACATGATCCCAAACATTTTACATTATTAGTCTAAATTTGGCCATTCCAAGTGTATAGCGGTATCTCCTGTGGTTGAAATGTTCATTTTTCTTAAAATGAATGAGAACGAAACCCATTTGTGTTTATTGGGCATGTGTGTCTCTTGGTGAGATGCCTCCTCAAGATATTTGCATGGTTTTCTATTGCATCTGTCTTTTTCTTATTAATTTGTAAGAACTATTTATAGTATGCTGGACCCAGTCTTTATCAGTTACATGTGCTAGAAATACATTCTCCCTTTTGGTAACTTGCCCTTTCACTCTCCTTCTTGGTTATTTTTGCTCAATAAAGGATTCTAATTTTAATGAGCTCAATAAATGTTTTTTTCCTTTGTGGTTCATGCTTTTTGTATCCAACAAGAGTTTTAATGGGGAAGAAATAAACAACATCAAGATGATAAAATACCTGAGAAGATAATGGCTGCAAATTTTTGAGAAGTGATGAGAGAAAGACTCTAAACGTTCACGAAGCCTGATATATCCTTTAGGAACAAGGAAAGATAAAAAGAAACCTATGCTTAATACATCACAGCAGAAATACAAAATGGCAAAGGCAAAGAGAAGATCCTAAAAGTACTCAGAGCAAAAAAAGATAGATCATGAGAAAGGAAAGAAGAAAACTGATTGACAGCTGATTAACAGCAGCAGTAGACACCAGAAGACAGTTCAAATACCTTCAAAGTGCTTAGAAAAAATAATAGCCAGTCCAGAATTGTGTACCCAGCAAAAGTATCTTTCAAGAATAAAGATGAGGACCAAGATGAGGTTAACAGGAATCCACCTGAAAAAACTAG